>NC_000001.11:148184587-148809587 GCF_000001405.40 Homo sapiens
TTTTTACAAATAGACATATTATTTACTTAAATATCTATTCTAAAGCAACAAGAACTGTCATGTTTTACAGTGAAAACCTGTAGGCATTTCCATTAAAATTTAAACAAAATAAGGATGTCCATTATAATTGTTATTTAACACTATTCTGGGAGTTCCAGTCAATAAAATAAAAATGAAACATATGTAAAAATTGTAAACAATGAAAGCCATTATTCTAAATGATATATTTATGCACAGACAACTCAGGAGGATTAAAGGAAAAACTTTAAAATTAATGAGGTCAATAAAGAAACTACAAACTAAATAAAAATACTTTTTAAAAATTGTCCACATTGTCCATATGCCAACAATAACCAGTTGTTTTAAACAATGTGAAATCATAATAACTATTTATATAAGAATCTATTCCCAATAGCCTCCAAACATATAAAATAATAGAAATAACCTGAACAAGAAAGAATGCCACATTCATGAGGACAAATTCAGTACCTGAGACATGCAAGAGAAAATATTTAAGAAGAAATAAATTACAGGTTCCTAGATGGAAAAAAGGAATTCTGTAAAGATATTAAATACTTCCAAACTGAGTTGCAGATGAAACTAGATTCTAACTACATTCCCACTAAGATTTTAGGACAGAGATTTGATAAAATAATTTTTAAATGTATGTGGAAGAATATCACATGATGATAACAAGTTTCTAAAAATAAAGAGTACTAAGGTGGGACTCATCCTTCTAAATATTAAAATATTCCATAAAGCTACAGTAAAAACTTCAACAAACAAATAAAAACAGAGTGAAATTACAGAAAAATTAGTAGGTAGTGCAAAGGAGAAAAACAGAAACCAGAAACAGGTTTGGAAACCAGTGGAGAAAGGATGGTGTTGAGTCAACTGTTTGTTTGTTTTTTCTTCAAAACAAAACAAAAAACTTAGAACGGTTCTCTTATATCAAATAATTTCTGGATGTCAAAAGTTATACTTTTAAAATAAAACCATAGAATCTAAAGGAAAATATAGGTGAAAATCTATTTATTGGGTTGGAAAGACTTCCTAAACACAAAATCAAGATGGAATAAGTCACGAAGGAAAATAAGAATAGATTTAACTGCATAAAAATAAAAATCTGTATATCCCAAAAGTCATTATAATGATATTCAATAACTACAATAAAATATTATTTAAAAAATAACAGACATATTCAACTATAGAAAACAACATCAGGTAGAGTTTACAAGTCAAGCTACAATTGGTGCAAAAAAGTTTGTGTGTTATTTATGATGTAGAATAGATGAAGGGCGATAGACTGAAGTGGCTAGGAACATGGGAGCAAATCCCAGCTCCCTTACTTGCGAGGGGCTTTCATCATGCCTCAGTTCCATCATCTGTAAAATGATAACAATAATACTATGACCTCACAGGGTTGTTGGGGGAATTATATGAGAAAATGCAGCTTGACCCAGAATAAATACTAAATAAATGTTAGCAATAGTAACATTAGTTGAGGTATAGGGCTATAACTATTAATCGTTACATTTTTTTTCTCTTGACTCACTATCTCCCCTCATCTAAATTAGGAGCAAGTTGAGAAACAACTGCAGGAATCCAGCTGATGAACATCTATCTATAATCCTAAAGGTTGGCCGGGCGTGGTGGCTCACGCCTGTGATCCTAGCACTTTGGGAGGCCTAGGCAGGTGGATCACCTGAGGTCCAGAGTTCGAGACCAGCCTGGCCAACATGGAGAAACCCCGCCTCTACTAAAAATACAAAATTAGCTGGGCGTGGTGGCGCATGCCTGTAATCCCAGCTGCTCCGGAGGCTGAGGCAGGAGAATGGCTTGAGCCTGGGAGTTAGAGGTTGTGGTGAGCCGAGATAGCGCCATTGCACTCCACCCTGGGCAACAAGAGTAAGACTCCGTCTCAAAAAAAGAAAAGAAAAAAAATAAATCCTAAAGGTTGACTAAACTGCATTAGAGAAGCAGCTCAACCTGTGGCTACAAGCCTACCACTTTTCCTTCAGAATTAAACACTTCCATCCCCAACTGCATGTCTGCCCTACTTAGATGCCTGAAATTCTACTAACAGAGTTAGTAGAATTTAAAGAGTTCTTCCTTTAAATTAAGGCACTGCAATTGGAAAAGTCTAGTGTAAAGTATGAATAGCGCTAGAGGCATACTACCTTTCATCACTTTCAGCTATAGCATTGCAATATTGATTAATTTGTTATATTTTGTATCTAATTATATTGCTGGTTAAATCCTGAGTCTCAATGGAATGTGACACAGGACAAATAGATTTGATAGAAGAAGGAAGTATTAGGATATGTTCTAAAGGCTTAAATCATTTTCAAAAAAGCTACACATTAATTAATTTGATTAACTAACTAGAAAAATATGCCCACACTGATTCTGATGGAAACATAAGTGATGGTGCTGATTCAAGTCCTGCTGGCCACTCACCAGCTACACGTCCTCATGCATGTCAGCCTCCCAAAGCTCTCTTTCTCTCCTGTTCTGGGAGGACAATCGTGCAGTATGTTGGTGGAGATTCCTTCAAGGACAAATCATGACACAAGGATTGAGAACACGCTTGGGCAGAAATCCCAGAGAGCAATGAGAGGGAATGGTAAGTGAGACAGGAGGGACAGGAGACAAACCAATAAAGTGGCTGCCATGAGGTTACCACTAGGCCACTGCTGTCAATCTTTTTGAAGACCCTCTGGGAGACCTGGGAACCTACCCCAGAATTGTCCCACCATGGGGAATAGGAAGTCAAGAAATTTTCCCAGAAATTCCTACCCCTCAAAGGTTGAGGATTACTCCTGGACTGAGCACCTCTAGCTTAGCCCTCAATTTACCATCTTCTCAGGAGGCGAGGGCACCCTCTCAGGCAAAGGGACACAGCTGTCATGCCATCTGGCCTGCATGAGACCTCCTGGAGTAGGCAAGGAGACAGAGAGGGCACCAAAGGTATTCACTGCATGTACAGCCACTTCTTATAGCTGTTGAGCTCACACAGTGATGGAGAAAAATATGAATACAATGTGCAACATAATGTTAGGCACACAATGAAGGGCCAATAAATGGTAATTGTGGTGGTGAATGCTGCTATATTTTTTAAAATCAAGGCAGGCCTAGGTTTAGTGTCATAGCGAAGGAGCCAGGCACCATAGCCAGAAGCCCCTGGGTAGGTCTGGGAAGTCCTAGGAATTGGGAAAGGTGAAAATAGTACAGGTATGGGGCTGTAAAAGGCAAACTTCATGTCCTGCAGTGTTCTGCCTGTGGCTGGTCCTGAGGAGCACTGGTGGGTCAGTTTGGCCAGACCTCCAAAGAGAGCCACAGGAAAAAAAGAAGGCTAGAGGTCCTCATGACCCACCTCCCAAGATACAAGCAGACACTTGAAGTGGAAAATCCCTGCCACTCTGTAGGACAAGAACTACGTGGCCAAAAAGGGAAGCTGCAATAAATAGTTCTGGTTTAACCTGGGATGCATCACAGCTTCTCCAAAGTTTTGCTTTGACTTTAGGCCCAATTCAACCAACATGAAACACCCACAAATTAACTCCCAGGAAAAACATGGCTCTTTGAGAAAAGAACTGACACTTAGTAAGCAGCTGAGCCTGTCAGTCCAGGTTGCAGGATGGAGCGAGTGA
Source organism: Homo sapiens (assembly GCF_000001405.40). NCBI lineage: Eukaryota > Metazoa > Chordata > Mammalia > Primates > Hominidae > Homo > Homo sapiens. The sequence continues at coordinate 148,188,241 of NC_000001.11, forward strand.
GCTCTCGGCGGGTACAGTGGCTTGCACTAGCTGAATTCATTACTATTCCCTTTGTGCAGCCTTGTGCTTTGACCACTCGCATATATGGAATAGGACTTACAAAAGAAAACTGTTTTGTTTGGCAGGTGGGAAATCATTTCAATTGAGATATTTTTTCTGTTTACTCAAGTAAATATAAAGATGCTTTGATTTTCCACAAAGAAAGAGTTGTTATCCCTATTTGAATTTATGTTGCTTCAAAAACAAACATCTTACTTTTAGTATCAGAAGCAGACCATTCTGTTCCTTAGGGAAGTGATATTCTTTAGTAGACTGGTGGGAGACTTGTAGAATATTAAAAGGATAAGACAAATTCCAGAATAAATAACAGGGAAAATTTATTTTCTGAACTCTAATAACTATGATCTGTTCCTACAGTAGAATGGGCATTCAATAACTGGAACATGAAGGATTGGCCTACAGGGAAAGCCCAGGGTGGTCTGGGACCTCCCTGAACCTCCAGCAGATCTCATGAGACTGTCTTTAATTATCCTTTTCTCTCTCTCTCTCCCTCTCTCAGGCCTACAATGAACACTGTGTGGGGAAAAGAAAGAGAGATCAGACTGTTACTGTGTCTATGTAGAAAGAAGTAGACATAAGAGACTCCATTTTGTTCTGTACTAAGAAAAATTCTTCTGCCTTGAGATGCTGTTAATCTGTAACCCTGGCCCCAACCCTGTGCTCACAGAGACATGTGCTGTGTTGACTCAAGGTTTAATGGATTTAGGGCTATGCAGGATGTGCTTTGTTAAAAAAGTGTTGAAGGCAGTATGCTTGTTAAAAGTCATCACTATTCTCTAATCTCAAGTACCCAGGGACACAATACACTGCAGAAGGCTGCAGGGATCTCTGTCTAGGAAAGCCAGGTATTGTCCAAGGTTTCTCCCCATGTGATAGCCTGAGATATGGCCTCGTGGGAAGGGAAAGACCTGGGAAGGGAAAGACCTGACCGTCACCCAGCCCGACACCCGTAAAGGGTCTGTGCTGAGGAGGATTAGTGAAAGAGGAAGGCCTCTTTGCAGTTAAAATAAGAGGAAGGCATCTGTCTCCTGCTCGTCCCTGGGCAATGATGTCTCGGCGTAAAACCGACTGTATGTTCTATTTACTGAGATAGGAGAAAACTGCCTTAGGGCTGGAGGTGAGCCGTGCTAGCAGCAATATTGCTCTTTAATGCACCAAGGTGTTTCTATACATGCACATCAAGGCACAGCACCTTTCCTTAAACTTATTTATGACACAGAGATCTTTGTTCACATGTTTCCTGCTGACCCTCTCCCCACTATTGCCCTATTGTCCTGCCACATCCTCCTCTCCGAGATGGTAGAGATAATGATCAATAAATACTGAGGGAACTCAGAGACCAGTGCCTGCCGGTCCTCCGTAAACTGTAAGCTGAGTGCCTCCGTAAGCTGAGCGCCAGTCCCCTAGGCCCACTTTTCTTTCTCTATTCTTTGTCTCTGTGTCTCTTTCTCTTCTCAGTCTCTCATCCTACCTGATGAGAAACACCCACAGGTGTGGAGGGGCAGGCCATCCCTTCACTGGACAGAACCAATGTACTTCTTACATATATTGATTGATTGATGTCACATGTCTCCCTAAAATGCAGAAAACCAAGCTGTGCCCCAACCACCTCGTGTACATGTCATCAGGACTTCCTGAGGCTGTGTCACAGGTGCACATCCTCAATCTTGGCAAAATAAACTTTCTAAATTAACTGAGACTTGTCTCAAATTTGGGGAGTTCATAGTCCTAAAGTCATTATCTTATTTAATGGAAAAGCATTAGGGATGTTTCTACTAACATCAGAAGCAAGAGATAAATATCTATTATCTCTGCTGCTGTTAGAGATATTAGCCAGTGCAATTAGATAAGAGAAATCAGTGAAAGGCATAAGAGTGACTAAATGAGTGGTAAAACTATATTTGCAGATGATATAATAATATATGTGGAAAATCCCAGAGAATCAATAATAAAACTAACTCAAACAATAAAATAATTTACTGAAGAACACGGATATAAAATTAACATAAAAATCAATAGCCTTCATACAAACAAACAGGGGACATAATGGTAGAGAAAACACCATTTAAATAGCATCAAAATATATGTATTTATGAATAAATATAAGTATTTATGAATAAATTTAATGAGTTATGAAAACCTATGCATGGAAAATGTCAAAACACTCCTAACAGACAGTAATAAAAACTTGAATAAAAGGAAAGACATTCCCAGGTTCTTGGATAGAATTATAGCTTTATGAAAATACCACTTCCCCCTAAGTTAATTTATAAATGTAATACAATTCCATCAAAATATGAACAGGCTATTTTCTGGAGTTAGAGATTTTGATACTAAAGTTCATATAAAAAAAAAGATGGGTAGGAATGAGGTAGAAAGACACTGAAAAAGAAAAGCTGTAGTGATTAGGCTTACCAGAAATTAAAACATTTGATAAAGCCTGGATAATTAAAACAGAGTGGTACTGGAGCACAGAGAAATAAAGAAGCCAGTGGAAGAGAATAGTCCAGAATTAGACCAAAATACATATGGAAATTTAGTATATGATGAAAGTGGCATCTCAAATCACTAGGGTAAAACATACCATATAGCAGTATAAACTCCAAGTGGATTAGTGATGTAAATATAAAAACTAAAACCACATAGTATAGAAAATAAATGGCTACATTATTATTTAGCCTTGGTAAGAAAAAGCCTTTCTAACTATGATTTAAAATCCAGGGGCAATTTTTTAAAAGATTAATAAATTTGACTGCATTTTTTTGTGTGATGAAAACCACCATAAACAAAATCAAAGAACAACTAACATATTGAGAGAAAATATTTGTAACATACACTAGAGAAAAAGGGCTAATATTCCTTATACATTAAAAAACCTTAAAAATTGAAGGACAAAATCCTGAGATGAAAATGAGGAAAAGGCATAAACAAATAATTCATTTGAAAAAAAAAGGAAAAGTTTCAAAATGGCTTTTAAATATGCAGAAAATGCTTAAACTCACTGATAATTAAGGAAATCCCCTTCTCATTTATTGAATTGGCAAAAATAAAACAAATATGAGAATACATTCTGTTGATAAGGCTTGTTGGTGAAGCTATGGGGAAATGGGCACTTTCCCTCTTAGAAATGCAAATTGGTACAACACTTTTGGAGGGATATTAGGCAATATCTAACCAAAGTGCACATACATTTCCCTTTTCACCTAGCAATCCCACTTCTAGGGTATGTATCTCTGACAATACAAAAATGTATATGAATAAACTTGCAATTATCATTTATAATTGCAAAACACTGGAAACAACTTAAATGCCCATACACAGAAGAGTGCTTGAATAAGCTGGAACAATAACATGGAGTACTATACAAACGTATAAAAGAGTGAGGAAAGTCTCTAGAGTGGATATGGGGTGCTTTCCATGACATATTAAGTAAGGGAAAAACAACAACAAAACCCAAACCCAAAAGATGTGATTTTGAGTTATGTGATTCCTTGTGTAAGAAATCAGATATAAGAAAACACACAGGTATCTGATCCTTTATGGAAAAAAAAAATCAAGAACAATAAACAGGATTTGAATAAACTCAAAGTATCTACCTCAAAACACTTATCAGCTACAAAGAGAAATACAATAACTGTATAGTTGTAACCACCCAATGGGTTCTTCCAGCCTGCTCCCCAGAGAGAGCCAATTTATCAAGACAGGGCAATTGCAATAGAGAAAGTTTTACACATATAGAACTGGCTAAACAGGAGACTAGAGTTTTATTATTACGCAAATCAACCGCCCTGAAAATTTGGAGACTATGGTTTTTTAAAGATAGTTTAGGAAAGGGGGGTGGCTAGGGAATGGGTGCTGCTGATTGATTGGGGGTGCAATCATAGGGGTGTGGAAAATGGTCTTCATGAGCTGCTAAGTCCACTTCTGGGTGGAGCCGCAGGACCAGTTTGTGGGTCTGGGTGGAGCCATCCATTTTCAGAAACGCAAAAATCTGAAAAGGCATCTCAAAAGGCCAATCTTAAGTTCTACAACAGTCATGTTATCTGCAGGAACAACTGGGAAGTTGCAAATCTTGTGACCTCTGGAATAATGGTTGGTAATTATTTATATCTACATGTTAACAGAATTCAGGTTCCTCTCATCCTCCTAACCTGGTGATCTTTCATCAGCTTTACACAAAGGTGGTTTAGTTTTGAGGAACAGATACAATCTTTTAAACTATAAACTAAATTTCTCCCAAAGTTAACTTGGCATAAGCCCAGAAATGAGTAAGGCATTTTGGAGGTTAAAAGCAAGATGGGGGTTGGTTAGATCAGATCCCTTTCACTGTCATAATTTTCTCACTGTTATAGTTTTTGCAAAGGTGGTTTCATAATGGAGAAAACAGCAGACACTAACCTAATGGAGTGCTCAAAATAAATAACACCATTAATAAGGCATATATCAGCATCATGAATCCCTTGGCATGATGTGCTGAAAAGGGATACAGTATCATTTCTGCGGTATTCTTGCCAAAATGGCATGACTTCACTCTAATCATGACAAAACATTAGACAAACCTAAAGTGAAGGACATTCTACCAAATTACTAATCAGTGTATTTATAGGTAGACAGGCATAAGCAGGGCAGGAGTGGGCTTTTCCCCCACCCACTAAAAATGTCAGGTGATGGTTTGGCAGTTATCACATTGCCTCTCTAAAAGTGATAAATTGGCAGCCAGCACCAGGGAGAGGCCTTTTCCTGATGGTCCACACCTGTTGCACTAAAGAGTGAACTGAGTATAGGTGCCAGGGAAACACAACTTCCTAGACATGCGTATTAGGAGATAAAATGGCAGGGTATGACCTTCCAAGGGCACGCCATGAGAAAAGGGAAGAAAGCCTCTAATGGGCATGCATACAACTTCCTAAACACAGTGCACATGCTCATCTCCCAAGGGTAAGGAGGGCTCTGTGCATGAGGGCAGCCTACTTTAAGGGAAGAATCATGGGAAAGAGGCCAGCCTATAAAGTCTTAGGATCAAGGTTAAACACTACTCTTGACCTTCACATGCCCACTTGGGTCTCTTCCAAGCATACTTTCCTTTCTTTCCTGTTCTAAAGCCTTTTTAAATAAACTCCCACTCCTACTCTGAAAGTTGCCTTGATCTCTTTTTCTGCCTTATGCCCCTCAGTCAAATTCTTTCTTCTGAGGGGGCAAGAACTGAGGTTGCTGCAGACCTGTATGGATTTGCCACCAGTAACTCGGATACCTTCCACTGGTAAAAATCAGTATCCTTCAAAGAGTGCCAAAGTTATGAAGGATAAGGAAAGACTAGGGAACTGTCACAGATTGGAGTCAACTAGGGAGAAATACAACTCAATACAATGCGGGGTCCCGGATAGGCTCCTGAGGCAGAAAAATGATATTTGGGTCTATGGCCATACCACCCTGAATGCACCCAATCTTGTCTGATCTTAGAAGCTAAGCAGGGTTAGGCCTGTTAGTACTTGGATGGGAGAAAAATGATATTTGCAGGAAAACTGGTAAAGATCAGATGAAGTCTGTAGCTTAGTTAATAATATTGTACCAATGTCAATTTCCTATTCTTGATAATTAAAATGATGAGAGAGATTCAACATAAGTGGAAGCAGGGTAAGGGATTAAAGGAACACTTTCTAGTGTTTTTGCAATTTCTTAAAGTCTAAAATTCATTCAAAATAAAATAATGCTTTAAAACCAAAAATAAATAAATGAAATGGGTCTCTTCTATTAAGGGTTTTCTAGAAACCTCCATCTTTCCACCACTCTCCTATAAAAGTTTTAAAACATTTTCAAAAGCCACTTATCACTATTCTTAGACTGCCAGTGATCAAAAGGGCAGCCTCGCGGGTTGCAAATTAGTGAAGAAGAGAAAGCTAGAAGGAAGAGGAAGTGGAGCATCTGAGGGAAAGATTTTTAAATGAACTTCTTTGTGTTGCTAAATTTATTCGTATCCTGGAATGGGCTACAACCATCACAAGGACATAAAAATCATCAGGTAAATTCAAGGACTTTTTAAAAATGCATCTAATCACCTCCTGTCCAAAACATTCAAGCTTAACCTTTCTCTTGAAAATGCAATCTGCTCTTTACACCCTGCCTGCATACCAGATTCTGAGACCTAGATTGCCACAGGAGCAGAACCATCACCTTGTCCTGATTCAATAGGTTCTTGTTGTTACATTATCAGCTTAAGATCCTGGGGTATGTGGAGATGTGCCTATTCATTACTGAAAGAGTTCATGCACAATTTATGTCCTTCACATAACTTTGTCCTTAAAGGCTATTTTCTGAATCCATTTCAGTTATGTTTTCCCAACAGCCATATTAGGAGGTGACTGTTGTTTTTCCATATTCAAAGTAAAAGAAATGAGACAAATATCTCAAAATGATTGAGGTGCTCACAATAAAAATGTAGTGGTAAAGATAGTACCAGATCTCGTGTCTGTAGCTTCTGTGCCCTCTTTCATAGTCCAGAGGACTGAGCTACTCTAGCAAATGGGTATATGAGAACTGGTGACCACAGTTAATCCAGCTGACATGACACCAGCCATTACATTCAAGTGCAGTGATGTATTTTGCATTGCTCAGCTCTTTCTACTTTTCAAAGTCCTCTTCACATATTTCATTGAATTTGATTCTCAAACCACATTGTAATGTAAGTAGAATAGCTATTTCCTTTTAGTAATCGTAACATCATGCCATTCAATATATAAATAAAGCCCCTTTATTAACATTACCTTATCTAGGTCCCACTAAAAGAAAAAATATAAAGTAGTAGTGTCCCCATTTTCTAGATAACTGAGGCTCAAAGATTGACTGGTCCGAAGACACCCAGGCAATGAAGGGGAAGATGGAATGTAAGAGCAAGTCTTTTTGACTCATTATCCAGTCATATTTCCCCCACTGTGCAATAGCTGCATAGCAAAATGAAGAAAAATTACAAGTTTCTGACTATGAGTCCAAAAATGAGTTAACATGTGATTTTATGCTAGAAGATAATCTAATGAGGTCACTCTGCTTAGCTGCTTAGCTACCGCTGTTATCCCAATGGGACTGGGCAAGAATAGAACCAAGTCATGCAAGTAAGAGTAGCACCTGATTGGGCACTGGGCTTGGATTCAGGTTGTTATCTCTATGGATAGCTGTGGTTCACTGAGGAACCATTCCAAAGATGTTAGAAGAGCCAGACAGAACCTACATTAATTCATTGGTTAAAGCTCAGAAATAATCATGAGGTCTCTGAGACAGGAGACAATTAGACATAGGATGGCTCCTATTATACACAAAATTTCATTGAGTCAGCTCTCTCCGCTTTACTTCTTGCCCTAGTATATCTTAAATATGTGGTTTTCCCCTTGCCTAATCCAGGAGAGCTGGATTTCATAACTAACAAGACTTTAGACTTGTGCTTCACCTTTCAGCATGCTTCTGGGTTCCATGATGTCCCAGAGCCTATGTGCTTATGATTAAAAAAAAAAAAAGAAACTGAAGAGGGACCCCAGTCTGCAGGAGTGAGATGGGCATGGGAAGAATTACATTTTCTCTGGTTCCTGGGTATGCTGAAGATGACATCCAGGAGAAAACTTCTGGCCCCTCAAACTGCCCCATAGCTCAGCCTGCGGGCTGCGACTTACAGTGACATCAGCAACATGATGGATTCCATCGCCAGCAGCCTGGACTCCAGGAGGCACCCCAGGCGTGGCCGATGTGCACAGGTAGGAGCATGTCCTCTGCGTGGCCTCTGCACTGGAAGAGCTTCAAGGCCTTTTCCTCCAGGGCTGAGGGGATTTGTGTTTCGCCTCTGTTTGTTTTTGTGTACTTCTGTTTGGCGAAACTTTCAAGCACGCAGAGCAACGTTCTGATAGATAGTGCAGAGAGGAGCTGCGCAGCATCCTGGAGCCGAAAGTTACAAGGAAGAGACCAAAACCGGTAAAGTCACGGATGTTGTGGCCCGAACCTGTAAATCCAAACAATCTCACAGTTATGAAATGGAAAATTTGTGGGGAAAAACAAATGCTTTGGTTATTACAGTGTTACTACATTCATAAAATGTATTTCATTTGGGGGAGTTTACACTGGGGGTAATGAGATTTTTGCTTTATGCGTTATTTATAACCGCTTAATCCAGGTACTGTGGGTTTTTTTAATTCCTTCATTTTCACAGCTACAAAACACTTCAGCATTTCTAATTTATTTCTGCTTACAATACAGATGTTCTTAGTTGTGTTTCTAACTATATTTCAACCGTTACGATCACGTTTGTTTGTGTCAGCGCGCAAGCCGGGGTTGTATGTGCAATACACAATAGTAAGGCTTCAAGAAGCCTGTAAAAAGGCCTCTTGTGCTTTCATTATCAACAAATTAAAATATGCTGCATGGCACTATCTTTATCATCAGTGGTTTTAATCTTTGGATAATTCCCCTGCAGTTGGGTAGGCAGAGTGACAGCCCTCTCTCAGTGTAGAAAGACTGCATGCCTTAAAATGGCACTTTTCAAGATGACCATTTGGAAGCAACATTTGGAGAACACTTGGGTTATGTCCTCTAACTGAATTTCCAAGCTGTTGGTAACGGACTAAAGAAAATGTAGTCTGTACTGAATATTAAGGAAGCAAGAGTGTAAGAGCCTTGAAGGTCATGTGTAAATATTGACATTTTATTTTATTTAGTAACCAAATTGGGGCCCTTGCATTGCTTATCTTGCCATAAAAACTCCTCACTCACTTTCACTGCCCTGCAGATTGTCAGGGAAAGATCTGATCTGAGCAGCTCTGGGTGCTCTTCCTGCCATTGCTAACAAGACTGAATTTTGTTTGTGCAAAATCTGAGTCAGAGGGGTGTTCCTCCCCTCTCATCTCCACCACGGACTGATGCACCTGATTAGATAACAGAAATTTGTGGGCTGAATGTTCATGTAGTGACATGAAAGCCAAGATGCAAAAACAGTCAGAGAAAACAGCCTCCCACTCACTCAGAGTCAAGTCAGGTGTCTAAAACCAAAGTTATCTGGGGAACCAATAACTGGCTAATTTGGCCAGAATACCCTTCTCTGTGTCCTCAGCAGCAGTGTGAGGAAGAAATACCAGCATGTCCTCAGGCCCTGTACCCTTCTCAGAAACCAGGACTCTACCTGCAGAGCTTAATCAGGGCCATATTCTGAAGGTGAGATGCAGGCAATGGCCAGGTCTCTCCACCAGCAGCAGTGGCTAGAATGCCCCACACACTTAACAACTTCCGGGACACATTTGACTGTTGACCTACAACAGCATTGCTTTCCTCTGCCAAAGCAAAGAGCTCTGCTCATGTAGAATAGGCTGGCAGTTTGGTAACTTGCCAGAGGCTCCTGTCTCCCTACAGTGAGGTCACCAGAATCGCTTCCCTCCTGAAACACAGTCGATTGAAATGAAGGTCCAGCAGAAATTAGGGGCCAGTGAGTTAAACATGGAGGCCACTTCCAATGGTCTTTAGCCTAAGAGGTTTTCTCCAAGTGAAAAGAAGAAAATTGAATATGGGAATAAAATGATCTTTTAATGCTTCATAACTCAACTCTCTGACTTACCTCAAAAAGAGAGAAATAGTGTAAAAAGCCAACACTGTTTTCTGCCCTCTAAATTTGAGTTTTGAAAGGTGCTCCTCAAATATTAATGATCTGGTTTCTGTGCCCAAATAAATGTCATGATTTACAACTCATGCTTATGGTTGCAATCCTAATCACCCTTCCCTACGGCAGCTTTATAAGTCTTGCCCAGTTCCACTACTGAAATAGTGCACTTGGATTCAAACAACACTCAAAAACCTTGTTTTTTGTTTTGTTTCATTTTTAACTATTACTGAGTGGACAGGGTCAATCCCATTCAAAATTCCCAAGTAGACAAAATCTGTCTGTGGCCCCTCCCCTTCCCCTCACCTTCTTGGCCGCCTCCCTCCATTCCCACTGATGAACTTCCAAGCTTCCTACAGCTCCACTAGTCCTTTTCAACCAATGGAAAACAAAGCAGTTTCCTACATTAGTGTATCTGCCTTCATAAAGTAGTTTAGTGTTTTGCACAAACCAAGAGAATGTTCATTTTAAAAGCAGGAAAGAAAGATTACAGATGGAATGTCAGACACCAGGGCACCTGGATAAAATATAATTTGGGGCAGGGGAGTATATTCTCATCTTACCTAAAGTAGACGAACCAGTCAAGTCAGTACCCATAAGGTAGGCTTGATAAATCTCAGGACCAGGCACCTCCACCCCCAACAAACACACACACACCTTTCCACTGTGATGTTTTAGGCACAGTGTATTGTAGCTCTGCCTATCTACTCAGAACCTAATGTATTCACATGAAAGTAAACTAACAGAGTCTGGCTGTCCTGGTGATTCTCAAGACCCTATTGCCTCCTCACTTACCCAAAAGGAAAGGAGCAGTAGTTTTGTTTTTTTTTTTTTTAATTCAAGAAATCAGCAAAAAAAAAAAAAATGTGTTAGTGTTTCTCCAAAACTTCTAAGTTAGAGTGGCACAATTCATTTTTTTTAATAAAGAATTTGATTAACTCTGGTTGGCCCAGATTTGCTTCAGCCTAAAGCCCAACATCTCTTTTGCAGCGTGGTATCCTTCAGTTGCTCATACTTGAGCCAATAGAGGTGGGAGGGGAGATGGAGAAGACTGGTTTTATTTGAGCTTGTGAAAATGGCTTTTTATCAAGTTCAATGTCATAAGTTTTCTTCCACAGGAAAGTAGAATATATTTTCTGGTGAGCAATAGTTTTTTATTATATAGAAATGGTTCCTAATTCTTAGCAGACAGGGATTTGAGAAAACAGGGGAGTTCTCCGAAGTCACAACAAATAATGTGATGGTCAACGTGATAGACTATTGTACGCTTTGATAGCTAGTTTCAGACTGATTTTCTGACACATGAGAGAGGAGCAGTGCCTGTTGCCCATGGAAGGCGATTTGCTGGGAGGAGGAACACAAACATCCCCAAAGGCTACCAGGTCAACTGTCATTTTCAAAATTACCATTAAAAGTAGGCTGGTGGGCCGGGCACGGTGGCTCATGCCAGTAATTCCAGCACTTTGGGAAGCCGAGGCGGTCGTATTACAAGGTCAGGAGTTCGAGACCAGCCTGGCCAACATGGTGAAACCCCATCTCTACTCGAAATACAAAAGTTAGCCAGATGTGGTGGCTGGTGCCTGTGGTCCCAGCTACTCAGGAGGCTGAGGCAGGAGAATTGTTTGAGCCCAGGAAACAGAGGTAGCAGTGAGCCAAGATTGTGCCATTGCACTCCAGCCTGGGCGACAGAGTGAGACTCCGTCTCAAAACAAAAAACAAACAAACAACAACAACAAAAAAAAACAAAAAAAAACCCACAATAATTAGCTGAGTGTGGTGGTAGGTGCCTGTAGACCCAGTTAACTGGGGGTTGACGCAGGAGAATCGCTTGAACCCGGGAGGCTGCAGTAAACTGAGATGAAGCCACTGCGCTCCAGCCTGGGCTGCAGAGCAAGACTCTATCTCAAAAAAAAAAAAAAAAAAAAAAGTAGGCTGGGCATGGTGGCTCATGCCTATAATCCTAGCATTTTGGGAGGCTAAGGTGGGAGGATCACCTGAGGTCAGGAGTTTGAGACCAGCCTGGGCAACATAGTAAGACCCTGTCACTACAAAAAATAAGAAACAATTACCTAAGCATGGTGGTGTATGCCAGTAGTCCAGAAATTCAAGATTACAGTGTGCTATGGCACCACTACACTCCATCCTGAGCAACAGACAAAGACCTTGTCTCTGAAAAAAAAGAAAAGAAAAAAATTATTATTAAAAGTAATAAGAATAGAAAACATAGGCTGTGTATGCTAGATTAACAAAACATTCCCCCTACAAAAGGGGGAAATTTCAATTTTCTATGAAGTTTGAAATCTATAATCATCTGGCATTATTTCCAGGCATGTAGAAAAAAATTCATTTGTCTTTTCATCTGGATTAGTTTGTCTCCATCAGTGTGTACATCAAAAGTACCTGGGGATTCTGTGGGTTTGGGGAACATTTTTTTGTTTGCTTGTTTGTTTGTTTTCAAAATATATGGTAGTATCCCACCACAAATCTATACTAAAATAAAATTTCGCAGTGTATGTCAAATAAATGTGCACTTTGAAAAATTCCCCAAGTAAATTTTGAGATTGGCTCTTGATTCAGTGACACTAATATAAACACTTTCACTTACTTTTGAATTTTGTGGTGACCGATCTTAAGATTTGAAGCCTACACCTTCTTAACTTGGTCCATGGGGGCACAAAAGGAGAGAGAGTATAAATGCTGAGGATGACCTTAACAAAAGTGAACACGAAATTAAGAGATGTGAACCCAAAATAAAAGAAAGCAAAGAACTCTGTCTTCCCTTGTCATCTTTAACTCTGCTCTATCTTGATTCTTCTCTGTGTTTTTCACAGGCTCTTCTTCCTATACCCACTCTGTAAAGTGATTTACCCCATAGCTCTCCACCCCTTTCACCTTGGATCTCTGGTCAGATAATCTCACCTTCCTCTGTGGCTTCAAAGCCATATACATTTGACTTCTGAATTCATCTGCTAGGGCAGCCATAACAAAGTACCACAGACTGACTTGGGTGGCTTAAACAACAGAAATGTATTTTCTCACAGCTTTGGAGGCTGAAAGTCCAAGAGAAGGTATTTGTGGCTTTGGTTTCTTCTGGGGCCTCTCTCCCTGGCTTGTAGATGGCTGTCTTTAGCCTGTGTCCTTACAGGACCTTTCCTCTGTGCTGGCACTTCTGGTGTCTCTTCCCCTTCTTACAAGGACATCAGTTCTGTAGAATTATGGGCCACCCTAATAACTCCATTTTAACTTATTACCTCTTAAAGACCCTAATATGGTTTGGCTCTGTTTCCCCATCCAAATCTCATGTTGAATTGTAATTCCCAGTGTTGAAGGAGGGGCCTGGTAGGAGGTGATTGAATCACGGGGGGGCGGACTTCCACCTTCCCGTTCTTGTGATAGAGTTCTCACCAGATCTGGTTGTTTGAAAGTGTGTAGCACCTCCCACTTTGCTCTCGCTCTGTTCTGCTGGCCATGAGAAAATGTACCTGTTTCCCCTTTGCCTTCCGCCATGATTTTAAGTTTCCTAAGGCCTCCTCAGCCCTGCTTCTGGTACAACCTGCAGAATGGTGAGTCGATTAAACATCTTTTCTTCATAAATTACCCAGTCTCAGGTATGTCTTTATAGCAGTGTGAGAAGGGACTAATACAGAAAATTTGTACCAAATAGTGAGGCATTGCTATAATGAAACCTGAAAATGTGGAAGCAGCTTTGGAACTGAGTAATGTACAAAGGTTGGAGCAGTTTGGAGGGTTCAGAAGAAGATAGGAAGATGAGGGAAGGTTTGGAACTTCCTAGAGACTTGTTGAATGATTTTGACAAAAATGCTGACAGTAATATGGACAGAGATAGCCAAGCTGGTCTCAGATGGAGATGAGGGACTTACTGGGAACTGAAGTAAAGGTCACTCTTGCTATACTTTAGTAAAGAGACTAGTGGCATTGTGGCCCTGTGCTAGAGATCTGTGGAACTTTGAACTTGAAAGAGATTATTTAGGGTATCTGGCAAAAGAAATTTCTAAGCAGCAAAGCATTCATGATGTGGCCTGGCTGCATCTAACAGCATAAACTAATATGCATGCACAAGGAGATAATTTGATACTGGAAATTACACTTAAAAGGGAAGCAGAGCATAAAAGTTTGGAAAATTTATACCCTGGCCATGTGGTAGAAAAGAAAAACCCATTTTCTGGGGAGAAATTTAAGCCAGCTGCAGAAATTTGCATAAGTAAAGAGGAGCCACATGCTAATAGCAATAGCCAAGACCATGGGGAAATGCCTCCGAGGCATTTCAGAGATGCCTCGGAGGCATTTCCGAGACCTTTGCAGCCGCCCCTCCCATCACAGGTCTGGAAGCATAGGAGGGTTATATGGTTTCATGGGTCAGGCCCAGGGCCCTGCTACTCTGCGCAGCCTCAGGACATGGTTCCCTGCATCCCGGCTGCTCCAGCTCTAGCCATGGTTCAAAGGGCCCCAGATATGTCTTAGGCTGCTGCTCCAGAGGGTGAAAGTTGCAAGCCTCATGGCTTCCATGTAGTGTTAAGCCTGTGGGTACACAGAGGGCAAGAGTTGAGGCTTGGGAGCCTCCACCTAGATTTCAGAAGATGTATGGAAATGCCTGAATGTCCAGGCAGAAGACTGCTGTAGGGGCAGAGCCTTCAGGGAGAACCTCTACTGGTGCAGTATGGAGGGGAAATATGGTCTTGGAACCTCCACACAAAGTTCCCACTTGGGAATTGCCTAATGGAGCTTTGAAGAGAGGGCCACCATCCTCCAGACTCAGAATGGTAAATCCACCAACAACTTTAAGCTCCATTATTTTGGAGCTTTAAGACTTAATGACTGCCTTGCTGGGTTTCCGACTTGCATAGGGCCTGTATCCTCTATATTTTGGAATGGGAGCATTTACCCAATGCCTGTACCCCCCATTGTATCTGGGAAGTAACTAACTTGTTTTTGATTTTACAGGCTCATATTTGGAAGGGACTTAACCTTGTCTCAGAAGAAAATTTGGACATGGACTTTTGAGTTAATGCTGGAATGAATTAAGACTTTGGGGAACTGTTGGGAAGGCATAATTGTGTTTTGAAATGTAAGAAGGACATGAGATTTGGGAGGGGCTGGGGCAGAATAAAATGGTTTGGCTGTGTGTTCCCACCCAAATCTCATGTCTAACTGTAATTCCTAGAGTTGGGGGAGGGGCCTGGTGGGAGGTGACTGAATCCTGGGGGTTGACTTTCCCCTTGCTGTTCTCCTGATAGAGTTCTCGCAAGGTCTGGTTGTTAGAAAGTGTGTAGCGCCTCCCCCTTTGCTCTCTCTCTCTTTCCTGCCAGCCATGTGAAGATGTGTCTGCTTCTTCACCTTCCACCATGATTGTAAGTTTTCTAAAGCCTCCCCAGCCATGTTTCCTGTACAGCCTGCAGAACTGTGAATCAATTAAACCTCTTTTCTTCATATATTATCCAGCCTCAGGTATGTCTTTATAGCAGTGTGAAAACAAACTAATGCAGACCCTGTTCCCAAATACAGTCACATTCTGAGGCACTGGGGGCTGGGAATTCAACATATGAATCTGGAGAGACATGGTTCAGAACATAACAACTTCCAGTTATATAACTTCAATGCTACGTGATGACTGGCTCATATATTTGAAAAACTTTCACATGAAAAAGGGACAAGACAAGGACCAATGTGTGGAAGGTAAAAGCTGAAATTTTCAGCTGAACAAAAGGAAGGCCTATGTGATAATGAGGGGGGTCTAGTTATTACAGGCTGCATTCCCTGATAGTGTGTCCCTGCCACAGGAAGGGCACAGCAGAGGCTGAGTGGACCACTATCGTGCCTGTCTTTGGGGAAATCCAGCATAAGCCTCCAAAATCCCTTTTCCTCTTTTAATTTGATGACATTAATGAAGGAATATGAGCTCACAGGGATTAAATCAAGATGATTAAAACAAAGAAGTAGAAAATATGATCACACGTCTACAGTGTGTCTACAAACACGGCATAATCAGATATGAGAAAAAGGAGTTTTGTGAAATGTTAGAGTCACACCCTCCCTGACGTGAGCAATACAGTGGCCAGCAAGGCAGGAGAGGATGTGCTCTGTATCAAGAATGTGAGGCCTACGGTAAAGCTGACCGGTACAGGTGGAGCAAGACCAACTAAGAAGCATCTTTCCCTGGAGAAAACTGTCACTCATCAAGAGGATGTCCATGGCAATCTAAGTGGAGATTTTCCCAAAGGGACTACAAATGTCAGAACCCAGGTGATCTGACATCAATGAATCTTCCTGAAAGCCCCTTGGGATGTCATCTGATGACATGAGTTAGCATTGGTGGACTAGGGTTGGAAGATCTGACTTGAGAGCCAATTTCTCTGTGTACACTAGTCAGCTGACCTAAGGTGTGTCATTGCCTTCTCTGAGTCTCAAGCTCCTCATCTGTAAAATAGAAAGAATATGGCCTTACCCTGACAGCATATTGTAAAAATTGATGAGATATGATTTAACTATAAATGTGCTATGAATTTAACCATGCAGTTTAATTTATGTAACTGTGAATTGTAGACTCTTATTTAAACATGTGGTATTAATATTATTGTCATGTTTTCATTTTGCCCAATGTGATGGTCAATACCGTGTGCTATAAATGTAAGTGAGCTCCTCATTAGATGCAGCATGAAAGATTCTGAGGGATGCCCTTTGATAATTTGATTCGCTCAAAAAGATACAGACTTCCTAGTCACAATGGGGAAAGTAATCCAGTGGAGGTATTCATATTCCAAAATACCACTGGGAGATACAGAGGAATAAAAAATTAAGAAATTCCATACATCAGAAGGACAAGAGCTCTTGAGGTTCTTTCAGTGGACAGTGGTTTTAGACTTCACTGTGCATTAGTTCTGTCCAAGATGCTTATTACAGATGAAGGCTCTCCTTCACTAGAAGCCCTCCCCATCACTACTCTTGATTGCATGGTTCAGTAGGACAATACTTTGAAAAACATTTCCCTGGTGAGTGAATTCAAACCCTCAGAAGAGGGATTCCATGCTTCATACAACACTATGGAGGCTTTGAAGTGTTTACCATACTTGGGTTCTATTGGCAATATCCAGGGGTGACTTGGAGTTTCCTTAAGGTTCCTCTCAAAAATTTCCATTTACTTAACTCCGAGATATGTCAAAATAAGCATTCAAGCTAAGTAAAAAATTGGTGCTTGTTAGACAAAGCCGCTTCAAGACAATGCCCTTGATCCTTCCTCCTCTCCAGGGTGCCACCCTAAACCCCTCTACCTAGAAATTTTGGATTTGCCAATTGCCCAGAAGGATGAAAGCCTCACAGTGCAATCATTGTCAAGTCCTGCTGAGCTGTGTGGGAGCTGGCTTATGTGGAACTGCCTGAGCTTCTCAGGGGCCTCCTCCTGGCACATCGAGCTCAGATGAAATGGAAGGCCTCAAAGCCCCACTCACCCCACCCTACCCACCTTCATTTATACCAGTTCACAGAAGAATAAGGAAAACAGACAAATACCGTATCTGGAAGATATCTCCAAAGACCTAAAGCCCTAAATAGGAAACTGAGAAATTTGTGGGAACCTTTAGAATTTTGATCTCTTCATACACACTGCTAGTCACTGTTACTGAGAAAGTAGCAAGACCAGCTTTTTCCATTCATTGTCATCTGCTCTTGACATGCTGGACTCACCTGCTGTGTCTCCAGATCATGTGCATGGCTGCATGCAGTCTAGGGTTCTCCACCAACAGGCAGATCCACCTCAATAAAGGAAATTACTTGAATCAGTGAGGGACAACTAACATCAGGTGACATTTTAAGGTAAACTCTTTTATGGCTATACTATTTCTGTCTTTACTAAGTATACTTGTAATCTGATCAGTAGAGTATAAGTAGCCTGCTCTCTCATAATATTTTTGTAGAAATCAATACAGTGTAATCAAATTGGTGTCAATAGGTTAGATTCCTTATTTGTAATTATTGAGGGTTTTCATATCTTCATTGAAAGACTATTGGTTTACATCATGCCATTTGACTTTTGGTTCAAGTGCTTTCAAAGAAACTGATTTCTTAAAATGCATCCTTGCAAGCCTGACAGTCTAACAGTTGAAAATCTATGCAAGACCATAAGGCAGACTAAAGATGGGTGAGAAGGCAGGGATGGGGGTAACCAAGGACAGAGATACTAAGTATACAAATAGATGTTTTCCAGCCAAAGCTGGAGGAGCAAATGGAGCAACTGCTAATAAAAAGTGGGCATGTACATTTTGATTTCAATATTTAAAAGTAGCCCAGTGTTCCATTAAAAAAAATGCAGCCACTATTCAAGGAAAAAAATGTGTGTAATATGTATGTGTGTGTTACATTAAGAAAGGAGTTCCACTTCAATTTCTGGGCTTCATAAGCAATCATCCTTGTGATCTTTCGTTTGTGCAGTTTCATAGTCTACAAAACACTTTCACAAATATTACTTATTCATCCAACAAACATTTATTGAGTTCTTCCTCACCCCCAAGCATTGTGCCAGACACTGGAGATACAAATATCAAGAAATAATACTTACCTTCAAGAAGTCCACAGAAGCAATCTGCAATCTCTTACCCTCAACAAATTTAAGGAACAGAAATATCTTTGCAAAGAACAGAATGGGAAGATGATTTTTTAACTTACAATGCCCTGCTACAATCCAGATTTCCAAAACCCTAGGAATGATAAAGGAGAGAAAAAGATCATGAATTTCCCAATATTTTGAGAAAGCCATTATACTGCTTCTCATTCATTAGACTCCATTGCTAATCACTGGAGTTTCATACTGTTTAAGGAGGCATTCCTCCAATGCCTTTCTGAAAGTTTCTAGGGATGTCCTAATACCTACAGACATCTCCATTTGCCATACACCTGGACTGAAAGGGGATAGTATTCTCTCTCCTTAATTGTAATAGGTTAGGCATTCAATTGACAAATAAACCTTGAGTACATTAACTTAAAACATAATTGAGGATCAGCTATGATGTGTCATGCACTGATTGGAATTATAAGAGATGAGTAAGTCCATGCCCCTTGATCACAAGTAACCCAGAAAGGGAGAAATATTTACAAAAAGCTAGGTAAAATAAAATGTAAAGCAACTGCTCTCCAGTAGTGGGAAGGGCATGCCCTAGGGCAGACTTTTTCACCTAGCTAAACTTCCCAACCTCTGACTCCTGTCTTCGCCATGCTACACGTGGTAGGACGAGCATCCGAAACAGACAGCTGACATGCTTTAGGCACTGTGTTGTGTGCACTTAGATTCTTCAAAATTCTGGAATGGGAATATGTCCTCTCAGCCCATTAGGAAACAAGCCAGCCTAACTTCACTTTTTAAAAAAAATCTCATCAGATTCATCTTATTTTGATAGGAATATTGAGTTAGGTGACTAGAAAGATATAGGGAATCTTGACTTGAACAAGAATTCTGAGAAAGTCTCAAGATTTCTTGCTGGTCAAGCTGGAAAATAATTTGTACCAAATGATACCACACAAGATTAATTCATAATATTTAAATGACAGTGCCCTAAGGGTGCTGGTGAGCCTAGAGGAAAGTTTCTAAAGATATTTCTTTGCCTGTGCCCTTAGCTCTGTATTATCCAAATATGTTACACAACAATTCAGATGAAGGTATAGAAATCATGCACAATTAAAATGCCAATGAATGTTTAAAATCTTAGAATATGGCAAATAACTGGCACTGTGCTGGCTCATGATAAATATATGTTTGACTTTCTAAAATGAATGAATGAATGAATGAATGAATGGCTTATACAGATTTGAAAAGGAACTAACACTAAAGAAATCACATGTAATGGGATAAATTTAAGATCCTGCACTAGTATCCAAAACTAAATACTAAAGCACAACACACAAGAGGAGAGATTTTACTGAGAAGTTTAATTGGAGATAGTCATTCCCCATCCCTGAAAAAAAAAAAAAAAAGATACATAAACAAAACAACTCATATCCTACCTTTAGACTGCATTAATAGAAACATAATACCTAGAATGAAGGAGATGATAGTTTACTTTGCACTATCAGGTCACATCGGGGGTGTTTTGTTCAATTCTGGATGCTACACACTGAACTGACTTCAGGAAAAATAGAACAGTGAATAGGCTAAACAGCATGTGATGTGAGACATAATTTATTGTGTCTGATTATCATTATAATCATAAAAAGAACTAAGTGCCAAGTGCTTTACATGCATTTTCTCGTTTAGTTCTCACAACATTTTGCCTATGAGGCAAGTACTATTATTATCCCCATTTCACAAAAAGAAAATAAAGGCTGAGAGAGGCCAGGCAACTTGCCCAAAGTCAGAGAGGTGATGGGGGGTGGGCAGCCAGGAATCTCAACAAGGCTTCTCTTGTTCTAGAGCTAACACACATAGGAAGGGGAGATAGAGCCGGGTGCAGTGGCTCATGTCTGTAATCCCAGAGCTTTGAGAGACCAAGGCCGGAGGATCACTTGAGGCCAGGTGTTCAAGACCAGCCTGGGTGACATAGCAAGACCGCCATCTCTACAAAAAAATTAAAAATTAAAAATTAGCTGGGTGTGGTGGCACATGCCTGTAGTCCCAATTACTCAGGAGGCAGAGGTGGAAGGATTGCTTGAGCCCAGGTGTTTGAGGCTGCAGTGAGCTATAATTGTGCCACTGCACTCCAGCCTGGGTGACAGAATGAGACGTTGTCTGAAAAAAAAGAGGAGAAGACAAATATTAGAAAGACTACCACTTGGAAATAGGATTGGTGCATAGTCATACTGACTATAAAAGGGAGCACTAAAACCAAAGAATGGGAAAATTGGCCCGTTACGTGGAAAAATGTACAGTAATTCTTTTAGGTGTCTCACACAGATCCCTTCCCAGGCTTTTCAACCCCATTTCAAATCAAATTGACTATTTCCTTGAACAAGGGCAATTATATTAATTGCAAAGAGTTTTCTGTTTGCCATCTACCAAAGGTTACAGCTCAAACATTTAAGGTAGTGTCTTTCTGTTGGCCACATTTCTCTGTCTCTTTCTATTTCTGTTCCTATTAACTACTGCACGGATCTGAATAATGCAAATATTAAAGATGTTAGCTTTGACTTTACAAAATATATCAGCTATAGGTGCCCTTGAAAGCCAGGACTTGCTCCTTCCCTTGGTGCCACCTTGAAACCAGGATGGGAAATTTGCAGGTCACCCTAGGTTTTGAAAAGAAGCGATCCATTTCCAAGTTGCAATCTACTTGAAATAATCTCCCCAGTTACGTGGAAGTAATTTATTCCATATTTACTTTCTGCTTTGGATTATCAAATATCTCTTCCTCTTACCCCCGGGGGCAGCATTTGGGATTAAAAAACTTCTACTACCTGCCCTGCTGGGGCTGCATTATTTAACTCTTTCATGCCTATTTAAGAGCAGGCAAAATTTGCAGCAAATGATAACTGAAGTCCCTACTAGCCCTAAGATGTATTATTCTACGTTAACTTTATTTGTTTTAGATGTACTCTATTTCCAAAACTGTTTATTATTTTTAGCAACATTTTTTTAACAACACTGAGGCTGACCTATATAAAGTTAAGCAGCTGAAAGTAAAATATTTAAGTAACAAGTTGACCCATGCAATGCCAAACTAAAGAGTAGATGTATTGTTTATTCCAGGGTCAGACGAAGGTCAAGTGGTGCTAAACCTAGAGGTCCCCTCATTTGGGTCAAGTCTCACTTTCCACATGAATGGATTGCCACCAATGAAGGCAGCCAGGGGACTGTTTTGTTTCAAATTCCCTGTCCTGGGTGTAGCCCTCCAAATATCAGTGCTTGCTTGTTGAACTTCTTATGGAGAAGAAGAAAAGTCTTTTAAAAATAAATCTTGGACCCTCACATCTCAGAGCCATGGGCGAGCCTGACTTGCTTTTGTTTTTAATAATAGACTACCTTTTAGAGTTGTTTTAGGTTTACAGGAAAGTTAGGCAGAAAGTATGAAGAGTTCCCATATACCCTCTTCCTACCCTACCCCTACTCCCACAGTTTCCTCTATTATTAACATCTTGCATTGAACATGACTCTTTTTTTTTTTTTTTTTTTTTTTTGAGACAAGGTCTTGCTATGTTGCACAACCTGGACTTGAACTCCTGGGCTCGACTGATCCACCCACCACAGCCTACGGAGTAGCTGGGACTACAGGAGCACCCCGTCAGGCCCGACTGAGCATGACCTTTTGACAGAGTAGTCCAGGTTTGCTATTCTTAAGTTCCCTGACCTTAAGATGGCAAAGAATACTGTAAGGCCCATCCCTGTTCCAAATAGGACTCACTCAATCTGTAGACCTTAACCAGCTTCTAGGGCCAAGGCATTCCTCCTACTAAGAAGCCTTTGTCACAACAACAGGAACCTGACCCAGACGCAACCTCCCCTAAAAACAAGCCAGACAAGAGAGTGGGCAGGGAGCAGACAGCAGGAACAGGCTCTGGCGAGGGCCTGAGAACAGCAAGTTTCAACGAGGTACTTTTGAAGAGATTGTTGGCTACATTATCTTATTTAATTACCGTGGCATAATCCTTACATGGCTAAACTATTTATCAAAAACAAGGCTGTGCAACAATTCAGCAAATGTCACTGTGTTGTTATTGGTGAAAGTTGCTCCCACAAACTGCTCTTTCGGGGTGTGCTGTGCTAGGAAGAGCCTTTTCCAGGTGCCTGGCCATTCTTCTGCACCAGTTTTTAATTGCTAATGAATTAAACTTTCCAAAGAGATAAGAATAATGTTGTTTTGTTTGCGCACAGATTGCATGACTAACAAGGACGATATAAATAAAACCATTCCAAGCTTTATCTGTGGGTGGACAACAGTGCCTGTGTTCAAGTGAAGCCTGAGATGGCTCCCACACAAGATTAGGTTGTTATTGCGGAAGCTGAGGCTTGCACACTGTTAAAAGCCCGAGCTAATATGTTCGCTTAAGACATTATGCCTAATTATGCTATGTGTCAGTAAGGGAACCTGTTCCCCAAACGTTAAACTATCCTGAAGCACCAGTGTGGGTCTGAGCCAAGTGGACTCTGTAGGATTCTGAGCTAACTATGCTCCATGGTGTTTATGAAAATGGGTAAGATCTGATCCTGGTGCATTCTCTACCTTCAGGATGATATGTATTCCTACTTGGACCAGTAACTATCTTAACAAATATATGTGAGGAGAAATGTTTGTGCTTTTATTTTTGGAAACTTACCATAAAAATCTGCAAACATTTCCTATAAAATGCAGAGTTCTCTGTCCATCAAGTTGTTTGGGGGCACTGAGGAAGGAGATGTTTATTTATGAGTTTGTTTCCAGTTCAAAAAAGGAATGCCTTCATGAGCAGGAGAAATGACTGAGGTCTGGATTTCTGAGTCATGATTTGGGCTTGGCTCGTGGTTTTAGGAGAGTTGAACATCCTTTAGCTAATGTTTCTTGTCTCTATGCGGGTGGGGTGTGCTATGATAAGAACACTAGCCTTGTTTTGGCTGAATGTTGAGTGCAAGAATCCTTTGCTGACCTAAGACCATCTAGAACTGCTAGAAATTCAGAATGGCTAGAAATGTATGTGTTGTGTGTGCCTTTCTCTTTGTTCCAACCCTAACCTTAATTGTGTGTGTGTGTGTGTGCACGCACACGCGGTCAAGTCAAGCAGGGTAGAAATCTGAGGCACTGGTAGCCCACTGGGATGCCTTTGTCTGGGATTCACTCACCATCAGTCAAGAGGCTTCAAAAATTAATTTAATTTGATTAATGGGAGATTGAAATCCCACACCAAGGCCTTAGGAAATCTCATGGTGAATTAAGTCACATGGATCATTTCATACCTCAAACTTCCTGTGGCTTCCAGGGAGAATCCATAATCTCCAGGAGTTGGTGAGGCAATCATTCACCCCTAGACACATCTGGACTCTGACTGCAACAGGTAGAATCTTGACTCTGTCCAGCCATCCACATCTCTACTCCCAGCCTCTTTCCATATATTTTCCAAAATACTT
Organism: Homo sapiens; assembly: GCF_000001405.40. NCBI lineage: Eukaryota > Metazoa > Chordata > Mammalia > Primates > Hominidae > Homo > Homo sapiens. The sequence continues at coordinate 148,211,961 of NC_000001.11, forward strand.
AAAGTCACCCTGAATGCCCCTCTTAGCACTTAATGCTCAGTATCATCATTTAAGCTCATTTTACAATTTTTCAATGTGTCTAGAAGTGTCCTCATTATTTCCTAAAACAATATCCTTTTCCCTGCACCCCACATTTCTTCCTAGAGGATGCCCATTCTCTCCTCTCCCTTCCATCAGAGCTCTAACCAAAGCCCATGGTTGCTCCCTACTCTCTGACTTCAATTCCTCATTCTTCCTCATTCTCACTTTCACTGATGCATGCTCTAATCACCTCAGTTCTCCTAGTCTTTCATCATTCTAACCCACTCATAAATACTATTTGTATTTGTTTACACACTCAGTCAAGAACTTTTTACTGTCATATCTGGCTCAACATTTTTCCTGCCTCTGTGTCAATTTGGTTCCCTTTTTTGTTCTAAATGTATCATCCACTATTCATCCTTTCATCTAAATCCATCTTTCCATCCATCTACTTCACAATTATTTATGGAGCACCTAATGGGCTTTATGGACTGCTTTAAGCACTGAGAATAAGAAGGTGAATAGGTGGCAGCCCCTATTCCCAAGGAGTTCACAGGGGAAGATGGATGCACATACATCACATGTGGTTAATTATCTGGGTGTGATAAAGGCAATGAGAGAGGAGCACAGAGGACCAGTCTAGACCAGGGCAGGGGAAGGTAATCAGAGCAGTCAGCTCCTCCTCCCCAGCCAGGCTGGTCTTTCTGCAAAACCATCACTCCTCAGTTCATGGCTTCCCATGCCGTGTACCTGAAATGCCCTTTCTATCCAAATCTTGGCTATTTTACAAGATCAGAGGTATTCTACTCTACCTCTGGGAACTTTTGGACTTATTCATAGCATCCAATTTAGGAATTCTTTGATACATGATGCTTTGCCTTCTCAAATAGGTTACGGCTTCGAATTTAAGGAGAGATCATTGTGTCTCAGTACTTTTGTGTTCCTTACACTGTGCTACCAAAAACACTGAATTAAAAAACAGGACATGGATAATTCATTCCTAGATTTTCCTGACCATCTTACCTTTTCTGCCAACATGAGTAACACCTTATCTATATGTAGTAGGCACTTAATAAAATAAAGACATTGTGAGACATTGGAAAGAATAAGAACTTCAAACTCAAGTTCAAATTCTAATTCAATTACTGGCTGTTTGGACTTAGGCAACTTTATCTTTTCTGAGCCTCAGGCTCCTTAAATGCAAAATGAGGACTAATAACACAAACTTTATTTCTATTTAGGGGACGATTAAATGAATCTGTATATGTAAAATGCCTAGCACTGTGCTTTGCATATATTAAGGAATCAAAATATGCTAGATCCTGTCCCTCCCTCTATTCTTCGTCCCCTCTCCATCCCCAACCCTTCATGCCAGGCAAAATTTGGCAAGAAGCAATAGAGACATTTAAAACTTTAACACCTGCATGCTTTTGGTTGCAAAACAGTGCTTAAGCTTTTCTCAAACTCCCAACATAAAGCCTGGGAAGGACCTAGATTTGTTCATCACACCCAGCTTGTCACAGGGAAAATCTTGGTGTATGTATTACTCAGTCTTATGTGGGCATAAATGTGATAAAAGTTCTGTGATCTTTGAATTTTATGGCTCTCAAAAACATGTGACACTCTACATTTTTTACTGCCCTTCGTCAGTCAGCTGATTTTGAGACCTAGGGAAACCCCTGTACGTTCTTCGACCCACAGAAAGGGTTAAAGATTCCTACTACAAAAGGACTCAGTGTTCTAACTCTAAATGTCTTGGGAACATGGCCTGGAAAGGCTGAGGGCCATTGCATTACACAATTACCTATTTGCTGGAGACAGTATATTTAATAACTAATCATCTAATCTAATAATACTGAAGAATATCAGACTCAAAGGTCAAGTGTTTAAGATTAGGGAGAAAGCAGCCTTAAAAGTACATTTTAAAGAGCCTCACAGGTCAACAAGTCAGCCTTAGAGCCTGCCATGCAACCACCACTTCCAGGCTGCTAGGGGAATCAGAAATGTCACTATCTTTCAAACTTAGAATATTGATTATATCCACTCTACTCATAGGGGCTTTATTCCATGACATCTCTTAGTTAGCAATTTAAGAAAATGATTTCATCCTATATAATGCCAGATTAGCTCAATGACGAAAAATGTTACACTAGGAGCTCTTCGATACACACTTGAGAGCTCTTACCCAAAATGTTATTTTCCCTCTGGACTTTCCTGTGTTGATAAGTTCTGTTTGCTTCCAATTGTGGTTCACTCTTGTGGATCTTTTTCTCAGAGACCTAAGTGATCATCATTCCTAGAGATATTTGTGGTACAAATTCTTTATTTTCAAGTTCTGAAAACCTCATACTAAAAAGTCACCCTTTATTTCTCACTTTTAAAAGCCTGAATGGGCACTCTTCCTCATCTTTCATGAAGTTAAAGTCTTGTCACAATTCAAATTCCCTAGATGAATCCCTTAAAGAATCACTACACAGTGCTGACTCTCCAATGTGCACACTTGACCAGCAGGACGTGTATGTTTATTTCAAATATTTGAGTCCTTTTGCTTGATCTTTTCATAAGTTGGTCTCACTTCAGTCCCCTGATGGCTTTAAATCGTGGTACTTTGCTCACAATTTCTCAGAGTAGAACATTTTTAGAGAAAGATCTAGACATCTCTGCTTTTTCTAGGAAAAATAAAAACATAAAAACTAAAAACCCCGCAACTCTCAGGATAGACCGGATTATGCTGAGGTAACAAATTAACCCTAAAATCCCAGTGGATCATCAAAACAAAGGTTTCTATTTTGTTTCACTACATGCTCATCACAAGTTAGTGAGATGCTCTGCTCCTAGGGCTACTCAGGCACCAGGAGCAACTCCAGGTAGTTCCTCAGGGACCCAGGCTGAAGGTGATTACACCATCTGGTCATGTCCCTACTGTAGAAGACAAAGAGGACCTCATAGCATTCTTCTATGCCTAGGCCCAGAATGTACATTGTCCCACTTCAGTTTATAGCCCATTAGCTAGTGCAAGTCACAAGTCCCCTAAGTACCAGGAAATGTGGTCTTTTCTGTGTGCAGAAACAAGAGAAGAACAAAAAAAGTATGCAAACACACTCACATCACCATTGCCTACATTAAGATTTTATGCTTCAAGAAGAGTGAAGCCAACAGAAAAGGCTGAACATAAAGGAAATCTCTAAGCCTGGACACCCGGTGGATCCAGAATAACCAAAACATAATTAAAATACTTACTGAGCACTTACTGAGTACTTTTCTCAAGATTAATGCAAATTTCTATTCTGCCTTTAATTCCTTGATTTTTAAAAATATTTTAAGATTTTTGCCAAGCTTTTACATTTTAGGTTATAAAAGAATTTCCAAGGCCTGGTATGGTGGCTCATGCCTGTAATCCCAACACTTTGAGAGGCCAAGATGAGAGGATCACTTGAGCCCAAGAGTTCAAGACCAGCTTGGGCAACATAGTGAGATCCCATCTCTACAGAAGATAATAAAATTTAAAAATTAGGAGGGCATAGTGGCATGTGCCTGTAGTACCAGCTACTCAGGAGGCTGAGGTGGGAAGGTCACTTGAGCCCAGGTGGTTGAGGCTGCTGTGAGCTATGATGGCACCACTGCACTCCAGCTTGGGCAATAGGGCAAGACCCTGTCCAAAAAAAAAAAAAAAAAGAAAAGAAAAGAAAAGAAAAAAGAAATGATCTTCCAAGAAGAAAGGTTGATACTAATTTTTAAATGTAAGGTCAATCACTACTTGGTTCACATTAAATTTTCTAGCAAATCTTGTGTTCCTCATTTGCAAGATTTGCTTCTGATTTGCTAGATTTGCTTCCGGATTTCCCTTGGTTTGCTTCTCTTTGTTCAGAAGATAAATTCACACTCAAAGTAGCACAGGGCCTGACATAGATGTAAATGCTAAGCATATATACCAATGCTTAGGAATAACAAATAAATGAGTGTGAAATTAGAAGCATCACTACCAAGAATATTTATACAAATATCTAGACTTATACTCCATGCTACAACAATAAAATCCAAAATCAATGTGTCTTACCTTTCGCATACGATCATTAATGCCAAAGGGCAGTACTGATTTCATTAAAAGAACAATTAGAAAAGATGAAGAGAGATTTTCCTGTTTTCCTCCAATTTTGAATCTGTCCTCCTTTTCCCATTTTCCCCATTTTCACAGATTCTTATGATAAAGTTTTCATTTCTCAAGGAGCCAACGTCACCCCAGACTCACACAAGGGAACACAACTGTGTTATCATTGCTTGTCTGAAGGAAGGGAAGTCACCAATCCTCCTTCAAACAGGAAACCTTGTGGAAAATAATTGTGAATGTAGAGCACACCTGAGCAGAAAAAAAATGCTGACCAGAACTGTGCAATAAGTTTCTTCCATGTTGGAAGAGTTTGACTTACAACTCAGCCATTCTCTGCTGCTTATATAAGAGCAAAGTCACGTCAAAAAAGAAGCCAAAGGAAACAGAATGTTCTCCATTGCAGGAATGACTGAAGTTTCGCCAATTAAACTTTTCCTTAGGCATGAACATAAGTAATAACCTAACATATCCTGAGTACTACTTTGTGCTATGCAGCCTGCTAAACACACTACATGCATTAAGGTTATTGAAAGTGGAAGTAATGCTCCCAGTATTTGTGCAGGATAAAAAGAAAATATTAAATTATTTGTTTTTGTTTATTTTGTAACCTTATTATTTAGTTTACTTTTTTGCATTTTATTATTTACATCATACTGTATATAGTATATTGGTACCTATATAAAATAAATATATACTCACACACACATATGTTGAGAGCATACGAATAGCAGTTGCAGCTCAGTTTATTTTTAATCAATGAGAAAGGATTATTATTATTATTGTTAGTTATCATTATTCCTGTTTGCAGAAAAGGAAACTGAGGCTTAAAGAGGTTAAAAGGACTTACCCAAAGTGTCAAAGTTGGTAAATGGCAGAGCTGGAATTCAAAGAGTCTGATTCCAAAGTCTATATAGTCCGGCGTGATCATTAAAGGAATTCCTTGTGTTCAAAGAGCAGTGCTTGAAAACCAAGCTCATTTGTGCCTGCAGAAATGCCAGCCTCTGGGGTAGAAGAAATGTCATACTTTGATCATCTTCCACACTGAATTAGGAGGAAAAGCAGAAGAAAAGAAACTGAGGGTACCAATGCCAGACAGTCACTAGGTAGTAAATGGAAAAGAATTTAAAGAAAGTGAAAATCAAAGGAAAATATCACAACGTTTGGTTGACACCCTATTCCTCACCCAGCCCCTTAATGTCTTTCTACAGAAATCAGATTTCTGGTGCAGGCAGTTCATTGTTTGAACATGCAGTAATGGACACATCCAGATTCCTAACACTGGGGAGTTCAGAGTCAATCAACATGGATTGAGACACTTACAGCTTCATCTTTTGCTGATTGAGCACTGAGGGGTGTGTATCCCCATGCGGTCCCTAAGAGCTACACCCACGGGAGAAACATTTTATGTTGTTCAAAATACTTGGTGCTATGGTTGTTATCTTCAATTTTCTTAACTAGTAATGAGTGATCCTAGTAAGTGTTAAACCAATATGCACTAGGCTCTCTTTAGGATATTCATTACGGAAGGCTTTGAAGCTGAGAAAGAAGTTTAGAGTTTAGGGAAAATTTTTAAAACAACTCTATATTATAGGCATTTTAAAAAATAAGTGCAATGGAATTCTTTAGAGGTAACCAAGTTTCTCAGGATATCTTTGAGGCAGTGATAAAGATTTAAGTTTTTAAAATCACTATCAAACCCCTTTGTGCAACATTTGCATAAATTCTCAAACAATGGGACTGTTTTCATGTAAATTTGTTTTCAGGGAGATTCCTGCTTTCTGAAGGCAGTGTAACTGTAGCTGAGTTACATAAAGTGACATTTTATTGCCTCCTGTGGAAGATGCTTTGCACTAATGATCTGAAATCTGATGTCTCAAGCTAGGAATTAGATGATCTGTGGCTCAAAGTGTGAAAAGAGAAAGTGGGGCCTTTATGTTTTAGTTAATTACTTCTGGCTAAAATGTGGGGAGCGCTCCCTGGACCTTCTGGGACTCCTGGAATCCGGAAACCTGTCTACAAAACCTAAAGGATTGAAGCAGTTGACCTCATCACAGGAGTGACCACAGGGGGAAAAAACAGTGATTCACAAATCCAAGCCTGATTTCAGTCAGAAATTTTTCTGTGTTTCATAAATCTGCCTTTTTTCTCTAACTGCCCTTGCCACCTAGCAAGCCAGGAACAGAGAGACCAAAAATCATCATAAATATGGAATATGCAGTCGGAAATGTGAAAAAAGAGCTTGCTACCCAGGGAGAACAAAGCTTTCACCCCTCTGGGGCTTCACTGTGAAAAAGAAACAACTCTGCTTGTTTTGTCTTATTTTCCCAGATACTTCTATTTGAAAAATATAGTAAATCAATTAATCAATTTTTCTCTCCCTACTATCCACGCCCCCTCATTTCTCCAGTTCTCTAATTCTCTAATTCCTGAGTTGTCTAATTCCTGAGTACTCCTAGGGCAGTTCAGCTTACTACAAGAGAATTTTTTGTGGCTGTTCTCAAACTCCATATTCTGTTTGCAGAGAATGCTGTTCCTTAATTCTGTTTGAGTTTCAAAGAGAAAAAGCTCATACCAGTTTAGATTACCCACAATCCTCAATGCATATCGAACAAAATTGTCATTCCTAATGGCAAAGTTCAGGATATAACTGTGTTAGTTAATTTAATCATTTACCATGAAATACCAGGTGTCTTAATCTTATATATAGTTCTTAAGTTGGCTGCATATTTTTGTGCAATTGAATACTGACCCTACATGAAGAATACAAGAATTTTGTTTTTAAGTAAATGTTGTTAGAAATAAAATGTTTCTACTGGAAAAAAAAATATGTTATTAGAAGCACTGTGAATTTTTCTCCAATGCTTGAAGAGTGACCACTCCAGCAAGCCTGGCTTATGTTGGTGGCATTCTGCCCTGCCACTACCTCCAGCACATCCACAGACCTTTATTTTTGTTATTTTATGACCACATGCAGGATTCTGGCACCAAGGACTCCATTTGGACTTAGGAAAAGTAGAAGAGCACTCTGAAAACTGGACGTCGGGAATTGATGAACTGGCATCGCACCCCAACAACACACTCTGCTTGTGGGCCTTACTCTCCAGATACCTGATGTATTACTGGAGAAGCAAATGCAACAAGGCAAAGATGTCTTCATTTTCTGTCAAAGCAAGGCCTCAACTATGGTGTCATTGAGGCCCTGAATCTCCGCAGCCAGCCAGTCAGACCCCATCAACAGCTGCAGCAAGCAGGGCTGAGGAGGGGAATGGGAGGCGATAGGAGCCAATGAGGGCTGAGCCCGCAGCTCTGTGTCTGACTGGAGCAGAGAGACAGAGAGGCCAGGGCCAGAGGAAACCCCAGCAGCAAGGGAAAAACAGATTGACTCTCAGTGACTCATTTAGCTCCTGGGTTGGACAGATCTCTCCCCTGCTGGCAATTTGGCTCTGCATCAATAGTTCGAATACCAGGCTGAACAGCTTCAAATAATTAGGGGGAAAAATCTGCAAAACTGCTAGCCATCCAATTCTTTACTCTGTGCTGAAAGACACAGTACAAATGACATCTAGGTTATTAAATATGAAGTCACTGGATTTGCTGCCCATTTGGTCCAAAGGCAGAAAACTGGATAAAACTCAAATTTATAATTCAGTGTAGATGGCCTGTTTGTCCTTGAGGCGATCCATGAATTTTGGCTGGGCAGGCGCTGTGAATGTGGAAGTAATGTCGTGGGGGAAGGGGGATGAACAAGGTTTGTTCCCCCCGCCCCGCCCCGACTCGGCTTACACCCCCTGGGGAAAAAAAAATGAAAATGTCAATAAAGACTGTGAATGTGAAGAGAAATGGAATCTGAGCCCAGAGTTTAGTAGCTGGCAGTTTAAACTTTATATACTTTAGGCCGACAGGCGTCTGGATCTCCTGTACTTTATATCCAGCGTACAAAAACTGAAGCAACAGGCTCATTTGGTATCAGTAAAGGTCAGTTAAAATTATAGAGACATTTTTTGGAGCAAATCTCCAGTCTTGTATTTGCATATTTATGAACTAGAGATTAAGATAGGCCATTCCACTTATTAGAGCAGTGCTGCTATAGTTAATAGTCTGTCAGCATTTCCATTATAAACCCCATTTTTCAGTGTTTAGTATCTCAGCTGTTAGAAATTACATCAGGCTGAAAAGTGGTCTTCAGCATCTCAGGCCTTGGCAGGGTGAGCCGGTGGTGGTGGTGGTGATGGGGCTTGGGAAACCAACAAAGACATTTAAATCAAGCCAACTGTTTTTACATTGGATATTAACAGTAAATATGAAATCAGAGATTTTGAGGGGAGTTGGTGAATTCTTCTCCTCCCTCAACACCCCCCCACCAAATTATCTTTCCCCTGTCTTATCCTTGTCAGTATCAGGGCTTTCACTCTCTATTTAAAGGGAAGACTCTGGGATTTTAGGGCAAAGATCCAAAGTTTTGGCTTGGCAAAATAGTTTTCCTCACTTCACTGGAATTGTGGGGGTAGGGGAGAGCATCAGAGTAAAGCAAAGATGTTGAAGACATTCATTCATTCATTCATTCATAAAGAATTGGCTCATGCAATCATGGAGGCTGGTAAGTCCAAAATCTGCAGGTTAGGTGGGCAGGCTGGAGACTCAGGGAAGAGCTGATGTTGCAGTTTGAGTCCAAAGGCAGTCTGCTGGCAGAATTTCCTCTTCCTCAGTGGAGATCAGCCTTTTCCTTATGACCTTCAACTGATTGGATGAGGTCCATTCACATTATGGCACATAAAATTAACCATCACAGAGGCTAAGCTGCTTTACTCAGTCTATGATTTAAATGTTAATCTCTTCTAAAAAATACCTTTGCAGCAATATCCAGACATCTTTGACCAAATATCTGGGTACCAGGGCCTAGCCAAGTCGCACATAAAATTAACCATTGCAGGGACCATGTTTTAAAGATCTCCTATACATCAAATCCTGGGCTTGGCCTTGGAGACACAAAATTAATGACACACTCCTTGTCCTCAAGAAACTTATGATCTACCATCACACTGGTACCAAGTTTTCACAATAAAATTACAGACTCAATAGCTGGTTCCATGCTTTGCTTTCTCTTTTTGGCCACTTGGGATATCCCCTGCACAGAGGCACAATTGTGAGTGTGCTTAGCTGCATTCTCAAGAGAAGGCACTGCTATCTAGGGACTCCTTATCACATAGGAAGACAGCCTGCTCTTTCCAAACCAAATTCTTGTAAATTCACTGGACACTAACCTGTCAAGTAACTCAGTGATATTCAAAGATCCTTTGGGATTTGAGGAGAAATTGGAAAAAGAGAAAAGAGGAAGCAGCTTGCTTTCTCAAGTCATTCATTCAAAAAAAAAATGAGTATTGGCTCCTGTTATATGGCTCCTCGATGTGTTTTAGAAACCACACAAACACATCCTCAACTGGACAACCATAGAGCAGGTTGAAAAATTCCTACTCTACCTGGCGGAGTTTCCAGCCCCTCTGCAGAAGTGCACACCTATGCAAAAACCTTCATCAGAAGAGAACCTTAAGGGATAGTCTGACAGTAGGGAATCCCAATGTGTATAACCAGTGGTCCTTGCTATCTGACTCCGAGAGCTACACTGAGTAATAGAAGCAACTCTCCTTGCCCTGTCTTCTAGGTTTCTATTATACTTGGAGTAGGTAAGCTTTATTTTATTTGCTCAAGATATGTCACACCCCTGGACACACAGAATAAAAATTCAAAGTCCTCCTGGAATTCAAGATGTGTCATACCCCTGGACACACAGAATAAAAATTCAAAGTCCGACTAGAGAGGCAGAGAATATCATCACTGTATCACTCCATTTTACTTTATTGAAAACCTTAAAAGTAAATATAAAACGACAAATTACGGTGCTGCTATTGTTGCTTGCTGTCTGGGAAAAAAAGAAATGTTGGATAAGAAGGTCAAAATGTGCCAATTCAATGCCCTGAGAATGGTCACCTAATCTTCTATCAAGAGATGTGACATACCATCTAAAGAACGGCTGCCCAGCCAGGTGCAGTTGGTCACATCTGTAATCCCAGGACTTTGGAAGGCTGAGGCAGGCAGATTCCTTGAACTCAGGAGTTCAAGACCAGACTGGGCAACATGGTAAAACCCCATCTTTACCAACAATACAAAAAAAAAAAAAAAGCTGGGCATGGTGGTGCGTGCCTGTGGCCCCAGCTACTTGGGAGGCTGAGGTGGGAGGATCACCTGAGCCCCAAGGGTGGAGGTTGCAGTGACCTGAGATTGCACCATTGCACTTTAGCCTGGGTGACAGAGTGAGACCCTGTCTCAAAAATAAGTAAAGAAAGAATGACTGCCCTCAATGCCTAGGAGCTTGACTCTGCTTTACTTCTGCCCTTTCGATTCTCTGTGAAATGAACAGGACTTATGTAATTGCTTTCAGCAGCATCTTTGAATTACAATTACATAATAAGACACACACCAGGATGTGTGTAATTGTGTAATAACAGCATGCCTCACTGTGCTAGGTTGGTGGCCAATAACCACTTAGTCATGCTATTATATTATAAGAACATATGCCCTCAAGGCATGTTGAAATTATTCTGGGGATCTCTAAAGGAAAGCTGACTGATCAAAAGAGAACCCCAACTTAAAAAGCTATAAAATAAATAATTTTTAAAAATCTGATAGTAATCCCAACAAGAAACAAAAAAATTACACCTACCCTAAAAACAAACAAACAAAAAACCTGTAGTGTAAAATCAAAATCAAAGTGTTGTGTAATGATTCACTTACGTCACCACAGGATTTAAGATGACAGAGTGTTAATAAGGAAAAAACAAGAAGCTGGCCAGAAGTCAGGTGTCGTGATGCCCTCTTCATAGTTGGTCAGCGTGAAGACTACAGAGGAGTTATGTCTCAACCCAGAAAGTTCTAGCTTCTTTGGAGCCTACTCCTTCCCAAGAAAATGACACCCCAAAGGCTCTATAAACTTTCCACACTTTGAACTTTTGTGTTGTTCTCATAGTCATCAGATCAAAAAATAATCTCAGAAATGTGAGATCAGACTTTTGCAGTTGAATCTCCCCAATGATATTTTCCTTACAGTGAAAGTATGTGCTAGGATAAATTGCCCACACTTTATTCTTACAGCACAAGATACGTATATGTTATATATATAGTATGTGTACATACGTTTCAATACCTAATTTTTCTGTATATGCAAACTACATTTCCATCTCTTCCACTCTTCTAACTCATTTGGCAGGAAAAAAACCTCATGCAACAAAAATAAGGCAGTATGAGATGAGGGGAGAGGTGGGAGAGATACTTTTGCAATTTATAAAATATTAGTTTGTCACTTCTTAGATAAGGCTGTATCAATACAAGTTATAATATCGAGGTAAACATAAATGTATATGTGTAATATACTTGTAATTCACAATTGATGTTTTGTTTTTTCCTTATGCAATTAGAACCTTAAAATATAGAAGTTTTGATCATTACTGTAATGGGCTGAATTATATCTCCCCTCTCCCCTAGATTCATATGTTGAAGTCCTAACGCCCAGTGCCTGAGAATATAACTGTATGAGGAGATAAAGTCTTTAAAGAAGTAATAAATTAAGAGGAGGTTATTCAGGTGGGCCCTAATCCAATATGACTGGTGATATGGTTTGGCTGTATATCCACCCAAATCTCATCTTGAATTGTAGCTCCCATAATTCCCACATGTTGTGGGAGGGACCTGGTGAGAGATAATTGAATTATGGAGGTGGTTTACCTCATACCATTCTTTTTTGTTTTGTTTTGTTTTTTTGAGATGGAGTCTCACTCTGCCTCCCAGGCTGGACTGCAGTGGTGCAATCTTAGCTGGCTGCAACCTCCACCTCCCGGGTTCAAGCAATTCTCCTGCCTCAGCCTCCCAAGTAGCAGGGATTACATGCACGTGCCACCACACCCAGGTAATTTTTGTGTTTTTGTAGAGATGGAGTTCCACTATGTTGGCCAGGCTGGTCTTGAACTCCTGACCTCAAGTGATCCACACGTCTCTACCTCCCAAAATGTTGGGATTATAGGCATGAACCACCATGCCTGGCCCTCATACTGTTCTTGTGGTAGTGAATAAGTCTCACAGGATTTGATAGTTTTATAAGGGGAAACCCCTTTTGCTTGGCTCTCATTATCTTCTCTTGCCTGCTGCCATCCATGTAAGACATGACTTTGCTCTTCCTTGCGCTCTGACATGATTTGAGGCCTCCCCAGCCATGTGGAACTGTGAGTCCATTGAACCTCTTTCCTTTATAAATTACCCAGTCTCAGGTATGTCGTTATTAGCAGTGTGAGAACAGACTAATACAACTGATGTCCTTATAAGAAGAGGAAATTTGGACACAAACATGTACAAAGGGAAGACTGTGAAGACCCAGGTGGAAGATGGCCATCCACAAGCCAAGGGGAAATGCCCCAGAGGAAACCAAACCTGCAGACACCTTGATCTTGGACTTCTAGCCTCCAAAGTTGTGAGGAAATAAATGTTGTTTAAGCCACCTAGTCTGTCGTAGTTTGTTATGGCAGTATACATTTATTACATTATTATATCAACTGCACATTTATTACATCAACAAACTTTTTTTTAAACAATGCTGAGTATAAGTAATGAGAATATAATGGAGAGGAAAACAAGGTCCATGTTGTTTTAGGGCTTATAGTCCACCAAAAAATAATTTTGACAGGACATGCATAGGAAAGGCAGCAAATATAGTTGTGGGTTTTAATCCATTACGTATGTGGCATTTCCAAAATACCATATGTAAGCTGATTTTAAATATTTTCAGTGATCTTAAAGGACATCAACTGAGTATTTCAGTCACCTTAACAACCAAAAGTATTCAATGATTCAACAAATGACCTGCAACTAATGACTCAATCTAAACCCAATCTAAACCTCCATTGAGTTAAATTTGAGGAAGTACCTACAAAATTATTGTTACCTCTCTGCAGGGTGCTGGACTGGCTCTCACCCACTTCAATTATGCACATCTCTTCCCAACTTCATGTTCAGTCATACCAGATGAGTTGTTTGAAATCAGCACCCTTCACACTGCCCACTGAAGGCTCCACTTCAAGTCTGCCCTCCTCTGGAGCCTTTTGTTAAATCTTTGCCAGCACACCATTCGTCAGGGTGCACCCCCATCAACAAGACAGCTTAAAGACATTTAGAAAGCAAAACCATGACAGAAAATGTCAAAGGGGAAGAGAGGAATATACAAATATGGAAATAAAATAATAAAGTGGAAGATTCTGATGTATTAAGCCAGAGCAGCAGTTCTCAAATGTTATGGCCTATATCCAAATCACCCAGAGATGTAGGGTGGGGCCAGGGAATTGAATTTCTAACAAGTTTCCTGGCTATCCCACTGCACTGGACCATCGGTATGGCTTTTTCTCCTAACACCAGTTCGTCTCCTGTGCTTACCACCTGGTTGAGGAGGGGTGGAAGTGCATGGCAGGTGTGGCTAATGCCATTGGATTGGCAGCTCTTGGTAAAGGAAATCGATGGCCATGTATAAACAATGTTTAAGCTGAAGTCCAGTGAAATGGTCCCTGGGGACCCACAAGCTGCTCACAGCCAGGAAGGCAGCACTGCCCAATGTTGCCCCCACCATGGAAGAAAAAGCATGCCAAACACCTTCATCTAGCCCTGAAGGTATTTTCACTAGGCCTATGTAGAAGGTAGTTTGGCTAAAACAGCTTCAGTTGGCATATGCAGAAAGACACAATCTTAGAGCCACAGTGAATTATTTGTTTGGAAGGCAGGACCCTATTAAGACACTGGATGTTGCCTTATCCATATCTGGATCACCACAATGCAAACCATGCCCCTGGAGACAGAAATCTACAAGCCACAAAGACAGGGAGAAAGCTAACATGACATTACTGGGAAGGTGAGTATACACTAATTAGATCTCACAAAATAAGGATGATAGAAGAATTCCATTGTGTTCACATTTCTTACCCTCTGTAATGTTGAAGATCTGAAATTTGGTTGTAAATACATTGGTAACTTTTTTGTCCAAATTACATTCCCAAGAAACAGATAAAAACTGAACACAGGTTGAAGTTTGGCTGTTTTATAAGTATGCAGTTACTGAAAGCACTGGTGATAACACTGTCAGAAGTGAAAAATTATAGATGATTAATAAGAAATTGTTGAAAGAAATGGTTCTTGCCAAACAAAACATCAATGAGATTGAAAACAATTTTCATTGACAAAACATGTGCCTGTTGGGCATTCCAGAGGAGTGTGATGAGAATAAATTTGACTGAACCTTTAAAAGAGTTTTTACTTGTTGGGTCAGATCTTTCTGCTAAATCCCTCAGTGTCAAAATGCTGTTTTGCCTTTCCTACCTGCTCTGGGCATACTCCGTCACAAACTACGTTGTGTGAATCTGAGGACTGCTTTAGAAATGAGTTCCCAAATTGCTCAAGAAATAGTTCAGGCTGTAATTCTGAAAAGCCTTCTGCTCACTCAGGTCCTGTGGGGGGAGTTTAGCCAATAAAGGAAAGAAAGAAAGAAAGAAAGAAAGAAATTAAACTCTTTCAAAAGCAAACTTTGGAACCATGACAAACATGGAAGCCATGTGTATACCATGCTGTCAGCATTTCCTGAAGAAGCTGTGTGTGGGCTTCAGGGAGGGCTCTGGGATGATAATCTGGAAATGATGAAGAATTCTTTTATGTATTTTATTGTAGTACAGGTCTAATAAAAGCTAAGTATTATAAATGTTAATGGTGCATTAATTGTAAGTTAAAACAATAATTTGATACTATTTTTCCAACCACAAATTGGCAAAAAAATTTAAAAGTGAGAACATAGGGTTTGGTAATGAAATAGGAAAATGGGTGAACACTCAAATACAGTTTGTGGAAATATAAATTGATAGAACCTTTTTCAGGGACAACTTGGCAGTATCTATCAAGATTCCAAATATACCTATCCTATGAGGAAGCAGAATGCATATGAGTTAAGGACAGACTCTGGATTCAGAGATCCTGGATTCCAATCCTGGCTCTACCAATTAGAACCATGAGATCTCAAACAAGTTGCTTAACCTCTCTGAGCCTAAGTTTATCATCTGCAAAACTGAGATAATAATAGTATCTATAACTCATGGGGTTGTCATGGGAATTTTAAAAGTTGATATTTGTAAAGTGTTTACACTGGTGCCTAGCATATAGGAAGTGCCTAGAACCCTAATTCAAGGAAAACATTCTATAAAACTTCTAGCCAAATGTCTAAGTTCAATACAACATGGTTTCTCACAACATATAAATGGAAACTAACTCTAGAGGTCCAACACTGAGAAAATATGCAAATAAATGCTAGTTCATCAGCGTGATTGAATAGTTTATAGCCCTTTAAAGAATGAGGTAGGCTGGGCGCGGTGGCTCACGCCTGTAATCCCAACACTTTGTGAGGCCGAGGCGGGCGGATCATGAGGTCAGGAGATTGAGACCATCCTGGCTAACACGGTGAAACCCTGTCTCTACTAAAAAATAGAAAAAATTAGCCGGGTGTGGTGGAGGGCGTCTGTAGTCCCAGCTACTTGTGAGGCTGAGGTGAGGCAGGAGAATGGCGTGAACCTGGGAGGCAGAGCTTGCAGTGAGCCAAGATTGTGCCACTGCACTCCAGCCTGGGTGACAAAGTGAGACTCCGTCTCAAAAAAAAAAAAAAAAAAAAGAGTGAGGTACAGCTCTGTGTACCCCAAGAACAACATATTGCTGAGTACAAAAACAAATTGTAAAACAGCATGTTCAGTAGAATCTCATTATTATAAAAGTGAAGTTTGTGTGTGTGTGTGTGTGTGTATGTGTACCTGAAAAGATATATACCATACTTACCAGTGATCACCTCTGAGGAGTGAGATTAGAGCAGCGAAGAGACTTTCAATTCTTACTTTATACACTTCTGTATTGTTTGAACCTTTGAAAATGAACTTAAATTACTTTTTAATTAAAAAAGCTTTTAAATCACTAGTCTGAGCATAGTTTAGATTTAAATAATTATTCTTTCTCTCTCTTTTTTTTTTTAAAGATTCAGATTCATAGCCATGCGATGAATGCTACTGTTATCATTGACATAGATGACCAGCCCGGAAATAAGATTGTATGAATAGTCCATTTAGTTAAATGTTTCGGCCACTTAGATCTATGTGAATGTGAGCATAAAATGTGGAAACACTTAGGAAATAAGCTTTCATTGTATAGTATAATAGGGGGTAATGAGATTCGGTCAATCTGTCAGAGATTTAAACCTACCCGATCCTAAAGAAAAACAGGCCTAAAATATTTCAAATGTGAGGTTATATTAAAAGCCACAGTTTCAAACTGTGAAGCTAAAGAAATCAGTTGTTTCAGTTTATTGTCTCAGGGAAAGCACAGTGTAATACCTGAAGGACTTGAAAGAGAACCAAAAGGAGGGGTAGCATTCCCAGCAGCTAGCACTTTCATCCAATGCCAGGGCTTTCATTGGCCAAATTATTTTCAAAGATACTGCCTGACCGAAGCACTTCTGCAATAAAAGTATCTCTGTGTTAGTCAATGGAATGGGGGAATGTTAAAATTGAAAGAGGCCTTTGAGACCAGCTAGGTCAGTGTCCACATTTCATAGAAGAGGACACTGAGTTCTGGAAAGATCACGGGACTTCGTAACAAAAACAAACTACAGCTCAGGTCAACTGACCATCAGTATAGTATGCCTTCTAATACACTACTGTCCTCGCACTTTTTGTATTTTAACGTAATGGTTTTAAAATGCACATGGGAAAAATAAATATAAACTATAATATAGAACACAAAAGCTCCCAGAGAAGAGTTTACTTCCTATTCTTGTACTCCAAGTCCCAGTTACTCTCCTCAGATATGACCACTGTGCTCCTCAGATATGACCACTGTGCTTTTTGTTTTGTTTTGGTTTTGGTTTTTGAGACGAGTTTCACTCTGTTGCCTAGGCTGGAGTGCAGTGGTGTGATCGTGGCTCACTGCAGCCTCAACTTCCTGGACTCAAGCGATCCTCCCAGGTCAGCCTCCTGCATAGTTGGGAGTACAGGTGTGCACCACTATGCCCAGCTAATTTTTTGTATATTTTTGTAGAGACAGGATTTCACCATGTTGCCCAGGCTGGTCTTGAACTCCTGGGCTCAAGTGATCTACCCACTTCGGCCTCCCGAAGTGCTGGGATTATACCTGTGAGCCACTGTGCCCAGCCTATAACTACTGTCAGCAGTTCCTCTGATAGTCTTTCAGAGATGCTCTATGAACTTCTAAGCAAGTGTATATATGTGTGCATGCATGTGTGCAGCATATTATATATACAGTTGACCCTTGAACAACATGGGTTTGAACTATGTGGGTCCACCTATACATGGATTCTTTTCCACCTCTGCCACCCACAAGACAACAAGACCAACCCCTCCTCTTCCTCCTCCTCCTCAGCCTATTCAATGTAAAGATGATGAGGATGAAAACCTTTATGATGATCCACTTCCACTTAATGAATAGTAAATGTATTTTCTCTTCGTTATGGTTTCTTAATAACATGTTAACTTACTTTAAGAATATTGTATATAACACATATAACACACAAAATATGTATGTGTTAATTGACCGTGTATGTTATCAGTAAGGCTTCCAATCCACAGTAGGCTATTGATTTTTAAGTTCTGAGGGAGTCAAAAGTCATATGCAAATTTGCAACTGTGTTGAGGGGGTAGGTGCCCCTAACGACCAATTGTTCAAGGGTCAACTGTCCTATCAAGCTTCTTGTTTATTTCTTTGTTTTCACTTGAATATATCATGCAAATTATTCCTTATCAATACATGTTAATCTTCTCTCATTCTTTTTAATGGCCGCACATTATTTCATTACATTATATTACAATTTATTTCATCAGTCCCATCTCAATAGATATTTAGACCTTTTTGTCTTTTGTATTACAAACATGCTGTTATCAATAAAAAGTACTCATATACACATCTTTAAGCACCTGTCCAAGTATGTGTGGAGTATACATCAGATAAATTATTAGATGTGGAATTTAGCCAAAGAGTATATTTAATTTTGATAAGCAATGCCAAATTTTTCTCCAAAAAGGTATATTAATTTACACTTCTACAAAGAAAATATAGTCATTATTTAAGTTTTATTTGTGATTTTTTTCTTCACTTATTAAATGATAAGTTCCTTGAAGAAAGAAACCATAGCTTCTACAACTTGATTCCAATGCCCATGGCCACACATATCATCATTCTTTAACAAAGATTGAATGACCAAAACTGTGCTAAAGACTGAAATACAAAAATAGATATATATTATTTCCTATAGTGGTAGACTAGTTATCTCAGAGTAACCCCTCTGCTGAGAAAAAGTAAAATGAAATTGGGAAATATATTTTTTGAAAACCCACACCTTCCAAAAGCACCAAATAGTTAATCGAATAAGAAACTGCCCAGTCAAAAGCTAGAAAAAATGAAGCCCCTATATTAAAATCTGTTTGGCCCTAATGAGATTTGCTTATCTCGAAGAAATAACTGTGAAACTGCATTTGCTTAGGGCAGGTGGGGGTCTTTCAGGGCAGAGGAAACAAGACTTAAAGCTCAGGGTCCACCTTAGCTTAAGACTCAGATAAACCACCTGCCACTGTAAGGTAGAACCTAGCAAGGTTATCACTTCAGGGTAAGGGTAAACCAGAATTAAACCAGTCCTTCAAAAGACTTGCAGCCTAGCTTCTCATCATTTGGCTCTTTTAGGGAACCTGAAGCCTCGAACTTAGATTAAGATAGTCCTGCATTAGTAGCATCTCTAGAATCATGGCAGAAACAAATTAAAATACTCTCTTGTAAGAGGCACTATCATCTTATGTCTCAAAGTATTCCTAAAATACATTGAATAGCACACAAAGAAAACAAAATGCATAGGAAACAAGGTACCATGAGCAAGAACCAGTTAAAACAAGAAGATAGTAGAAACAGACCAACAAAGACTGTTTGTCATATATTGGGATTATTAGATACCAACTATAAAACAACTATGCCTACCAAGCCTTAAAAAAGAAAAAAAAAAAGGAAAAGAAAGAAAGAAAAGAAAAGCTTCAAAATTTCAGAAAGACACTGAGGGGGAAAAGTGACATAATTTTGAAAAGGGGAAATATAATGACAAATTATGAATTAATTGAGTGAGTTTAAGGGCATATTAGACATAGCTGAAGAAAGAATTATTGAACAGAAAAATAAGTCAGAATAAACTTTCCATATTACAGCACAAAGAGACAAAAACAGAAAATATAGCAGAGAGGATAAGAGAGAGGGAGGACATCTTGAAAAAGTCTAACATATATTTAATTGCAGTTTTACAAGAGAGAGAAATGGAGCAAAGGCAATATTTAAATTTTTATGGTTAAATGACTGAGAATTTTGGAGGACTGACTCATAGAACTTAAGAATTCCATGCAGGATAAAGAAAAAAGAAATCTACACCAAGATTCACCCTGAGATATTGCAGAAAACAAAAGAAAAAGTGAAAAAATCTTTATAGCGTCCAGAAAAAAAAATTTTAATTTAAGTTTCTAAAGCACAAAAATAAAAACCAAAGGAAAAATGGGAATATATTCTCCATGTTCTTATAGAAAATAAAAACTATTATAGAACTTTATAGCCAGCAAAATATTCTTCAACCATGAAAGTAAAATACAGGCATTTTCAGACAAACAAGAATTGAGAGAATTCACAACCAACTGACTTAGGCTAAAGGGTCAGAGACACAGAAAGGATTAAGAATTTTAAAAATGGTAAATATATGGGTAAACATAAATATTGACCTTAAAAGCTGTAATATGCATGTCTTACAGAGTGTTAAAATATACAGAATTAAAATGTATAGCAACTCCATGTTGCCAGCTAGAAACTAGGGAGAAAGGGAAGTTTTGTTAAATTATTCTAAGGTCCTGACCTCTTGACTTCAGGTAATCCACCCACCTCACCCCCATCTCTACTAAAAATACAAAAATTAGCTGGGTGTGGTGGTGCACACCTGTAATCCCAGCTACTCGGGAAGCTGAGGCAGGAGAATCGCTTGAACCTAGTAGGTGGAGGTTGCCATGAGCCGAGATAGCACCATTGCACTCCAGCCTGGGGGATAAGAGCAAATCTCCATCACAAAAAAAAAAAAAAAAAAAAAAAAATTATTCTAAGGTCCTTATACTCATTCCAGAAGGACAGTAAATGTACTGATTAACATTAGACTTTAGGCCAGGCATGGTAGCTCACACCTGTAAACCCAGCACTTTGGGAGGCCAGGGTTCAGGAGGATTGCTTGAGCCTAGAAGTCTGAGACCAGCCTGGGCAATATAGCGAGACCTCGTTGCTACAAAAAATAAACAAACAAAACTAGCCAGGTGTGGTGGTATGTGCCTGTAGTCGCAGCTACTGGGGAGGCTGAGGTAGGAGGATCGTTTAAGCTGGGGAAGTTGAGGATGTAGTGAGCTGTGACTGCATCACTGCACCCCAGTCTGGGCCACAAAGTGAGACCCTGTCTTTAAATTAAAAAGAAAAAAAAGACTTTGCTAAGGAAAGGGTGACTATTGTGTGATTTCTAGAGCCAGAGAGCCACTGCTCAAAGAATAGAAAAAGAGTACATTATTTTCATATCAACAGAAAAGGAAAAAAATAGATGGTAAGAAAAAATAATCATTTCAAAAGAAAGGCAAGAAAGGTGAGAAAAAGAAACATAGATCTGGTGGACCAAACAAAAGCACAAAATAAGATGGTTGTTTCTTGGCCAGGTGTGGTGGCTCACGCCTGTAATCCCAGCACTCTGGGAGGCCCAGGTGAGCAGATCACTTGAGGCCAGGAGTTCAAGACCATCATGGCCAACACAGGGAAACCCTGTCTCTACTAAAAATACAAAAAATTAGCTGCAGCTGGGCACAGTGGGAGGCCAAGGCAGGCAGATCACTTGAGGTCAGGTGTTCAAGACCAACCTGGCCAACATGGTGAAACCCCATCTCTACTGGGTCGTGTTCATTCTTACTCTCTGTCCCACTCAATATCTCCTCCTGGAGCCCCTGGGGCTGCCAGGTGCTTATCTGTCAGGCGATGCCCCCAGCTGAGGAATAAGGGACCCATGTCCTCAGGAGGAAGGAGGGTCACTTGAGGTAACGAGCACTTTCTGGGTCCGTGGAGAGGACACATGGAAGACGCTCAGTGAGTGTCGGGGGATGCGTAGTCCCTGACACGTGCCCTGATAACTTCGAGTATTTAAACTGATTTCTTCCCACTGATGTCTCTTTTGCTTCTCCATGGATTCCCACATCCCCAGTCAGGACTCACCCACCTGGCTCCAACGCTCTCACCTGCTGGCTTTCCCAGGAGTCCAGAGCACTAACCAGGCTCCAGGCAGGAGGAAAGAATGAATGCCTTTTGTTTCATTCTCTAGTGACTTCTCCCTGCTGTCTACTAGGGCATTTGTTTCTCACCATGTCTTCTCTCTCTCAATAGTCTTATTTTTCCAAAATTTTTTCCAATTTCAATGGGCTAGATTGTAATGTTAGTGATTATAATGTTAATTCAACACCTTCCACATCCCTATGTAATAATTTCTTCCAATAGATTTTTATATATAAATATATGCATTTATGTCACTGTTATATACGTTATGCATATTTGCATGTATTTTTAATAAAATGTAGATATATGCAATGTACCTATCTGTATGATCATTTCATCAATATCCCATGTTTAGTCTTCCCAATTCTTTTCTCTCATATGTTCATTTAACGTTGATTTTGCTTGATTTTTAGAATCTCCTCCCTCCCAAAACACAGCCTGTATCCAGTGTGATTTCCTTGCCTTTGCCTTATCTACTTGGAAGCTATTTGGGTTTATTAATCCTAAATTTTTTGAATATGTTTGCCAGTTGGGATCACCTTTTCCTCCTGGCAATCTTGTCATTACTGGGTGATGCATGAAAAATCAACAATACAGAAAGTACCCAAATGTCTTTCTTGGCTTCCCTTTACCCCTTGGATTTTCTTGTTCAAGGCCGCTTTCCTTCTCTGATGATCCTCTTGGGTGGAAGAGAAAGTCACAGTAAGATCATGGATGACAGTGAATGCTGTTGGGTGTGGTTTCATTTTCAGAGCTGGGTTTAGAGACTTCCCTTGGAATGAAGAACCCTCACCAGCTGGAAGGTGATGCTATTGAAGGCTCAGCTGACAACACACATGGGCATCAAGTCACTGGCCACATTCATGCCTCAAGTGTCCTAAAACCGAAGATGACCAAAAGAAAGCTCCCATTCAGCAAGTGGAGACTGGCCTGCAGATTCCCTGGCCTGCAAGCTTAGAGTACGAAGGTAATCACATCTATGGCTCTTAGCTGCACTCACTCCTTATTTCTCTCTGTCTGTGATGACAGCTCCTTCTCCCACTGCTTTTTTCTTCTGTATTTGTTCTCTCCAGCAGCTGCTGTCATGTCTGTCTGGTCTAACCTCTGTGTCCCATGGGCTGCCACCCTGCCAGGCCCTTCTGGTCCTCATCACCTGTTTGCTCTCTGAACTCTGCTCTGTTCCCACTGCTGCTGTCCTGAGAGTCCTTCTCACAGCTGCAGGAGAGCCCAGCCTCCTTGTCTCCCTCCAAGTGCATGGTGTGAGCTGCTAAACACAGAGTTCTTTGCCTGGAATTGCACGGCTTGAGTAATTTGCCTTTCCTTCCTGCATCCCAAACTCCATTGCCCCTTTCTGCTGGGAGCATTGCTTTAATACGTCATTTATACACAGATTTTTCTCTTGGGACAGCTTTTGAGCAACCCAACTAAGTCAAACTTTAACCCTCACCTTGTACATGGGAATGAGAAGTGTTAAAAATGAGCACTAAGAACCCCAAATCAAAAACTAAATTAGAACCTGGGTCACAGAAGAGAGTTCCCTACTAGCCTGGAGTCAGGTGTGTCTTCAGCTCCAGATGGGCAACCTTATGCCAACGTGGATGAAGTTTCCAGGGACTGTGCCTGCTCCTCATGGAGTCACTTAGCTGACATTAACTGGAGAACATTTATGACATTCCAAAGGAACCTCAGCCGAAGGTAGATGCAGAGGGCAGGGCAGGACTTTGAACCTGCATAGACCACGAGGTACATTCTCACCTCTCTCCTTTTTATTCACATATCTACTTCTACAAGCTCAGTTAGAATCTAAAACACAACTCAGGTGAATCTTGAGGACAGAGAAATACGAGAGCATTTAATGAATTAACTTTGAGAAAAGTGAGTCCAGGGGTCAGCTTTATGTCTACATAAGATGATAGACAAGAACCTATCTACAGGACAGACTTTGCCTCAGACCAGCCCAAGTGAGAGATTTAACCGAAATTGTCAGAAGAAAGACTAAAATCCATAGAGCCACAGAGAATGAAGGCAATCATGAGAGAAATGAGGATAGGAAAGAAAATGATGGGAAATCAGGTTGGTTCATTCATTGTCTCTAAATCCTGCTACCATGTAATAAGCACCTGGTGAGATTTCAATAAACATGAATGCCTTGAACTGACATCTTGAGATTCTCACTTAAATGGTCTGGGGTGTGATGTGAGCATCAGTACCTTTAAAAAACTTCCATGATATTCTAATATACAACCGAAGATGACAAGGACCACTGGTCTACTCTGACCTCAGGTTTTCAACATGGAGATGACCACTTGTGTGGCTACTCCACACAAAAGGCTGAGCATCCATCAGACATTGATGGGATCTGTATTCACCTCTCAACAGTAGTATTTGTAGAATGTAGAAAAAAATAAAAAAGAAAAACAAGAAAATAGGTGGATTAGACCTATAGTCTCTCTACTTAAAGCACACTTGCTTAATTTTAAATACAAGTAAAATAAGAAATAGTCATTATATTGAAACCCAGTATACAGAAAACAATACCTCGTATATTACACATATTCAAATTTAGCATTTTCTGTTCAATTTTATTTTATTGTATTTTATGTTTTGTTTTATTTTATTTTATTTTTAAGACAGAGTCTCTCTCTGTCACCCAGGCTGGAGTGCAGTGGCGCAGTCTCGGCTCACTGCAACCTCCGTCTCGCTGCTTCAACAATTCTCATGCCTCAGCCTCCTGAGTAGCTGGGATTACAGGTGCATGCCACCACACTTGGCTAATTTTTGTATTTTTTTAGTAGAGGCATGGTTTCACCATGTTGGGAAGGCTGATTTCAAACTCCTGGCCTCAAGTGATCCATCCACCTTGGCTTCCCAAAGATCTGGGATTTAGGCATGAGCCGTCATGCCCAGCTTTCTTTTCAATTTTAAAATAAATCCTGCAGTTTACATTTCCACACACTGATTCCAGAGCCCATGAATGGGTTCAGCACTGCAGTGTAAAAATTCTGCTTTGCTCAATTCTTTTCATTCAGCCAAATCCTCAAAGAGAACTCGTAGTTCTCACTCAACTAGAGAGAATATAATAATAAGTAAAAACTGAAACTCGGCCGGGCATGGTGGCTCATGCCTCTTAATTCCAACACTTTGGGAGGCCAAGGAGGGTGGATCATCTGAGGTCAGGAGTTCGAGACCAGTCTGACCAACATGGCGAAACCCTGTCTCCACTAAAAATACAAAAATTAGCCGGGCGTGATGGCACGTGCCTGTAATCCCAGCTACTTGGGAAGCTGAGGCAGGAGAATCGCTTGAGCCTGGAAGACAGAGGTTACAGTGAGCTGAGATCGCACCACTACACTCCAGCCTGGGTGACAGAGCAAGACTCTATCTAAAAAAAAAAAGAAATAATAATAATAATAATAATAAAACTGAAACTCAGGAAGAGATGATATATGAATACTTTTTTATGCTACCCTTGACGCTGGCATAAAATACTAAAAAGAAATCTTTCCCAACAAACCACTTTGGGAAAAATATAACAGGGAGAGGAGAATGTAATAAAACACAAACTAATCCTTTTCACTTTCTACTTCAGAGTTTTGTCGATCAGATATTGAGAATATTTCTAGAAATGCCTTAAGGTGTAACCAGGTATGGAATCAACTTCAGGGAATTAGGGATAATAAGTTGGGCCATGGTTACAATCACCACCCTTCCTTTGTAATTCCATTTGACTCTTTCCTTTTCCTTTTTTTCTGATCCTTTTTGGAAGAACACATAATATTTCTTTTGTCTTTTCTCATTTTTAATTTTACCGACAAAACAAGTAGCAGTGACATCATATTTCTTTGTAAAAGCTCATTCCTATCCTAGCCAAGGTGACCCAGCAACCTCTAGTGACTGTCAAGAACTCCAGATTGGAGAATTGACTCTCTCTTCTCTCCAACTTATTGAAAGGGACTTCGTGCGTGGGTTCTAGTTTCAGGGTTGTCAATAGCAAGTCACGTGGCTTTAGTTAAGTCAGCCCTGTGGCATCACTGCTCCTCTGTTGTAAAAGGCAGAACTGGATGTGGATGTGGTCTGAGGTCCTTCCTGTATCTCACCTCCAGGGTTCTTCCCATGGCCCTGCACACCCTTCCCTAAGAGACGGGGACATGGAGCTGTAAGGGAGTGGGTTTCTCTGTAAAAGGTCCTTTCCTTCTGCAGCCCTCTGTTTCTGAGCTTTCATGGTTGATGCTGAGAACATCCTCACTGAGGGGTGTGAAAAGCCATCACTCTGCTCCAGACAGAAGGAATCAGGAGGAAAGGGGCTGATGTCACTGGCTGCTGGTTGGGCAGAGCTAGGGTCCCTATATCCTTCACCTCAGCTGACTGGAAGTTCAGGGGCATTTACTTTTCACTTGTGGATGGCACTTGCCTCTTCACTCAGCCTTCGGCTCAGCCTTCAGCTCATCCTCCTAGCAGGAGCTCAGTTTGCCCCTGGGCTATCACCACTTAGCAGTCCCTCTAGACTCAGCCATCAGCAGGACCTGACAAAGATGCCCATTTGATCTTTCCTTCTCTGTCTCCTACAGATACTAAATGCTGCTGGAACAATGAAAAGAAAGAAAGGATATCACAAAAAGCATTTTCGTTTGATGAAAAAAACTAAAAGAGCAAAGCAATTGAAAGCTCAACACAACACAGGAGGGATCCATGGCTGAGGATTGTATTTCAGAACCACTGACTGCTCTTGACAATTGTTAACCCACAATTTTGGTTAGAGAAGCCACAGTCCTTCAGCCTCCACTTGATATCAACACTTAGGAAGACCAAAGCCAGATGGACAAACAGCATTGAGAGGCTTTAGCCCTGCTCCTCTCACTTCCATCCTGTAGACAACAGGGAATTTGCCGGTGCAGAATATGAACAATGCCATGTTCTTGCTAAAAATGCTTAGCCTGAGTTTCATAGGAGGTAATCACCAGACAACTGCAGAATGTAGAACACTGAGCAGGACAACTGACCTGTCTCCTTCACACAGTCCATGTCACCATGAATCACACAACAAAAAGGAGAAGAGACATTTTGGGTTCAAAAAAAGTAAAAACATAATGTAGCTACATTTCTTTAGTTATTTTGAACCGAAAGTATCTCCTCATCTTTTTGTTGTTGTCATGGATGGTGGTGACATGGACTTGTTTGTAGAGGACAGGTCAGCTGTCTGGCTCAATGTTCTACATTCTGAAGTTGTCTGAAAATGTCCTCATGATTAAATTCAGCCTAAACGTTTTGCCAGGAACACTGCAGAGTCACTACTGAGAGTTTCCTACCTCAGCCCATCTGCAGGCAGAGAAGGTCCAGTTTGTCCATCACCATTATCGTGATACTAGGACTGTCACTTGGTTAAGGAGGAATCTAGAAGACCTGTCCCTTTTAGAGACACCTTACTTATAATGAAGTATTTGGGAAAGTGGTTTTCAAGAGTATAAATGTCCTGTATTCTAATGATCATCCTCTAAACATTTTATCATTTATTAATCATCCCTGCCTGTGTCTATTATTATATTCATATCTCTACACTGGAAATTTTCTATTTCAGTTTTTACTATATCCTTGTTTTTGCTAGTTTCTGTTGTTGAAAAAAAAATTTCCTGCCTGGGTTTTAATTTTTGTCCACAGTTAACTTTAATCCATACAACTAAAATTTTTTGTCTATCACTTTGGACTGGTGAATTGTTTTTTTACATTCAGTGTTATAATCTTTTATTATGTTGATTGGTTTTGGCAGGTAATGATACGAATTAATAAAAACATTTTTATTTCCGAGTTTATTTTCTAAACACTTCCACATTGTAGGCTATGTTTACCATATGTTGTAGATTGTATTTACTACATTTCTTTGTTCTAGTTATTTGTATTCTCTGATAGTGTGTGTGTTTGTCTGTGTATGCCTTTGGCATTTAGGAAGGGTTGTATAGGTCAAGTTTAATATTGCACTAAAATGTTCTTGATAGTTTTTTCCCCTTTGAACTGGACACACTTCTAATATTTGGTTTATACGTTTTAAATTATAATTTTCTTTTTTCTTTTTCTTTTTTTTTTGAGATGGAGTCTCGCTCTGTGGCCCAGGCTGGAGTGCAGTGGTGTGATCTCGGCTCACTGCAAGCTCCGCCTCCCAGGTTCACGCCATTCTGCCTAAGCCTCCAGAGTAGCTGTGACTACAGGCGCCAGCCACCGCACACGGCTAATTTTTTGTATTTTTAGTAGAGACGGGGTTTCACCATGGTCTGGATCTCCTGACCTCGTGATCTGCCTGCCACGGCCTCCCAAAGTGCTGGATTACAGGCGTGAGCCATCGCCCCTGGCCTAAATTATAATTTTCAACATCAAATATTTCCATATGACAATTACATGATTTGTTTTCTTTTTCCTATCTTCTTTACCTGCCACTTCTCATAATAGAAGATAGAGATGAAGATGGAGAGGAGAGAGAGAGAGAGAAGAGAGACAGAGAGAGAGAGAGAGATTGAGACTGATTTTAAGGAATTGGCTCATATAATTGTGGAAGCTTGGTGAGACCAAATCTGATGAGGTAGGCGAGTAGGCTGGAGACTCGGGAGAGAGTTGCAGTTCAAGTCTAAAGGGAATCTGCTGGCAGAATTCCTCCTTGTTAGGGGGAGGTCAGGTTTTATACTATTAAGGCCTTCACCTGACTAGATGAGGCCAACTCACACTATGGAGTGTCATCTGCTTTACTCAAAGTCGGCTGATTTCAATGTCTCATTTCATCAAAAAACACTTTCACAGAAACGTCAGAATAATATTTGACCAAATATCTGGGCACCATGGCCCAGCCAAATTTACACATGCAATTAAGCATCCAACATATAATATTGAAAGTGTAGAAAATCAAAGACAAAAGAACATCTTGAGAGAAGCTGGAGAAAGAAAACACCTTACCTTAGAAGAACAAGGATGAGTACTACATTAGACTTCTCTTCATAAACCATGCAAGCAAGAACAGCATGCAGCTGACATATTTAGTATTGGAGGAAAAAGAACTCTGTTAACCTAGAATTCTTTAGAATTACCCTTCAAACGTGAAGGAGAAATAAAAGACTTTCTTGACAAACAAAAATTGAGGGAATTTGTCACCAGTAATTTTGTCTTCCATGAAAGGTTAAAAGAAGTTCTTCAGAAAGAAGAAAAAAACCACAAAGTTTAAAGACATATCTACATGAAGGAAGCAAGTTAGAGGAGGAATAAATGAAGTTAAAAATAAAATATTTTATTATGTTTATTCTTAATTCATATAACCGTCTGTCAAAATAAGAAAAACAGCAATAATTGATTGGATGATTATATGTTATTAATACATCAAATGAATGAGAGTAATGTTTTAAAAGGTGGTAAGAAAGGAATTAGGAATTTTGTTTTTAAGGTACCTGCATGACCCATGAAGCATCATAACATTACTTTAAGTTGACTTAGATTATTTGTAAGTATATATGGCAAGCAATAGGGTGAAAACAAAAACACAATTTTTCTTTTAAGAAATGGAATTTGTATTGTAAGAGAGAAGAAAAAAATGGGATCATATAACATGTTCAATTATAGCCAGAGAAGGTAGAAAAAGAGTAAAAGACACAAAAGGAAACAATGAAGAAAGTCAAAAAATAGAAACAGTTACACATATGGTACATATTAATCCAATGATATCAATAGTCACTTTAAATGTGAATGGTCCAAGTACACCAACTAAAAGACAGAGACTGGCAGAATGGAAAATGAGGTCCAATTATATGTCATCTACAACGAACCTACTTTAAATAAGAAGACACAGAGATATTAGAAGTGAAGAGATGGAGAAAGATATATCATACCCATCGTAATCAAAAGAAAATTGGAGTAGCAGCTGGGCACTGTGGCTCACACTTGTAATCCCAGCACTTTGGGAAGCCGAGGCAGGTGGATCACTTGAGGTCAGAAGTTCAAGACCAGCCTGACCAACATGGTGAAACTCCATCTCTTCTAAAAATACAAAATTAGCCGGTCATGGTGGCGCATGCCTTTAATGCCAGCTACTTGGGAGGCTGAGGCAGGAGAATCGCTTGAACCTGGGAGACGGATGTTGCAGTGAGCTGAGATTGCGCCATTGTACTCCAGCCTGGGCAACAAGAGCGAAACTCAGTCAAAACAAAAAACAAAACAAAAACAAAAGCAAACAAACCAACAAAAAAACAAAAAAACTACAGTAGCCACATTAATTTGAGACAGAGCTGACTTCAGAGGGAGGAAAATCATGGGGATAAAGAGAGTCTTTATATAATATAAAGAGGTCACTTCTCCAAGAAGATATGACAATCCTTAAATGATATGCACCTAAAGCATCTAAATATCAGGGGCAAAAGCTGATAGAACTTCAAGGACAAATAGACAGATTCACTATTACAGTGGGAGGCTTCAGGATCAGTAACTGACAGATCAGAAGGCAGGAAATCAATAAAGATGTAGTGAAACTGGACACCACCATCAGTCACCTGGATCCAACCGACTTTTTAGATTACTTCATCCAACAAGAGCAGAATACATATTCTTTTTAGGGTCACATGGAGTGTTCACCAAGATCCACCACATTCTGGCCCATAAAACACACTTCAACATATTTAATGGGATAGAAATCATACCAAATATGCCCTCCATTCAAATTATGGAACTGAAGTAGAAATCAACAACAGATAGCTGCAAAATCCCAAAACTGGAGATCAGACAATACATTTCCAGTAACACATGGGTCAAGAAAAAGTCTCAGGGCAAATTACATATTTTGAGCTAAATGAAAATAAACATACAACTTATAAAAAATTTCTGGGTGCAGGAAAATTGGTGCTTAGAAAGAAATTCATAGTATTCAATGCATATGGTAGCAAAGAAAAAGGATCTACAATCAATAATCTGAACTTACACTTTAGGAAACTCAAAAAACAAGAAAAAATTAAATCCAAAGTAAGTGGAAAGCAAGAGACAATAAAAATTAGAGGAGAAATCAAGGAAATTGAAAACCAGAAATCAATAGAGAAAAATCAACAAAAAGAAAATGTAGTTCTTTAAAATAATCAATAAAACTGATAAACATCCAGCTGGTGAACCAAGAAACAATGAGAGAAGATACAAATTACAAATAACAAAAAGAAAAGAAGGTCCTCACTACTGATCTCATGGATATTAAAAGGATAACAGATGAAGATTATCAACAATTCTCCGCTCACATATTTGATAACTTGATGAATTGGACCAAGTTCTTGAAAGACACAGTCTACCAAAACTCACACAAGGAGAAATATATAACCTAAATAGATCTCTATTTATTAATGAAATTGAATCAATGATTAACAACCTTCCAGAACAAAGCACCAGGTCTAGATGGTTTTACTACCAAACATTTAATGAAGAAATGATACCAATTATCTCTAGAAAATGGAAGCCGAAGGAACACGTCTTATCTCTGGTCTAGGAGGCACTTTACTAGCAAAACCAGACAAATGGTTTTGAACCAGGATATTGAAGTAGCCTGCACTGCTGACCAGCTCCTGAAACTCAGCCCTGGAAAAACTGTAGAAGCAAGAAGGAAACATGGCTTACGGGACCTGTGAAAAATGGTAAATCTCCCTTAGAGACCAAGGCGGTTTTGAACCGGTGTGTGTGGAAGGTTGATGTTCACAGGTAGGAGAGAGAGAACGACATAGAGAAAAGTATTTTCGGTTCTGCTCTTGCTTCTGACTCCCTTGCTATGGGCCAACTGCGGCTCTTACCCCTTCACGAAAGAGATTTGTCAGCGGCTGTTTATTTTTTGAGACGGAGTGTCGCTCTGTGGCCAGGCTGGAGTGCAGTGGTGCGATCTCGGCTCACTGCAACCTCCGCCTCCCGGGTTCCAGCGATTCTCCTTCCTCAGCCTCCCGAGTAGCTGGGACTACAGGCGCGCACCACCACGCCCAGCTAATTTTTTGTATTTTTGGTAGGGATGGGGTTTCACCATGTTGACCAGGATGGTCTGGATCTCCTGACCTTGCGATCCGCCCGCCTCGGCCTCCCAAAGTGCTGGGATTACAGGGGTGATCCACCACGCCCCGCCATCAGCGGATCTTAATCCACCAGTGACGCAGCTGCGATGCGACTCCTGGACACAATATAAGCTTCCCTGAGGAAAAGAGTAGATGAAAACAGGGGAGGACAAACCAGATGATCCCGGGGCTTTCCTTTTCCAGCTTTCCTCCGCAAATCTCCAGAGGTAATGATTGTCATGGCCTCTCCAGCACGATGCTTAAAGAGACGTATTACAAAGAATCCCCTAGATAGAAGATTTGCTTGGTGGAGTATAAAACAGGGGTAATCGAAATGAGTTTTGGGGACGTGCTGCTCTCCACTTGGGGCCCATCCTTCATTTTGCCGATACCACCAAAGACTGGGCCTTCCTCGACAGGAAGATCCGAGGTCCCTCTCTGCAGCTCCCCTCATCTGCGTGCGGGTTCCTTCCCACACGCCTCCCCTGTCCCTGGGCCCCCGTACCCACTGCCCCTTCCCCACTGCGTGTGTCTGTCCGACCCCACAGCTTCTCTCCTTTCTTGAGCCTCACTCCACCGCGATACGTGGTCTGTCCAAGGTCCAGTCAGTGAAATCAGTGTCCAGGTGACTGTGTATTTCAGGGATCCGCCAGAAGAGACAATAAACGTCCCGTCGGTTTTAGGGCCAAATATGCAAACGCAGAGACCAACCAGACACACTAGCTGCTTCAAAGACAGTCTCTGCGAAGTCCTTGCTTAGAGAAATTCCACTCCAGAAGGAACTGGAAAGCTATACAGTAGTTCCCTTTTCCTTCTGTTTATTATTGCGGCTGTGACCTGCCTGAGTATACACAGTTATGGTAAATAAATGTAAAAACCGCATTGTGCGGAAACTGCACGCTGCACCAACCAGGAGTTGAACACGGATCTCGTGCATGGGAGGCAGGAATTCCACCACTAAAACCACTGACGCCTCCTGCTAGCAAAAACTGCGGCCTTTACATGGAAAAAGGTAAGATCGGGAGATGGGAAGAGGAGTCAAGATTTTTACCGTGTTCTCTTTGGAACATGTAATTAACAAAAAGGACACCCAGGGCAAAGGCTCACATTAGAGATTTGCATCAGGCAACACCAGAAAGTTATGGCTTCACATTAAAAGAGCTGATTTGAAAAAGACTTATTCTGAAATAGACTCTGTACAACTGGATAACAAACCTCTGTAAGAAAACACCAGAAATTCACTCAGTTTCTTGTCTCCGGTGCTGTATCCAACGTGAACCTGTGGAAAGTTCTTGCCTTGCTTCTTGATACCTTCTCTTTGCCTTCCCATCGCCTGGGGCCTTCCAAACCCTTCCTCCCAACCTTGACACGAACATCAGTACTTTCCCCAAAAAGGCCTTCAGAACCCAGGGACCCTGGTTTGGAAAGCTGGACTCTTGGGATTGTGCCTGGGATAGTCCCAGAGACCTGGGTAATAATTGAGCTTCTCTCCTCATGTACCTATTTCAAATTCCTGGAAAATGCCAGGGATCAGATCTTGCTTTTAACTTCTTATGCCTTACAGAGACCAAAACAAGAGCGAAGAAACGGACATTTCACTCCAAGATGTCTTCCCTTCACCTCGCCCTCGTCGGCCACCCAAGGAGGCCAGTTCAGGGAAAAACAATTCCATTCGATTCCATTCTATTCTAGTTAGATGCTAGGATATTACTCCTCTAGCTAATGTAAAGCGTTCTTTTGCCATTTCCCTTTGTCTGATATCCATGTTTTCATTCTCATTCTTTTGTTTACAATAAGCCTGGTACAGATTTGCACCACTCTTTTTTGTTGTTGTTGTTTGTTTTCTTTTCTTTTTAAATGTTTTATTTCCAATTTTTACTTTAATTTCAGGGGTACACGTGCAGGATGTGCAGGTTTGTTCCATAGATAAACCTGTGCCATGGTGGTTTGCTGCACAGATCATCCCACCACCCAGGTACTAATCCCAGCATCCATTAGCTCCTCTTTCTGATGCTCTCCCTCTTCCCAGCCCTACCCTCTGGCAGGCTCGAGTGTGTGTTGTCCCCACCCCCACTCTATCTGTCCATGTATTCTCATCATTCAGCTCCCACTTATAAGTGAGAACACAGAGGGTCATGATGATGCCACTCCTCCAAGGATTTCAGGCTTCCCAGACGCCTAGTTTTCAGTCTAGTTCTTCTGTGAGATCTTACACTTGGGGAGCTACACGTTCTCGCGTTTGGGGCTCTTTCAGGTTCTATCTCCATTTTCCCCTCAATTCCTCCCCATTCTGCTACAATAACAAAACAATTCTCACCTCCGGAAGATCCCGCCTCTGCCTCCGCACGAGCCTTTCAGGAGGTCTGAATGTCTGGTCCACCGCTCCCCGGCTTCTTTCCCCGCTTTTGCTTTTCCCTTCCCCCGCTCCCGCCCTCCCGCCTCACGACCCGACCACCGCCCAGCTGGGCCCCCGCGGCTCCACTGCGCAGAAGGTGCACTGGAGGCCCTGCCCGTTGCCCGCCCCGCGGGGTGCCGAGAAGTCAACCTGAATAAACGCCTTGTAAAAAGAACTTCCTAATGGAAAAAATATCTTATGATTTCCATTCTCAACGCTCTTCAGAGGACTAAAAGATAAAGGCCACGATGGATTCATTCAACAAGTCCTAATCCTGCGCCCTGGTGTGTGCCAGACCCTGCTCCCCGCGAGGGGATCCACGAGCGACCCTCACCACTATCCCTGCCCTGGTGGACCCTCCGTGCGGGACACAGCATCCGAAGATGGCAGCGGAAGCTCCTCAGCGCCCCGAAAGCGACTGGGCAGGGGGCACAGGCTCCCTCACTGGGTGAAGGCCGCACAAAGAACCGGAAGAGCCATCCGGGTAGCTCACCCGGCGTTCAGCTTCCCTTGGGCCCCCTGGCTGCTCGGGCCCGGATCGCGGACCGGGGCGTTTCCGGGGATTTCTGAAGCGGACGAGGGGCAGGGCGGGCGAAGGCCATTCGGCTCTCCTTCTGGCTCCAGAATCTCCCAACCCGCAGGTGTGCAGTGTGACCAGCGCGACTCACCGCTCTAATCGCTCCGATTTTCCAAGGCCTTGCTCAGTAGTCCTGCCAGGCGGGCTCTGAGGCTGGAAGGGATTGGGGAGTTCGGTGAGTGCGCCCTGCCTATAGCGCCCAGTGGAATCGCTAGTACCTGTCTCTGTGGCGCAATCGGTCAGAGCGTTCGGCTATTAACCGAACGGTGAGTAGTTCAAGACCACCCAGGGACGCCTGTTCTAGCTTTTAAAGCATTCATGTATTATCATCACTAGAGAATCTCCCCCTATTCTTCCCATAGTCCTAAGTCCGAAAGGTTGGTTCCAGGCCAGCCAGGGATATGCCCATTTCAGGAAGGTTTTTCTCTTCTCAGGATTCTAGTCACAGTTAACAGGGATCCCTATCAAGAGCCACCCCACTCAGAGATCCAATTCTGACAGACCATCTCCTGAAATGTCAGGTTGTCTTGTGCCTGAGTGCAAGAATCAGAGACCAAACAAGTCACTTCTGGTGCGATAAAATCCTCATGCCTGCCCCTTATAGGCTTGGATGGATTATAGACCAGCTTCCATTTTTTTCATTTTTAATAGGAGGCCTAGAGAGGTGTCCTATCCCCAGGATGGGCCTGGATTTAGTGATTGCTCAATCAATAATGCGACCAGTGGAATCATTGATCATCATAATAATCCTCTCCATCATTTTTGAAAACAGCATTTCCCCCCTCAGTTGGTACATGATTTACTTAACCCTTTTCAAAATGTGTTTGAAGAGATTGGCTTCATGATTTTAGGACTACAAAGAATCTTGAAACCATCATTCTTGTACATATATCTTTGACCACTGATATTTCTATAGTGTAGAGAACTAGAGGTGCCACTGCTACATTACAGGCTTTTTAATTTTTATTTTTAGTTTTTATGACAGGGTCTCATTCTGTCTCTCAGGCTGGAGCACAGTGGCCCAACCATGTCTCATGGCAGCCTCGTCTTCCCAGGCTCAAGTGATCCTCCCATCTCTCAGCCTTCCCAGTAGCTGGGATTAGAGGCGCGGGCCATGGTGCCCTGCTAAATTTTGTATGTTCTGTAGAGAAGGGGTTTCAACATGTTGCGCAGGCTGGTCTCCAAACTCCTGGGCTCAAGCAGCTCCGAGGCCTCCCAAAGTGCCAAGATTTACAGGCATGAGCCACTGCAATGGACCTTACATAATGCCTCTAACTTCAGCACATTTAGCACATTTATCCTCTGCACGAGCGATACCAAATCATATTCCAATTTATTTCTCAACTCTCATACTGCCCCTTTCTTCATTTACTTGCTGGCACAACAAACTGTCTGCCACCCTACCCACCCCCCCACCCCCACTTTATTTTAGACTAGGTCTCACTCTGTCATCCAGGATGGAGTACAGTGGCTTGATCTCAGCTCACTACAACCTCCACCCCCTGGGCTCTAGTGATCCTCCCACCTCAGCCTCCAGAGTAGCTGGATCTATAGGCATGCACCACCGCATTCACCATTTTTTTTTTTAAGAGATAGGGTCTTGCTATGTCGCCGAGGTTGGTCTCCAACCCCTGGGCTCAGGAGATCCATCTGCCTCGGCCTCCCAAAGTGCTGGGATTTCAGGCATGAGCCACCGTGTTTGCCATGTGCCCATGATATTCTAATAAGGGGACAGGTTCCCTCCCGGCTTAACTAAGGGGACAATACAACAGAAGGACATGGTGGACATTACACACAGATATTCTGTTGCATAGGATGGACAGCTAAACTTCTAAGGCATTTTATGTTTATTTTATTTTATTTTATTTTTCGCGACAAGGTCTTCCTCTGTTGTCCAGGCTGCAGTGCAGTGGCATGATCATAGTTCACTGTAGCCTCAAAATCCTGGGCTCAAGTGATCCTCCTGCCTCAGCCTTCCAAGTAGCTGCAACTATGGGTATGCACCATCATAGGTGGCTATTAAAAAATGATAATAATTCTGTAGAGATGTGATTTCACTATCTTGCCCAGGCTGGTCTCCAACTCCTGAGCTCAAGTGATCCTCCTACCTCAGCCTCCCAAAGTTTTGTGCTGAGATTACCGGCATGAGCCACCATGGTCAGCCCTGTTTCTTTTTAAAATTTATTTATTTTGGGACAGGGCCTCACTCTGTCACCCAGGCTGGAGTGTAGTGGCATGATGACGGCTCACTGCAGCCTCAACCTCCCTGGGCTCAGGTGATCCTCCCACCTCAGCCTCCTGAGTAGCTGGGACTAGCAGCATACACTATCATGCCTGGCTAATTTTTGTATTTTTTTGTAGAGATGGAGTTTCATCACATTGACCAGGCTGCTCTCCAGCTGAGCTCAAGCAATGCACCTGCCTTAGCCTCCTAAAGTGCTGGTATTACAGTCGTGAGTCACTGTGCCTGGCTTGTCATTGTTTCCTGTGGTGACCAAGTCACATGGGTCCAGAGAAGACAGATCACAGTGACTTCTTTGATAGCTTTCTGCCAAGTCGCTTATCCAAAGAAAGCAAAATCACAATGGTCCCAGATATTTTTTTCTCCTCCCCTTTCCTCTTTTCCTTGTAAATCTTGATTTTACTTTTATTTGCTGAAAACAATCTAATGCCAGTTCTCCCTTCTATATTAATGGAGAATGAGCATGCAAATAAGTGTCTCTATATGATTCCTTGATAGATTTCTTTCAGAGGCTATGTCTATAAAAATTAGTCCATCTGAGACCCATCATTGGAGCCAACAGAATCCGGCACCTAACAGGCCCCTGGTGCAGACCTGGATCTTTAGAGCTATTGGCTCTTGTTCCCGCAGTTCTTCTGTTTTCATGAGCAGAAACTGAGCAATTTTGCTTTAAAATACTAAGTATGGTCATTGGACAAGTCCTTCCCTTCTCTCTCTCTCTCTCTCTCATGTTTGCATCATTGTTTTCTGCCATCAGTGGCATCAGTGTAGATTTCTGGTAAATGTTATGGAGTGAATTTCTCAGGACACTCTCTGTTGTGTGGTGTTTGGCAAGAATCCATCCGTTTGGTGATACCTGACAGCTAATCTAGTCTGTGAGTCTTTTTTGATTGTTTATTCATTGTCCTGAGGATAATTGTATTTCCTGATATTTGAGACTGCAGCAAATGGGAAGTTGCTCATATCTCATCTTTCCAATGTTTGGTAAAAATTTTATGGGCCCAGTAGCTGTCAATATCTGCAAGAGTGGCATCTCTATTATAAAGATGATCTTACTACTCAATGCCCCTCACCCCCAACCAAATTTCATTCCGTAGGAGCTCTTGGCCGTAACAAATTAATAGACCTAAAGGAGATCTTAGCACAGGAAGAAAACTGAATCTGCAGCATGTAAGGAACAGTTTTCTTTGATTCATATATTCAGGTTTCTAACTAGCTGAAAAATTCAAATATATGCTCTTTAAGGATGAAGTTTAAATCACACTACAGAAAGGAGAAAAAAAGAGTGATATGATCACAAGTAAGCAATGGAATCAGCAATTTGAGCACTTCTCACAACTACACAAATCAAATTTAACAATCTCTAGAACAGTAAGGAAGTTCAGCCCTTAATGAAAATGGATGAAAAGAAATTATTCATTCACTTTTATATGCCTGGAAGGAGAATGTCCTGCCAGACTCAAAAGGGGATCAAAGAATTACTCAGATTTTCAGCAGTGAGGGTTTTCCAAGGATCTAATGATGTTAATTTTTCAGTTTGTTTCCCTCACTCATAAGCATTGTTAATAGACACAATTGCCTCTGTTTTCACCTTAAATGATGTTACATAACCCAATTATTTGCTTTTGAATGCCCCCTGGTTTGGTGGAAGGAATTTTTCTAATGTATAAATATATTTTCTTATGAAACCAATTGGCATACTCTTTCAGTGGAGTGAATAGATAAATTAAGTCTCTAAAACTTTAAAGAAATTACTGCCTGATTATCTGAAGTACAGTAATAATCACATATATAAAATTAAAATAAGAAAATTAAGCAGGGTGTGGCAGCTCACAGCTGTAATCTAGCACTTTAGGCAGCTGAGGAGGGAAGATCGATTGAGGCCAGGGGTTCCATACCAGCCTGAGCAACATAGTGAGACTCCTGTCTCTACAAATGTTTAAAAATTAGCTAATTAGGCCAGGCGCAGTGGCTCATGCCTGTAATCCCAGCACTCTGCGATGCCAAGGTGGGTGGATCACCTGAGGTCAGGGATTCCAAACCAGCCTGACCAACATAGCGAAACCCCATCTCTACTAAAAATACAAAATTAGCTGGGTCTGGTGGCACATGCCTGTAATCCCAGCTACTTGGGAGGCTGAGGCAGGAGAGTCGCTTGAACCTGGGAGGCAGAGGTTGTAGTGAGCCGAAATCGCATCATTGCACTCTAGCCTGGGCAACAAAAACGAAACTCAGGCTCAATAGTAATAATAATAATAATAACAATAATGCAAGGATGTAATAGTCCCTTCCCAAAACTAACCCCTGAGGAGCTAAGGGATGTATGCACACAAGTAACCGTGTTCTATTCAGGTGACCTTACCAAAGAGAAAGAAGTTTCAAAGCCCCCTTGGGCCCTCACTGCTGCCCAGATGTCTGGGAGTGTCAGCCACCTCTTGACCTCAATCCCCTGCTTCTTACCCCTTTCCCTAACATACAAGAAGCCAGAAATTTTTATTAACTTGAGATGTTTCTTTAGGACATTAGTTCACCATCTTCTTGGTTTACTAGCCCTCTGAAATAAAGTCACCTTCCCTGCCCCAACACCTTGTGTCTCCTGACTTCTTGGCTGTCATGCAGCAAGTAGGGTGAGATTTGGACTCAGTTACTTACTAATTCAGTAGGTAATATCTTTAAAAGGAGATAATTCTAGAAACTAGGAGACTGAATTATTCCACTTACAATTTCTTCGTAAATATATTTAGATGTCATCTAATACATGATGCCATCATCCTCTATTAAATGTCAGCTCAATGTATAATTTCAAGATATATAGTTAATTTTAAAATCCATGACCGATATTAATGATTATATGGAGTTAATAATGGAGTTAATAAATAATTTTGATAATAATAATAGAGTTAATAAAAAATAATAAATTTCAATTGCCTTAAAATTAGTTAATAAATAATAATAAATAATTTTGATTGCCTTAAGATTCTCTCTCTATATTACTTTACTTGGAGAATAGTGTTGCTTGTTGAGTTCACAACATATATATGTGTGTATATATATATGTGTGTGTGTATATATATACATATACACACACACACACACACACACACACACATATATATATATATACATTTTTTTTCTGTTTTTGAGACAGAGTCTCACTCTGTCACCAAGGCTGGACTGCAGTGGTGCAATGATAGCTCACTGAAACTTCAGCCTCCAGAGCTCAGATGATCCTCCTGCCTCAGTCTCCCAAGTAGCTGAGACTATAGGTTCCCCCCACCACACCTGGCTAATTTTTGTATTTTTAGTAGAAATGGGGTTTCACCATTTTGGCCAGGCTGATCTCAAACCCCTGACCTCAAGTGATCCGTCCACCTCATCCTTCCAAAGTGCTAGAATTACAGGCATGAGCCACCTCGCCTGGCCCTACGTATTGAATTTTTTTACGTGGCATTAGCTTTTAAATCAAAGCTACCACCAAAAGCCAGCTTTGCAAAGAGAGTATATCACTGAGAACCACGTACAACATGTAACGCTGGTGAGTTTTAATTATACCTCAGTAAACTTGACTTAAAAAAAAAGACATTCCCAGATTTTGGCACAACGGAAGCGTTATAATCTTCTATTCATTTCTGGCAAGAGTATAAATAAGTTCAAAAACTTTGGAAAATTGTTTGCCTGTATATTCTAGTGGTAAAACACACATACATATATGCTATGACCCAGAAATTCAACTTTTCTACCCCATAGACTTGTGCTTTCCAATATGATAGCCACAAACCACGGGTAGCTATTGAACACTTGAAATCTTGCTAGTGTCACATGGGGTAATGATAATACCTTAAATATATTTAGTTGAATATATATTATAAAAAATAATTTCACCTCTTTCTTTTTACTTTTTAAAACATGTCTACTAATACATTTAAAAGTACGTATATGCCTGGCATTATATTTCTATTGGAATTTCTATTTCTAGA
The DNA here is from genome assembly GCF_000001405.40 of Homo sapiens. Lineage (NCBI taxonomy): Eukaryota > Metazoa > Chordata > Mammalia > Primates > Hominidae > Homo > Homo sapiens. The sequence continues at coordinate 148,252,757 of NC_000001.11, forward strand.
GAAACGTGAATATGGTTTACCAAAGACATGTAAAACAAATACATATTTATTCAAAATATTCCTAAACTATAAAGAATTCAAATGTCTGAGGAAAGAAAAGAAATTTTATGTGAGGAAAGTGAGTGCTTTCAAATTAACAAGCCCAGAGTTAGGCATTAAAATGAGACAGCAACAACGTCTTATGTCCCTGTTTTGAAGCCGTGTATTCATCTATTAAAACAGCTTGCTATCATCACAAGTGGCTATAAAGCAACCTAAACATGCTGCACTGGACACCATCTCTCACTCCCTGTAGCTGAACAATGTATAGCTAATCATTAATCAATGTTATTTCTGTAAACTTCAGGGAGTTCCTGACAGGCAATTTTGTACCAGCCAACTCCCCGTCTCCCTTTTTGGTCTTTAGAAACCTGCTTGTAACAAAGGGCAAATGGAGCCCACATCCAAGATTGCTTGGATCTGAGTCTTCCAGGCAAGTGTCCTCACATTGGCTCAAACAAACTTTTTAAATCATGTTTGTGCTTAAGCCCCTTCCTTCTAGGTCGACGTTTTTGGCCCAGGGAGCAGAATGCAGAGCGACTCATCTCTGACCATCTGACTGTCCTCTCAAAGGCCTCCAGGGTGGCTACATAGTAGTAAGAATTTGATTGGTGAGATCAGTTTGCAGTCCAGGAAGAGACAGTCTCCGGTGTGTGTCTTTGAAGAGGTGCTTTCTCTTCAGAGAGAGAGAGAGAGAGGGCAGGTTGGTTTTTGTGCCTCACACGGTGTGTATCACACAATGGAGTTATACATATTCAGCAGGTTTGGAGAAACGCCATTTCTGAGGGGTGTTGAGCTCATGTGCAACGGGTAAACATATATGTAACGTGCACCCCATCTTCACATTGGGAAGAGATTTTAGCATTAAAATTAGATGGAAATTGGCTCTTTATGTCAAAAGGTGAACTATAGGACATGAAGTCGGTTTGTGTGCAGTCCCTGTAACATGGCTGAAACTGGCTTGAGGTCTGCAGTTGCTTATCAGGAAAGAATGGAAGGGCACTCCTCTGTCCCATCAGAGGTCTGGTGATCTGGGTTGTAAATCCAGTTGAGAATTGCTGGGAAGATTTTGACAATTTGCCTGCTAGCTCCTATTGTTAAGGAGTTTAGCAAGAGTGTGGTTTTTCTTCTAGCCACAGAAATTTAGGAAGTTGCTATGCCAGTCCAGCCCTGAATCCTTGACCCGTAGGTAACTCTTGTTTTCTTAACCTTAGAGTCTGTCTTAGTCTACAAGGTGACATCTATTTTTGTCTCTCAGACCACATTCCTCCTGGACTAGGTGCCTGGCCAGCTTTGAAATCCTCACGTTCTGACTCAGAGAAACAGATGGGCAGTAAGTGGTGAATCCTCCTGAAATCTGGACCTTCCCACTCTTTGGTTGAAGGCCTGGAGTTTGCTTGAGTTGTCCTTTCCAGCCTTCCCTTTCTACAATGGAGGTTTTCTGTCTTTACCCTCCAGTTAAGAGACTTGAGTTTCAGGGGGAAAAAACTGCCCTTTCCACCTCTGCCTCAGGACAGAAAGTTTGGGTCACAGTCAGGCAAAGGACTGTGTGGAAAGCTTCTGCCTTTTCTGCCTCTGTCCCTCATCAGGAAGGTCTGGGTCAAGATATTGGCAGGTAGGCACCGGTGGTTTTGTTTTCTGTAGCATGCTTTTATGAAAGTTTGAACTTAGGTTTTCACTTGTGACTAATTCTTGTTAGTTTTTTTTTTTTTCCTTGAGATGGAGTTTTGCTCTTGTTGCCCAGGGTGGAGTGCAATGGCGGGATCTCGGCTCACCGCAACCTCCGCCTCCTAGGTTCAAGTGATTCTCCTGCCTCAGCCTCCCAAGTAGCTGGTTTTACAAACGTGCCACCACGCCCAACTAATTTTGTGTTTTTAGTAGATACAGGGTTTCTCCATGTTGTTCAGGCTGGTCTCAAACTCCTGACCTCAGGTGATCTGCCCACCTCGGCCTCCCAAAGGGCTGAGATTACAGGCGTAAGCCAATGTGCCCGGCCCCTGTTAGTTCTTACCTGGAAAATGCACGGAGGTACTTTCTCCAGCCCTGAAGAAAAGAAGTGATCTGCTCCCGATGACCCTTTCAGGGGCTACAAGTGACCAGGGACGCTGCAGAGGTGTCACGGTCACTACTCACCATGTGAAGGCGGCCTCGTAGAGCATTCCCCATCAGAAGAACGTCTTTATGAATCCCCTTTCCTGCTCTTATGGGAGGGTATATGAGCGATGGGTCCCCCAGAGCAGATGCACTCTGTGGCCACCTGGTGGTTAGAAACAGTGGGAGCCACTGAGACAGTGATACACAACTCCGGTGATATCTGTAGGAGTGACTACATAAGCAGGACACTGTGACCCAAAACACATCCCAGATTTTGGTCATCTTTGCAAAGCTCCTGAATTATGGGAAATCAAGCTTCAAAATCTGAGCATACTTTGAAGAAACAACCGCGTTTAGAACCACCAGCTGAGTTTCTGTATAACAGTTATGAAGCATCCTCTTGTAAATATCCAAGAAACCTGACCCACCTAACCAGAAAAACTCATAAGTAGAATGGAGAAAATGGGGATCTTTTGAAATGACTAAAATAATTTATTAGGGCACACAATTGGAAAAATTTGGTTTTAGAATCAGGCAAATTGAATGGGAGACTTACTTCCAATGATACCTAGAAATTTCTAAAAGAACTACTGAGAAAATTGCCTCCATTGAGGATTTAAACTGGGGATATCTGATGCTTTTTCTGAATTGAGAAATATTGAGGAGGCTTTGTCTCTTTCGCCTCCAACTGCTCCTTTTCCTCCTGCCCCTGCACCTGCATAGTCTCCCTTACCTGAGCCCTCCTGTCCTGCCTTGCCTCTTCTTCCATCACCATCACCTGAGGAAAGTCCCCAGGGCTCTGGCCCCTTCCCTGAAAGTTCTGTTCTGGCAGCCCCTTTCAAGGTAAAACCCACAGGAAGAGGGGAGCCTGCTATTGTGTATACTGCTTCACCATAATGTGAATTAAGAATATTGTAAAAGACTTCCCTTTTCTAAATTGAAATACATTTTCCTCTTCTCTTTCTAAAGCAGGCTCTGCTTTAGATTTAGAAGTAGATTGGAGGAGAATTTAGCAATGCACTTAAAAGGCCAAATAAATCTGTCATTGATATTTTAAATGGTTGAAAATAATTTATTTATTTATTTATTGAAACAGGTTCTCACTCTGTCACCCACGCTGGAGTGCAGTGGCTCCATCATGGCCCACCACAGCCTCAAACTTCTGGGCTCTAGCAATCCCCCCACCTCAGCCTCCGAGTAGATGAGGCCACAGGTGCATGCCACCACACCTGGCTAATTCTTCAACTTTTTATAGAGAGGAGGTCTCACTTTGGTTTCCAGGCTGGTCTTGAACTCCTGGGCTCAGTCAATCCTCCCGCGTCAGCCTAATATTTACACTGACCACGGAGATGCATTTGGAGAAGGTGGTGATTTTGGAATGCTTTAGAAGCAACCTAGGTTTCTTATTTCACCAGGTCAACCCATCAAAAATGACCAATAAGTCTCTGAACTCTTAGGAGCAATTTGAAAACCCAAATCTTTGGCCATCATCAAAATTCCTTGTCATTCAAAATTAGGTACTCTGGAGAGCAAGGACAACCATTTTGCTGATGCTGCAGCTAAGAATGCAGCTCTGAAGGTGACAAGAGACACAGAACTTCTCTAAATGACCTTGCTGACTTATGACCCATTGAAAACGTTATTAGAAGAAGCACACGTGGGATCTCCCAAGCAGAAGATAGATCTCTGGCAAGATAAAGGGAACAAGTTTTTCTTCAGAAACAGGCGTATGGTATGGGCCCAATGATACACTGATCTACCCCTTAGGCTTCAATTACCCTTTTTAAAGTAGTTCATAAGCTGACTCATTGGAATTCAGACTAAATGATAGCATGGGGAAAGCAGTGCTATTGAAAACCATCGCCTATGATTGCACAAGAGGTTTATTCTTGTAGTACTATCTGTTCTGTCCCAAACATAATCCTGGAAAACCCCTTCATGGGTCACAGGGACATTTTAACTTTAGGACCCTTTGAGACATGGCAGTTAGACTTTATCCAGCTGTCTCCATCTCAGGGTCACAGATACTTTCTGGTGCTAATTTATATGTGCTCTCACTGGGGTGAAGCATTTCCATACTGATGAGCCACAGCCCAAGTAGCAGGTAGACTGTGATTAGAAAAAAATCATTCCTCATGGGGAATGCCATCTGATCTACATAGCAACCGAGGAACACACTTTATCAGGCAGGTAGCTGGATCCATTTGTAATGTTTAGCCTATGTCCCAACATTCCCATTGTGCCTGTCACCCCTAATCCTCTGGACTAGTGCAACTCAATAATGATACAATAAAAACTCAATTGACAAAGATAACAGAAGTTTTTAACCTTCCCTGGCCAAAGATCCCCCACTGTTTCTGGAAAACTTCCACTCCCTCCCTTTGAAATAATAACAGGAAGACCCATGCAGTGGTTAGATGAAGGGGCTTATGAACCTGCACTTCTTAAAGGTAACATTCTCCATTATTGCTAAGTTCTCACAAAACTTCTTACCAAGAGCTCCAAATTAATAAAATATTCCTTTCATAATGAGCTGCTGAGGGATGAAAATATAAAAAATTATGCCTATAAACTGGAGACAACATCAAATACTGGAAACAACATCAAATAAAATATTCCCTCCAAGTCCACTGGAGAGCACCACGTAGGTATTATTAATATTATTATTATTATTTTTTGAGATGGGGTCTCACTCTGTTGCCCAGGCCAGAATGCAGTGGTGTGATTATAACTCACTGTAGCCTTTACCTCCTGGGATCAAGCCATCTTCCTCCCTCAGTCTCCCAACTAGCTGGGACCAGAGGTGCGGGCCACTGCACCTGGCTCACATCAGGTATTATTTCCCAATCTCTGTGGCAGTAAACATAAGGGCATTGACACACAGATTCATGTTTCTCATATCTAAAAGGCAACCCTACCACAGTGGACATCTGTCAGTGGAGGTTTTCACTTAAAGGTGACCTGCAATCTTCCTAACCAAGATGGCGAGTAGCTGACATCTGTTATGGTACAATTTCGCCCAACATACCGGCCTGTATAAGCAGTTATTCACAATTCCAGTGCTTACTGCAACTGAAAGAGTTGGTCTCTTTTTCTATTGACTGGAATACATACACTGTTAGGGCTCCTTTAAGTTGTAAATTCCTCCTGATTGCACTGACAATGCAAATCAGGGTCACATCAAGCAAAACCTGTTTATCGAATCTGTCTGACTCATCCTAACCTTCTTGCCCCATGTTTCAGTTTAACCCATCACAATTGTACGTCAAAATAACTGCCTGTAATCCCAGCACTTTAGGAGGCCAAGGCAGGAGGATCACTTGAGCCCAGGAGTTTGAGACTAGCCTGGGCAAAGTGGTGAAACCCTGTCTCTACAAAATATACAAAAATTAGCTGGGCATGGTGGTGCCCACTTTTAGTCCCAGCTACTCAGGAGTATGAGGTGAGAGGATGACTGGAGCCCAGGAGTTCGAGCCTGCAGTGAATTCTGATGACACCACTGCACTCCGGACTGGGCAAAAGAGTGAGACCCTGTCTCAGAAAGTAAATAAATAAGCTGGGCATGGTGGTGGTGTGTCCCTGTAACTCCAGCACTTGGGAAGCTGAGGTAGGATGATTCATTGAGCCCTGAAGGTCAAGAGGTCAAGACTGTACTGGCCTGTGATCTTGTCACAGCACTCCAGTGTGGGCAACAGTGAGACCGTGGCTGAAAAGGAACAAAAATCCGAAACAAAACCAACCAAACAAAAAATGTTGCCTCACTCTGAAATAGCAGTGGTAAACACCATGATGCTATTGGAAAGTTAAGAGAAAAACACTCCCTCCTGCAATCAGGATCCAACCTGCCCTCTTGCTCTAACATGTCTGACCCATAGTTTAAATGCCGAAAGCTGATGTACCCAAATTATACTACACTTACCTGTTGTGCACCAGCATTTATTTTGTCTCTGGAGGAGATCACCATCCATGGCCCTTAAATGTCTGAAGGCATGGAATGATGAAGTGCAATGTCTTTTAGGATATTTGGTCACCGCTATACATATATAGCTCTGAAGAAATCCAACATTGGATGAGTGGGGAGGCCGAGGCGGGTGGATCACCTCTGGTCAGGGGTTCGAGATCAGCCTGGCCAACTTTGTGAAACCCCGTCTCTACTGAAAATACAAAAATTATCTGCATATGGTGGTGTTCACATGTACTCCCAGCTACTCAAGAGGCTGAGGTAGGAGAATCACTTGAACCCAGGAGGCAGATGTTGCAGTGAGCCAAGATCATGCCACTGGGCTTCAGCCTAGGAGACAGAGTGAGACTCCATCTTAAAAAAAAAAAAAACAACAACCAACCAAACAAACAAAAAATTGGATGAGTGTCCTCAAGCTTTTCACTAGGCATGCCCACCACTCTATTTTAGTAATAGATGGAGATCCTGTTGGGGGAAAATTTGCTAATTATCTGCCTGGCCATTAAGAAATAACTCCAAACATTTTCAGGGGAGCATGCTTTTGCTTTGATGGGATGTTGCTTTCCATGGTTAGAAATCCTTCTTTAGCCTTAGGTAACATTGCTGATAAAAACTGGGCATGGTGGCTCTGGCCTATAATCCCAGTGATTCAGAGGCTGAGGTGGAAGGATCACTTAAACCCAGGAGTTCCAGGCTGTAGTGAGCTATGACAGTGACAGTGCACTCCAGCCTGGGCGACAGAGCCACTCTTCCTCTTTGAAAGAAAAATAAAGAGTCCAGGCTTGGGGGCCTATGCTTGTAATCCCAGCACTTTGAGGGGCTCAGGTGGGAGGATTGTTTGAGCGTAGGAATTTGGGACCATCCTGAGCAAGATAGTGAGACCCTGTCTCTAAACAAACAAACAAAACAAACAAACACAAACCAAAATTAGCCAGGCATAGTGGTGCATGTCTGTAGTCCCAGCTACTTGGGAGGCTGAGGTGGGAGGATTGCTTGAGAGAAGGAGGTTGAGGCTGCATTGAGCTGAGACTGCACCACTGAAATCTAGCCTGGGCAACATAGCAAGACCATGTCTTAAAAAAAAAAAAAAGAAAGAAAGAAAGAAAGACAAAAGAAAGAAAGAAATATTGCTGATAAAACTGTAGCCTCTTTCACAGCTCAAAAAAAAGCTATTCATTCACTGGCTAAGGTTGTACTAGATAATTGCATCACTTTAGATGACAAATATTTTCAAAGACACTATTAGCCTTATTTAAAAATGGGTAGAACCTAGGCTCAGTGGCTCACATCTGTAATCCCAGCACTTTGGGCAGTCGAGGTGGGTGGATCACCTGAGGTCAGGAGTTTGAGACAAGTCTGGCCAACATGGTGAAACCCCATCTCTACTAAAAATACAAAATTAGCTGGGTGCAGTGTCATGTGCCTGTAGTCCTAGCAACTTGAGAAGCTGTGGCAGGAGAATTGCTTGAACCCAGGAGGCAGAGGTTGCAGTGAACCAAGATCGTGGCACTGTACTCCAGCCTGGGAGACAGAGAGTCTGTCTCAAAATACAAAAACAAAACAAAACAAAACAAAAACAATGGGTACATACAGCAGCACTTACAAGAGTTCATAGAAGGAATTGTACATTGTCAACTGATAGTGTGGAGAGAGCAGCCCCCTGCCCACCTGGTTGTGATCTCTGCACAACGCTTGCCCACAACCACCTTCTCCACTTAGTACAATGCAGCCCAGAACACCAAGGGGAGAGCCCCAGCAGCAGCAGCCTCCGCAGCCCGCTTTAGATGATAGATTTAGCTGAGCAGGGAGGTGGATGTGTGGTGTTTACAACCTCTGGTTGCATATACATAAATAAATACTTCCCATGAAGTAGAACCTCATCTAGAAAAAATTAGAAGTCATTTGGCTACAAGAAATCATGAAAGAAGAACTGGGATGTGATGTTTTCCCTGATGTTTTTCGTTGGCTCCCTAATGGAATAGGTTCCCTTACTGTTCTGGCATACAGATTCTCTTTGTGATTCTCATTCTTGTGTGAATTATATGTGTACTATTCAAATAATTAATGCTATATATTTACTGCTTTACTTCTGAGAAAACTGATTTTATGGTATCTGAAGACTAGAAATGATTCAACAAGTGATAGCTGCAGACTTAACTAAGGTCTCTCTCTCCTCTTTTTTTTCTTTTCTTCTCTTTTTCTTTTTTTTCTACTCGGTGTCACCCTTTCAATTGGGCTTTTGGGTGCTCTTAAAAATTCCTCAGTGAGGCAGCTCCTTTCCTCCCCTGCCCTCAGCGTGGGAAAGACTATCTGGGAATGAGCCTTCCTGGCAAAGAGGGACACCTTGGCTGAGCTTTTGATCATCAGTGCTTTCAAGAAGAAAGATTTTTTAAAGAATTCTTATCTGAGGAATGTGAGCCACTTCACATGATCAGAGACACATTAAATCAAGACAGCAACCACTTTCTGCTTCCTTCCTTTTGAGCTATGTATTCAACTGTTGAAACTGTTTGCTATCACCCCAGTTAGCTGTAAATTAATCTAATAATGCCACACCAAACACTGTATCCCACACCCTATTACAACGGATAGCCAAGCTCTCATCAACACTATTTCTGAAAACCAATGAGAATTCCTGACAGCCACCTTTCCATCAGCTCATTGTGTGTCCCCCTTTTTGACCTTTAAAAACCTGTTTGTGACAAAGGCCAAAGGGAGCTCAGATCCAAGGTTCTTGGGGTGTGAGTCTTCCCGGCAGCTGCCTTCACTTTGGCTCAAGTAAACTCTAAATTATATTTTGTGCTTCAGGGTCTTTCTTTTAGGTCAACATGTTCAGCAACAGTAGAATAAATAAATAAGTTGGCCTATATTCATACAAAGGAATACGCACAGAAACAAATAACCACATGAATAACATGAAAAATTCATAGATGTAAGACTGAGTGAAAGAAGTCAAACCTATGCCTCTGCTCCTGAGACCGACTTTGCAAAAATTATAACTGGGACAATTATCACAGCAAAAGAGGTTTGACCTAACTGCTTCCATCTTTTTTCCAGCGTCCAAGCTGTCCTTGTTCATTCCTGGGCACAGGCCAAAATAACTTTGAGAGGAACTTAGTTTATGGTTTAGCTGTGAAACAAAGATGATAACAGCTCTTTCCCAAAACAAACCCCCTTCCTGCCTGGGGACTAGACTGCCTTTGCAGGACTAACAAATTAGTCACAAGATTAGAAATGATGGTTTAGAAGTCATGCAGCCTCCAGCTTATAAGATTCTAAACCTCCCCAAATTGTTCCTGGGGATCACATCAGCATTGTAAAACCTAAGATCAGTGCGTGAGGTATTTTGTAGTCCTGCACTCGATGCATCAGCTAGCACCACCCAGATGGATAAACCAGCTCATCTGATCTTGTGGCCCCCACCCAGGAACTGACCCAGCTCAAGAGCATGCTTTAACTCCCTGTAAGTTCATCTCTGACCTGACCAATCAGAACTCCCAACTCACTGGCCCCCAACCACCAAATTATCCTTAAAAACTCTGGTCCTAGAATGCTCAGGAAGACTGATTTGAGTAATAATAAAACTCTGATCTCCCACACAGCTGGCTCTGGGTAAATAACTTTCTTTATTGCAATTCCCCTGTCTTGATAAATTGGTTCTGTCTAGGCAGCAGGCAACGTGAACCCATTGGGCAGTTATATTCCCACAAAACCCACTACACACTTTATGATTTGATTTATATGAAAGCAAAGGACAGGAAAAACTCGCCTGATAGATTTGGAGTCTGTGGAGTATTGTCAGAGTTTGGGGTTGTATTCTACAGATTAAAAGTAATCAGTTGAGCACCTCAAAATTTCCCCCCAATTTTTTTTTCTCCAAATTTGGACCACCTTGTTTCTCTCTTTGCAGAATATAAAGTGCTAACATGAGGTTAAGTGCTAAGGTCTAGAGAAGGTGGAAGAGATGACAAACTCCAGCACCATGCCTGCGTGTCCAGCGTGCTCTGCTGGGACAGCATATTTGTACATTGCTGTATTTGAAAAAACCCTACAAGATTCATGAAATTGGACCACTGTCCTTATAACACTACTAGTGGTAAAACAAGTAAGGATGGCTGGTTTGCAGTCATCTGAGCAGCATCTCTAGTTTCATAGATATGGTTTCTCTCTGATACTGAACGGCTTCCAATTTCAAGTAGAATGCTACATCAGAAGAATAACGATGGGAAGAGAACCGGTTTCTTGTGTAATCCAACATGTTTTAGTCTGCGCATTACAAACCATTATTTGAAGAAGGGTGGACAGGCTCTGGTAGCATGTTAGTCGGCTGAGTGGCGGAAGATGGGGCGGGAAAGTTGACGGAGACGGGAAAGGCGCTGTCGGTGACATCACGGATAGGGCGACTTCTATGTAGATGAGGCAGCGCAGGGGCCGCTGCTTCTCCACCTGCTGCTTCGCCACGAAGGAGTTCCGTGCTGTGGGAGCGAGTCCAGGACAGCTGGTCGGACCTCAGAGTCCCAGCTGTGTGTCAGGGCTAGGAGGGCTCGGGGACGCGCGGGGCAAGTGACCGTGCGTGTAAAGGTTGAGGCGTATGGAGCTGTGGCGGGGCGGAGGTGTGCAAATCCGTAGTTACCTGGGAGGGAAGATAGTATTGTGAAGATCGTTTTTCCAGAGTGAGGTTTTTTCTATTGTGTGTACTGATTCTTGCGATTTTCCTAAATGTAGGAAATTCCACTGCATAATTTGTGGTAGTGGGGGGGGCTGCGTTAGTGAATTCCGCTGAGATACTGCAGTGCAAAACGTGAGCTCTACGCGAAGGGCTACTCTTAGTTTCTATGGGTTTGTAGCTTTGACGGCATGTTAAGTGTCGTCCTTACTGTCTCAAGCGTGAGAAACAGAAAGTATCGCGTTACGGTCCTCTCCGCCGCTGTCGTGAGCTTATTTAACACAAACTAAGTGGCCGCAGGGCTCTTCCCCAACCTTTCTATGTGGGGCTGCTTTTTGCAGACTTTGCTTCATGGTCTCCAGTCTCTTGGGTTCTCTGTGAAAACCTTCGTGTTTTTTCGTAGCCTCCAGAGTCACCCTTCACACAGCCTCTGCTTCTAACCGCAGCCCCCGCAGTAGTTTGTAGGATTTCTGTGCTAGCAGGGAATGTGTTCTCACCTCCTAGAGCCAGGTAGAAACTCTACGCAGACGGGTGCTGTTCTTTGGGATGAGAGCAGTGTCCCCGTTCCGTTGTAGACACAACACGCTTGCTTTCTGTAGGGGAACGGCTCTCCCCGCGCCCAGGTGCCCTTGCTTATATTAACCAAGGCCCGTAGGTCGGAATCGCAGTCTCACCTGTCGGCAGAATGTGCTGCGATCTACCCCAACTACCCGAACTACCCAGCAATAAAATGGGACACATTACGGAAACATGAGATAAAATGGATCATCTCAAAAACATTATGCCGAGTGATGAAAAGAGTGCATCCTGTGTGGCGCCATCAAGGTGAATTTCTAGAACAGGTAAAACTAACCTGTATAGTGATAGAAAATACATCATTGATTGCTGGGGTAGGGGGAGGGCGGGACTGACTGCAAGGGCACAGGAGGACCTTTTAAAGTAATAAACACGTCATCAAACTTGAAATGGATGCTTTTATATATGCTTTTATATATTTTTAATATATTTTTAAAATGTATAATTATATTTAATATATAATTTTTATATATTTTAAATATATACAATATATATTTTTATTATTTTATAATTTTTTCAGGTATATATATCCTTCTTTATTATTTTTCCTTCTTTTTCCTTTTGTAGGGCCTGTGGGGGGACAGTCTAGCTAAAATATACATTCTTCTCTCTGTAGATATACCACAAGACCATGAGTCAAGTGTTGCCCGAATGTCCGAGGCCCAGGTCGCCCTGAGAAGGGGTGGGGACTTCCTGGGTCGCTGGGTCCCTGGCGGGGGGGGTCCGGGCCTCCGATTGCACGGGGCTAGGAGGCTCGCCCAGGAAGGGGACCCTGCAGGCTCGGTGATCCCAACAGGATGATTCAGCAATTTCCCCGTGGTCCGGGCCACTGTGATAACTCGGTTTCTGGGACCCCGAACACCGAAGAGGGAGACGAAGAGGGTGACATCGCGAGGCTGAGACAGCGGGAGCAGAAGGGACACCGAGACCTGCAGCGCAGAGCTTCTGAACATCAGCGGAATCTCCATTCCATTTAGGAAGTAAAACACGGCCTTACCATGCCAATGAAACACAAAGGTTCCACCGAGACTCGAACTCGGATCGCTGGATTCAGAGTCCAGAGTGCTTACCATTACACCATGGAACCATGCAACATAAAGTTGTTAAAGGTGTCTGAATTAGTTCCCACCCACCCATGTTAAGGCATTTCTTTAGATTCCACAAGCAACACTTAAGGTAGGTGGACCTGCAGGAAGGAGCCATCCTTCTTGCTTTCTCTCTGCCCTCTCCGTTGATCGACTTCTGTCATTTCATTTGCACCCCGGAAAAAGAGGCAAAATCCACTGTGGGTTTAGGGCCAGAGAAGAGCCCTTGAAGCCTCGGTCATAGAGTTTCCTGTGCCGAGGTGAAATTCCTTCCTTCCCTTCCCCTCCCTCCCTCCCTTCCTCCCTCCCTCCCTCCCTCCCTCCCTCCCTCCCTCCCTTCCTTCCTTCCTTCCTTCCTTCCTTCATTCCTTCTTTCCTTTCTCTCTCTCTCTTTCTTTCTTTCATTCAAGCTTCGGTGGCAGAGTTTCCTGTGCCGAGATTAACTTCCCTTCCCTTCCCTCCCCTCCCCTCCCCTCCCTTCCCTTCCCTTCCTCTCTTTTCATTGAGACAGAGTCTCCTTCTGTTGCTCAGACTGGAGTGCAATGCAGTGGCAGTGGGTGATCTCCCCTCACTGCAACCTCCATCTGTCGGGTTCAAGTGATTGTAATCCCCAGTGGCTGGGATTACAAGCATGGGCCACCATGTCCGGCTAATTTTTGTATATTTGGTAGAGATGAGGTTTTGCCATGTTGGCCAGGCTGGTCTCAAACTCTTGACCTCAAGTGATTCGCCCGCCTTGGCCTCCGGAAGTGCTGGGATTACAGGCGTGAGCCACCGCACCCAGCCCGGAGATGAAATATCTGCAAAATTTCTGTTATTTTCTTTATGCTTTCCCTCTTTTCCATTTGCCCAAGGAGGCCAGATGATTGTCAAAACAGGACGTGGGACTTCCTGGGCACCTTGCCCCCTTCCTCCCTGTAGTATATAACAGAAGACAGCAATCAAGTGAGATTGGGAAGCAGGGAATCCTTTATTTTTTTATTCATATACTTCTATGTTTGTTTGGTTGGTTGGTTTTAACAAAATTTTCTCACCAGAAATGGAGATTTGTTGGATTTAAAATAAAAGCAATCAGCCATGTTTTACATTTCTGTAAAACACTCAAACCAGGCCATACTCTCCTATTTTGACTCAAAATCAGCCATATACTGTCCAGGTCAGGAGGCAGGCCCCTGACATTTAAGCACAGTGTGTTTTCTCAGAATTGGCCAAGTTGATGCCATTCCAGTTTCTCAATATATCATGACCCATTAATTTCAGTCTTTAAAAGTAAACACGTATTGTTACTGAAAGCCCAGGAATTCGGTCTAGGCCCTGCTGCTCAGCTCACAGAAAGCCAATCATTAAGACATTGAGTATTGCTGAGGAAGAAGGCTTTAATTGGGTGTTGCAGCTGAGGAGATGGGAGATCAGTCTTAAATCAATCTCCCTGATCAACTAAAGTGAGGGGTTTATGTAGCAGGGAAGAACTGTAACTGTGGGTGGGAAAAGAGGAACTAGGGAAGGGTGAGGAAGCACTCATGATGAGTGAGGGGTCTGGCATCTCATTGTCTGGAGGCTGTCATCTGCTGAGTTTCAGGTCTATGACGCTTTTTGAGAGGCCTGAGAGGCCTTTGCTGAGGAAGGAACTCAGATAAAACAAATGTCCTAAGTTTCAAGCTTTAAGACCAGAAGGGTCCATTTCTATGTCTATCCAAAAACACTGTCTGTGGGACTCTTGGGTTGATTTCAGTCCCCACTTTCTATTTGTCAGTTCCTCAATCATGGGGAATCTGATCATCCATCTTTCTGGCTGCATCATGTGGAGGAGGGGCATCCTGAGCAGCTTCACACCATGGGTGACTGCATGGCCACCCAGGAATCAAACATTCATCTAATACTGTAGTTTCTCCTGAAACACAATCTTCCTCTGTCCAGTTCCCCATTTCCACTAAAGACAAAACACAGCAGGACCAACCTAAAGAAGCTTCAGTCCAATATACTTGGCCTGATTACCCACACAAAGTGCAGCAAGAATCCTTGTTCATACAGGCTCTCCTAAATAGGCTTTGCTGGAATATTTCACAACGCCATTTCAGGCAAAGCCCTGGGAAAATTACCAATTCCTCCACCTGTGTCCTGTTATAAAAGAAAACAGAATCTTATTGAACTTATGCAAACAAACACATTGTCATGAGTTAAGAATATTCAGTTTACAAATTCTGTGGAAATTCGGCAGACAGAGAAAAATATGCCTCAAATTCTGTTTAGAAGACTATTCTACTCAATTGTTGCAGGCTATAAATAGCTCAAAAGGAAACAAGTTCTCCAGACTCTGAAGAATCAACAATGTTTGAAACAAACAAAGGCCATAAAAACTTATTTCAGTCCTCCATTAGTTTGATCCATGCAATCAACTCGTGCTCTGTCATATTCAGCTAGCAATCTCTATGAACACATCAGTCTTTCTATTAGTGCCCTGGAAATTTTCTCTTAAGTTCAATGGCACAATCTCCAAAGTTATCAGAAACCTGCATCCAAGAGTCCTTTTCATGGACTTCCCCAAAGAAGCAACGCCTGGAATGTAACTGATTATAAGTCACTTTTTAAGAAGAATCAAAGCAAAACAACAATTGTGGATGACAAAAGCCTTAAGACAACCATGGTTATAGATACAATTGACAAGGGAATTCTGTTGCTTCTGTGGCACACAACAATTTAACATAATAATCATAATTATTACTGACAGCATAGCAGAACTCTAGGAATCTCATACAATCCTGGAACACACATTAACAACACATCTGTGTCAATAGAACCCAAAGGAAGTGAAACACCACCTCAGATATGACAATGCTTCTTGCATAATTCTACATAACAAATAAGCCTAAGAAGCCTAATATATCTCTCTTGGACTTCAAGAACCTAATATCCAAAAAGTTAATTTGAGGCCCAAAAGGCTGAATTTAGAAATTTTACTCTTAGAAATTTTGCCAGATATCAAAGTTTTGAGACACTTGACATCACAAAATAGGATCACAGATCACCTTAGAATAGTCAGTCATTCAGCCAAAATGATAAAACAAAAATGTTCACCCTTTGATACAAAGGAGGCTGAGTTTTCTAAACAGTAAGAACTAATGAAGACATGAGGCCAACTCTATCCGTCTCTCCCTTTCATTGTTTTGCCTTGCAGTTTACTTTGAAAGTAAACAAAAATATTTTATGTATTATTAATACTGCACAAACATTTTGATCAAAAGAGAAAACCAAATTTTACCTTTGTGTGGTGTATTAAAATGTTAAAGCTAATTTTAGTAAAACCTTATACACAAATTTAATTATAATCAGTTTGAACATGAGGTAAGAGTTCCAAAAACCTTTCATAACCTTTTATACTTTTGTATTAAAGAGTAGATAAATGCTGTAGAAAACCCTGATATTGCAATACACGGGCCCAGATGCTGGCCTTGCATCAGTGTGTTTCTGAGTGTAATGTCTAATTTATAGAAAATCTCTGAATTTGAGAGGCCAGAGGGCCAGAGTGCGTGGATCACTTGAACTTAGGAGTTTGAGTCTAGCCTGGGCAATATGGTGAAACATTGTGTCTACGAAAAAAAAAAAAAAAAAAAAGAAAAGAAAAGAAAGAAAGGGAAAGAAAAGAAAGTCTCTCAACTAAACTTATCCCTCAAATTCCAGCCTTACAATTCTCACGTGCCCACCTCTTCTGTCTAGAAGAAGAGGGGGCATGAGGTGGAAAACGGGACATGTGGGATTGTTGGGCCTAGAGGGATTGAATGGTTTCAATTTCTGGTTCATGAAAGCAGTTCATTTTGATTTTCATCTTCCCCAGGATCTGAAGATGAGGCATTAATTGGTGTCAATATTCAAGATTTAGCAAAAGGAGGTATCTTTTTCAGATCCAGGAGTCAAAGCCCTATAAGCTAATAGCACAAGGATTAGTTGATAGGACATTTGTACTGCAGAAAGTTCTATTTCTCTCTAACATGTCACCAATAAAAACACTATGATCGGCTGTCCAGTAGTTACTGCCTGAAGCACTTCAAACCATTGTATTAAAGTGGTTAGGATACTCCTTGCAGGTAACTAGTTGCCAGCATTCTAATGAATGAACTGTGATTGAAAGCATCAAAAATGTGACAGAACCTATGCCAAACTTTTCCAAGTAAGACAATTAAATTTTCTCTCCATCATTTAATAAAATGCTAAATGCAAATATCAGTTTTGGAAATTCAGTATGAGGATAAATAATCTCCTTTTATTTAAATACTATACAACAAAACAAGAGCAAAGTGAGAGTAAACACACAGTCATTTCATTTTTTTCAGCTATTTTACTTATTTATTTTGAGACAGAATCTCCCTCTGTCACCCAGGTTGGGGTACAGTGGCAGGATCTCGGCTCACTGCAACCTCTGCCTTCAAGTCCTGGGTTCAAGGGATTCTCCTGCCTCAGCCTCCTGAGTAACTGGAATTACAGGTATACACCACCATGCCCAGCTGATTTTTGTATTTTTAGTAAAGACAGCGTTTCGCCACGTTGGCCAGGCTTCTGGCCTTGAACTCCTGGCCTTCAGTGATCTGCCCGACTCGGCCTCCCCAAGTGCTGAAATTATAGGAATGAGCCAACACACCCGGCCTTCTTTTCAGCTCTTTTAAAAGAGCATAATCACATCTTTCCAAGATTGGTTTCTTGATATGGTACTGATTACTGATTAGGCTGCTTTCACCATTAAAATCTTCAAACCAGTGCAACAATTGCACATGTTTTGTTTTCAAGTACACACATGAAAGCCCAACAGTGATACAAGGCTTGGGATCAAAAATCACTATAAATTCTCACCTCTTGTTTTTATTACCACTTAATCCTGGTGAATGTCACTTAATTTTAATAATGGTAAACACAACTTAAGGAGTT
Source organism: Homo sapiens (assembly GCF_000001405.40). Taxonomy (NCBI): domain Eukaryota; kingdom Metazoa; phylum Chordata; class Mammalia; order Primates; family Hominidae; genus Homo; species Homo sapiens. Next base: position 148,270,095 of record NC_000001.11, read on the forward strand.
TGAGAGGGATCCAATCAATATAATATCCTTAAGGACAAGGCCAACTTTTCTGACCGTGGAAGCTTTGTACCCACATCACAGTTTTTCCTCATTAAAGGAAAGGGTCTGCAACCAACTCAAATGATTGACTGAAACCAACTCACTTACTGATTGGATTGAGTGTGTACCAAACCTCAGGCCACGGATGCCTGAGTCCTAGTGTTCCTGTGACATCCCCTTGGGGTAGTGGAACTCTGCCTTTCAATGATGGGAAGTCTTGGGCAAGAGCAAGTCTCCTCCCCTTGTCCAGTATAAACAGCTTTTATGTCTAACTCTACCTCAGCAGCTGGCCTACACCTGGGGCCAAGGGTTGGAAGGGTTCCTTGTTGCAGCATCAGCAGTAGATGCCTTTTGTTTCATGTGAGAGAAGTGACCAGGTATTGGGCCTGTACTCTGGTGGTGGCCGATCATGACCTATATGCCTACACCACTGTGGCAAGCTCAAGAAATTCTCTTTCCCTGCCACACATGTCTTGTCAGCACTTAGGATGTGAGAGGAAAGACCCAGCAAATGGGCAAAAAACATGCTATGTGTCTGGGACTCTCAGAGATTCTAAGCTGTCACAATAGTTCACACTTGGCCTTTAAGAAACAATAAAAACTTCAGAGATTATCTCCAACCAACATTTATGGCTGTCATCTTTTCCTTCCATTATCTGTCAGAGATGAACTGCTTCATGTGTTTGTCCTTTTATAGGGGGGTTTCTCATGCTTTGGACTTCAGTTGACCCAGGGGCCTTGCAACTTCAGCTCTCTGGTGAGATCAAAACACATGATTTCGCAGACCATACAGCTTTTTCTCGTCATTAGAGTGGGAACAACTGTCTCTTACAGCTTTCTACATCTTAAACAACTGTTGAATCACATGTCTGTTTAAAAAAATCCTTATATTCTCCTTTATTTCTGGATTAACTTCCCTTCAGGATACTACACAAATTCTGTTAGCTGATCACTTATTTTGAGGCTGTGAGGTAGACATAGTGAGCACCTTGACGATCCCTGCCAATGAGCCAATTCATTAGGTGCTCACGGGAAACCTGGGCCCAGACCAGTACTGAAACATGCAACTGTCACCCACAGCTCTAGCTGAATTTTTGTCATGAGGCTCTTTCTCCTCAATCAGCATACTAGTCTTAGAACAAGTTTGATATTGGGACTATCTTAAAATAGTCTTCCTGAACAGCTTGCTGGGACTCCAATTTCTGGTCAAATGTGAGCCAGCAGAGTAAAGACATCATTCTTGACCCAGGAGAAGGCAACAGTACATGGATACACCATATTTTTCATCAACCTCAGAACAGTTATCTCAATGAATATTGAAATTAGTGATTGAAATACTTGTTTCCCCAAGTGTGAGATGCTGAAAATTGGAAAAGTTTCCTTGGTTGTCTAAATGATTGTGTGCTCAGATTGAATTTGAGGGTACACAGGTGCAGCCTCCAGTGGAAAAGATTCTAAGAACTGGATGTGGGTAGAGGATGCAATTATGGAACTTGATATCTTTCCCACCTTCTTTTCTTTCTTCCTATTTCTACTGGTCTTGTAATGCTAGGCCCAGGCATCAATATACATACAATTAAAAAAGGCAATATTAGTGCAAAAGACACAATATATATACAATGAAATTAGATGGTGCCTATTGCTAAAGTTACTTTAATTTCACATTGTGTAGCCCAATAAAGTGAATGCCGCCCACCTACCAAGGGTATTAGTCAGCTGAGGCTGCCATAGAAAGATACTAAAGGTTGGGTGGTTTAACAACAGACTTTTATTTTCTCAATGTTCTGGAGGCCAAAAGTCAAAGATCGATGAGCTCACAGAGTTGGTTTCTGGGGAGGCCTCTCTTCCTGGCTTGCAGAAGGCCACTTTCTTGCTTTGTGCTCCCATAGCCTTTCCTCGTGCCTGTGTGGAGAAAGAGAGAGATTCTTTGATGCCCTTCCTCTTCTTATATGGACACCATTCCTACCAGATTAGGGCCCTGCTTGTATGGCCTCATTAACCTTAATTTCCTCCTTAAAGACTCTGTCTCTAAATGCAGTCAAGTTGGGGGTTAAACTTTCAACATATGAATTCAGGGGAAAATAATTCATTTTATAACACCAAGCAATAGGGACGATCCTACGATTCTTTACCTATTAAATCCTATGACGTTTGCCTGGTGGTGGGGCCAGGAAGAAGTTGTTAGGAAGGCTGCTATTATTGCTAATTCTATGATTAGGAAAGCATACTTGAGCTGAAGTGCCTGCCATATGGGAAAGAGTGCAGGTCAAACAGGTACGAAATAAAAATAGGGGAAAATGGTAGCAAACAAAGCAGTGCTTTTAAGTGAGTCATGCATCCAGGAAGGATTGAAATTGTACAATTTCATGGAAATCCTATTGTCTTTATCAGGAGAATGACTTTACAAGGTTTATAAACTAGGGGGAAAGGATGGTGTGGATTAAGGACCACACCTGATTGCTCAGCATAATGTGATTTCTTGACTAAACAGCTATAGGATGTGAAGGAAAGATCAGAAGTCAAAGAAAACTTAAAGATTTTTTGACTGAGCATATGGAAGGATGCAGTTTCCATCCACAGAGGTGAGAAAATAGCAGGTGTGGCAGGTTGTAGGAGGAAAAGCAGAGATCAGTTCAGGGCCCTAAAACTTTGCTTGAAAGAGTTTTCCATTTGCCCCGTCTCCATTTCTGCATCCCCTTGAGATTTCTGTGAGGCTGAATGCAGAGGTGCTTGGCCACTTCTCCCCCTGGGCACCAGTCATTTCACCTCCTGACAGCATCTTCCATGGCCCTGGCTCTGATGACCATCTCCCAACACAATGTCATCTTGCAAAGGTGATCTGAGCAGTAGCTGGAGCAAGGCCATCCACTCCTTGACTTGTGTGGCCTTGGTGGGCCCCAGGAGCACTTCACTGCTTCTCAGGGTAGTAGGTCTTAGGTATGGCATGCTTCTGAGGAAAACAGGGAGGAAACAGCCTGAGGGGTGGAAAGGGAGGGCTGTACCAGGCAGCCTAGGAAAGCTGAGCAGACCTAGGCTCTCAATGCAAAGAGCATTTACCATCTGAGAAGTTCTACTCATTTACTATTGTTAGCTTAGAATCTCATCTGTTAAAATGGTATAGAAATTTGTTTTCTTCCTGGTTATATGTACACCTACATAATAGCCTTGATTTTGCCTCTTGGCTCACAAGCCTGCAATACTTACTATCTCTGGCTCTTTACAGAAAATGTTTGCTGAACTCTACAGAAAACAATCCCCCATGCTTTATAGAAAAAGACACCCAGGAATCTCTTTTACTAATTTTCTTTTGTTGGACGTTTTTCTGGCCACCAATAAGGTAAATTCCCTTTCTTGGCTTGTAATGATTAGTCTCTGGTTGGTTGTCATTTGCAATGGCACAATACATACTGAGACCTCAAAGCAGAAAAATCATAGAAGAAAACCTAGGAAATATCATTCTCAACATCAGCCTTGGCAAAGAATTTATGGCCAAGTCCACAAAAGCAATTGTAGCAAAAACAAAAATTCACAAGTAAAACCTAATTCAGTGAAAGAGCTTCTGCACAGCAAAAGACCATCAACAGAGTCAACAGACCACCTATAGAATGGGAGAAGATATTCACAAATTGTCAATCCAACAAAGGTCTAATGTCCAAAATCTATAAGGCACTTAAAAAAATCAAAAAGAAAAAAAAACATTAAAAAGTGGGCAAAGAGACATGAACAGACACTTCATAAAAGAAGACATATAGGCAGCCAGCAAACACAGAAATAAATGCTCATCATCACTAATAATCAGAGAAATGCAAATCAAAGCTACAATAAGATACCATCTCACACCACTCAGAATGGCCACTATTAAAAAGTCAAAAACCAACAGATGCTGATAAGCCTGTGGAGAGAAAGCTTATAAACCCTTGGAGTGAATGTAAATTAGTTCAGTCACTGTGGAAAGCAGTTTGGAGATTTCTCAAAGAACCTACAACAGAGCTGCTATTCAATTGGTAATCTCATTTCTGGGTATATACCCAAAGGAATAGAAATCATTATGACAAAAAGACACATGCACTCCTATGATCACCACCAGCCTATTCACAATAGCGAAGACATGGAATCAAACTAGGTGCCCATCAATGGTGGATTAAATAAAGAAAATGTGGTACATACACAACATGGAATACTACATACCCATTAAAAAAAAAATCCTGTGAGGCCGGGCACGGTGGCTCATGCCTGTAATCCCAGGACTTTGGCAGGACAAGGCAGGTGGATCATGAGGTCAACAGATCGAGACCAACCTGGCTAACATGGTGAAACCCCGTTTCTACTAAAAATACAAAAATTAGCTGGGCGTGGCAGCGCCTGCCTGTAATCACAGCTACTCAGGAGGCTGAAACAGGAGAATGCCTTGAACCCTGGAGGCAGAGGTTACAATGAGCTGAGATCGCACACTCCACTCCACCCTGGCGATAGAGCTAGACTCCGTCTCAAAAAAAAAAAAAAAAAGAGTCCCGTGGACAGAAGATTTTCCTGGTGGAGTGTAAAACAAACTGGGGTGATAGAAATGAGTTCTGTGGACGTGCTGCTCTCCACTTGGGGCCCATCCTTCATTTTGCCGAGACCACCAAAGACTGGGCCTTCCTGGACAGGAGGGGTTCCTCCCCACACGCCTCCCCTTGGGCCCCAGTCCCCCACCACTGCGTGTGTCCGCCCAACCCTACAGCTTCTCTCCTTTCGGGAATGTCATTTCTTGAACCGCACTCCATCACAAGATGTGGTCCAATGGTCTATCCAAGGTCCAGGCAGAGAATCCGTGATCAGGTGACTCTTTGTATTGCAGGGATCTGACAGCAGAGACAATAAAAGTAGCACCAGTTTTAGGGCCAAATATGCAGAAACGCAGAGACCAACCAGACCCACTGGCTGCTTCATAGACTGTCTCTATAAAGTCCCTGCTTAGATAAATTCCGCTCCAGGGCCGGGTACACCCTGTAAGAGGCTGGTGGATTATGTGAGGTCAGGAGTTCAAGATCAGCCTAGCCAACATGGTGAAACCCCGTCTCTACTGAAAATAGGAAAATTAGCAGGAAATGGTGGCACAAACCTGTAATTAGAGCTACTTGGGAGGCTGAGGCAGGAGAATCGCTTGAGCCCAGAAGGTGGAAGTTGCAGTGAGCCAGGATTGCACATATTGCACTCCAGCCTGGGTGACAGACCGAGACTCTGTCTCAAACAAACAAACTAACAAAAATAAATAAATAAAAGAAAGATAAATTCAGCTAGGGAAAGAACCCGAGGACTATACAGTAGCTTCCATTTTTTTTTCTTTATTAGTGTGGCTGTGACCTCTTTGAGGGTCACAATTACAGTAAGTAAATGTAAAAACCACAGGGCACAAAGACAGGACCCTGCATTTGCCAGAAATGGAATCCAGGTCTCCCGGGTGGGAGGTGTAATTTCTACCACTGAACTGCCAGTGCCTCCTGACCCTGAGCTCTGCAGCCTTGGAAACAGTTAAGACACAGACTTGGGGAAAGGAGTCAAGATTTTCGCTGTGTTCTCTTTGATGTGACTAACAAAAAAGACACCCAGAGCAAAGGCTCGCAGTGGTGATTTGCATCAGGCAACACCACAAAGTTATGGCTTCACATTAAAAGAGCTGACTTGAAAAAGCCTTATTCTGAGTAGGCTCTGTGCAACTTGATAACAAACCTCTGTAGGAAAAATCAGAAATTCACCCAGTTTCTTGTCTCTGGTCCTGTATCCAGTGTGAGCCTGTGGAAAGTTCTTGCCTCGCTTGTTGATGTCTTCTCTTTGCCTCCCCATTGCTTGGTGCCTCTCAAACCCTTTCCTCCCAACCTTGACAGGAACATCAGTACTTTCTCCAAAAAAGGCTGTCAGAGAACAGGGACCCTGGTTTGGAAAGCTGAACTCTTGGGACTATGCCTGGGATACTCCAGGAGACCAGGGTGATAATTGAACTTCTCTCCTCCTACACCTCTTTTGAATTCCTGGAAAAGGCCTGGGATTGGATCTTGCTTTTAACTTCTTATGCCTTACAGAGACCTAAGCAAGAGCGAAGAAATGGACATTTCACTCCCAGATTTCTTCCCTTCACCTCACCCTGGTTGGCCACCCAAGGAGGCCAGTTCAGGGAAAAACAGTTCCATTTGATTCTAGGTAGATGCTAGGATATTACTCCTCTAGCTAACAGAAAGTGTTCTTTTGTTGTTTGCTTTTGTTGGATATTCATGTTTTCACTCTCATTCTTTTGTTTATAATGAGCATGGTACAGATTTGCACTGCTCTTTTTGTTGTTGTTGTTTGTTTTCTTTCCTTTTTACATTTTTTATTTCCAACTTTTCTTTTAAGTTCAGGGTACATGTGCAGGATGTGCAGGTTTGTCTTATAGGTAAACGTGTGCCATGGTGGTTTGCTGCACCGATCTTCCCATCACCCAGGTACTAAGCCCAGCATCCATTAGCTACTCTTCCTGATGCTCTCCCTCCTCCCAACCCCCACCCTCCAATAGGCTCCAGTGTGTGTTGTCCTTGCTCCCCAACCCCATGTATCCATGCATTCTCATATTCAGCTCCCATTTATAAGTGAAAACACACGGTGTTTGGTTTCCTGTTTCTGCGTTAGCTTGCTAAAGATAATGTGTACTGCTTTTGACCTGGCACCGTCGTTCACACCTGTAATCTCAGCAATTTGGGAGGCTGAGGCGTGTGGATCATGAGGTCAAGAGTTCGAGATCAGCCTGGCCAATATGGTGAAACCCCCATCTCTACTAAAAATACAAAAATTAGCTGAGCACAGTGGCGCGTGACTGTAGTCCCAGGTACTCGAGAGGCTGAGGCAGAAGAATCACTTGAACCAAGGAGGTGGAGGTTGCAGTGAGCTGAAATCATGCCACTGCACTCCAGCCTGGTAACAGAGCTAGACTGCGTCTCAAAAAAAAAAAATGTATATATATGTATATCTCCCTCCTATACAATATATACGTATATATATATATATATATATATATATAATATAATGTGCACTGCTTTGAATATTTAACCCTTTTCTGCCCATTAAACCATTAGAGCTGGCATTTCCTTTTCTATCCAATCTGAGAGACTTAAATCCATTATAATTCACAGCAGTTAGTGTTACATTGGAGATGACAGGCACAGTTAGTCTCATTCCCACCACCTCATTGTATGATTTCTGTGTTTTGGCTTTGTTTATAAAATCTCTTCCTGCCTTTCTTAACTAGACTGGTCTGTCTGGGTAAATTTTCTGTTTTTCTGTAGTGTTTTTGAAATTCCATGTCCCTGATTAGTTAATATATTTTCTTAGATCTCAGGTGCACAGGGAGAAGGTAATCATGTACCTTAGCTCAGGGCACATTATGGTGGCAGCTCTGAGCAAGGCACTTACTGTCTTTCCTTCTTTTCTCTGTTTATCCCACTCCCATTTCCCTGTCCACTTCCAGAAACACGTTCTGAGGAGTTTAGTATATGCTCTTTTATCTCACACTTTCTCTGCATATTTCAATAAGGGGATGTCTTTGGAAGACATACATTGTTCTTTGAGGATGGAGGATATTAAAACAACTTTAAAGTTTGAATTGGTTTCCAAAAACCCATTCCATCCTCTTTACTCCATTCTGTGTACTATCTTCTCAACTTTTCTATTCAAATAGAAAAGTTTGTGTATAAATTTGGGGAGGAAGAAAAGAGTCAAGCCAATGTAAAATGGGCAAAATACTTGAACGGTGTTTGTTTACCAAAGAGAATTTCTTAATGGCCAAATTGCATAAGAAAGGATTCTTGGCATTATTACTCATTCAGGAAACACAAATTTAAAATGCCATGATACTCCATAACACACCCATCAGAATGGGTAACATTTAAGAGACAGGGAAAGCCACTGGCTTATAAAAATGCAGAGCAACTGTAACTCTTGTTGCTGGCAAGAGAATACAATACTGTAAACAAACAGATGCCTGTAATCCCAGCAGTTTGGGAGGCCGAGGTGGGCTGATCCCTTGAGCTCAGGAGTTTCAGACTAGACTGGGCAAGATGAGGAAAACTCATCTCTACCAAAAAAATTCAAAGAATTAGCCAGGACTATAGGTGTGCCTGTAGTCCCAGCTACTCAGGAGGTTGCAGTGGGAGGATTGCTTGAGCCTGGGAGGCAGAGGTTGCAGTGAGCTAAGATTACACCACTGAAGTCCAGCTTGGGCTACAGGGTGAGACCCTGTCTCAAGGAAGGAAGGAAGGGAGGGAGGGATGGTGGGTCCAGGTGCGGTGATTTACCACTGTAATCCCAGCACTTTGGGAGTCTGAGTCCAGTGGATCACAAAGTCAGGAGATGAAGATGATCCTGGCTAACACAGTGAAACCCCCATCTCTACTCAAAATACAAAAAATGAGCTGGGCGGCATGGCACATGCCTGTAGTCCCAACTGCTTGGGAGGCTGAAGCAGGAGAATCACTGGAACCTGGGAGGCGGAGGTTGCAGTGAGCCGATATCATACCAAAACCACAATATCAGAGATGATAAATTCGCTGGATGGGATTAACAGCAGATTAGATGTTGCAGAAGAAATGATCAGGGAACATGGAATCATGAATAATTGAAAATATGCAAAATGAAACTCACAGACAAAAGAGATTTTTTTTAATGAAAAGATTATCAGTGAACTGTAGGGCAGACTTAAGAGGTCTAATTTTTGAGTAATGGGAGTCCCTGAGAAGGAGCAGGGAGGAAAGGAAACATTTATTTTCTTTCTTTGTTATTTTTCTTAGGAATGGGGTCTCAGTATGTTGCCCAGGCTGGTCTTGAATTTCAGGCCTCACTCAACACCTCCCGACTTGGCCTCCCAAAGGTGTGAGCCACTGTGCCCAGCCAATTTCTGAAGAAAAATAGCTGGAAAGTTCCCAATCATAACAAAAATTATAAATCCAGTGACCCAAGGAGCTGAGGAAACCAAAGCGCAAGAAACATGAATAAAACCACTCCTAGATACATCATAATAACATTGCTCAAATCTGGCCAGAAGAAAAAGACATTGTACATACACAGGAGCAAAAATGAGGATTGCATCAGCTTCCTTTCTGCTCTTGCCGGCCTCTACCAGGAGCAGCAATGCACACGAGCAGACAGAGAAGCAACATCTTTAAGGTACTGAGGGCAGGAGAAGTTAATGTAGAATACTATGCCAGAAAAAATAAATTCCCAAAAGTGGAAGTGAAATAAGGACATTTAGAGATGTACAAAAGCTGACCGAATTCACTACCAGTCAACCCACACTACAAGAAACATCAAATGAGTCCTCCAAGCAGAAGGAATCCAATACCAGATGAAAATCCAGATCTCCACGAGGAAATGAAGAACACCAGAAATGGGTAACTATACTAGGTATTTTTTTATTTTGTAAATTTCTTTTGTAAAAATTTGACCATTTAAACAAAAGCAATAACAATGGGTTGTGGTGTTTATAACATGCGTAAAAGCAAAGTGCATGTCAGCTATAGCGTCAAGGCCAGAAGGTGAGATATAATATCACTTGAAAGTTGACTGTGATAAGTTAAAAAGGTTTGCTATAAGCCCTAAGGGAATTACTAAAATAACAAAAGAAAGAGTTATAGCTAATAAGCCAACAGAAGAGAGAGAATAGAATGATATAAAAACTTTATGAACAGTATGATAGAGTAATTGTTCTTCCTATAGTAATTGCACCTCTAGCCTAAAGAAATATTTAGACCAGTGGCTGAAAATGCCCGTACAAGAATGACTAGAGCATTATATGTAATTATAAAAAAATCACAGAACCAATTTAACCTCAAAAGCATATGGAAAGGGCTAAATGAATGACAGTTAAAGAGAGAGAGAGAGAGAGAGAGGGAGAGGGAGAGAGAGAGAGAGAGAGAGAGAGAGAGAGAGAGAGAGAGAGAGAGAGAGAGAGAGAGAGAGAGAGAGAGAGCGGCGCGGTGGCTCACTCCTGTAATCCAGCACTTTGGGAGGCTGAGGCGGGCGGGTCACAAGGTCAGGAGATTGAGACCACCCTGGCCAACATGGTGAAACCCCGTCTCTACTAAAAATACAAAAATTAGCTGGGTGTGGTGGCGCGTGCCTATAATCCCAGCTACTCAGGGGGCTGAGGCAGGAGAATTGCTTGAACCAGAGAGTCGGAGGTTGCAGTGAGGCGAGATATCTTGCCACTGCACTCCAGCCTGGCCACAGAGCGAGACTCCATCTCAAAAAAAAAAAAAAAAAAAAGAGAGAGAGAGGGTTCCCAGAATCCTAGCGGACCTTGATTTACGTCCTCACGTCCTGCGCGACAGACGGAGGAGAGGAGGGTAAAGTTAGTCTCCCTCTGCCTTTCCATGATACCATGTGCTGGATAGAAGAAAGTTGCCAGCGGTTTAAGCATTTTTAAAATGCAAGAAATGCTCCATAGAACAGGCTCGAACCACCCACCTTCGGGCTTGGAAACAAGCACACCACCCAACTGAGACACACAGACAGACGACTCTCACTCTGGTATCACCATGCAGAGCAAGAGCCCATCCAACGTTAGGAGGAGCCACCGCCTTTTTTAGAACAACTGTGCAGGCTCTAAAGCCTCGGAAAACCTGAGAGGCGCATCTTGCTGGCTACGGTTGAAACCCGTGCATTGGGTGATTCCGAAGCTGGAAGGGCAGCGGAATGGCCTTCGCCCCGTCCTGACCCTCGCAGGCGTCAGACCCAGCATCCCAGGAAACGCCCGGGTCCGCGACTCCCTGGGCCTGAGCCGCGTGGGTCCCAGGGGAAGCAAGCAGAACGCCCCGTGGGCTCTAGTGATGGCTCTTCCCCTTCTTGGCTCCGCCTTCACCCGATTCTCTACTGCTGCTTGCGCTCCCCTCGCTCACCTCGGCCTCGGTCGGTGGGGCGGGAGAGAGGAGGGGTGAAAAGCAGAAATACGGAGAGGCCCCACAGAAGCAGAGGAGGTGCGGACCAGGACAGAGAGACCTCCCGAGAGAGGCTGGTGCAGGGAGGCCCAGGCTGGAGTGGAGGAGATGAGAATTGTTCTCATCACGTATGAAGATTGGGAGGAAGGGAGGGAAAAGCAGAGCGGGCATGAAAGAAAAGCGCGAGTCCCCTGTGGCTGTCTGGGAACGAATCCGCCTAATAATCGAAATCCATTGACGTCAAAAGGGCTAGAGCAAGCTCCGCCATCGCGGTTTAGCCTGTGGCTCGCCGTGATCGTATAGTGGTTAGTACTCTGCGTTGTGGCCGCAGCAACCTCGGTTCGAATCCGAGTCACGGCAATGTCGTTAGTCTAGGCTGTCAGCTCTTCCCTTTTGCTCCCGCAACCAGGCGCGTCAGGGGAAGGAAAAGAGACCTCACACCTTACTAACTTGGCGAGGAATCCAAGGGAAACCCTGGACGTGCTCCCTCCTGTTTCTGAGCCTCACGCAGCAAATAACCCAGTCGGCCCTGTTGGTGGCTTACACGAAGGCAATGGTGTGCTCAGAACCGTTCTTCCGGTCACTGGGGGCACGTCGGGGTAAGGAAAAGAGACCTCACAGCTCACTAACCTGGGGAGGAGTCCAAGGGAAACTCTGGACGTGCACCGTCCTGTCTCTGAGCCTCACAGAGCAAATAACCCAGTCAGCCCTGTTGGTGGTGGCTTACACGAAGGCAATGGTGTGCTCAGAACCTGTTTTCCAGTCACTGGGGCTGTTACACACGAAACGACAAGAAGCTTTTAATGACTTTAAACTCCAAACTCTTTGTTGTGGCCTACAATGGCTTGTCTCTGTGCCCGTCACCAAGTTTGTATGCCAACAGCAAAGTGTGAGGAAAGGCAATCTGGTGCCGGGGGTCTTTCCACCTCCACTCTGCCACGTAGGAATGGGCCTTGGGCCTGGAGCACTTCCTTCCTGAGAGATAAGGAGTCATCACAGCCTGTGCTGGACTCACCTCCTTGTGTGGGAGTATCTTTCCCCCGATCAGACTTGGTGTGTACCCCTTTGTTCCACTTAAGCATGTGCATCAACTGGCACCTGGCCAGCTGCTGTATCTGCCCCCCACTGAGGGGAGGAAGCGGGGGTCCTTTCTTCTGCTTCTCAAGAGGCTGTGTGTGCAGGCCAAATGGAGGGACCTGCTGGCCATGGGGGACCAACGCCCAAGACTGAAGCGGAGCCCACACCCCGCTCTGTCTCCTCTCTGTATGAATAATGTGTTGTTCTCCCGTCCAGTCTCTGACTGCCTTGTATTTCCTTGGCGACTCTGATACCAAGAGGCTAGGGCCAGAAGTGTTCAGACTCCTGCTGATAGGAAACCGATGCCACTTGCTGGACAAGATGAACGAAAATTCTTCTTGTATAGGTCTTTTTGTGGACACGTGCATTCATTTCCCTTGAGGAATACCAAGTACTGGAATTGTTGGATCATAGGGTAGGTGTAATATTAACTTTATTAGAAACGGCCAAATGGTTTCTTCCAGAATGCTTTCTCACCAGCAAGGAGAGTTCCACTGGCTGGACATCCTTGACAGCGCGTGGTGTTTACTGTTTTTTAAATACACCTGTTCTGGTGGATGTAAAACGGTACCACATCGTGGCTTCAATTTGTGTTTCCTTTAATGAGTAATGCTGTTGAGCATATTTTCTAATGCCTTTTCACCGTTTAGCAATCCTTCTTTGAGAAGACAGGCTTTGAAGCATTTTCCCTAATTCAATTGGCTTTGCTTTTTATTACTGATTTGTAAAAAGTACTCTCTATATTCAAAATTTGAGCCTTTTTTTTTCAGGTAAACACAGTGCAATTATCTTCTCCCAGTCTGTGGCTCACCTTCTCACTTTCTCATGGTGATTCTTGATGAGCAGAAGTTGATAACTTTGGTGAAATTCTACTTTGCTTTATTTTTTCCTGTTATCTCTTAAGGCAGAAATGTATTCTGCTACATTCTCTTCCAATAACTTTAGGGTTTCGTTTTAATTTCTAAATCTATGGCATATCAAATTCATCTCCTGACCACAGCAAACTTAGCATCTGCTAATGTCCTGATCACCAGAAAACTTCTGTATACTGTAAATAGACTGGCAAGAGTTACTTCTCTGCTGTTTCACAGCTATGGGCCCTGTGCCTCCCTCCATTTCTTCCCTACTCCTCTCTCCCTCTGTCTCCTTCTCTGTCCTTCTGTCTCTCCTCTGATGCAGCTGAGAATCCCAGAGACATCTGAAACAGAGAAGTGGACAGGTCCAGTCTAATCTATGTCCAAGAACCCAGGTTCTGTATTAGAAATCTATGTCAGCCCTTGCCTGACCTTGGTTAACTATCTTAAATTTTATGTGCCTCAACATTTTTCTGTGGAAGGTTGGGCCTCTTTGGGAACTCTGCCTTACACTGCTGTTGTCAGACGTGCCTGGATTTAGTGACTACTCAATCAATAACGTAATCACTAGAATTATAAAAATCATTATCATTGTCCTCTGCCTTATTTGTGAACAATCACTCTCCAGATTGTTTTCACTTTACCTTTGCTTGTAGAACTTCACGCAGATGGAATCACGTTGCATCTACTCTGTTCTACATGCTTCTTTCTCTCTGCGTAATGTCTCTGGCTCTATCCATTGCTGAGTGTAGCAGAAGTTCATTCCTCTTTCATTGCTGAGTAGTATTCCATTGCAAAGAGACAGCACAGTTTGTTTGCCATTCTCGCCCCACCTCCACCCCGATAATGAGCGTCTGGGTATTGGCTATTCTGAATAAACCGGTATTGGGTATTCTGAATAAGCCGGCTTTGAACTTTCTTCCCACAAGAGATTTTGAGGGCACCTGTTTTCGTGTCTCTTGGGGAAAACCTAGTTGCCTAATTGCTGGTACCAAAGAGTGAGATATGTGCAAGATCATAAAAACTCACAAAACTTGGCCCAAAGTAGTTGTGTCATTTTACATTTCCAGCAATGACGTGTGAGAGTTGTGGTTGTTCTTCATCTTCTCCAAGATTGGGTGTTTCCTCTCCTTATAAATTTAGCCATGCTACTGGGAGTTATAGTGGTGTCTCAATGTGGTTTTGATTTCCATTTTCCTGATAGCTGAACATATTGTATATGCTTTGTTGACCATGTGTGTACCTTTTATTCTTATGTATCTGTTCAAGTCTTTTACCCATCTAGCATACTTGGGTTGATTGGTTTTGTTGTTGTTGTTGTTGTTGTTGTTGTTGTTGTTGTCCTTGTTGTTTTAATTACCAGGTAAGAAGATCTCAGCATACTTTATAGTTACAGGGTTTGGGGGTCAGATAAGTTTCGTGACTATTTTCTCCCTGTCTGAGGCTGTCTCATTTCTTCACTTTCTTTGTTGCCTCTTTTGATGAGAAGATATGGCTAATATTTGATGAAGTCTAATGTATCAAGCCTTTCCTTTATACATTTTTTTCTGTGCCCTATTTAATAAATCTCTGTCTACCAACAAGTCACAAAGTATCCTCGAAATGCTTTATATCTTTGGCTTTTATATTTTGGTCTATAATGTGTCTCAAGTTACTTTCAAGTGTAGTGTGAGGGAGAAATAACCTTGTTCGTCTACCCCTTCTCCTTTATGAAAGGCAATTAATTGAAACTATTTCCTTTGCCCCATTAAACTGCTTTTATTGAAAACCTATGGCCAGTCATGGTGGCTCATGACTGTAATCCCAGCACTATGAGAGACTGAGGCCTGTGGATCACTTGAGCCCAGGAGTTGGAGACCAGTCTGGGCAACATGGAGAAACCTCATGTCTACTAATATGTGCCTGTAGTATGAGCTACCTGGGAGGCTGAGGCACGGGGATCGCTTCAGCCTGGGAAGCAGAGATTGCAGTGAGCCGAGATCGCGCCACTGCACTCTAGCCTGGATGACAGAGTAAGACCCTGTCTCAGAAAACAAAAAGAAATTAACAAACAAACAAAAAACCTATGAACCTTATAGCTGTGGGTCAGTTTCAGGTCTCCAAAGTCAGTCTGTTGATGTATTTGTGTCTCCCAATGCCACTTGCACACTGCCTTGATTATAACAGCTTAGAGTGAGTCTGAAACTCAGGTTGTGCAAGTCCTCTGGTTTTCTTCTTTTTCACACAGCATAATAAGCTTTGAAATAGGTCATAACTCATGTAACCATCACATAGATCAAGATATGCTGTCACTTCATACCTCTCATTTCAGTGTGGGATACAAGTACTTGCACATCTATGCTGATTGCCCCCTTGGGGCCAAGGATCATTGTTACGGGAAGTCAGGGACCCCAAGTGGAGGGACCGGCTGCAGCCAAGGCAGAGGAACATAAATTGTAAAGATTTCACCTTAATATGGACATTTACCAGTTCTCAAATAATACTTTTATAATTTCTTTTGCCTCTCTTTACTTTAATCTCTTAATCCTGTTATCTTCATAAACTGAGGATATACCTCACCTCAGGACCACTGTGATAATTGTGTTAACTGTACAAATTGATTGTAAAACACGTGTTTGAACAACATGAAATCAGTGCACCTTGAAAAAGAACAGAATAATAGCGATTTTTGTGAAACAAGGGAAGACAACCATAATTTCTGACTGCCTGTGGGGTCGGGCAAAAAGAGTCATATTTTTCTTCTTGCAGAGGGCCTATAAACGAACATGCAAGTAGTCAACATATCACTAAATTCTTTTCCTAGCAAGGAATATTAATATTAATACTCTGGGAAGAGAATGCATCTCTGGGGGGAAGTCTATGAACGGCCACTCTGGGAATGTCTGTCTTGTGCAGTTGAGATAAGGACTGAGATAAGCCCTGGTCTCCTGCAGAACCCTCAGGCTTACTAGGGTTGGGAAAACTCAGCCCTGGTAAATTTGTGGTCAGACCAGTTCTCTGCTCTCAACCCTGTTTTCTGTTGTTTAAGATGTTAATCAAGACAATACATGCACCACTGAACACAGACCCTTATCAGTGGTTCTGCCTTTGCCGTTTGCCTTGTGATCTTTGTTGGACCCTTATCAGTGGTTCTGCTTTTGCCCTTTTCCCTGTTCCCTCAGAAGCATGTGATCTTTGTTAGACCCTTATCAGTGGTTCTGCTTTTTGCTATTTGAAGCATGTGATCTTTGTACCTACTCTCTGTTCTTACACAACCTCTCCTTTTGAAACCCTTAATGAAAACTTGCTGGTCGGAGACTCAGGTGGGCATCACAGTCCTACTAATATGTGATGTCACCCCTGGCACCCCACCTGTAAAATTCCTCCCTTTGTACTGTCTGTCTTTATTTTTCAGCCGGCCGACACTTACGGAAAATAGAAAGAACCTACGTTGAAATATTGGGGGCGGGTTCTCCCAATAGATCCTCTCTTCTACCCTCTGGAGAGAATAAATCTCCAGTTGTCTGCAGGGAGGATGAACACACAAAAAGTCCACAACACTCAGCACAGAGTCCAGATTTTGGTGGTGGGGTTGGTGGGGAGGAAGCTCACATTTCAGGCCTTTTGAAATCTTAGGAAAATTTTTCTTTATTTCTAACTGTGAAATGTACAAAGCTTTGGATCATTTATAATTTCTTCTTCTTCTCGAAAGATCACAGGAGACCTAATATTTGTGTCTCCCCAAAATGCCTTGGTTGAAACCCTAACCTTCCTCTGTCGACTCCTGGAAAGTGTTAAAATCAGGAGGAGGGGCCTTTGGGAGGTAATTAGATCCAGAGGGTGGAGTCCTCCTGAGTGGGATTAGTGCCCCTATAAAAGGGACACTAGAGAGCTCTCTCAGCCTCTTTCAGCCACCTGCAGATACAGTGGGAAAATGGCAGTCTATAACCAGGAAGAGGTTCCTCACCATAACCCTACCATGCTGGCACCTTGACCTTAGACTTCCAAACTCCAGAACTGTGAGAAATGTCTGTTGTGGATGAGCCACCTAGTTTATGTTACATTATTATAGAAGCTCCAACTAAGACAGAGATGGAGTCCCATGGAGGGTGTCTAATTTTTGATGCTGGTCATTGCGTTCTTCAACTGGGATGTTGCAAATTAGAAACTGAGGGAGAGCTGACCTTTCCTGCATATGAAAGAAGAGAGTGGAGGGGCAGAGATACAGAATGGGGAAGAACAAGTTGGAACCAGAAAACTGATTTCAGGGTCTGGCACTTGAATGTCTGATTTTGGAGAAAGAGAAGACACTGGTAGGTGTATCCAGAGAAGAAGACCTTCAGTGGAAATGGCAGATATTTAAAAGCCATTCGATTACATCTTTCACTTGTTTGTATGTAGTCCCTCTTCTCTCATCTTTGTAAGTGTGGCACAGGTGAACTGGATGTGTTTGTCCAATGTGTTTTTGGAATGCATGTGTAAATAAAAATGACTGTGTCATATTTCAGATATTCATCCCGGAACCTCCTAGAGTTCCCTTAGGTTCCATCAACTGTACATTGAAAGTACAACAGGCGGATCGTGGGGATTAATTTTCATTGGACATTTCTAGGAAGAGGGAGGAGGAGGAGGGGGAATGTGACAGTCTCAGCAGCAGTTACTATACTCTTACCGAAGTGGTTTTCCTATGTGCTTCTCAACAGATCGGCCCTTTCTTCAAATAAGAGCAGTTGGAATAACAAAGCTGTTCAGTTGTACCCTTGGAATCCACTGAAATCCTGGGTAGGGAAGCTCCAGTACCACCAACTGGAAAGACTGGGAATGCCTAATAGCTGGTACTGGCCATTGTCGTAGGCTTTGTCCACTCTGACAAACTGAAGATGGGGACTCGACTCACCTTCGCCAGCCACAGGAGGACCTCCAGACGAGGTTAGGTCGACTTCCCGATAACTTTAGATCCTGAAACCTCACGGGATTTTTCTTCTCTTCCCTTTGATCTCTCTTCCGCTTGCTCAACAGGACAGGACTCGCTGCCTTTCTTTCCCGTCAGAAAGGGATCCCTTGCGGACAGGACCTAAGTGAGTAGCTGGTTTCCCCTACTTGTCCTTCCGGGCCTGGGTGTCTCGGGGGCTCAGGCTGACGGGAGACCTAACTACCGGCGAGTGAGACCAGCAGGAGCCTGGAGGGGCGCGCACCAGGGTGGAGGTTTGGTGCCGGGGGTTGAGAACAACAGTCAAACCCTCTTCTTCCCCTGGCACCACGCACCTGCCCCCCGGGATGCCGAACGAAGTGGTCCCTAAAGCTCCTCTGCAGGCCCAACCGAAACAGGCCTGAAGCTCCAGGATGGGCGAGAGGATCCTCTTTGAGCGAAACCAGCCTTCTGCCTGGCTGGCCCTGGTCAACACCCTGGGAAGAGGCCGATTTGGCGGACAGAACGGAAGAAAAGACCTAAAGGTAGAATCTCATGATGTCGAGATGTTAAAACACTCAAATTTTAAGGTTCGACTGTGAGGGGGAGATAGGGGGTCTCGAGCTGGATCGACCCCTGAGCCTTCATCTGCAGAGTCCTGTGCACCAGCTCAGAGGACAGGACTATGTGCACCAATGGTTCTCATCAGGCGGCAACTTCACCCTCACATGCCTCCCCCATCCCTGCTGGTACACAAGACCACGACTAGGGGAAGCCCGGAGGGAGAATGTTAACCCCTGGCATCTATCTAGTCAGCAGAGGTGAGGGATGCTGCTAAACACCTTACAATCCACCGGAGGACACCCGCCCCCACCGACCCCGAAGTAGCCATTCCCTGGAGGTGGGGAAACTCGCCTGTAGATCAATGCCCACGCACTTGGCGGACAGGAAATCACGAATTGGCCACTAACTGGATCTTGGATCTGAGGAAAAAATTCCAGCGTCAGAGGGAACTCTCGGAGATTTGCCCAGAGCATAAGGAACGTACTCCTTCCCTCAGTGATGGATCCTCACATCTGGGGGAAATCATAGACAATTTCTTTTGTAGGGCGAACTCTGCTATACAGTTTATGATGTCAGAGTGAATACTTTCTTTGAGTTGCAGTCAGAAACTGTAGATTTTTAAAAATTTAAAATTCATTATTCTCTGTCAGTATTCCAAAGTGTATACAGAAAGCTATTGCACTGTTCAGGAGATGGCGCTTAACATTTTGGAAATTCAAGGTGATGAATGTCCAGATAAGACTATCTCTCCTGGTACAAAGTTTGACAATGCTGAACACTTTTAAAGGTTCTTTTTGATATACAAAGTGCACCAATGAGTGCTTTTTAATTCTTACAATAATTCTGGGTGAGGTAGGTATTTTTCCAATTCCCATTTTATGCTTCGGTAGCCCTTTGTATTTATACTTCAAAACACTTGGCTCTCTTGTAATTATTTAAGAAATTAGTTGTGATTATTTGTTTAATGTGCAGGAGTTACAAAAGGCAAGCTTTAGAACAAGACAGACCTGGTTATGATTCCTGGCTCTGAAAGCTGTACACCCTGTGACCCTAGACAGGTGTTTTAATGCCTCGCTGCCTCTGTTTCTTGCTCTGTAAAATGTGAACAATAACAGTATTGGCCTCATGCTTTTTTTGGGTTTTAAAAGTAATAATGTGGACAAAGATCAGTGGAGTGCCTGGCATGCTGAACCCATTCCATGACTGTTAGATATAGTTGTTATGATTTGTATCAATCCATTTTCACACTGCTATAAGGAACTACCTGAGACTGGGTAATCTATGAAGAAAAGAGGTTTAATTGACTCACAGTTCTGCATGGCTGGGAGTCCTCAGGAACTTACAATCATGGCAGAAGGGGAAGCAAGACATTTCTTATATGGCAGCAGGACAGAAAGAGAGAGAGTGAAGGGGGAAGTGCCACACACTTCCAAACAACCATATCTTGTGGTTAATTAAAAAGTACTCATTGGTGTGCCTTGTATAGAAAAAAATATACACTCACTATCATGAGAACAGCAAGGAGGGAGTCTGCCCCCAAGATTCAATCACCTCCCAGTAGACCCCTCCCCTGACATGTGGGGATTACAATTCAAGATGAGATTTGGGTGGGGAAACAGAGTCAAACCATATCGTGATTGTTCTATAATAAAGAGATGCCCACATGTGTTTCATCAGGGACAGTGCTCATTAACCAGTTGTCCTGCCGTAATTATTAATAGTATCCCCTTTGCTTTCAAAAGTGTCCTAGTTTACAAAAAGTATAGAAATGGAGGACAGAATAGTGGTTGCCCAAGATTGGAAAAGGGTAAGGGTAAAGGGTGCAGAGGTGGATGTGGTTATAAAAGGCAACATGGGAGATCCTCGTAGTGAAGGAACTGTTTAGTATCTCCACTGTGGTGGTAGATACCCGAACCTAAACATGTGAAAAATTGCATGAAACTAAACACACACACAAACAAGTACAAGTTAAGTTAGGAAAATCCAAATAAGATTTCTACATTGTATCAATAGGTATATCTTGATTATGATATTGCAAGATGGTACTATTCAAGGAAACTGGGTAGAGGCTACATGAGACTCCCCTGTATTATTTCCTATAACTCCATGTGAATCTACAAGGATCTCAGGATTAAGGAAGATATCCTAGTTTGGAAGATAAAAAATATATCCCAGTAGTAATATCCACTGTCCCACCAGGGCCTGACTACCTTCTATAAAAAGAAGTGCCTTTGTTCCCCTCAAGTTCCTTTATTTGGTTTTATTCTTCTTCACAGTACCTACCTCCACTTGGCAGATTACATTTATTTTTTCATCTTTCAACAGCTATTTACTGAATGCCTACTAGATGCCAGGCTTGAGATCTAGCAATGAACAAGATCTCTGTGAAACTTACATTCCAGGAGGAGAAATAAATAATAAACCAAAAATATAATCAGTAAATTATTTAATATGCTGGGAAACAATATGTGTAATGGAAGAAATATGTAAAGTGATGGATTAGGGTTCTCCAGAGAAACAGAACCAACAATTGACTCATGTGATTATGGAGGCTGAGAAGTCTCAAGATCACAGTTGGCAAGCTTGAGACACAGGAGAGCCCATGGTGTGTTTCTGATTTGAGTCCAAAGGCCTGAGAACCAGGAGAGATGATGGTGTGATTACAGTTCAAAAGCTGGCAGGCTTGAGGCCCAGGAAGAGCCAGTGTTGCAGTTCAATTCCAAAGGCAGGAAAAGGCTGATATCTCAGCTGAAGCAATCAGGCAGAAGGAGCTCTCTCTTACTCATGGGCAGGTCAGACTTTTGGTTCTATTCAGGCCTTTAAGTGATTGGATGAGGATCATCTACTGGGGAAAGAAATAAGCTTTATTCAGTGTACTGATTCAAATGTTAATCTCATCCAAAACCATGCTCACAGACACACCCAGCATAATGTTTGACCAAGTATCTGGGCACCTTGTGGTTCAGTCAAATTAACACATATTAACTACCTTAGCAAGATGAAAAGCAGTGAATGCAGGATGGTGGTTGAAATTTTAAATACGTTGGTTATATAGTCTCATTGAAAAAGGAACATTTGAGTGAAGACTTGAAGGGGTGGTGGAATAAACCATTTATTTGCTTATTGCCTGTCTCCCTCTATCAGAATGAAAGCTTCATGAAGCGAGAGACTTAATTTTTATCTGTTATATCCCTAGTGCCTGGTGCAGGGTAAGTACTCAAAAATATTTGTTGAGTGAATAAGTAATGATTGAGGATGGGGACTGGTTTGTATCTGGTTATATCTCTTGTCCTTAGCACAGTACCTGGCACATCCTAAGCCATCCAAAAGAGTTGGTTATATGATTGTCTTTGAATTCTATGACTGTTTATAATATACAGTAAACTTCACTGAAGACACTGACTCACTTGTTTTGTTTGATATTGTGGCCCCAGCACTGCAGCACTTAGAACAGTGCCTAGAAAATACATAATAGTTAGTGAAAAATTGTTATTGACCAAATGGGCACAGATAAGGAGACTGAGGCTCAGAAATGTTAAATGAGTTGAAAATAGTCTCACAGCCAGGAAGCAACAAAGCATGGGGCCTAACTTTGTCTTTTTAATTCTCAAATTACAATATTTCATCTATATCAAACTGCTTTAAAAATTGTCCTGGGGTCTCTCGTTTGGCCATGGCCTTTCTTTCACCTACACCATCTCTCTTCCTTGTCCACTCCAGGCTGTGTTGTGTGGTCATGTCTCCCTGAGTGACAAGCAGGCTGGTTATGTGGAGTTGTCAGCACACAAGCCTCCCAGAGGATGGCCTTCTCCTCC
Source organism: Homo sapiens (assembly GCF_000001405.40). Lineage (NCBI taxonomy): Eukaryota > Metazoa > Chordata > Mammalia > Primates > Hominidae > Homo > Homo sapiens. Next base: position 148,292,275 of record NC_000001.11, read on the forward strand.
AGGTGCCACAGTGTCAGGGGACACTCTCTTCCATTAGCACAAGCAGAAGGTAATGCAACCTTTTGGTGGCCATCGACTTTGTCAGACAATAGTGCCGTTCAGTTTGAAAGACTCCACTGGGAAGTCGCAGACTTTTAAAACTAATTTGGTGTTTATTCAACTTTGCAATCACTTCTATGTACTATCTGTGTTTCACACACCATGAAACGGTGCTATACTGTGCAATTGAATTAGTTGTACAGTGACTCAAAGGCATTAAACAATGACTTTGATATTTTAAGTACTGACTAGGAGGGATTTTTAATTCCTTCCTCATAATGAAAACAGCAAAAAAAATCCAGTTACACAACCCTGGAACACTTACTCTCTTTTCTCTTCTGGGTGGACCCCAGTGAGACAGAAAAAACCTCCGAGCACTTAATTTGCTTCATGGCAGGAGAAAAATTAAACAAGCATAGACGTGCAACCTTAATGACACCCAGCAACACTAGAATAACAGTTCCCAGCTTCTAAAACCTGATATTTAGTATAATGGGTAAATCTGGTGGGAGCTTTTCAGTGCTGCTGAGTTTGAAAAAACAGCTACTTTGTGAGGAGGGGTGGGGGTAGAGGCAGGGAGAGTGTCTTGCTTGTGCTCACTTGTTAGGAGGGTCTCAGTGCAGAAGCCAAGCCAGAGGGGTGCAGGCAAAATACAGCACTGGCAGGAGAGTCCCTGAAGGCTGTGACCCTTCTGCAGACAACAGCATCACTATGCTAGGCACAAATGTGTCAGTTCTGCCAGAAACAACATGGGACTTTTCATACAGTGCCTTTCTGGAGATGGTACTGACAGAAAGGAAGAAGAGAGGGGGAAAAACAATGCAACAAAAAACGAAAACCATAGCAAGTGAATTAGTACCATGAAACTATGAGCATTAACTGGTTATAGTTCAGGGCAAAGCACCTCAGTGATGATTCACATCTGACAATAAATACAGGAATAGCTGTTGAAAGCTAGTTTGATTTTCACAAAGAGGTTTAAACAAACTTTCGTTTGTTCATTAGTCTTAAGCAACACATTTATGGCAGGGGATGCATTAAACCTAACATATGTCTGTGACCAAGGTATTTGGTGGTTTTAAAGATGAAGACACAAAGCCGTGCATATAGTTTATGCGGAGCGGCCTTGAACTACCCGTAATGGAGTGAGATACAGTTATTATGTATTAATGCTGTGAATCTTCATCCAGAGAGAGAAAACAAACAGGCGAGAAGGAATGCAGCATCTTTGAAGATAAAGACTTAGAGGGCCCCATTCTGCAATTGGTATTGAGTTTGCATAAACTCATTTTGTTGTTGTTGTTGCTGCATAATTTTTAAAATGCAACTGGTTTAAATCTGTTCCCTGAGGTAATTTACGCTAAAGCAGCATTCTAACACCATAAATTCCCTGCTTATGGCAATCTCTGGTTGGGTGTCAGGTCGGTGTAAGTTACTGAGCAAATGGCTGCTTCAAAATTTTTAGGGTAATTGCCTCTATAACTCGTTTAGCATAGGCCTTGTCAGGAAATCTCTAATTGTAATTGATGCCTCTGCTTCCTTTTCTCCTCCTGCTTTTTAACCACATTGTTGTACTAAAAGCTTCACTCTCCAGTGCAGAAGAGCATGGGGCTTTTCATCTTCTGTAGCACTCGGATTTTGTTATTATTAAAGCCTTCCCTCATGAAAACGTGATGTCACCCCCGATGGGGTCCAGAAGGTGGTGGTTGGTTGGGTGTACCTCTGCCCCAGCCCAATCTCTACCCTTGCCTAGGAAACCTTCAGTACAGAGAAGGTAGATCTTGATGGGGTTGAGATAAAATGAAGAGCAAGTTACCACTACTCCAATTCTAAGTTTTGTATGAATGCTGGGTTGGCTGTTGATTTCTACCAGAATGGTGTGAGCAAAGTCAACAGCATATTTTTCTCTCTTCTCTCATCTCATGTGTATGGGCATGATGCCTTGGTAGGAAGGGTATCATTGGAATTGTATATTACAATATTCATGGCCAGGAGCTTCTGTTGATTTGTGTCTACATACGGGGATTTTTCATGAAATTGCATAAAGCATGTAAAGAATCAACTCCAAAATCCAATTTGTTAATTATCTTGCTTAAAATATACTTCAATTATATCACATTTGACATCGTATGTCATTGATAGTAGACGGAAATAACACTTAAAATCAATAAGTGTTTTTAATTTATTTTACTTATTATGCTTGTCATAATATTTTGACATGGAGTGCTGACATGTCAACGATGCTGTTATCAGGAGGTAAGGCAATGGCATTAAACTGTCTCACCATCTGTGCTACTGTTTCAGCATAAAGTGGGCCCATGGGGAAAATATAGCTAAAATCTCCAATGAAGTGTCTGCTTATGAAGTAAATACAGGTCATCACTGAATAAAGCAGCCTGAGCTCAAAACAAAACCTGAGGGAAAAAAATCCACACTCTAATCTATTATCTTTTCTCCCAAAGGATTCAACAATAAGAGCACTAAAAATATGCGAGTGCTGTCTGTGTGCCAGACTTGTGAAAAGTGTTCCACATATTTTATCTCATCTCCTCTAAGAGGTGAGGTACTTGCACATGGCAAAACCCAGCTCTGAATGAAAGTCTGTGTGATTCCATGCCTGGATCTATTCTCAGAAACCAAAGCCATCACTATTCTATATGGTTTGGATAGAAAATGGATTCTGACTTCTGGATCCTCTCCTGGCTATTACAATCCACATCGCAGGGGGGTGAGGCACCCCCCGCGATATGGGGAGTCATAGCAACCCCCTCTCCCCCCCTGGCTGTCACAATCCACATCGCAGGTGTGTGAGGCAACCCCTGCGATATGGGGAGTAATAGGAACCCCCTCCACCTGCCCCGGCTATCACGATCCACATCTCAGGGGGGTGAGGCACCCCCCGCAATAAGGGGAGTAATAGCAACGATCTCTCCACCCCTAGCTATTACGATCCACGGTGGACTCATAGCCTGTTTACGATATTGTGAGTATATATCAACTCCCCCTCTGGAAATTATGAACTATTTCACAGACCTGTGTACACTCATCTGTATTGGGAGTAATATCAACCTCTTTCTCCCTGAATATTGAGAACAGTATCACAGGAGTGTTTCTACTCCCTGCGATGTTGGGTGTCATATCCTCCTCTCCCACGTTGAAATTAGAAACAATATCACTGGGGGCGTGTACACCTTCTGTGATATTTAAAGTAATATCCTCTTCCCTCCAGGATCATGGGAATAATATCCCTGGGGGGTGTACACTTTCTGCGATATATGTAGTAACATCATCCCCTCCGCCTTGGAATATTATTAAGGACCATTTCACGCGGGGGTGTATAACTCTTGCGATATTGGGAATATTATTATCCTCTTTCCCCCCCTGCATATTTGGAAAAATTTGAGGGTTTTAACATCTCGACATCATGAGATTCTACCTTTAGGTCTTTTCTTCCGTTCTGTCCTCCAAATCGGCCTCTTCCGAGTGTGTTGACCAGGGCCAGCCAGGCAGAAGGCTGGTTTCGCTCAAAGAGGATCCTCTCGCCCATCCTGGAACTTCAGGCCTGTTTCGGTTGGACCTGCAGAGAAGCCTTAGGGGCCACTTCGTTCGGCATCCCAGGGGGCAGGTGCGCGGTACAGGGAAGAAGAGGGTTTGACTGTTGTTCTCAACCCCCGGCACCAAACCTCCACCCTGGTGCGCGCCCCTCCAGGCTCCTGCTGGTCTCAGTCGCCGGTAGTTAGGTCTCCTGTCAGCCTGAGCTCCCGAGACACCCAGCCCCGGAAGGACACGTAGGGGAAACCAGCTACTCACTTCGGTCTTGTCCGCAAGGGATCCCTTTCTGACGGGAAAGAAAGGCGGCGAGTCCGGTCCTGTTGAGTAAGCGGAAGAGAGATCAAGGGGAAGAGAAGAAAAATCCTGTGAGGTTTCAAGATCTAAAGTTACCATGAAGTCGACCTAACCTCGTCTGGAGGTCCTCCTGTGGCTGGCGAAGGTGAGTCGAGTCCCCGTCTTCAGTTTGTCAAAGTGGACAAAGCCTACGACAATGGCCAGTACCAGCTACTAGGCATTCCCAGTCTTTCCAGTTGGTGGTACTGGAGCTTCCCTACCCAGGATTTCCGTGGATTCCAAGGGTACAACTGAACAGCTTTTGTTGTTCCAACTGCTCTTATTTGAAGAAAGGGCCGATCTGTTGAGAAGTACATAGGAAAACCACTTTGGTAAGAGTAGTATAGCAACTGTTGTTGAGACTGTCACATTCCCCCCACCTCCTCCTCCCTCCTCCTAGAAATGTTCAATGAAAATTAATCCCCACGACGGGCCTGTTGTACTTTCAATGTACAATTGGCAGAACCTAAGGGAACTCTAGGAGGTTCCGGGATGAATATGGGAAGTATGACACAGTCATTTTTATTTACACATGCATTCCAAAAACACATTGAATAAACACATCCAGTTCACCTGTGCCACACTTACAAAGATGGGAAAAGAGGAACTACATACAAACAAGTGAAGATGTAATTGAATGGCTTTTAAATATCTGCTGAAGGTTTCCACTGAAGGTCTTCTACCAGTGTCTTCTCTTTCTCTAAAATAAGACATTCAAGTGCCAGACCCTGAAATAAGTTTTCTGGTTCCAGCTTGTTCTTTCCCATTCTGTATCTTTGCCCCTCCACTCTCTTCTTACATATGCAGGAAAGGTCAGCTCTCCCTCAGTTTCTAATTTGCAACATCCCACATGAAGAATGCAATGACCAGCATCAAAAATTAGACACCCTCCATGGGACTCCATCTCTGTCTTAGTTGGAGCTAATGTACCATAAACTGGGTAGCTGATCCACAACAGACATTTCTCACAGTTCTGGAGTTTGGAAGTCTAAGGTCAAGGTGCCAGCATGGTAGGGTTATGGTGAGGAACCTCTTCCTGGTCATAGACTGCCATCTTCCTACTGTATCTGCAGGGGGCTGAAAGAGGCTGAGAGAGCTCTCTAGTGTCCCTTTTATAGGGGCACTAATCCCACTCAGGAGGACTCCACCCTCTGGATCTAATTACCTCCCAAAGGCCCCTCCTCCTAATTTTAACACTTTCCAGGGGTGGACAGGGGAAGGTTAGGGTTTCAACCAAGGCATTTTGGGGGGACACAAATATTAGGTCTCCTGTGATCTTTCAAGAAGAAGAAGAAATTATAAATGACCCAAAGCTTTGTACATTTCACAGTTAGAAATAAAGAAAACTTTTCCTAAGATTTTGAAAGGCCTGAAATGTGAGCTTCCTCCCCATCAACCCCACTACCAAAATCTGGACTCTGTGCTGAGTGTTGTGGACTTTTTGTGTGTTCCTCCTCCCTGCAGACAACTGAAGATTTATTCTCTCCAGAGGGTAGAAGAGAGGATCTATTGGGAGAACCCGCCCCCAATATTTCAACGTAGGTTCTTTCTATTTTCCATAAGTGTCAGCCAGCTGAGAAATAAAGACAGACAGTACAAAGGGAGGAATTTTACAGGTGGGGTGCCAGGGGTGACATCACATATTAGTAGGACTGTGATGCCCACCTGAGTCTCCGACCAGCAAGTTTTCATTAAGGGTTTCAAAAGGAGAGGGTGTGTAAGAACAGAGAGTAGGTACAAAGATCACATGCTTCAAATAGCAAAAAGCAGAACCACTGATAAGGGTCTAACAAAGATCACATGCTTCTGAGGGAACAGGGCAAAGGGCAAAACCAGAACCACTGATAAGGGTCCAACAAAGATCACAAGGCAAACGGCAAAGGCAGAACCACTGATAAGGGTCAATGTTCAGTGGTGCATGTATTGTCTTGATTAACATCTTAAACAACAGAAAACAGGGTTGAGAGCAGAGAACTGGTCTGACCACAAATTTACCAGGGCTGAGTTTTCCCAACCCTAGTAAGCTTGAGGGTTCTGCAGGAGACCAGGGCTTATCTCAGTCCTTATCTCAACTGCACAAGACAGACATTCCCAGAGTGGCCGTTCATAGACTTCCCCCCAGAGATGCATTCTCTTCCCAGAGTATTAATATTAATATTCCTTGCTAGGAAAAGAATTTAGTGATATGTTGACTACTTGCATGTTCGTTTATAGGCCCTCTGCAAGAAGAAAAATATGACTCTTTTTGCCCGACCCCACAGGCAGTCAGAAATTATGGTTGTCTTCCCTTGTTTCACAAAAATCGCTATTATTCTGTTCTTTTTCAAGGTGCACTGATTTCATGTTGTTCAAACACGTGTTTTACAATCAATTTGTACAGTTAACACAATTATCACAGTGGTCCTGAGGTGAGGTATATCCTCAGTTTATGAAGATAACAGGATTAAGAGATTAAAGTAAAGAGAGGCAAAAGAAATTATAAAAGTATTATTTGAGAACTGGTAAATGTCCATATTAAGGTGAAATCTTTACAATTTATGTTCCTCTGCCTTGGCTGCAGCCGGTCCCTCCACTTGGGGTCCCTGACTTCCCGTAACAATGATCCTTGGCCCCAAGGGGGCAATCAGCATAGATGTGCAAGTACTTGTATCCCACACTGAAATGAGAGGTATGAAGTGACAGCATATCTTGATCTATGTGATGGTTACATGAGTTATGACCTATTTCAAAGCTTATTATGCTGTGTGAAAAAGAAGAAAACCAGAGGACTTGCACAACCTGAGTTTCAGACTCACTCTAAGCTGTTATAATCAAGGCAGTGTGCAAGTGGCATTGGGAGACACAAATACATCAACAGACTGACTTTGGAGACCTGAAACTGACCCACAGCTATAAGGTTCATAGGTTTTTTGTTTGTTTGTTAATTTCTTTTTGTTTTCTGAGACAGGGACTTACTCTGTCATCCAGGCTAGAGTGCAGTGGCGCGATCTCGGCTCACTGCAATCTCTGCTTCCCAGGCTGAAGCGATCCCCGTGCCTCAGCCTCCCAGGTAGCTCATACTACAGGCACATATTAGTAGACATGAGGTTTCTCCATGTTGCCCAGACTGGTCTCCAACTCCTGGGCTCAAGTGATCCACAGGCCTCAGTCTCTCATAGTGCTGGGATTACAGTCATGAGCCACCATGACTGGCCATAGGTTTTCAATAAAAGCAGTTTAATGGGGCAAAGGAAATAGTTTCAATTAATTGCCTTTCATAAAGGAGAAGGGGTAGACGAACAAGGTTATTTCTCCCTCACACTACACTTGAAAGTAACTTGAGACACATTATAGACCAAAATATAAAAGCCAAAGATATAAAGCATTTCGAGGATACTTTGTGACTTGTTGGTAGACAGAGATTTATTAAATAGGGCACAGAAAAAAATGTATAAAGGAAAGGCTTGATACATTAGACTTCATCAAATATTAGCCATATCTTCTCATCAAAAGAGGCAACAAAGAAAGTGAAGAAATGAGACAGCCTCAGACAGGGAGAAAATAGTCACGAAACTTATCTGACCCCCAAACCCTGTAACTATAAAGTATGCTGAGATCTTCTTACCTGGTAATTAAAACAACAAGGACAACAACAACAACAACAACAACAACAACAACAAACCAATCAACCCAAGTATGCTAGATGGGTAAAAGACTTGAACAGATACATAAGAATAAAAGGTACACACATGGTCAACAAAGCATATACAATATGTTTAGCTCTCAGGAAAATGGAAATCAAAACCACATTGAGACACCACTATAACTCCCAGTAGCATGGCTAAATTTATAAGGAGAGGAAACACCCAATCTTGGAGAAGATGAAGAACAACCACAACTCTCACACGTCATTGCTGGAAATGTAAAATGACACAACTACTTTGGGCCAAGTTTTGTGAGTTTTTATGATCTTGCACATATCTCACTCTTTGGTACCAGCAATTAGGCAACTAGGTTTTCCCCAAGAGACACGAAAACAGGTGCCCTCAAAATCTCTTGTGGGAAGAAAGTTCAAAGCCGGCTTATTCAGAATACCCAATACCGGTTTATTCAGAATAGCCAATACCCAGACGCTCATTATCGGGGTGGAGGTGGGGCGAGAATGGCAAACAAACTGTGCTGTCTCTTTGCAATGGAATACTACTCAGCAATGAAAGAGGAATGAACTTCTGCTACACTCAGCAATGGATAGAGCCAGAGACATTATGCAGAGAGAAAGAAGCATGTAGAACAGAGTAGATGCAACGTGATTCCATCTGCGTGAAGTTCTACAAGCAAAGGTAAAGTGAAAACAATCTGGAGAGTGATTGTTCACAAATAAGGCAGAGGACAATGATAATGATTTTTATAATTCTAGTGATTACGTTATTGATTGAGTAGTCACTAAATCCAGGCCCGTCTGACAACAGCAGTGTAAGGCAGAGTTCCCAAAGAGGCCCAACCTTCCACAGAAAAATGTTGAGGCACATAACATTTAAGATAGTTAACCAAGGTCAGGCAAGGGCCGACATAGATTTCTAATACAGAACCTGGGTTCTTGGACATAGATTAGACTGGACCTGTCCACTTCTCTGTTTCAGATGTCTCTGGGATTCTCAGCTGCATCAGAGGAGAGACAGAAGGACAGAGAAGGAGACAGAGGGAGAGAGGAGTAGGGAAGAAATGGAGGGAGGCACAGGGCCCATAGCTGTGAAACAGCAGAGAAGTAACTCTTGCCAGTGTATTTACAGTATACAGAAGTTTTCTGGTGATCAGGACATTAGCAGATGCTAAGTTTGCTGTGGTCAGGAGATGAATTTGATATGCCATAGATTTAGAAATTAAAACGAAACCCTAAAGTTATTGGAAGAGAATGTAGCAGAATACATTTCTGCCTTAAGAGATAACAGGAAAAAATAAAGCAAAGTAGAATTTCACCAAAGTTATCAACTTCTGCTCATCAAGAATCACCATGAGAAAGTGAGAAGGTGAGCCACAGACTGGGAGAAGATAATTGCACTGTGTTTACCTGAAAAAAAAAAGGCTCAAATTTTGAATATAGAGAGTACTTTTTACAAATCAGTAATAAAAAGCAAAGCCAATTGAATTAGGGAAAATGCTTCAAAGCCTGTCTTCTCAAAGAAGGATTGCTAAACGGTGAAAAGGCATTAGAAAATATGCTCAACAGCATTACTCATTAAAGGAAACACAAATTGAAGCCACGATGTGGTACCGTTTTACATCCACCAGAACAGGTGTATTTAAAAAACAGTAAACACCACGCGCTGTCAAGGATGTCCAGCCAGTGGAACTCTCCTTGCTGGTGAGAAAGCATTCTGGAAGAAACCATTTGGCCGTTTCTAATAAAGTTAATATTACACCTACCCTATGATCCAACAATTCCAGTACTTGGTATTCCTCAAGGGAAATGAATGCACGTGTCCACAAAAAGACCTATACAAGAAGAATTTTCGTTCATCTTGTCCAGCAAGTGGCATCGGTTTCCTATCAGCAGGAGTCTGAACACTTCTGGCCCTAGCCTCTTGGTATCAGAGTCGCCAAGGAAATACAAGGCAGTCAGAGACTGGACGGGAGAACAACACATTATTCATACAGAGAGGAGACAGAGCGGGGTGTGGGCTCCGCTTCAGTCTTGGGCGTTGGTCCCCCATGGCCAGCAGGTCCCTCCATTTGGCCTGCACACACAGCCTCTTGAGAAGCAGAAGAAAGGACCCCCGCTTCCTCCCCTCAGTGGGGGGCAGATACAGCAGCTGGCCAGGTGCCAGTTGATGCACATGCTTAAGTGGAACAAAGGGGTACACACCAAGTCTGATCGGGGGAAAGATACTCCCACACAAGGAGGTGAGTCCAGCACAGGCTGTGATGACTCCTTATCTCTCAGGAAGGAAGTGCTCCAGGCCCAAGGCCCATTCCTACGTGGCAGAGTGGAGGTGGAAAGACCCCTGGCACCAGATTGCCTTTCCTCACACTTTGCTGTTGGCATACAAACTTGGTGACGGGCACAGAGACAAGCCATTGTAGGCCACAACAAAGAGTTTGGAGTTTAAAGTCATTAAAAGCTTCTTGTCGTTTCGTGTGTAACAGCCCCAGTGACTGGAAAACAGGTTCTGAGCACACCATTGCCTTCGTGTAAGCCACCACCAACAGGGCTGACTGGGTTATTTGCTCTGTGAGGCTCAGAGACAGGACGGTGCACGTCCAGAGTTTCCCTTGGACTCCTCCCCAGGTTAGTGAGCTGTGAGGTCTCTTTTCCTTACCCCGACGTGCCCCCAGTGACCGGAAGAACGGTTCTGAGCACACCATTGCCTTCGTGTAAGCCACCAACAGGGCCGACTGGGTTATTTGCTGCGTGAGGCTCAGAAACAGGAGGGAGCACGTCCAGGGTTTCCCTTGGATTCCTCGCCAAGTTAGTAAGGTGTGAGGTCTCTTTTCCTTCCCCTGACGCGCCTGGTTGCGGGAGCAAAAGGGAAGAGCTGACAGCCTAGACTAACGACATTGCCGTGACTCGGATTCGAACCGAGGTTGCTGCGGCCACAACGCAGAGTACTAACCACTATACGATCACGGCGAGCCACAGGCTAAGCCGCGATGGCGGAGCTTGCTCTAGCCCTTTTGACGTCAATGGATTTCGATTATTAGGCGGATTCGTTCCCAGACAGCCACAGGGGACTCGCGCTTTTCTTTCATGCCCGCTCTGCTTTTCCCTCCCTTCCTCCCAATCTTCATACGTGATGAGAACAATTCTCATCTCCTCCACTCCAGCCTGGGCCTCCCTGCACCAGCCTCTCTCGGGAGGTCTCTCTGTCCTGGTCCGCACCTCCTCTGCTTCTGTGGGGCCTCTCCGTATTTCTGCTTTTCACCCCTCCTCTCTCCCGCCCCACCGACCGAGGCCGAGGTGAGCGAGGGGAGCGCAAGCAGCAGTAGAGAATCGGGTGAAGGCGGAGCCAAGAAGGGGAAGAGCCATCACTAGAGCCCACGGGGCGTTCTGCTTGCTTCCCCTGGGACCCACGCGGCTCAGGCCCAGGGAGTCGCGGACCCGGGCGTTTCCTGGGATGCTGGGTCTGACGCCTGCGAGGGTCAGGACGGGGCGAAGGCCATTCCGCTGCCCTTCCAGCTTCGGAATCACCCAATGCACGGGTTTCAACCGTAGCCAGCAAGATGCGCCTCTCAGGTTTTCCGAGGCTTTGGAGCCTGCACAATTGTTCTACAAAAGGCAGTAGCTCCGCCGAACGTTGGATCGTCCCTTGGTCTGGTGATACCAGAACGAGAGTTGACTGTGTGTCTCAGTCGGTTGGTATGCTTGCTTCCAAGCCTGGAGGTGGGTGGTTCGAGCCTGTTCTATAGAGCTATTTCTTGCATTTTAAAAATGCTTAAACCGCTGGCAACTTTCTTCTATCGAGCACATGGTTTCATGGAAAGGCAGAGCGAGACCAACTTTACCCTCCACTCCTCCTTGTCTCGCGTAGGACAAGAGGAAGTAAATCAAGGTCCACTAGGATTCTGGGAACTCTCTCTCACCTTTTTTTTTTTTTTTTTTTTTGAGACCGGGTCTCCCTCTGTTGCATAGCTGGAGTTCCCTGGCGCGATCTCGCCTCACTGCAACCTCCGACCCTCTGGTTCAAGCAATTCTCCTGCCTCAGCCCCCCGAGTAGCTGGGATTATAGGCATGGGCCACCACGCCCAGTTAAGTTTTATATTTTTAGTAGAGACCGGGTTTCACCATGTTGGCCAGGGTGGTCTCGGTCTCCTGACCTCGTGACCCGCCCGCCTCAGCCTCCCAAAGTGCTGGGATTACAGGAGTGAGCCACCGCGCCTGGCGCCCTCTCTCTCTCTCTCTTTCTCTGTCTCTCTAACTGTCATTCATTTAGCCCTTTCCATACGCTTTTGAGGTTAAATTGGTTCTGTGATTTTACAATTACATATAATGCTCTAGTCATTCTTGTACGGGCATTGTCATCCACTGGTGTATAAGTATTTCTATAGGATAGAGCTGCAATTACTATAGAAAGAGCAATTACTCTATCATAGTGTCCACGCTGTTTTTATATCATTCCATTCTCTCTCCTCTTTTGGCTTATTAGCTATAACTCTTTCATTTGTTATTTTAGTAATTGCCTTAGGGCTTATAGCCAACCTTTTTAACTTATCACAGTCAACCTTCAAGTGATGTTATACCTCGCCTTCTGGCCTTGATGCTATTGCTGACATGCACTTTACCTTTGGGCATGTTATAAACCCCACAACCCATTGTTGCTTTTGTTTAAATGGTCAAATTTTCACAAAAGAAATTTACAAAATAAGAAAATACCTATTATAGTTACCCATTTCTGGTGTTCTTCATTTCCTCTGGAAATGAAGATCTGGATTTTTGTCTGGTATTGGGTTCCTTCTGCCTGGAGGACTCCTTTCACGGTTTTTGTAGTGTGGCTCAGCTGGCTGCTAGTGAATTCGGTCAGCTTTTGTACATCTCTAAATGTCATTTTTTTTTTTTTTTTTTTTTTTTTTGAGATGGAGTCTCGCTCTGTCGCCCAGGCTGGAGTGCAGTGGGGCGATCTCGGCTCACTGCAAACTCCACCTCCCAGGTTCACACCATTCTCCTGCCTCAGCCTCCCCAGTAGCTGGGATTACAGGCACCCGCCACCATGCCCGGCTATTTTTTTGTATTTTTAGTAGAGGCGGGGTTTCACCGTGTTAGCCAGGATAGTCTCAATCTCCTGACCTTGTGATCCACCCACCTCGGCCTCCCTAAGTGCTGGGGATTACAGGCTTGAGCCACCGTGCCTGGCCTAAATGTCCTTATTTCACTTCCAGTTTTGGGAATTTATTTTTTCTGGCATAGTATTCTAGGTTAACTTCCCCTGCCCTCAGTACCTTAAAGATGTTGCTTCTCTGTCTGCTCGTGTGCATTGCTGCTCCTGGTAGAGGCCGGCAAGAGCAGAAAGGAAGCTGATGCAATCCTCATCTTTGCTCCTGTGTATGTACAATGTCTTTTTCTTCTGGCCAGATTTGAGCAATGTTATTATGAGGTATCTAGGAGTGGTTTTCTTCATGTTTCTTGTGCTTTTGTTTCCTCAGTTCCTTGGGTCACTGGATTTATAATTTTTGTTATGATTGGGAACTTTCCAGCTATTTTTCTTCAGAAATTGGCTGGGCACAGTGGCTCACGCCTTTGGGAGGCCAAGTCGGGAGGTGTTGAGTGAGGCCTGAAATTCAAGACCAGCCTGGGTCTCAACATACTGAGACCCCATTCCTAAGAAAAATAACAAAGAAAGAAAATAAATGTTTCCTTTCCTCCCTGCTCCTTCTCAGGGACTCCCATTACTCATAAATTAGACCTCTTAAGTCTGCCCTACAGTTCAGTGATAATCTTTTCATTTAAAAAAATTTCTTTTTTCTGTAAGTTTCATTTTGCATATTTTCAATTATTCATGGTTCCATGTTCCCTGATCATTTCTTCTGCAACATCTAATCTGCTGTTAATCCCATCCAACGACTTTACCATCTCTGATAGTGTGGTTTTGGCATGATTTGGGCTCACTGCAACCTCTGCCTGCCTGGCTCAAGTGATTCTCCTGCTTCAGCCTCCCAAGTAGTTGGTACTATAGGCATGTGCCACGATACCCGGCCAATGTTTTGTATTTTGAGTAGAGACAGGGGTTTCACCATGTTAGCCAGGATCATCTTCATCTCCTGACTTTGTGATCTGCCGGATTCAGACTCCCAAAGTCCTAGGATTACAGTTGTGAGCCAGTGCACCTGGCCCCTTCCTTCCTTCCTTCCTTCCTCCCTTCCTTCCTTCCTTCCTTCCTTCCTTTCATGAGACAGGGTCTCACCCTGTAGCCCAAGCTGGACTTCAGTGATGTAATCTTGGCTCACTGCAACCTCTGCCTCTCAGGGTGAAACGATCGTCCCACTGCAACCTCCTGACTAGCTGGGACTACAGGCACACACCACCATGCCTGGCTAATTATTTGAAATTTTTTTGGTAGAGATGAGGTTTCATCATGTTGCCCAGTCTGGTCTGAAACTCCTGAGCTCAAGGGATCAGCCCACCCCGGCCTCCCAAACTGCTGGCATTACAGGCACCTGTTTGTTTGTGGAGAGGAGCAGTGGGGAGATTTCAGGCAGGAGAGTAAATCAGGCATCTGTTACTCAAACTTTGCTGGGAGCTGAAGGCATCTGTTTACGTGTTCTTAGTTTGACTTCAACAGGAGGTGTGCCAATTTATCTTCCAACATATTTTTCCAACTCAGTGAGACAGCCTTTTCCTTCGTGCTCTTGGCAGCTCAGCAAAGTTTCCACACACCAGTCTGATGTACCAGTGACGGGGTGGTGCCCTGCCTGACTTACCTAAGCAGGAGGCGCAGCAGAAAGACATGGTGGACACTGCCCAGAGATACTCTCTGATAAGTGTTCCACAGCTAAACCTCCAAGATGTTTAGAAAGTCTTCCAATAATTGTAATTGTTTTCTCTGGTGATCTACCTAACTAAGTCCAGAGAAAACTGGCTGGAGGGACCCTGAGCTGCTTCCTGTCAAGAGGCTTATCAAATAGGAGGGGAAAGAATGGCTTCTTCTAGAAATTTGTTCCTCTTCTCATTTCTTTATGAATTGCATTCTGCTTTTGTTGAATGCAAACGATCTATGGACTGTTCTCCCTCCTAGACAAGGGTGAATTAGCATGCTAAAAACTACCTCTGTGTTATTCCTTCCTTGACAGTGTTTGTTTTGTTTTGATTTTTTGTGAGACTCATCTCACTGGAGACAAATCTCTGGAGCCATAGGATCCTGCACCTGACCATGCTTCTTATGCAGACCTGGATCCTTGGAGTTATTGGCCCCCTTTGCCTTGGTTCTTTTGTTGACTCTCTTCAGCAAAACTGAACTCCAACTTTTACACCCTAAATCTGGCTCTTGGACATATAGGTCCTTTTGCTTCCCAACTCCTCCTTGATCCAGCCCTGCCTTTCCAACCTCTCCATCTGTGTCTGTGTGCCTGTGTCTTGTCTGTCTGTCTCTCATACTCCAGGCTGCCCCCAGTATTACCCACTTTCTTCTCCTCCTCTTCAATGTTCAGGGTTCAGCTTCCTCTCTACCTACAGAGTCCCACAGACTGAAGGTGTTTCCCCTTACAGAGAGGGGAGCTCATTCCAGAAGGTGCCCTCTAGACTTGGAATAAACCTTACAAAGAACACCCAGGTTTGAAAAGCTTTTTCTATCTTCCCATTACCCCAATTATTCAAAGGACTAAAAGTGGGAAGTCCAGTAGAATTCTTGATGTCTCTCAGAAACCGACATTGGAATGCCTTCATTCACTGAGCATATATTGGGTGCTCACTAGGTGTGAATCCTTTCTCTAGGTGAGTAGCTGCATGGTGTGCCAATCCTGCCTTACAGAGCCCACATCTAGAGGCCTCAAGAAGAGACTGGGCAGTGGGAACACAACCGGCTTGTGTCCTCCCCACGAGCGTTTCCCCGTTCAGGGACAGGGGACACGAGCAGTGAGCATGACAAATGAAGCACAGTGAAGGAAGGGGAAGTGGGTGACTTCAGACCAAGAGGCTACTGTGGTCATGTGCAGTGGGGCCGCTTCTGATAGGGGAAGCACAAGAGGCAGTGTGGGCCAGGGAGAATGTCCTGGATCTGGCATTCCTGCATCTTGCCCCCACTCACACTGCCTGGTAACAATGTACCCAACCACACAACTTCTGGCCTCCATGTCACTACGCCCTCAGGCATCTAGATGCGCAGCCTGGGGATGGGGGCATTTAATAATAGACAGATGTCTGAGGCAGATGTCGTCAGACTTCCAGGCACAACGTGCCTCATTGTGGAGCAATTAGGGCAGTCATCGGCAAAAAACTAAAGACTACTCATCCTGTTCCATGCAGGAGCATAGTTAACCTTGTAACTATTCTTTTCTGACCTTCATTCTTCCACGTCCAGATATATGGGGTCTTTGATGCCCATCTGCTTCAAGTTAGATGATGAAAATCCTGCCTGAAGGCTTAGGGGTTTGTTAGAAAAATAAATGCTGTTCGCAAAAGGTGCATTTTAGGCAAAAGCTCAGTTCTGGAGCTCCAGAATCTACCTACCCCAAGCCCAATATACACCTCCTTTCTGTACCTCCATCCTCGTTGCACCTGCCTTCGCTGATTCTTCAGGCTGCCCATCTCTGAGAAGATGGCAATCCCTAGCAGAAGAACAAGAGAACCTTGGACACTTCTGTCCATGAAGCCGTAGACGCGAGCAGATAGCCTTATTCCTTGGCGGTGTGACTCTGAAGTCACAGGTTTTCTGTGCCTCCATTTCTGCATTCTAAAATGGGCCCAATAGGAATGCGTTTCTAAATGGGTTGTTCCAAGTTTAAATAAGACAGGGCAGTAAAACATTGAACCCATGCCCTGAGGCATAGTAAATGCTCCAAGAGCATTAACCATTATCATCGGTGGCCTCATCACGGCTATTATTATCTACATCCATCTTTGAAATAATTGCATATCCTTTTAGGGTATGGAGTGATCACAACATATAACATTTCCTAATTGGTGAACATTTATTATTACAATATTGCTGTTCTTTATTACAAATATTGCTGCTGGGAACATATTTCTGCATTTTAATCATCACCTGTGTGTTTCTCTATCAAATCTTCACACACAATTTGGGGATGTTACAAAATGTATTCCTTCATCGGGAATTGAACCCGGGCCGCACGGGTGAAAGCACCGAATCCTAGCCACTAGACCACCAAGGAAGCTGACCCACACAACCATCTCCTTTTCAGAGGAAAAAAGAGAAGGTAAAGAAAGATGAACTTTCTAAGAGATGGAGCGGCCAACTGAAAGTGGCTGTCTGTGACCCAAGCGGGCTGCAGGACTGCAGGGCTCCAGGCAGTCACTGAGCAGCTACTCAACACCTCTCGCCTCTGCCAGCCTGGCCGCTGCTTTGGGCTGTATTGAGGACAGGCCACAAGGAAACTGAGCAGGTGTTCCATTCTAGCCTAGCTGTAGCAAGGTGTGAGGCAGAGCCAAGCACTTGCTCTGTTTCCGAGCCTCAGTTTCCTTGCCACCGAAGTGCGGACTTGGCTCTCATTGTGAGCCGAATCCCTCTGCTTCCTGATCTCTGAACTGGCGCAAGGGGCTCTACCAATAAAGACATGTGTAGGGGTCCCCTTTTGCCCCCAACTAGCTCAATTAGTAGAGCATGAAACTGAATGGATGGGTCTTTGGCTCGAGCTCCAGGTGCAGATTTACGTTCATTTTCTTTTGTTCCGCCACACAATTCGACCGGTTCCGCCACTGTCCTCGGGGCGCGAGGAAGCCAAGTGGGCTTCACAGGAAAGACCTCCTTGGTTTCAGAGACATTGTAGCTGTCATCTTGAAATCTTCAGAAAGAAGATTTTGGCGATAGATGAGAAGACTGGAAATTTCTGGATCTAAAGCTAACATGAAGTCCACCTCATCTGGCGCCCTTGTCTCCCGATCCAACTCACGGATCCAACTCATGGCGGGCAAACCAGGCCTGGTTCCTTGTGCTCAGCGGGGTTTCAGGTAGTAATGGAACTCCTCCCGTACTTCTTGTGATCAAAGATGCAGCTAGTTTCCCCCATCCCACCCCTCAGCTCCCCTCCCCTCCCTTAAAAAAACAGAAAAAGAAAAGGTCATTATGAAAGCCACCTTTCGTGTGAGAGGCGAACCTGCTGACCCCACTCTAGCTAAACGACCCGAGCACCGCCCCTTGAGGACAAACCCACGAAAATGTTAGGCGCCGCCTTGGGCAACTGCGTATTGCTGCCTGTGACAGATGAAATTCGACTGCATCTGGACATTCCCGCGGCCCCAGGAAAGTGCTAGCAAAAGGCCCCGGAAAGCACCTGCGATCCCTCAGGTAAGAAGACTGCTGATCGCAATAGGCCCGGTCTGAGGGTTCCCCGCTTTCTCCCGAAATGAAGACACTGGAGACCCATAACCGGGCTACAGGATCCGGATTCTTCCCGCGGGGTATCCAGTTCCAGAACTAAGCGCCCATGTGCGGGATTCGCCTGGCTAACACTCTCCGGCTCGCAGAAGCGGCAGCAGCCGGCGGGTTTTGAGCTTCCGAGTCCCGGGTGCGCAAGAGTGTGGACGCCACCCCTCCAGGGCTGCCAAGCCTCCAGGGCTGCCAAGCCGAGAGGCTCCAAGCCAAGGGGCCTCATCCGCGCGCTCTTTCCTCGAGGGCCCTCCACTCAGGTTGTCAACAGAGGTAGGTCAGGTGAGAAACCTGGATTTCTACACACACCTGGCTTCAACGAGATGGTGCCACTCCCCTTCCCCTGCAGAAGCAGACTCAGAAAAAGGTAGTTAAAACAGAAGGTTTCAATAAAATCGAGAGTCTGGTAACATAATACCCAAAAGTCCAAGTTTCAGTTGAAAATCCTTCATCATAGCAAGAAGCAGGAAAATCTTATGCCGAATGAAAATAGACAGCCGATACACACTGGCAATAAGATGAGAGAGGTGTTGGGATTGTCTGACAAAGATTTTAAAGCCAGCAAGCCTGATGAAAATGATTTAGTAATTATGAGCACATTCAAAACAATGGACAAATAGAAAGCCTTAGCAAATAAATACAAGACTTAAAGGAGAACCAAATGGAAGTATTAGAGGTGGAAAATACAACAACCAAAATAAAAAGTCCAACACATAGGCTCAACAGCAGAATGGATGGTGCAGAGCAAAGAAATCCATCCACTACAGATGAAAAAATAGATATTGCACAATCTTAACAAGGAAAAAACAGACTGGGTGAGAAGGTAAGCAGAACCTCTGTGAAACTACCTCAGAAGGTCTCACTTTCATGTTGTTATTTATGTCTGGAAGGGGAAGAGGAAGAGGAAGAGGACAAGGCTGCAAACATAAAGAAGTAAATGGCTAAAAGCTTCCCAGAGTTGGCAAGAGACAGAAACCTACAGGTTCAAGAAGCTGTGAGAACCCCAAATAGAATAAAACCCAAAGAGGTCTATGGCAAGCCACATGAAAAAATAAAATGTTGGAAATGAAAGACAAAGAGAATATCTTGAAAGCAACACAGAAAGGTGACACCTTACCTAGAAAGGTAAAACAATTCTGGGGATGATCTATTTCTCATGAGAAACCATGGAGGTACAATGAAGTTGCCAGGTGCTTTTCAAGCCATGAAAGAAAACAATTGTCAACCCAGACTCCTCTCTCCAGCAGAAACATCTTTCAGGGATTAAGGGGAAGATCAAAACAGTTTCAGATTAAGAAAAGCTAAGGGAATCTCTGACCAGCAGTTCTACCTTAAAAGAAAGGCTAAAGGGAGTTCTCTAGACAGAAAGGAAATGATTAAAGAAGGAACCTTGGGACATCAGAAAGAAAATTAAAAAAAAAACAAACAAACAGCAAGCAAAATAGGCCTTCCTTCTTCTCTTGAGTTTTCTAAACTACGATTGACAGCTTCAGAAAAAAATCATACCATCATTTGATGTGGTTCTAACTCTCTGTAAAAAAAAATCTTTGAAATAATTATAAACTGGGAGGGTAAAGAGACCTACAAGGGAGGTAACTCATCTATCATTCATTCACACTGGTACAACAATGACACCAGTATACTGTGTGGTAAGATAGAGATGCACAGACATATGAATGTCTGGAAAAACTAAGAGGGCTATGCAAACAGATATACTCAAAAACACTATGGGTAAGGCAAAACACCATTCTGAAAAATGTTCAAGTCACCTTAGGAAGGTAAGGAAAAGAAAGCATATCCAGAAAACGACACCAGAGAGAACAAACACAAAAGGAAAAATATAATGGCAGGCTTAAGCCCTACCCTATCAATCATCGTATTAAATATCAATGATCTAAATATACCAATTACAAGACACAGATTGGCAGAGTAGGTTAATGGACGCGACACAACTACATCCTGGCTACAAAGAGACTACCTTCAAATATGATGATACAGGCAAGTTGAAATCCAAAGGATGGGAAAAGATGTATCATGCAAACCTTAGACAAAGGAGAGCAAGACTGGTTATATTAATGTCAGATATAGTATATTTCAGAATAAAGAAACTAATCAGAGACAGAGAGGGACAATATATAATGAGGAAACAACCAATCCACCAACTCCTCCCCTGACAAAAGTCATAAATGTCTATGCAACAACAATTGAAATTACTGAACAGTGAACTAGACAAATCCACAAATATAGCTATATGCTTCAACGTCCCCCTTTCTCAACAATTTATGCAATAACCAGACAGAAAATCAACAAGAATATAGAAGAACCCAACAGCATGATCAACCAGCGGGACTTCCATTGACAATTTTAGAACACTCAGCCACACCAGAATACACATTGTTATGGGATGCATTGTGCCCAGCCACCCCAAATTCATATGTTAAAATCAGAACATTAGTAGCAACTAGTGATATACCAATTAAAATCACAATGAGAAATTGCTGCATACCTATCAGAATGGCCAAAAGAAAAGCGTAACCACATCAAGTGCTGTCAAGGATTCAGAGAAAGCTGGATCACTCATACATTGCTGGTGGAAATCTAAATGGTTACAGCCCACTCTGGAGAATATCTGTATAGTTTTTACTTTTAAAACTATATGTGCAACTACCATACCACCTAGGAATTGTATTCCATGCATTTATCACAGAGGAATAGAATCTTATGTTCACACAAAATCCATGTACTTAAAGTTTATAGCAGCCTTGTTTTTAATAGCCAAAATTGAGGAAAAAATGTATAGATGACTTTCATGAGGTGAATGGTTAAACAAATTGTGTTATATATCCATAGCATCGCATAGTCCTCAATAATTTTTTTTAAAAAACAACAAATTATTGATAGCCACAATAACCTGGATGAATCTCCACAGAATTATGTTGAGTGGACAAAGGGTAATCCCAAAGGTGACATGTAGGATTCCACTTACGTAACATTCTTGAAATGAATAAATTATATGAATGGGGAATAGATTAATAGCGGCCAGGAATTAAGGAGGGAAGGAGGAGCAGCACTGGAGAGACAGGTTCACGGCTATAAAAGGGCAACATGAGGAATTGCAGTGTTGATGGAAATGTTCTGTACCTTGCTTGTATCAATGTCAATCTCCTGGTACTGTGGCATTTGCAATACATTTGCAGTATTTGCAAAAATTACCATTTTGGAAATATTACCAAGATGTTACCATTGGAGGAAACTGAGTAAAGTGTACAAGGGACCTCTCTTTTTCTCTCTGAGTTCTTAAGATTGTATGTGAATTATTAAAATGTAAAAATTAACTTAAAAAAATCCTAAGTATATTTCTCCTTGACTGATCATGCCTTTGCTTAAAAACATTAAGGCAACAATATTTTTCCCAACACCCTTTATTTTCTTGAAGACTGTTTTAACAAAAGCTGTTCTTAGGGCTTTTCCTAAAAGTTTAAAACTTCTAGTAATCCTTACTGTTCTTCTTTGAGAACCGTCCAGGGTTTTGTTTTATTTATTTATTTTACACCTTTCAAAAGAATAAAGACAAAAACTGGCAACTGGCATATAATACTATATTAGTCTTAGTCCTCCAGAGAAAGAAATGAGCAGGATACACACACACACATACACACACACACACACACACACACACACAGAAGCAGAGAAGCCCAAGTTCTACTCTGAGTAAGCTCTAGACCGAGGAGAGTCAAATATAGTTCAAGACCAAGTCCAAGACTTAAGGCAGAAGATTGATGTCCTAGCTCAAAGACAGTGGAGAAGAAAAACTTCTTTCTTAACCCTTCATCCTATTCAAGCCGTCCATGGGTTGGATGAGGTCCACTCACACCCAGGAGGGCAATCTGCTTCACTGAGTTTACTGATTGAAATGTCAATCTCTTCCAGGAACACCCTCAGAGACACAGTGAGAAATCATGTCTAACCAAATATCTGGGCACCCTCTGGCCCAGTCAAATTGCCACAAAAATTAACCTTCACAAAAACTCTCAATAGAAGTTACTAATAAATGTAGCATCATGTCCTGCCTGTTTATCCCATGACAATTAATATACTCCAGCGTAACATTGGCTTCTGTTCCCTTACTGTAGCAACACATAGGAGTTTCATTTAAAGTGAGGATAATTTTTACCTTATGAAGTCTCTCCCTACCCATACATACCATTGCCACTTGTGGATTGTCATTTTGCCATGGCTTTCTTATACAAAATATCAACAGGCTATATACTTTGAAAATGTAAGTTTGAATTTCATCTTGGCTGCATAAGTCACTTTCCATTTTGACAAGGCCTAGATATATTTTTATCTCCCGAATATCGGTAATGCATACCTATTTTGGGGCCCACTCCCAATCTCACGGTTTTCTTTGTTTTCATTTAGATCTCAATAGATATGCCTAGGCTGCTGGAATGTCACTGAAAATGGCCCGTGGCCTTGTCCATCTATCAGAGTCCAGTAAAATCTTGACCATGGGATGGGGGAATGGAAAATGAGAACAACCAAACTCAGCACACAAAGACTCAGTTTAAACCTCTGTGCTAAGAGTTGATCAGACTCTATCATGACTTCTAATAGCATAAGACCATATCCTGTGTATGACCCTCGGCTCCCATGGCAATGCCTGCCTAAGAAAGCTCAAGGCTGCCAGGGGAACTTACTTTAGTTCTAGCCAGTACCTGCTGATGATGGTAGGTTCCTTCTTATAGCACTTACTAAGAAGGGAATCCTTCCTCCATCCCTTTGAGATATGTGTGTATCTCCTAGGGACTCCAGTGTGTCTTTTCCCAGGATCTGAAAGCCATTCCTTTGAGGTATAGTCCTCAGGAAGGACTGAGTCTCTGTCTTCCGGTCTCTGTGGGAGGTTAGAATCCTAATGTCTAATATTGCCAGCTGGCAGACACAGCTGTCTTGATGAGGCAGAAGCTTACAATGACTAATCTTTTGTAATGTTTCACTTGTGCTGTGCCCTCTCCCCTGCCTCACTCTCTGTTTAGAATGCCATCACCTCTGCACAAATGCGATGGAGCTCAGCCCCTTCCTCTATGGTCAATAGTTACTGAAGAAAATCTGTTTTCACAGCTTTGACTAATGTCTGACTTTATCTTTGACAAAATAAGTGTGACCAATTGTTTTTAGCGGCACGGCAGCTGCAAAGAGAGGCACAGACATGATGGGAGAGGGAGGAATCATCTGACCCTTCTCATTTCATAGGCATCTATTACTGCCTGGTATTTATGAGCCCGAGACTTGGCTGGGCTGCCCTGGTGTATCACTCCATGGCTCTGAGGCAGGACTTGAATAGGCTGGTGGTGACACTTGGTGTGACCATAGCCACCTTCAAAGATGCCATTAAGGGTTCACTAGAAAATGAAAGGAAACATAGAAAAACTGATTTTGAAAGTTGTTGCCTCTCCCACTTCCTCATACAGAGTGTGTATGATATTGCTGTGTGATGTTAGTTGGACTGCAATTTAGCACAACAGCTGTTCTAATAATTGGTAGTTTCTCATCGAGTTAAGCCTACCTGAAAAGGAAGCACACTTACCTTTATTGATTACCCCCATTAAATGAACAATACATCCAAAAATGTTCTTATTAACCTCATTTTTCTACTAAGGAAAAACTGGGAATAACACAAATCTTCATCAACAGAAGGATTTAATACTGACTGTTATACAGCCATAAAACAATCCCAGAAGTTCACTCAATAACATCAAAACCAGAAATCCACACTGATGCCACTGATGGCAGAAAATCATGATACAAAAATGAGAAAGAGGAGAGAGAAAAAATGTACTATAGCCAGAGTAGTGGGTAAAAGCCAAAGAGCTCAGTTTCTACTCATGATATTCAGTAGAAGAACCGAAGGAACATGAGCCAATAGCTCTAAGGGTCCAGGTCTGCACAAGGTGCCTGTTGGGTGCAGGGTTCTGTTGGCTCCAATGATGTATCGCAAATGGGCTAATTTTTATGGACATAGCCACAGCAGAAATCTATCAAAGAATAATAAAGGGATAGCTATTTGCATGTTAATTTACCACTGTATAGGAGGGAGAATGGGCATTACATTGGTTTGGTCAAACAAAAGCAAAACCAAGATTTATGAAGAAAAGAGGAAAGGGGAGAAGAAAAAATTATCTGGGACCTTTGTGATTTTGCTCCCCTTGTATAAGCGACTTGGCAGAAAGCTGACAAAGAGGTCACTGTGGCCCATCTTCTCCGGACCCACGTGACTTGGTCACCACAGAAAACAATTACAGATATTGGAGGACTTTAAAACATCCTAGAAGTTTAGCAGCTCATCCTAAGCCGCAGAATATCTGTGCGTAATGTCCACCATTTCCTTCGGTTGTACACCCCCTCAGTTAAGCCAGGAGGATGCCTCTCTTCTCAGTGGAATATCATACATCAATGTGTAGAAACGTTTGTTGTGCCGGCAAGTAAATGACAGAAGGGACATTGATAGAATTGGGAAACAAATTGGAATATGATTTGGTATCGCTCCCACGGAAGATAAATTTGCAGAATGTACTCAAATTAGAAGCATTAAATAAATGTTGTAATGTAAAAATGGCACATCCTCCTCTCTACACTATAGAAATATCTGCACAAGTGTCCAAAGATATGTGTACAAGAATAGTGGAGATTGCGGCATCATTTGTAATCCTAAAGCCATGAAACCCACCTCATTTCAAAAACATCTTGAAAAGGGTTAAATCATGCACAAACAGAGGAAGAAATGCTGTTTTCACAAACAATGGCGAGGATCACCATGAGGATGACTGATTCCACTGGTCACATTATTGATAGAGGAATTACTTAAACCCAGGCACATCCGGGGACAGAATACTACTGTAATAGGTCTCCTATTATTAAACATGAAAAACTAGAGGCACTTTACTCCCCCAAGTCTTCCATGGGAGCAAAGAACATTTTTATCACACCAGAAGTGAGTTCCTGTCTAAGGTCTCTGGGATTCTTGAGTTTGACAGGTACAAGGCACCATGGGCCTTGCCAAGCCTCAGACCTAAGAAGGTGGGGAAGAGGACATGTGTGTCTCCTGATTAGGCTGGAGTTGATTGTATATCAACAGAAATGGGTTAAAACAACAAAGCGAGGAGTCCCTGGTTGGGCTCGGACCACCAGCCTTTCTGTTAACAGCCAAACGCGCTGATTGCGCAACAGAGACCGCTGCTACTGATTCTACCGGGCGCTACGTGCAGGGCACACTCACCAAACTCTCCCCATCCCTTTTGTCCTGAGGGCCTGCCCCTCAGGAGGGAAAACCGGAGACATTAGAGCGGTGAGTCGCGCTGATCACGTTGCACACCCGCGGGTTGGGAGATTCTGGAGCCAGAAGGACAGCCGAATGGCCTTCGCCCGCCCTGCCCCTCGCCTGCTTCAGAAGCCCCCGGAAACGCCCCAGTCTGCGACCCGGGCCCGAGCCGCCTGGGGGCCCAAGGGAAGCTGAATGCCCGGTGGGCTCCCAGGATGGCTCTTCCAGTTCTTTGCGCCGCCTTCACCCCGTGAGGGAGCCTGTGCCCACACTGCCCAATCGCTTTAGGGGCCGCTGCAGAGCTTCCGCTGCCATCTTCGGATCCTGTGTCCGCAGGCGGGCTCCACCAGGGCAGGGATGGTGGTGAGAGTTCCTCGTGATCCCCTCGCAGGGAGCAGGGTCTGCCATTCACCAGGGCGCAGGACTAAGACTCGTCGAGTGAATCCATTGTCGCCTTTAACTTTTAGTCCTTTGAAGAGTCCTGAGAATGTAAATCATGAACTATTTTTCTGTGGGGAAGTTTTGTTTTGTTTTGTTTTGCGACAGGGTCTCACTTGGTCCCCCAGGCTGGAGTGCAGTGGTGCAAACAAGGCTCACTGCAGCCTCGACCTCCCGGGGCCAAGTGATCTTCTTGCCTCAGCCCCCAAGTAGCTGAGACGACAGGCGAGCGCCACCACGCCCGGCTAATTTTTGTATTTTTTGTAGATACAGGATTTCGACATGTTGCCGGGGCTCGTCACGAAGGGGAAGTAGGTTCTTTTTAAAAAGCATTTTTTCCGATTGCTTTATCGGGCATCCTGTGGGGCGCGCAAGCGGCGAGGCCTCCAGTGGCCTCTCTTGCCACTCTTAGGCAGGGAGCTGCGGGGACTCAGCTGCACTGTTTTTGGGTGCCTGTCTTGCGCAGGAGGCCGGAGCCGGGCAAGGGGTGAATCCAACAGGGAATTGCGAGGAGGAGGGCAAGGAAGTCGGTAGAGGCGTGGACCAGGAAGAAGAAACTTTCCAGTAGCTTTGTGCAGCGGTAAGGACTGCACAAGGGAGAGATGAGAAGTGTTTTTTTTATTGTAGCAGAATGGGGAAGAAAGGGGGGAAAAACGGAGAGACACCAAGAACGAACGAAATCTACGCGGACCCTTAGGTCTCCAAAAAGGAAGCAGCCCTGCATTACGTTTAAACAAAGAGCCCGGCGCCCTTCAGCTCCTGTGGCTTGCGGTGATCGTATTGTGGTTAGTACTCTGCGCTGTGGCCCCAGCAGCCTTGTCTCCAATCCGAGTCATGGCCACATCCATTCTAGGGTGTAGTGCTCTTCTTTCCCTTTCGCCTCCAGTCTCAGCCTAGGCTGAGCCTCTGACCTGCGGCTAGAAAGGTCACAACTTTCCTGTGGCTTAGGAACTCCCGGTAGTGTTGAGAATAGAAGGAACCCCTACGCTGCATGCCTAGGGGTCCGGTTATCTTGAAAGACTTTTGCCTCCTCTCTGAGCAAGTACAACACCCAAAAGATGAGATGCCCCCTCTCAGTCAGCCTTATTGGAATCTTTTACTGTTGACATGATATGGCTGTACCCGCTGTTCTGACTCAGATATTTCAAGAATCCGTGGGGCCTTTTCAGGCCAAATCAGAAATGAACAAGAGAAGATGAGAGTTCACACTCCAACTGGGTATTTTAAGTAAAACCTAACGAATACAGTAAAATCTAAAGTTAATGACATTCTCCAACCCCAATTTTTAATTTTGTTTTTATTTATTTATTTTTTGCTACCAATAAATGACTGAAGTATAATCCGCAGAGACCAAAGTGCACCAATCTTAAGTGCGTGGCCCAGTACATTTTGACAAAAAAAACCATCACCTAGATCAAGTTACAGCACATTTTCAACAGACCAAAAGGTCGTGAGAACCCCTTTTCAGTCAATCTTCACCCCATCCCCACTTAGGCAATCACTATTTGATTTCTATCTCTGTGGTATACTTTTACTTCTTGTAGAAATCACGTAAAGGACTATACTGATTTTGCCTGTGTTTTTCTTTTTTTAAATGCAACAATTGTTATGAGATGCTTCCATTTTATGACATGTATCTCAGCTCTTTGCTGTTATTAATGAGTGTTATTCCAACATGTGAGTATACTACAGTTGATAGACAATTGGGATATTTCTAGTTTGGGCTATTGTGAATAAGGTGTTTACAAATATTCTATTATGGGTCTCTTTATGGGCCTGTGCCTTCAATTCTGTTGAGCATGAACCCAGCAATGGAATGGCTGGGTCATGAAGTGGGTGTATTTTTAACTGTATTAGAAACTATCAGACAGTATTTTAGAATGGTGGCACTATTGTATTCTCTTTTATTTTGTTTTGTTTTATTTTATTTTATTTTTGAGACGGTCTCACTTTGTCACCCAGGCTGGAGTGCAATTGTACAATCTCTGCTCACTACAACCTCTGCCTCCCGGGTTCAAGCAATTCTCCTACTTCAACCTCAACCTCCCAAGTAACTGGGATTACAGGTGCCTGTCACCACGCCCAGCTAATTTTTGTATTTTTAGTAGAGATGGGGTTGCACCACATTGGCCAGGCTGATCTCAAACTCCTGACCTCAAGTGATCCACCTAGCTCGGCCTCCCAAAGTGCTGGGATCTCAGGCGTGAGCCACCACTCCCACCAATACTATTGCATTCTCTTGCCAGCAACAAGAGTTACAGTTGCTCTGCATTTTTATAAGCCAGTGGCTTTCCCTGTCTCTTAAATGTTACCCATTCTGATGAGTGTGTTATGGAGTATCATGGCATTTTAAATTTGTGTTTCCTGAATGAGTAATAATGCCAAGAATCCTTTCTTATGCAATTTGGCCATTAAGAAATTCTCTTTGGTAAACAAACACTGTTCAAGTGTTTTGCCCATTTTACATTGGCTTGACTCTTTTCTTCCTCCCCACATTTATACACAAACTTTTCTATTTGAATAGAAAAGTTGAGAAGATAGTACACAGAATGGAGTAAAGAGGATGGAATGGGTTTTTGGAAACCAATTCACACTTTAAAGTTGTTTTAACATCCTCCATCCCCAAAGAACAATGTATGTTTTCTGAAGACATCTCCTTATTGAAATATGCAGAGAAAGTGTGAGATAAAAGAGCATATACTAAACTCCTCAGAACGTGTTTCTGGAAGTGGACAGGGAAATGGGAGTGGGATAAACAGAGAAAAGAAGGAAAGACAGTAAGGGCCTTGCTCAAAGCAGCCACCATAATGTGCCCTGAGCTAAGGTACATGATTACCTTCTCCCTGTGCACCTGAGATCTAAGAAAACATATTAACTAATCAGGGACATGGATTTCAAAAACACTACAGAAAAACAGAAAATTTACCCAGACAGACCAGTCTAGTTAAGAAAGGCAGGAAGAGATTTTATAAACAAAGCAAAAACGCAGAAATCATACAATGAGGTGGTGGGAATGAGACGTCATCTCCAATATAATACTAATTGCTGCAAATTACAATGCACTTAAGTCTCTCAGATGGGATAGAAAAGGAAATGCCAGCTCTAATGGTTTAATGGGCAGAAAAGGGTAAAATATTCAAAGAAGTGCACATTATTATATATATGTATATATGTGTATATATATGTATATATGTATATATATGTATATATGTATATATATGTATATATATATACATATATATATAATTTTTTTTTGAGATGCAGTCTAGCTCTGTCACCAGGCTGGAGTGCAGTGGCACGTTTTCAGCTCACTGCAACCTCTACCTCCTACGTTCAAGTGATTCTTCTGCCTCAGCCTCCTGAGTTGCTGGGACTACAGTCACAAGCCACCATGCCCAGCTAATTTTTGTATTTTTAGTAGAGACAGGGTTTCACCTTACTGGCCAGGCTGGTCTCGAACTCTTGACCTCATGATCCACCCACCTCCGCCTCCCAAAGTGCTGAGATCAGACATGTGAATGACTGCGCCAGGTCAAAAGCAGTGCACATTATCTTAGCAAGCTAATGCAGAAACAGGAAACCAAACACTGAAGTTTTTATCGTTTCTTAAAGGCCAAGTGTGAACTATTGTGACAGCTTAGTCTGAGAGTTCCAGATACATAGCATGGTTTTTGCCCATTTGCTGGGTCTTTCCTCTCACATCCTAAGTGCTGAAAAGACACATGTGGCAGGGAAAGAGAGTTTCTTGAGCTTGCCACAGTGGTGGAGGCATATAGGTCATGATTGGCCACCACTAGAGTACAGGCACAAAATCTGGTTGCTTCTCTCACATGAAACAAAAGGCATCTACCACTGATGTTGGAGCAAGGAACCCTTCCAACCCTGGCCTATAGCTGGCCCCAGGTATAGGCCAGCTGCTGAGGTAGAGTTAGACACAAAAGCTGTCTATACTGGACAAGGGAAGACTTGCAATCAATCATTTGAGTTGGTTGCAGACCCTTTCCTTTAATGAGGAAAAACTGTGATGTGGGTACAAAGTTCCAACATCCAGAAAGATTGGCCTTGTCCTTAAGGATATTATGTTGATTGGATTTCTCTCAACCTCCTTCAGTTGTGTTTAGCATTATTAAAATTAAGTGACATTCACTTGGATGAAGTGGTAATAAAAACAAGCTGTGAGAATTTCTAGTGATTTTTGATACCAAGCCTTGTATCACTGTTGGGCTTTCATGTGTGTACTTGAAAACAAAACATGTAAATTGTTGCACTGGTTTGAAGATTTTAATGGTGAAAGCAACCTAATCAGTTATGAGTACCACATCGAGAAACCAACCTTGGAAATATGTGATTATGCTCTTTTAAAATAGCTGAAAAGAAAGATGGGTGTGGTGGCTCATTCTTATAATTTCAGCACTTTGGGAGGCTGAGTCAGGCAGATCACTGAAGGACAGGAGTTCAAGGCCTGGCCAACATGGCAAAACATCTTTACTAAAAACACAAAAATCAGCTGGGCATGGTGGTACACAGCTGTAATTCCAGTTACTCAGGAGGCTGAGGCAGGAGAATCCTTTGAACCTGGAACTTGAAGGCAGAGGTTGCAGTGAGCTGAGATCCTGCCACTGTACCCCAACCTGGGTGACAGAGGGAGATTCTGTCTCAAAATAAATAAATAAATAAAATAGCCAAAAAAAAACTGACTGTGTGTTTATTCTCACTTTGTTCTTGTTTTGTTGTATAATATTTAAATAAAAGGAGATTATTTATCCTCATACTGAATTTCCAAAACTGATATTTGCATTTAGTATTTTGTTAAATGATGGAGAGAAAATTTAATTGTCTTACTTTGAAAAGTTTGGCATAGGTTCTGTCACATTTTTGATGCTTTCGGTCACAGTTCTGTCATTAGAATGCTGGCAATTAGTTACATGCAAGGAGTATCCTAACCACTTTAATACGATGGTTTGAAGTGCTGCAGGCAGTAACTACTGGACAGCAGATCATAGTGTTTTTATCGGTGACACGTTAGAGAGAAATAGAACTTTCTGCAGTACAAATGTCCTATTAACTAATCCTTATGCTATTAGCTTACAGGGCTTTGTCTCCTGGGTCTGAAAAAGGCAGCTTCTCCTTCTAAATCCTGAATATTGACACCAATTAATGCCTTGTCTTCAGACTCTGGGGAAGATGACAAACAAAATGAACTGCTTTCACAAGACACAGAACCAGAAATTGAAACCATTCAATCCCTTTAGGCCCAACAATCCCACATGTCCCGTTTTCCACCTCATGCCCCCTCTTCCTCTAGACAGAAGAGGTGGGCACGTGAGAATTGTAGGCTGGAGTTTGAGGGATAAGTTTAGTTCAGAGACTTTCTTTTCTTTCCCTTTCTTTCTTTTCTTTTCTTTCTTCTTTCTTTCTTTTTTTTTTTTTTTTTTTTTTTTTTTTGTATTTTTGGTAGACACAATGTTTCACCATATTGCCCAGGCTAGACTCAAACTCCTAAGTTCAAGTGATCCACACACTCTGGCCTCTCAAATTCAGAGATTTTCTATAAATTAGACATTACAGTCAGGAGCACACTGATGCAAGGCCAACATCTGGGCTCGTGTATTGCAATATCAGGGTCTTCTAGAGCATTTATCTACTCCTTAATACAAAAGTATAAAAGGTTATGAAAGGTTTTTGGAACTCTTACCTCATGGTCAAACTGACTTTTTTTTTTAATGCCTCCTTATAATCTTTTTACCAAAGGTATATTTTAGTTTTCTTATACACCTTGCACATAAACTGTTTCTTTAATAGTACTCAGGAGGCCTTATTACTTTTAAATTATACAACTTTGTTTGCATAAAATTTTTTTATAACTTTTTTTCTTTCACGACTTCCACAGACAATTTTTCAACATGTCTCAACTTTCTGACTTATTACAAACACTTTTTTCTTTAAACAACCAGTTAATTTATTTCAGGACAAGAATTTACCACATAACTTTTTGTTTGTATAAATTCTGCTTCCTCCTTTTTTTTCCTTTTTTAAAGTGAACTTTCTTTATGTCTTTGGATAGACTGTCTAAGGCCACAAGATTAGAAGTTACCATAATACATGTTACACTGTTAACTTTTAGCAAACTTCACTTTTGTAGAAAACCTTGTAAGTTTGGGATTTCAATTGTCCTTTGCTATTAATAAGACCTTGTTTAGTCTAAATTAACTTAGAATTGGTATAGATGGCCTCTTTTTCTCTCTGATGGTCTTTACTTGCCTCTGCCAGCTGCTTATGCTGCTGTTCTCTTAACTACTGCGGGCAGGGAAAGGGGGTCTAAAACCAGCTGTAACTGTCCATGTACGGAAACTGGTCTGGGTGCCTTGGCTTAGAGGTTACCTTATGCCATACCTTTGAAACAAGGGACCTGTCCAGGCTTCCTTCTGATGGCCAACCTACATCTAATGCTGGCCAGTCTATTTCACATAAAGTTCTAAGTTTTTCTGGAGTCATAGTGACTCCATAGTCTCCATTGAATCCTTTCTTGAAATTTTTTAACATAGTTCCTAGTGGGGGGGGCTTATTTGTGCCTGACCCATGTTTCTTCAAGACAAAACACCACGCTCACACCACACGCCACACACCACAAAACAAAAAACAGGTAAAAAGGGCACACACACACTTCTGCAGTTTACACCAAACCAAAATCAAAACCAAAATCAGAGTATCCAGAAATCCAAGCCAGGTCAAAACCAAAACCGAAGTATCAGGCAATCTAAGTCAAGTCAAAAACAAAAACCAAAGTGCCGGTACAGGCACATTGTGGGTGATCAGGCCACGCTTCCACTCAAATGGAGTAGGCAAGTTCCCAAGACCAGTCCTGTCAAGCAATTTAAACCAAGTCAAAACCAAATCCAAAGTGCCAATAAAGGCACGCTGTGGGTGATCAGGCCACGCTTCTACTCAGATGGAATGGGCAAGTTCCCAAGACTAGTCCTGTCAAGCAATTCAAACCAAGTCAAAACCAAAACCAAACTGCTAATAAAGGCACGCCGTGGTTCCACTCAAATGGAGTGGGCAAGTTCCAAAGACTAGTCTTACCAAGTTTCAGATGTCCGGACTCCAAGTGCCAGTTCCTTCCCGGTGTTCAGCCACTGTGTTAATCCTCCGCGGGGGCCTGCTATGCATTGCTCTGGCAAGGCGTTCCACCGGGGCAATTGCCTACCCCGAAGCGCTCTTTGGATCATGTCACTCAGGCTGGCCGAAGTCTCCCGCAGAGACGCTGCACAGCGCAGGCTTAAGCCGCCTAAGGGGCTGCCTTGGCAGTCTGTCAGTCACCTCGCTTCCCAGTCAGGGAACCAAGAAAGGTAGCAGGATGAGTCACAAACAAAACCTCTCAGACACGGAGTTGTAGAAGGAAGGGCTTTATTCAGCTGGGAGCATCGGCAAGCTACTGCCTTAAAATCCGAGCTCTGGTCAAACTGATTATAATTAAACTTGTGTATAAGGTTTTATTAAAATTAGCTTTAACATTTTAATACACCACACAAAGGTAAAATTTGGTTTTCTCTTTTGATCAAAATGTTTGTGTAGTATTAATAATAGATAAAATATTTTTGTTTACTTTCAAAGTAAACTGCAGGGCAAAAGAAGGAAGGGGAGAGACACATACACATGGCCTCATGTTGTCTTCATTAGCTCTTACTGTTTAGAAAACTCAGCCTCTTTTCTAGCAAAGGGTGAACATTTTTGTTTTATCATTTTGGCTAAATGATTGACTATACTAAGGTGACCTGTGATCCTATTTTGTGATGTCAAGTGTCTCAAAACTTTGATATCTGGCAAACTTTCTAAGAGTAAAGTTTCTAAATTCAACCCTTTGGGCCTCAAATTAACTTTTTGGATATTAGGTTCTTGAAGTCCAAGAGAGATATATTAGGCTTCTTAGACTTATTTGTTATGTAGAATTATGCAAGGAGCATTGTCAAATCTGAGGTGGTGTTTCACTTCCTTTGGGTTCTATTGACACAGATGTGTTGTTAATGTGTGTTCCAGGATTGTATGAGATTCCTAGAGTTCTGCTATGCTGTCAGTAATAATTATGATTATTATGTTAAATTGTTGTGTGCCACAGAAACAACAGAATTCCCTTGTCAATTGTATCTATAACTATGGCTGTCTTAAGGCTTTTGTCATCCACAATTGTTGTTTTGCTTTGATTCTTCTTAAAAAGTGACTTATAATCAGTTACAGTCCAGGCCTTTCTTCTTTGGGGAAGTCCATGAAAAGGACTCTTGGATGCAGGACTCTTCTGATAACTTTGGAGATTGTGCCACTGAAGTAAAGAGAAAATTTCCAGGGCACTAATAGAAAGACGGATGTGTTCATAGAGATTGCTACCCCAATGTGACGCAGAGCAGGAGTTGATTGCATGGATTGAACTAATAGAGGACTGAAATAAGTTTTTATGGCCTTTGTTTGTTTCAAACATTGTTGATTCTTCAGAGTCTGGAGAACTTGTTTCCTTTTGAGCTATTTATAGACTGCAACAATTGAGTAGAATCGTCTTCTAAATAGAATTTGAGGCATATTGTTCTCTCTCTGACGAATTTCTACAGAATTTGTAAACTGAATATTCTTAACTCATGACAATGTGTTTGTTTGCATGAGTTCAATAAGATTCTGTTTTCTTTTATAATGGGACACAAGTGGAGGAACTGGTAATTTTCCCAGGGCTTTGCCTGAAATGGTGTTGTGAAATATTCCAGCAAAGCCTATTTAGGAGAGCCTATATGAACAAGGATTCTTGCTGCACTTTGTGTGGGTAATCAGGCCAAGTATATGGGACTGAAGCTTCTTTTGCAGGTAGGTTGGTCCTGCTGTGTTTTGTCTTTAGTGGAAGTGAGGGACTGGAGAGAGGAAGATTGTGTTTCAGGAGAAACTACAGTATTAGATGAATGTTTGATTCCTGGGTGGCCATGCAGTCACCCATGGTGTGGAGCTGCTCAGGATGCCCCTCCTCCACATGATGCAGCCAGAAAGATGGATGATCAGATTCCCCATGATTGAGGAACTGACAAATAGAAAGTGGGGACTGAAATCAACCCAAGAGTCCCACAGACAGTGTTTTTGGATAGACATAGAAATGGACCCTTCTGGTCTTAAAGCTTGAAACTTAGGACATTTGTTTTATCTGAGTTCCTTCCTCAGCAAAGGCCTCTCAGGCCTCTCAAAAAGCATCACAGACCTGAAACTCAGCAGATGACAGCCTCCAGACAATGAGATGCCAGACCCCTCACTCATCATGAGTGCTTCCTCACCCTTCCCTAGTTCCTCTTTTCCCACCCACAGTTAACATTTCTTCCCTGCTACATAAACCCCTCACTTTAGTTGATCAGGGAGATTGATTTGAAACTGATCTTCCATCTCCTCAGCTGCAGCACCCAATTAAAGCCTTCTTCCTCAGCAATACTCAATGTCTCAGTGATTGGCTTTCTGTGAGCTGAGTAGCAGGGCCTAGACCGAACTCCCGGGCTTTCAGTAGCAATACATGTACACTTTTAAAGACTGTAATTAATGGGTCATGATATATTGACAAATTGTAATGGTATCAACTTGGCCAATTCTGAGAAAATACACTGTGCTTCAATATCAGGGCCCTGCTCCTGACCTCGACAGTATATGGCTGATTTTGAGTCATAGTAGGAGAGTATGGCCTGGTTTGAGTGTTTTATAGAAATGTAAACATGGCTGATTTCTTTTATTTTAAATCCAACAAATCTCCATTTCTGGTGAGAAAATTTTGTTAAAACCAACCAACCAACGAAACATAGAAGAATATGAATAAAAAAATAAAGGATTCCCTGCTTCCCAATCTCACTTGATTGCTGTCTTCTATTATATGCTACAGGGAGGAAGGGGGCAAAGTGCCCAGGAAGTCCCATGTCCTGTTTTGACAATCATCTGGCCTCCTTGGGCAAATGGAAAAGAGGGAAAGCATCAAGAAAATAACAGAAATTTTGCAGATATTTCATCTCCGGGCTGGGTGCGGTGGCTCACACCTGTAATCTGAGCACTTCGGGAGGCCAAGGCAGGCAAATCACTTGAGGTCAAGAGTTCAAAACCAGCCTGGCCAACATGGCGAAACCTCATCTCTAGTAAACATACAAAAATTAGCTGGACATGGTGGCCCACACTTGTAATCCCAGCCACTGGGGATTACAATCACTTGAACCCGACAGATGGAGGTTGCAGTGAGGGGAGATTGCCCACTGCCACTGCACTGCACTCCAGCCTGAGCAACAGAAGGAGACTCTATCTCAATGAAAAGAAAGATGAAAAGAAAGAAAGAGAAGGAAGGAAGGAAGAAAGAAGAGAGAGAGAGAGAGAGAAGAGAGAGAGAGAGAGAGAGAGAGATTTAAGGAAGAAAAGAAAGAAAGAAAGACAGAAAGAGAGACAAAGAAAGAAACAAAGAAAAAGAAAGGGAGGGAGGGAAAGGAAAGAAGGAAGGAAGGAAGGAAGGAAGGAAGGAAGGAAGGAAGGAAGGAAGGAAGGAAGGAATGAATTTCACCTCAAAACAGGACCCAGACTGTGTCGGTCCTGAAGCCTCTGTGACCGAGGCTTCAAGGGCTCTTCTCTGGCCCTAAATCCACAGTGGATTTTGCCTTATTTTCCGAGGTGCACATGAAATGATAGAAGTCGATCAAAGGAGAGGGCAGAGAGAAAGCAAGAGGGCTGGGTCCTTCCTGCAGGTCCACCTTCCTCAGGTATTGCTTGTGGGATCAAAAGAAATGCCTTGACATGGGTGGGTGGGAACTATTGATACTTATTAGGAATCCACACACCTGCAGAAAACTTGCATTGTGAGGTTCCATGGTGTAATGGTAAGCACTCTGGACTCTGAATCCAGCCATCTGAGTTCGAGTCTCTGTGGAACCTTTCTGTGTAACTGGGACGATAATGCCGTCTTTTACTCCCTAAATGGAATGGGGATTCCGCTGACGTTCTTCAGAAGCTCTGCGCTGCGGGCCTCCGTGTCCCTTCTACTCCCGCTGTCTGAACCCCGCGATGTCCCCCGCGCTGTTCGTCCCCTCTTCGTCTCCCTCTTCGATGTTCCGGGTCCCAGAAACCAGGTTATCACAGTGGCCCGGATCATAGGGAAATTGCGAAATCATCCAGTTGGGATCACCGAGCCTGCAGGGTCCCCTTCCTGGGCGAGCCTCCTGGCCCCGTGCTATCGGAGGCCTGGACACCCCCGCCAGGGACCCAGCGACCCAGCAAGTCCCCACCCCCTCTAAGGGCGACCTGGGCCTCGGGGTGAGAGGTCTCCTACACTAAAAAGGCTGCCGCCCTTCAATCCTAGACCCCGAGATTCCTTTCACTCGGGAAATCTCGTAATGGCATCCATTGTCATTTTGGTAAGTAAATGGCGTGAGAAAATTTGATGGGGTTAGCTCAGTCATTGGAAATTGTGTCTCAGTTTACGATCGATGGTTTGAGACCTAACTTGGGAGTAGCACTGTTTTATTCAGATGGCCCATCCTATTCCGAATGTTAATTTGCTCTGTTCTTCATATTCAGATCTTTATGCCGAATTTCTAGCTCCTGCGTCTCCATTGCCGGTCCTAAAAGTCGCCGTTTCACTAAGCTTCGGAACCTGACTCCGAGAAATCTATTCGTTCGTCCCAAGATCTCAGCCAGAAAGAGAAATCCGCGCGGCGGCCTCTTCTAGCTCGGGTGCTGGGAGGCCCCGTCCTGATCCTCTGTCGCCCTGGCCGATCTCCCTCAGGGCCACGGGGAAGAGGAACCTGAGCAGCTCTGAGGGGCGAGTCTCTGACGGTGGGGCTCCCCCTCGTCCTGCCAGGACCCTGCCCCAAGGAGAAGACCCCTTAGGACGTTACCAGATTTAAACAATGTTTTCTCCTGCTCTTCAGAGCACCTGGGATAAGGTTCCTGATGGGTCTTGGGAGCAAACTAACATGTCGCTCCAGGCGCTCAAGACCATCCCTCTGATTTTCATATTTTGGGGCTGAGAGCGTTTAAGAAGGACTGAAAAACGCTGCAGTCTTTGAGGGGCTAAGTTTGGAGGATGCGGGAGTGGGAGAGGATGCCTTCTTGGCTCCTTGGAGTGGACTGGCAGGTAAGGAAACACAAACTCCGTTTCCCCTTGCAGGCTGGACTGCAGGGCCTGGGATGGAAAATTGGACAGTCAAAGAGTAACAGTATTTATGTAGAGGTTGGCTG
Organism: Homo sapiens; assembly: GCF_000001405.40. Taxonomy (NCBI): domain Eukaryota; kingdom Metazoa; phylum Chordata; class Mammalia; order Primates; family Hominidae; genus Homo; species Homo sapiens. Next base: position 148,330,189 of record NC_000001.11, read on the forward strand.
CATTCATTAAAAATTGTTATCCCTACGGATAAGTGTAGGAAGGGACCAGGGCACTGCCGTTCACCACCAGCTTTGCAGCATATGTGACTTTGAAAACAGTGTATAGTGCATAAAAATTCATCCCTCTTTACAAATAATTGATCACAACCAGTTACAGATTTTTTTGTTCCTTCTCCACTTCCACTGCTTCACTTGACTAGCCTTATAGGAAAAAAAGTTATTTGTAAATATGATATTGTTTCAGTTGATCCTCAGCCCGCCCGTTCCCCACCCCCTGAAAGTAGCTGGAACAACAGGTGTGCACCGTGTGCTGGGCTCATTTTTGTATTTTTAGTAAGGATTGCCTTTTGCCATATTGTCCAGGCAGCTCTCGAATGCCTGGACTCAAGTGATCCGCCTGCCTGGGCCTTCCTGCTCCTCCCTGCTGGGATTACAGCTGTGAACCACCCCACTTGGCCATCAATTGTATTTTGAATTTAAATGTTTTATAGTCATCATTCTTCAAATATTCTTGGTTTTGTTGCATGTGCATGATGGGGTTCAGGACATGCTACCCCAAAATATAACATCTTGGGGTATTGAATATTTTATGTTAAGGGAATTTGAATAAACAATAGAAGCAGGAAGGTCACTGTCACCCTCCCCCTGCCCTTCTTTCCTGAAGTCGATTATAGACCCTTATGTGAGATGTTCCCTCTCTGTACCCAGAGGAAAGGTGCATCCTGGAGTCTGAAGACACAGGGACACAGAGAAGAGCCTGAACACAGAGGCCTGGCCCCGTTTTCCCCAGTTTGTTACTGTTAGATCATACTTTTATTGTCTTATCATACTTCTCCATGACTATCCATTCTTCAATAAAACTACTCTTAAAAAACAAACAAACAAACAAAAAACTGAGGTTTAGCTGTTTCCATGGGCCTTCATTTCCTTTGGAAGGCATTCCTGTCATGTAAAACTTACATTAAATAAATACATCTGCTCTTCTCTTATTAGTCTGTCTTTTGCTGTGAGGGTCTCAGCAGTGAACCTAGGCTGGGTGAGGAAAAGTCATATTTCCTCCCCGACATGTACAAATGTCTTTGACTGTAAAACTATAAGAATTTTACTGGGGCAGATTTGAAGCAAGAAATTGCATCATTATTCCCCTTTGGATGAGCTGAACAGATGAGCTAATAAACTCCCAGTTCCCCCCAGATAGAAATACTTCTCTAGCTCATTCCCTGAAGCTCCTAGAGGGTCAAACCTGCTGGAGATTAAGGGGCCTTCCTGGGATCTCCCAGCCCAGGAGGTTACTGCTGGTGAGAGGATTGCTGCAGTCTCCCTGGGAGGGTGCATGGCCATTGGAAAGTATCACTGCTGTAACTTCAGTACAACTGGTTTTCATCACATCTGCTCTTTGTGCAGTGTTGCAGGCAAAATACAAGAGCTAACATGCACATGAGAAACACATGCACATCATCAACTGTGCCTGCAACACAAAGTGCCACATGTCAGGCACAGTTGATGAGTGTGCATATGTTTACTCATTTAGTCCTTACCTCAGGCCGAGGTCACATCATCACCTTCATCTTCCATATGAGAAAACTGAGATGCACAAAGATGTTAAGTGACCTGTCCAGGGTCACTCAGCCAGCAAAGAAGAATTTGAAAGCAGGAATTTGAAGTGAAGGCAGCCTGGCTCCAGAAGACATTCTCAGAACCACTGTGTTTATACTGCTCCTAACAAAATCACCCTTGCAAAAATTATGACAGTGAGAAAAACCTGACATAGGAAAACTATGACTGTGAAAGAAATCTGACCTAACTGACTGCATCTTGCTTCTAATCTCTGAGCTGCCCTTGTCCATTCCTGGGAATAGGCCAGGCTAACTATGAGAGGAGTTTAGTTTAGTCTAACTCTGAAACAAAGATGATTGTCGCTCCTGAGACAAACCCCTTCCTTTCTTGGGGATCAGACCTCCTTAGCAAAGCTAACAAATTAGGCACGAGATTGGAATTTATGGCTCAGGAGCCGTGCAGCCAGAAGTCACATGATTCCTAAGCTCCCCAATTGTGCCTATATATAGTATTATTAGTGTCAAACCTAATATTGGTGTTTAAGATATTTTTCAGACCCTGCCTTGTGATGGACTAGCTGGTACCACTCAGACTGGTAAACTGGCTCATCTGGTCCTGTGGCCCCATCCAGGGACTGACTCAGTGCAAGTAAACAAGCTCTTACACCCTGTGATTTCCAACCAATCAGCTTTGCACATTCCCTAGCCCCCTGCCTGCCAAACTATCCTTAAAAAACAAAAAACCAAAAACCAAAAACCAAAACCAAAACAAAACAAAAACCCTAGTCTCTGAATTTTGGGGGAGGCAGATTTGAGTAATAATAAACCCCTGTCCTGGTCCCTCAGCTGCATCTGCATTTGTTAAATTCTTTCTCTATTGTGGAAAGCCTGCTGTTCTCAGCTCCATTGGCTTATCTGGGCAATGGGCAGAATAAACTTACCAGGCAGTTACACTAATAAAAGAGAAACACAAATTGTAAGCATGCTTCAAAAGAAATGTTAAGTCTTTGTATTTCTTTTGAAGAAACACAAAAGGAGGAGGAATGATAAGACAGGCAATACACTGTCCTAAATATTTTCATGATTCTCCTGCCTCCTTCATATCCTTCTTATCCCAACAACTTCTCCCCAGAAACCTTCAACTTAAACATGGTCCTGCCAGAACTGGGTTTGTCCTTCCCTTAACATTTTCCTCTCACCTGCCCTACACCCCTTCCAAATCTAATCTGTTCATTCACTTCCAGGTCATTGAGGATTTTCCATTTAAAAATATAAAAAATTCATAAAGAGGAAGATAACTGGTCATCCATATTCACACCTCCTGGAATTAACTACTGTTAACATATCTACATATTTTTCTTCCGAATCATTTTTAAGCTATTGTCTTTTTTAAAAAAAATTTATACATGCTAAGCATAGACCGTACTAACAGTAGAGAAAATGTAAACATATGTAAAATTTTTGATCACCTTAAGTTCAAAAATAACTTCTCATAACATTCGGGCAACACTGGAGTCATGGTATTGTGTTATATCTACAGAGAGAAGAAAGTATATTTTAGCTAGACTGTTCCCCCCAGGCCCCACAAAAGAAAAAAGAAGAAAAAAAATAAAGAAGGATATATATGCCTGAAAAAATTATAAAATTATAAAAATATATAAAATATATATTTAATATATAAAATTATATAGTATATATAATTCTATATTTAAAAATATAAAAATATATAAAAACATATATGTATGCTTTTATAAAATTGAGCTTAGACTCTATTTTTATTTTACAAATATTCCACTTAATAGTGCATGAACTTAACTGCAGACAAAGAGACAGAAACAGAAATGAAGGAATTCCTGAACTCCCTAGCACAGTTAGAAAGACATTTGTCTAAACGACTCCTCTAAGGGCAAACATACATTAAATTAAGGAGAAGACATTAAGATTTGGAGTGGTTTTCTTATTCCTTTTTACAACCAAGTTAAGGTGTGAGTTGCCTATGGTACAATGCATCCATTTCAAGTTTGATGACTATTACTCTAAAAGGTCCTCTTGTGCCCTTTGCAGTCAGTCCCGCCCTCCCCCTGGCCCCAGCAATTAATGATGTATTTTCTGTCACTATACAGGTTAGTTTTACCTGTTCTAGAAATTCACCTTGATGGCGCCACACAGGATGCCCTCTTTTCATCACTCGGCATGATGTTTTTGAGGTAATCCATGCTATCTCATGTTTCTGTAATGTGTCCCATTTTATTGCTGGGTAGTTGGGGTAGATCGCCGACACATTCTGCCGACAAGTCAGACTGCGGTTCTGACCTGAAGGCCTCGGTGAACATAAGCAAGGGCACCTGGGCGCGGGGAGAGCCGTTCCCCTACAGAAAGCAAGCGTGTTGTGTCTACAACCGAACAGGGACACTGCTTTCATCCCAAAGAACAGCACCCGTCTGCCTAGAATTTCTACCTGGCTCTAGGAGGTGAGAACACATTCCCCGCTAGCACAGAAATCCTACAAACTTCTGTGGGGGCTGCGGTTAGAAGCACAGGCTGTGTGAAAGGTGACTCCGGGGGCTACGAAAAAACACGAAGGTTTTCACATAGGGTGAGAACCCAAGACACTGGAGACCATGAAGCAATCTTGAAAAAGCAGCCCCACGTGGAAAGGGAAGAGAAGAGCACTGGGGCCACTTAGCTTGTGTTAAGCAAGCTCATGATAGGGGCGGAGAGGACAGTAACACAATACTTTCTCTTTCTTATGCTTGCGACTGTAGGACAACACTTAACATGCCAGCAAAGCTACAAACCCGTAGAAAGCTAAGTAGAAACTAAGAGTAGCCCTTCCTGCAGAATTCACTTTTTGCACTGCAAGATTTCAGCGGAAAGCACTAACGCAGTTCTCCACTGTTATTGTGCAGCCAAATTTCTCCCATTTGGGTTAATCGCAGGATCAGCACGTCCACAGTGCAATGGAAAAGCAACGCCCTGGGAAAACAACCTTCATAACGTCCTCTCCGATGCCAGGTAATTAGGAGTTCACACGTTTCCGTCTTGCTACTGCTCCACACGCCTCACCCTTTTTACACACGGTCACTTGCCCCGCGCACCCCGGAGCCCTTCCAGCCTTGACACACAGCTGGGACTTTCAGGTCTGAACAGCGGTCCTGGACTTGCTCCCACAGCACGGGAACTCCTTCGTAGCGAAGCAGCCGGTGGCGAAGCAGCAGCCCCTGTGCTGCCTCATCTACATAGAAGTCGCCCTATCCGTGATGTCACTGACAGCGCCTTTCCCGTCCGGCTCTGCTTTTCCGCCCCACCTTCTGCCACTCAGCCGACCAACATGCTGCCAGAGACTGCGGGGACAGTGACGTCTGCCTTTCCTTCCTTTCCCTCCCTTCCCCGCCCCAATCTTTCCAAGGAAGCAGGTGTTTCTGTTGTAGTTTTTTGTTTTGAGCCGCAGTCTCGCTCTGTCGCCCAGGCTGGAGTGCAGTCGCATCATCTCTGCTTCCTGCAACCTCCGCCTCCAGGGTTGAAGCGATTCTCCTGCCTCAGGCTTCTGCGTAGCTGGGATTACAGGAGCACACCACCAAGCCCTGCTAATTTTTGTATTTTTAGTAGAGACGGGGTTTCACCATGTTGGCCAGGCTGATCTCGAACTCCTGACCTCAGGTGATCCGCCCGCCTCGGCCTCCCAAAGTGCTGGGATTACAGGCTGAGCCATCATGCCCGCCCAGAAGCCGGTTCTTAGCCTGTGTTGCCGATGACCTCTTTGGCAGACAGCTGGAGGCTGTCCACCCTTCTTCAAATAATGGTTTGTAATGCGCAGACTAAAACATGTAGGATTACACAAGAAACTAGTTCTCTTCCCATCGTTATTCTTCTGATGTAGCATTCTACTTGAAATTGGAAGCCGTTCAGTATCAGAGAGAAACCATATCTATGAAACTAGAGATGCTGCTCAGATGACTGCAAACCAGCCATCCTTACTTGTTTTACCATTAGTAGTGCTATAAAGACGGTGGTCCAATTTCATGAATCTTGTAGGATTTTTTCAAATACAGCAATGTACAAATATGCTGCCCCAGCAGAGCACACTGGACACTCAGGCATGGTGCTGGAGTTTGTCATCTCTTCCATGGCCTTCTGTAGACCGTAGCACTTACCTCATGTTAGCACTTTATATTCTGCAAAGAGAGAAACAAGTGGTCCAAATTTGGAGAAAAAAAATTGGGGGAAATTTTATTTGAGGTGCTTAACTGATTACTTTTAATTTGTAGAATACAATCCCAAACTCTGACAATACTCCACAGACTCCAAATCTATCAGGCAAGTTTTTCCTGTCCTTTGCTTTCATATAAATCAAATCATAAAGTGTGTAGTGGGTTTTGGGGGAGTATAACTGCGCAGTGGGTTCCTGTTGCCTGCTGCCTAGACAGAACCAATTTATCAAGACAGGGGAATTGCAATAAAGAAAGTTGTTTACCCAGAGCTGGCTGTGTGGGAGACCAGAGTTTTATTATTACTCAAATCAGTCTTCCTGAGCATTCTAGGACCAGAGTTTTTAGGGATAATTTGGTGGGTGGGGGACAGTGAGTTGGGAGTTCTGATTGGACAGGTCAGAGATGAACTCACAGGGAGCTAAAGCATGCTCTTGAGCTGGGTCAGTTCCTGGGTGGGGGCCACAGGATCAGATGAGCTGGTTTATCCATCTGGGTGGTGCCAGCTGATGCATCGAGTGCAGGGCTACAAAATATCTCACAAACCGATCTTAGGTTTTACAATGGTGATGTGATCCCCAGGAACAACTTGGGGAGGTTTAGAATCTTGTAAGCTAGAGGCTGCATGATCCTAAACCATGATTTATAATCTTGTGGCTAATTTGTTAGTCCTGCAAAGGCAGCCTAGTCCCCAGGCAGGAAGGGGGTTTGTTTTGGGAAAGAGCTGTTATCATCTTTGTTTCACAGCTAAACCATAAACTAAGTTCCTCTCAAAGTTATTTTGGCCTGTGCCCAGGAAAGAACAAAGACAGCTTGGATGTTAGAAGCAAGACGGAAGCAGTTAGGTCAGATCTCTTTTGCTGTGATAATTGTCCCAGTTATAATTTTTTCAAAGTCGGTCTCAGGAGCAGAGGCATAGGTTTGATTTCTTTCACTCAGTCTTACATCTATGAATTTTTCATGTTACTCATGTGGTTATTTGTTTCTGTGCACAATCCTTTGTATGAATATCGGCCAACTTATCTATTTATTCTACTGTTGCTGAACATGTTGACCTAAAAGAAAGAGGCTGAATCACAAAATAGAATCTAGAGTTTACTTGAGCCAATGTGAAGACAGCTGCCTGGAAGACTCACACCCAAAGAACCTTGGATCTGAGCTCCCTTTGGCCTTTGTCACAAGCAGGTTTTTAAAAGTCAAAAGGGGGGGATGCACAATGGGCTGATAGAAAGGTGCCCGTCAGGAATTCTCATTGGCTTTCAGAAATAGCATTGATGAGAGCTTGGCTATCCCTTGTTATAGGGTGTGGGATACAGTGTTTGGTGTGGCATTATTAGATTAATTTACAGCTACCTGGGGTGATAGCAAGCAGTTTCAACAGATGAATACATAGCTCAAAAAGAAGGAAGCAGAAAGTGGTTGCTGTCTTGATTTAATGTCTCTCTGATCATGTGAAGTGGCTCACATTCCTCAGATAAAAATTCTTTAAAAAATCTTTCTTCTTGAAAGCATTGATGATCAAAAGCTCAGCCAACGTGTCCCTCTTTGCCAGGAAAGCTCATTCCCAGATAGTCTTTCCCACGGTGAGGGCAGGGGAGGAAAGGAGCTGCCTCACTGAGGAATTTTTAAGAGCACCCAAAAGCCCAATTGAAAGGGTGACACCGAGTAGAAAAAAAAGAAAAAGAGAAGAAAAGAAAAAAAGGAGGAGAGAGAGACCTCAGTTAAGTCTGCAGCTATCACTCGTTGAATCATTTCTAGTCTTCAGATACCATAAAATCAGTTTTCTCAGAAGCAGGAAATATATAGCATTAATTATTTGAATAGTACACATATAATTCACACAAGAATGAGAATCACAAAGAGAATCTGTATGCCAGAACAGTAAGGGAACCTATTCCATTAGGGAGCCAACGAAAAACATCAGGGAAAACATCACATCCCAGTTCTTCTTTCATGATTTCTTGTAGCCAAATGACTTCTAATTTTTTCTAGATGAGGTTCTACTTCATGGGAAGTATTTATTTATGTATATGCAACAAGAGGTTGTAAACACCACACATCCACCTCCCTGCTCAGCTAAATCTATCATCTAAAGCGGGCTGCGGAGGCTGCTGTTGCTGGGGCTCTCCCCTTGGTGTTCTGGGCTGCGTTGTACTAAGTGGAGAAGGTGGTTGTGGGCAAGCGTTGTGCATAGATCACAACCAGGTGGGCAGGGGGCTGCTCTCTCCACACTATCAGTTGACAATGTACAATTCCTTTTATGAACTCTTGTAAGTGCTGCTGTATCTACCCATTGTTTTTGTTTTGTTTTTATTTTTTTGAGACAGAGTCTCTCTCTGTCTCCCAGGCTGGAGTGCAGTGGCACGATCTCGGCTCACTGCAGCCTCTGCCTCCTGGGTTCAAGCGATTCTCCTGCCACAGCCTCTCAAGTTGCTAGGACTACAGGAAGATGCCACTGTGCCCAGCTAATTTTTGTATTTTTAGTAGGGACGGGGTTTCACCCTGTTGGACAGGCTGATCTCAAACTCCTGACCTCAGGTGATCCACCCACCTCAGCTGCCCAAAATGCTGGCATTACAGGCATGAGCCACCTAGCCCAGGTTCTACCCATTTTTAAATAAGGCTAATAGTGTCTTTGAAAATATACATCATCTAAAGTGACGCGATTATCTAGTACAACCTTAGCCAGTGAATGAATAGCTTTTTGATGAGCTGTGAAAGAGGCTACAGTTTCATCAGCAATACCTTTCTTTCTTTCTTTCTTTCTTCCTTTCTCTTTCTTTCTCTTTCTTTCTTTCTTTCTTTCTTTCTTTCTTTCTTTCTTTCCTTCTTTCTTTCTTTTTCTTTCTTTCTTTCTTTTTCTTTCTTTCTTTTTTCCTTTTCTTTTCTTTCTTTCTTTTTTTTTAAGACATGGTCTCGCTATGTTGCCCAGGCTAGATTGCAGTGATGCAGTCTCAGCTCACTGCAGCCTCAACCTCCCTTGCTCATGCAATCCTCCCACTTCAGCCTCCCAAGTAGCTGGGATTACACTGACGCACCACTACCCCCGGTTAATTTTTGTATTTTTTTAGTAGAGACGGGGTTTCACCATGTTGGCCAGGGTGTTGAACTCCTGACCTCAGGTACTCTGCCCTCCTTGGCCTCCCGAAGTGCTGGGATTACAAGAGTGAGCCATCGCGCCCGATTCTTTTTTGAATGTTTGGAAGAGTTCGGCTGTGAGGCCATTTGGTCCCGGGCTTCTCTTTGTTGGGAGGTTCTTCAGTCCTTTTATTTGTTATTGGTCGTTCAGGCTTTCGGTTTCTTCTTGATTCAATCCTAGTCGTTTGTATGTTTCTAAGAATTTATCCATTTACTCTAGGTTATCCAATTTGTTGGTATAGAGCTGTTAATGATAGTTTCTTATGATCCTTTTTACTTGTGAGGCTTCTGTTGTAATACCTCCACTTTCATTTCGGATGTTATTTATTTGAGTCTTCTCTATTTTTTTCTTAGTTTAGCCAAGTGTTTGTTAATTTTACTTTTTCCAGAAATACAACTTGGGTGTGAGAGGCCTACGTTGCATCACCACTGGAGGCCAGTAGTTCCCAGTAGGCCTGGGAAGAATAGTAAGATGTTGTCTCTCCTAAAAAGAGGGAGAAAGAGAAAGGAAAAGGAAAAAAAAAACCCAACAACTCAGTTTTGTTTATTTTTCTGTAGTATTTCTATTCTTCAGTTGATTGACTTCTGCATCGATATGTTGTTTCCTTTCTTCACTGAACTTTGGATTTATTTTGTTGTTTTTTTCCTGGTTTCTTGAGGTGTAATGTTTATTTGAAGTCTTTCTTCTTTTTTAATGTATGCATTTATGGTTATAAACTTGACTCTTAGAGCTGTTTTTGCTGTTTCCAAAAGATTATGTTGTTTGTTTTCACTTTTGTTTGCCTCAATCAAATTTCCCTTTTGATTTGTTCTTTGATCAGTCAGTTGTTAAGAGTTATGTTGTTTAATTTCCATGTATTTTTGAATTTTCCAGTTTTCCTTATGTAGTTAATTTTTAGTTTCATACCATTGTGGTCAGAAAAAATAATTGATCGGATTGGAATCATTGTTAATTTGTCTAAGATGTACTTTTCATTATTTTAATTAATGTATAATAGTTGTACACATTTTGGGGATACACATGGTATTTTGATAAACATATACAATTTGTAATGATCAAATCAGTGTAAGTAGTATATCTGTCACCTCAAAACTTTATCTTTTCTTTATGTTAGGAATATCCCAATTCCTCTCTTCTAGTTATTTTAAAATATACAAGAAGTTATTTTTGTATATACTATCAAATACTAGAACTTATTCCTTCTATTTAACTATATTTTATATGCATTAACCAATACCTTTTCTTCCTTCTCTCCTGTCTCCTTCTCAGCCCATCTCCTTCTCTCAGCCTATCCCCTATCTCCTTCTCAGCCTCTTGTAACCACTAATTTTTATATATGATATGACACATGAATTCAATTTTTTCTACTTGTTTATTTTTATATAGTTACAAATATGTTACATCAATTGCTTAAAAAGAAAATCCTCAATCATTTGTTGAAATATTATGTATTTTTAAATACATTGCTTTTTTAAGATTGTCAAAAATCTGTTCTCAATATATGTATTGGTTTATATTTGGACTCTATTTTCTTTTGATCCATTTAATTGATCACATACCAAAGCTCTGTTGTGGCCATTACAACTCTGTGATTGTTCTTTAAATCAGGTGGAGCTAGCCCTCCAATTTTGCTCTTCGTTATATAGGCATTTTTGTTATGCTAGTTCATGTTAATTTTAGAATCAGCTGCCATTTTCTACCAACGATGCATGCTGAAATTTTGAGTCAGATTGCATTGAATTTATAGATCAAATTAGGGGAAATGGACATCTCAACAATATTCTTACACATGAACAAACAATATCTTTCCAGTTATTAGGCCTGCACTATGTTCTCTGTGAAATATGCTCTAATTTTCAGTCATATTCACATTTATGGATTTTATACACTTGACATTATTGTAAATGATATTCCTTTTACATTTAAATTCTGCCGTGCAATTGCATAAATACAATTTATTTTTGCATATTGATCTTATATCCTGCTAGAAACAAATGCTTTTTGAATTCAGGTTTGATCGGCCAGTGGCAGTATCTTTGGAAACTTTCATATTTACCAGGCATGAAGAATCTTTCTCATTTCAATTGGACCTTTATCACCAGCCCAAGGGAGAGGAAAGTCCTAACGCATATCAAGTTCTGAGGTTGGGAAGAGTTGTACTTTGTAGATAAATGCATGTGAAATGTTCTGTATGTTTGCCAATAAGTTTTCATTAAGATTACTCATGCAGTTATAAGGCTGCCCATTTGCACTTGTGTTTAGCTGCAATACTATAGTTGTAAAATTTAGAAGCCAATGTTCTCCCTTAGTTTAAAATTTAATATTCAAGAATTTACTCCAGTATTATGTAGTGCCAGAAACTTTGGGATGATATGCAATGATATGTCCAGCAAGTATGAGTTTGTACCTGATCCTTATTAGTCTTCCTTCTGATGTGATCTATTATAAAATGAGACCTTAAAGAGCTTTAAAATAATTAATAATGGCATGCTGAGGAGATTAGTTTGTGGGATATTCAGTAGCCATAGGAAACAGTAGTTCCTACTCTGTATCTCAAGTGAGAGTCCACTCTTCAGTATGTCAGCTTCAAGACCCTGATCTGCAGTGGAATTTGCAGCCCCCTGCTGTGTCAGCTTCATTACTTCAAGGGAGGGTGAATGCCTTCAGTTCTTTAGGTCACAATTGACACATGTAGCACATTTTGGTACCTCTTCAGTTACTGACCTTTATGCCCACTCATGTCAGGCTTGCTCACCTGAGTGATTCACAAGATCACATTCCCAATGCATCAGATCACTGTGTCACAAAAAACCAAAAGCATTTATTTGTCATTATGTATCTCTCCTGAATTTCAACCTTGATAGGCTAACATGGCTCACAAACAGCTTTAAATTTGGCTTCTCAAATGTCTGTCTAATGGTTTACAAAAGTCCAGTTACTCAAATGAATTTATCTTACAGTCCGGTTTCTATTGTTCCATGCTGTGCCTCAGTGACATAAACCAAGAGTCAGTATATACAAAGATTTATTCCCACTGGTTTATAACCAACCAATAAATAGTATGCCTGTTATATATAGTTCTGTGCATTGGGTTGCCAGTCTCCTTCCTTCTTTTACCTGATTGTTATTGGAAGTGGAGATGATGTAATGTTATGGGTCACTTCTATTAGCGTCCCTGGACTACAGTTCTACCATCTATTTTTTAAGCTGTTTTACCTTGTTATATAAGATCTGCATATTTAGTAGCATCATTTATGTTATTAATAGTTAACATCTATGGTAGTCACTTCTTTGGTTAGGTCAGAGACTAAAATCTGAAAATTAGAAATCCATTCTTTATTTCAGGTGTGTGCATGCTGTTGTGTTGATCCCTCTCCTCTCCCAGAAAAGTCATTGTAGGCCCAAGTTGATGAAGGGACAGACTGTGAAAGAATGGATGCAGAGCATGGACTAAGTATGCAGTGCCCACTGAGTTGAAAATGTTGCTAAAGTTGCTTTTCTGCGATTGTCTAACATTCCTCTGAGTCACCTCGTCTGCTGCTTAAGAACCCCAAAGCATTTTCTTCACTGTCTTGTGGCCATTGTTATAAACTCCACTCTGTTCTTCCTGTGTCAACTACCACACAGTCTGTTTCATTCCATGGCCCTAAAGGCAGAGCCATTTTTCCAATTTTAGGTACACTAAGGGTATCCTGTTTCTGCAAAACCAATGGATGTTAGTGGTTCTCTTAGTTGTTGTTGTTGTTGCTGTTGTTTTTTTTTTTTTGACGTATGAGGCCATAATTGGAGTAATGTGAAAAATATTTTTTCCTCCAGAAGTTATTAGATGCTGCTATATCCAATATTTGTTCTATCAGTACACTATAATGTATCCCAGCTATGCATTTTATATTTCCTAAAACTTCACTTCTGAGAAGGCCCTTCACGAGTTTTTAGAAATTCATGGCCCACCCAGCAGCATTACTAAGTCTTTTGGAGTCTAGCCTCATGGTCTTTCTGTTGATTTTCCTGCTGTCAACATGTAATCTGTGAAATGAAACAAAGGGAGGGGATCCAGGCCAAGACTTGGCGACATTCATTTATGACAGTCAGTAGTCAGACACTATGTGCAGAGATCCTCCAGATCCTGTTTGACCAGCATCTTTGGGAGGTTAAGAGCCCAGCCCTGTCAGAACCACTATTCATTATCATCGACCCTTTCACCAGAATGCACCTGTGTGTCGGCTACTGATTTTCTCACCTCCAGGCAACTCAGGCTGAGCTGGGAGCAGAAATCTTAAGCTCTTGTCACTAAGGACTCTTCTGTGCTTCCTCTGTATCACCCGCCATAACTAGCATAATGCTTTACTCACAGGGGCTCAGGAAATGCACTTGTTGAGCTCAACAAATTGAGAATCCAAGTTGCCTGATAAGCAGAGATGTTATGGTGTAGAGAATTGGATAGGGTAAGCAGAGGAACAAAACAGGTTGTCATTTTGTTGTTATTGTTGTTGTTGTTGTTTCTTAGAGTACAAAAATTGTGACTGGCAACTGCTGGGGAATCCTAAGGCAGGACTTTAGTCCCTAACCCCCCTACATTCTCACTACATTCATGGAAGCTGCTTTACTCCTTTCCACCTTAGGTATTTAATCTATAATTAGAGGATAAAATACACAATTTCTAAATGCTAGTACTATGACTGATATAGAATTTATTTTGGACACAGGTGAATCTTGAAGTCTGCAAAGCATTTCAATTACCAAACAGAGGCCAGGCACGGTGGCTCATACCTGTAATCCCAGCACTTTGGGAGGCTGAGGTGGGTGGATCACCTGAGGTCAAGAGTTTGAAACCAGCCTGGCTAACATGGTGAAAGTCCATCTCTACTGAAAATATAGAAAATTAGCCGGGCATGGTGGCCTACACTTGTAATCCCAGCCACTCAGGAGGTTGAGGCAGAAGATTCACTTGAACCCGGAGGCAGAGGTTGCAGTGAGCTGAGATCATGCCATTGCACTCCAGCCTGGGCAAAAGGAGCGAAACTCCATCACAAATATATATATATATATAAAAGTAGACAGAAGATAGATCATCTGTGATTACTATGTCAAGGACAATTTTAGAATTCTTGTTAAACTCACCTCTTTCTTTTCACAGCTGGCCAGGACTTAGTCAGTATCTACTGAAACCTTGAATATCTTGGCTGTGTTAACTGTTTTGACCCAACATGGAGCGAAAATGTTGGTTGTACCTTGAGATTCTGACATCTGGTTGAAGTCCAGGTTCACTGGCCCAGGACAGGTCATTCAGCTGTTTGAAAAAAAACAGAAGAGAGACCAGGCCATCCACTGAGGTAATCTCCATGCAGCATGAACCACTGGTTCCAATGAACCCACCATCACCATACTTCTCAGGAATCGCTGGTCACTAGACTGAGAGTTCTGTGAAAGCTGAGATCATATCTTACTAATCTCTGTGTTCATGGTTCCCAGCTCAGGGTCTAGCACTGAGGGAGTTCTCAGGAGAGTGTTCATCAATTATTGAATAAAAGCGATTGCAAACCTCCTCTCACCTGCATTCCTGTCCCAAATATCCTGTCAGGGATGCTGAGATTTCTCCCAGGATGCAGCAAATCCCTTTCCTTAGACTGGCCCTTGCCTTACACCATTCATGCCCCAGGATCCGTCTCTGTGGGACATTAGAGGAAAATGAGTCTGTTCTGAAGAAGTCCTCTTATGGTTCCCCCTGTCGTTAGGAGCAATGTCTTCACCTAAACTCCCACTCTCTGGGTTGCCACAACACCCCAATATGGGGGAACTTCCATATTTTCTTAAAATGCTATGTTTCTGTTCTTTCTCTCATGGGCTTGAGTTCCTTTGGGGAGACATTAATATCTGAATCCCAAGTGTTTAACACAATGTAAAGAAAATTAAACACCCAATAAATATTTATGAGATATCATTTGGAAACCTCCTTCAACTGTAAGTACAGAAGAATATTATAAGTATCACTGCTTTGTATACTAGCAAGGGACGCTTACTCTGGCACCTGACCTAGGGCAGAGCTTTTTATGTAAGAATGGATGTCTCCAACCCTTCTCCCAGCATGGTTATTCCCTCTAACCCACACTGACCTGAAGAGCATCCACTGCTATGGCAGCCCCAAGGTCAAGGCTCCTGGGTCTGGGGCGGGGCTCATGGTCGCATCTTCCCCCCTTGGAGTTGCTGCTGCCCCCTCACTATAAACCAGCTCTGATCCACCCTGTGGCTCTCCCTGGCCAGGGGCAGGAGACTCCTGTGGAGTAAATTTCTCTCTCAGTCCCCACTGCTCAGCTCACGCTACTCCTTGAGGGCTTGGATGATGATAGGCATTGCCCATTTCCCCTGAGGCTTCTGTCCCAATTTGTCCTTATTTCCCCCTTCTTTGGTTTTCATTTACCAATGGCTTGTCCTTTGTGGGTTGTTCTCATCCCCTAAACCTGCTGACTTTCTTTCTTTCATCTGTTCCCTCAGTTCTGGGCTTCCAGTGTAGGGACTCAGCTCAGGCTCCTGCAGGAGACACACAGAGTCAGGTCTCAGCTGCAGGTCCTGGGTGGCATTAAAAACCATCTCAGTTCCTCAGAGACTCAGAGAAAACAAAGTAGGAAGGGACCTCAGAGAGGAACAATAAGCCCCTAACTCACTGAGGAGGAAAGTGAAGCCAAGAAAGACTAAGACTCTCCCAGGCTCCCTCACCACATGGTGGCAGCAGATCGACCACACAAGCCTTGGCCTCAGCCTCCAGGTCTAAAGCAGCTAACTCACCCTCCAGGAACTCACTGCTGTGTTTCAGAAAACTTTGGATCAAAAACAGCAATTTCCACTGTGAAAACAAATAAAGTAAAAGGGCTTTTCCTTGGACAAACGCTTTATAACCGTTCTACAGTCCTAGTATTTATGCTCAGTCAGTTGTCATTCACTGGCTGGTAGATTGGGGCAGGGAGCACATAAAGATTAAGTAATGTTTAACACAAGCCTGCTTTCCCAGCCTGGGATCTCAGCTCCTCCATTCTTCAGGGAGTTTCCTCTCCTGAAACTGCTGGAGAGTCTCAGCCCTCATGTGGGTCATTTCTCCATGATGATACCTGTTATTTTCTTCCTCTCCTGGAGATAAGACAGGGCAGAGATTGGTTCTGGGTCTCCACAATTCTAGGTTTTCTCCTAAACCAGCCAGGTCAGCTGGAAGCAATCATGACAGAGAGGTCAGGTCAGTGAAGAGGGTCCCAGGGGAGCAGGGGGTCACAAGGACAGCCCCTCATGGAGATGGTCAGGACCGTGACATGGGCAACATTTGACCAATTCTGCTGGGGATAATGTGCCAAGGATTAAGGGGAGGATGCTGCCATAAGTAGAAAGAGGAAGAACCAAAGGAGTAGGAGAAGAAGGAAAATAAAATGATTTCTATAAAGATAGAAAGAAAGGCAGAGCCCAGAGGCAAGCCCCATGTCACAGAGGGTTAGTTCCAGGTTTTGGATCCTAACCAAGAAATTCCTGCTGGACTTTGCTCAGCCCAATTTCAAAAAAGTTTTGGATCAGTGACTTCTTTGTTACTTCCATGTTTCCCCTTTGTGAACAAGAATCGCTAGAATCATTTTTCTATGTCTGTCCCACCATTGCACACAGAGGGCAGATAAGCCGTTTGTTCAGTTTCACAGGTTGATAGAGGGAAGGGAATTATGTCAAGGATCTGGACTTAATGGACACCCTCAGAAGCCTCATTCACACTTGGTATAGTTGACTAAGATAAGATTTTAAACTTTTGATCTGGTGTGGTCTACATAACATTTTTCACTTTGAGCTAATGCTTTAATGACATGAAATTTGGAAACCTTAGAGTAGAGGGTGAATGTATTTTGCAAATGGGGGAATGTGAGTGTCCGACTGTGGTAGATGGAATTTCTGAAATGGCCCCCAAACATGCCACACCCTTGTCTCTAAAGCCTGTTAAGGTGATGAAACATCATTCCTGTGATTATGTTGTTATATGCCAGTTATATGACTTTAAGATGGTGAGGTTACCTGTGTAAACTGGATTTAATCACATCACTGCACACATGCCAGTGGTTTCTCTAGCTGTCAGGAGAGGGTGATGTCAGAAAGAAAGGGAGCTTGAGAAGGACTCCATGAGCTGTTATTGGTTGGAAAATGGAAAAGGCCAGGTGAGAAGGAATGCAGGTGGCCTCTGGAGTTAGAGCGTCTCCTGCCTGACAGCCAGCACACAAAAAGAAAACCCAGTCTTTCAACCCCCCAAAAATGAATTCCTCCTACACCTGAAGTGAACTTGGAGAAGTAGCCTGAGCTCCACATAATTACATAGCCAGACACACCTGGATTCAGCTTCCTAAAACCCTTATCAGAGAACCCAGCCTCTGTTCCAGACTTCTGTGGTTTCAATCCACTAGTTTGTTGCATGTGTTAATAGGCAGCAATAGAAAACTGGTACAGATGCCTATCTCTACTCTTGATTTATTATTTCAGATACATGGAAGCTAATCCCTCTAAGAGAAAAAAATTAAAGAGCAAAGAACTACAGCAAAAATCTTGCGCTCACGTTCACCTTTATGTCACTATTCTGGAGCCCTTGCAACCTGAAGAAGATAATGAGAGGCATTCCAAGCATGTGAGGAGTATCTCTAATGTTACCAACCAAATTTCTGAAAGAATAAAGATGGTACAATACTAACTCCACATAATCTTATGTGCAAATTCATCATCTATCTCTATTTCTTATAGCAGATTTCTTTTTCTTTTTTAGCTCATTCATTTAGGCTTGCCAGATGAGGTTTGGTAACAACTATCAGTTATCAGCAAAAATGAAACAACTAATGAAGAGCAATGAACAGGACTATTATGTTCCTCAAAAAAGTCCCTAAAATGCAATATTTCCTCTAAATGTCACAAAAGTAAGACAGTGATTCACTATTAAAAATCCTAATCTAAGAAAGGTTGAAATTTAATGATGTTGGTTTTCCAAATTTTTATTTTGTTGTGGCCCAGTCATGGGCACCAGAGATTAGGAAATGACTGTGCAGAGGCTTGAGGGAATTTGGGAAAAGACAAAAATATTCTAAAATGTGACACTGCTGATGGCTGCGCAATTGGTGAGCTTTATTACAAGTAAGCTTTTTTGTTTGTTTGTTTGTTTGTTTTTGGGGGGGATAGAGTGTCACTCTGTTGCCCAGGCTGGAGTGCAATGGTGTGATCTTGGCTCACTGCAACCTCCGCCTCCTGGGTTCAAGTGATTCTCCTGCCTCAGCCTCCTGAGTAGCTGGGATTACAGGGACATGCTACCATGCCTGGATAATTTTTGTATTTTTAGTAGAGACGGGGTTTCACCATGTTGGTCAGGCTGGTGTCGAACTCCTGACCCTGTGATCCACCCACCTCAGCCTCCCAAAGTGCTGGGATTACAGGCATGAGCCACCGCGCCTGGCCACAAGTAACTTTTTATATGAAATTTCCGGTTTCAATTCTGACATATAAAGAGGTGGGAAGTCACCATTTGTCCTCACAACAAGAATAAAGCTGAACAAACTGAAAACCAACAACTCTTCTTATACGGCCAGAGAATTGAGGTCGCTGCCACCCTGAAAACTAGAAAGACAGGCAAATGCACGGAGTCACAGCTTACCAGGAACAGAAACTGCTGGAGCCAGCACCTGGGAGGAGAACTTAAATAGTATTGACAGATTACTAGAAGCTGAGGGTGGCTTGGCTTGAGCATTAAAAACGCTCTGAGAACCAGTCATGGGGGGAATCTCACACTTTCCTAAATCTGACCACTAGAAACCCAACAAAGTTCTCATGGAGAAGATCAGAAAAAATCCCCGAGGATTGGCACTGCCAACTTCAGCTACAGTAACCAAAACAGTATGGAGTTGGTGAAAAAATGTAAAACAGACTCATAGATCAATGGAAAAGAAAACAGAGCCCAGAAATAGACCTACATAAATATAATAAACTGATCTTTGATAAAGGTGCAAAGACAATTTAACAGAGCAAGGATGGCCTTTTCAACAAATGGTGCGAAAACACCTGGACAACCACATGAAAAAATAAATAAATGTACATACAGATCTTATAACTTTCACAAGTGGATCTTATAACTACCTGTAAGGTTCAAAACCACAGGACTCCTAGGAGATAACACAGGAGAAAAGCTAGGTGACCTTGGGTTTGGTGATGATTTCTTAGAAACAGCATTAAAAGCGCAATCCATGGAAGAAACAAAATTGAAAAGTTGAACTTCATTACAATTAAAACCTTCTGCTCTGTGAAAGACACTGTTAAGAGAATGAAAAAACAAGTCAAGACTGAGAGAAAATATTTGCAAAATACAGATCTGATGAAGGGCTGGTGCCCAAAATAAATGAAGAACTCTTCAAACTCAATAATAAGAAAGTGAACAACCCAATTTAAAAGTAGGCAAAAGATCTGAACACCTCACTGAAAAGATATACAGATAACAAATAAGTATATGAAAGAGACACTCAAAGTCATTTGTCATTAGAAAATTGCACATGAAAACAATGAGATAACAGAACACACCTATTAGAGTGGCTAAAATCTGTAAAAAGTGACAATCCCAAAAGCTGTCAAACAAACAGAGCTACAGGAACTCTCATTCATTGTTGGTGGAAATGCAAAATGGTACAATCACTTTGGAAAATTGTTTGGGAGTTTTTTTTTTCTTTTACAAAGCTAAACATAATCTTACCCTATAATCTTGCAATGGCAGTTTGACTTATTTAGCCAAATGAGAGGAAAACTTATGTTCACCCAAAAACCTGCACACAGGTATTTACAGCAGTTTTATTTATTATTGTCAAAAACTGGAAGCAACCAAGACGCCCTTCTCAACAAGTGAATGGATAAACAAATTGTGGTGTATCCATACAATGGAATATTAGTCAGTGATGAAAAGAAATGAGCTATCAAGCTATGAAAAGACATAAAGAAACATTCAATTCATAATACCTGAAAGAAGCCAGTCTGAAAACCTACATATTGTATCATTCCAACTGTAGGACATTCTGAGAAAGTCAAAAAGATAGAGATAGTAAAATGATCAGTGGTTGCCAAGGGTGAAGGAGGGAAAGGAGGGATGAACTAGTGAGGCACAGGGAGTTTTCAGCAGTGAAACTATTACATGATACTGTATTTGGGAGTCATGACACTGTAATTTTCAAAACCCAAAGAATTGTTTTAAAAAAATAAGATAAAAGACAAAACACTTAATGTGAACTATAGACTTCAGTTGATGATAATTATCAATATTGGTTCATCCAGTGTAACAAATGTACCACAATACTGCAAGATACTAATGGGGGAAATTGTGTATTGAAGGACAGGGAGGCACATGGAAACTCTCTATAGTAGCTGCTCAATTTATCTGTAAGCCTAGAACTGTTCTATAAAGTAATATCTATTAATTTTTCTAAGTTAGAATGTGAAAGCTCCAAATTCAATTTTTGGTGGCATCCTGATATCATGTGGTTAATACTTGGCATTGAGATGCACCAAACTGGAGTCAGAGCAGTTGAAGATTTCAATGTCTGTGCCTTCACCCTCTGTGCCTGGGGATGCCCCTGGAATCCAGATGGCAGATCAGTTAGGTCGTAGTGGCATCAGCACTCCAGACAGTGTAGGTTCTAGTAAGGACAGGGTGAAATCACCTTGGAGGGCAGAACTTGCTAAATACTTGGAACCACAGATCAAAGGAGAAGGAGACAGGGAGGAACTGCAGGCTACAGAATGAGCTCCCTGACTGAAAGATAAAGGCAGCTTCAGAGATTTTGGCAAATTTTGTGAGAGAATTAAATGTCAGAAAAAGAACTTAGATTTCAGTGCAAAGTGGTCTATTTAAAAAGAAAGAGAAGGAAGGAAGGAAAAGGAGGGAAAGAGGGAGGGAGGGAACTTAGATGAAGACTAGAATATCTGGGAATGGGCTTAAACCATCAATCGTTTCCATTAATGACCACATGCTAACTAATTATAGCACAGAGATACCATACTGTAACATCAAGTACAGTTAGCATGGGGGTAAGAAAGTGTTCCCCAACCTCTCCGTTCTCCTCTGAAGACACATTTTCTTCTGAAGAACAGAGATATTGAATCTTGCCTTTGGGTAAGTTTGGGCATCCACATGAATGAGCTGGGGCACCCAACACCAGATTACACCAGGCCACGACCTTCCCTGCTGCCCCTTGCCTGCTTCAGAGGCTGCCCCGCTGCAGGTGGGGGCCTCAGCCCCAGGTCTGATGTTGTCCATTTGCTTTCTCACTGGGCTTCTTTCCTTGCACTGACTTCCACTCCCCAGGACTCAGTGAGTGGCCACATGGGAAAGACACAAACTGGCCATGCCCCTTTCTCTCTGACACCTCTTGATGCCTGCAGAGGTGAGCTCCAGACCCACTCCATGAGTAGTGACTTGAGACTTGCTCACAATGATGTCCCTGTCCAAGAGCAGGGACTGGCACTTAATAGCCACACATGAAAGCTCAGTGAAAGAAGGCATCCACCACAAGGTCCTGGAGGAAAAAGAATTCCACTATGGTCCATAACGTTTTAGTCCCAAAAGATCCCAGATTAGGAGATGTGAAAGGCTTTTGAAAGTGGCCATTCTTTTAAAGCATTATGCTGGCAGCTGCACTATGTTTCCCCATCCTGGACATGTCTGGAGGGCACTGTCTACAGCCATACCCACCTCCCCACCCAGGACAGTGCAGCAGCTTTAATTTGGGGGATGCCAGTGGGCAAGGAAGGGGTGAACCATGAAAGCTGAACAGGAGAAAGCAGGTGGAAGAGGGGCAACAGGGTGGAAATAGAGAAAATAAAGGTGGGTAGAGAATGGGGGGACTCAGGGGGAGAGAGAGAGAGAGGGAGAGAGAGATCTAGCCACTAAGGAAGGAAAAAGTCCAGAAGAGAACACTTGTCTGCTTCAGTAAAATAATTTACACCTAACCAGGTGCAAGGGCACTGCAGGTCGTGGGTGGCATGCCCTGGTCATGCTGTGATGTTTAGGGGCCATGACATCTACCCTTTGAATCCAAATCATCAAATAGAGAGGGAACTCTGTCCCTATCTAGCTGGCAATGCCTTGCGATTTTACCTTTTAGATCTGGCAGCTCTCCACATCTGCTCACTTTGTGGGAGGCAGCTCTTGACGCACCAAATCAGGATGATTCAAAAATCAGAGCCTTGGAGACTTCACTGGAAGGCTTGGACAGTGGGAGGTGGTGGCATCCGGAGGGTGGAGTCCAAGAGGTAGCAGCGCTGAGGCTCCACACACCCTCAGGAGGATGGTAAGGGGCAATCTCTTGGTGAGCACCTAACTTCCCCAGGAACCTCTGCCTAGGTGGAAATGGGCCCCACGCCTAGCTTTTCTCTGGACAGGCCCTAGCCAGGGATCCAGGGTACCAGTTGAGTCCTAGGCAATGCAAATGCCTGTGTGCTGACCTTGTGGTGACTGGAAGGAAGCACCATGATCCTTCCACTTGGAACTGGACTTGCAAAGACGATGGCTCCTACTGCTTTCAATTTCCTTGGACTTTCGCAATCAGATTTAGCCTTTTGGAATGTGAACATGACTCTTCTGGGTCACCCCAGGTATGGGGTGGCCTTGGATCTGCTGGTCCTCCCCAGGCCTCAAGGACTGGCTGATATTCATCATCTCGGTTGGTGTCACCGCACTCACAATCCCCAGCAAAGATCCCCCAAAGTGTCCTGACTAGAAACATATTCCTCAACTTCCTCTCAGCTCGTGGTAGCCATTCTTCTGTTAGTGTAGGCTGCGTGTGGGAGGCTGGTGGTGGGTAGGGTGGGAGCCTAGAGAAGGAAGAGGAACGGTAGCCAAAAAGGAGCAGAGAAGGAGGAGGAGGCAGGAAGTATAGAAAGCTGGAGGGAGCTGGGGAAAATGGGTGTGGGGGTAGTGTGAGGAAGACAGGGAGCAGGAGAGAGAGGGGACTGGAAACAGAAGGAGAGGAGGAGGAGAAAGAGGAGGAGAAGAAGGCAGAATAAGAAGAGCAGAAATTCCAGCATATCCCAAATCTTGTTCCAGAAATGGTTATCAGTGCCCCATGGATAAAGGGAAAAGGAAATTTGCAAAGAAAAAGAAAGAAACCCCAGCGGGTAGAGGGTCTCGGCAGAATGTTTATTTCAGAGCAGGAAACTCTGGCAACCCAGGCAGAACTGTTGGCTTTAGTGGAGGCCTAAATATAGCTCTTCTCTGTTCCTAATCCTGAAAGGTGCTTAATCTCATTCTCTGAGATAGAAACCTAAAGAGAAGGGCAGAGAGAGGTAAGTCTGGGGCGACTCCTCCTATTGTAGATTAAAGGTACTCAAGTCCTGTGTGACAAAGAGAAAAAAATACCTGAAAAGGAAATTCTGGTGACTATGGAGGCTGAGAATTCACTTGTCAAATGCTCATAACTGAGAGTATTCTCAACAGCTGGTTCCATGGGTTAATGGTGAGCACCCTGGACTCTGAATCAAGCGATCCGAGTTCAAATCTCGGTGGTACCTTGGTGTCTGCTGGCCTTTTACTCTGGAGCCAGAAGCCACTTTGGGAAGCAAACTCCACCCTCAAAGACAGAGTGAAAGGGATGTGGTTTACATTTGCCCTTCGTACCAAGTCCTGGGTTAAAGAAGAGAAAGGAAGGTTTGGGTCCCGGGGAAGGAAGCTCTGCTGCTGCAAATCCCCTAGTCCCTCCTGCTCCGGCCTCGCAATGCGTCCCCTGCAATGTCCCTCCTCCTCTCCCGTGTCCCTCCTGCTCCGGCCTCGCAATGCGTCCCCTACGATGTCCCTCCTCCTCTCCCTTTTCCTCCTCAGTGGTCTGGGTCCCAGAAACCGGCTTCTTGCAGTGGCCTGCTCCACAGGGAAATTGCCCAAACATCCCATCGGAGTCACCAATCCTGGTCCCAGTCCTGGGCGAGCCTCCCGGCCCCCTGCAATCGGAGGCCCGGACCCCGCAGCCAGCGTCCCAGCAACCGAACAAGTCCCCATCCCCTCTCAGGGCGACCCTGGGCCTCGGGGTGATAGGTTTCCTACACTAAAAGGGCTGCGGCCCCTCAGTGCTAGACCCCGAGATTCCTTTCACTCGGGAAATCTCGTAATCGCATCCATTGTCTTTTTGGTAAGTAAACGGTGACGTGAGAAATTTTGATGGGGTTAGCTCAGTCATTGGTGATTATGTCTCAGTTTAGGGTAGATGGTTTGAGACCTAACTTAGAAGTAACACTGTTTTATTCGGATGGCCCATCCTCTTCCGAATGTTAATTTACTCTGTTCTTCATATTCAGATTTCCATGCCTAATTTCTAGCTCCTACGTCTCTATTGCGGGACCTAAAAGTCGCTGTTTCACTAAGCTTTGGAACCCGACTCCAGGAAATCTCATTCTTTCGTCCCAAAATTTCAACCGTAAAGAGAAATCCGCGCGGCGGCCTCTTCAAGCGCCCGGGCCGGGAGCGCGGGTTCTGACCTTCGGTCGCCGGGCCGGTCTCCCGCAGCACCACGGGTAAGAGGAGCCTGAGCAGCTCGGAGGGATGAGTGCGGGACGGTGGGGGCTCCCCCTCTTCCTGCCAGTACCTTGCCCCAAGGAGAAGATGCCTTAGGACGCGACAGATGAAAAATCTTTTCTTCTGCTTGGCGGAACACTTTGGATGCGGCTTATGGTGGGTCTTGAGAGCAAGCTAAGATGTCCCGCCAGACGCTCAGGACCATCGCTCTGATTTTCATATTTTGCAAATATGAAAATTTTCAGCGGTTACGAAGGACTGAAAAACACCGCAGTCTTTGAGGGGCTCAGTTTGGAGGGCGTGCGGAGGTGTGGGGTGGGAGACGGGAGAGAGGTGCCTTGTTGGCTCCTTGGAGTGGACTGATAGGAAGGAAAACACACAAATTCCATTTCCCCTTGCAGGCTGGACTGCAGGGCCTAGGATGGAAAACTGGGCAGTCAAAGAGCAACAATATGTAGAGGTTGACTGCATGCATTGAAAATTGTTATCCCTCACACCTGTAATCCCGCATTTTGGGAGGCCGAGGCAGTCGGATCACGAGGTCGGGAGATGATCATCTTGGCCAACATGGTGAAACCCCGTCTCTACTAAAATACAAAAATTAGCCGGGCGTCTTGGCGCGTGCCTGTAATCCCAGCTACTCGGGAGGCTGAGACAAGGCAATCGTTTGAACCTGGGAGGCGGAGGTTGCAGTGAGCTGAAGCTGAGATGGCGCCACTGCACTCCAGCCTGGCGACAGAACAAGACTCCGTCGCAAAAAAAAAAAGAAAAGAAAAGAAAGAAGGAAAAAAGGAAGGAAGGAAGAAGGAAGGAAGGAAGAAAACAAAATTGTTATCCCTAGAAAAAAGTGTAGGGGGGACCAGAACACTGCTGTTGTTGCTGTTCACCACCAGCTTTAGAGCATATGTAACTGGTAACTGTACAGTGCATCAAAAATCCTTCCTGTTTACAACCAATTATCACAACTAGCTACAGATTTCTTTGTTCCTTCTCCACTCCCACTGCTTCACTTGACTAAACTTAAAGGAAAAAAAATTGTTTTTACATATGATATTGTTTAAATTGATCCTCAGCCCGTCCTCCTCAAGTAGCTGGGACCACAGGTGTACAACACGGTGCCTAGCTAATTTTGTAGAGACAGGGGTTTTGCCATGTTGGCCAGGCTGGTCTCGAACTCCTGGACTCAAGTGATCTGCCTGCCTGGGCCTCCCAAATTGCTGGGATTACGTGCTGGCCTCCATGCCCAGCCATCATTTGTATTTTGAATTTAAATATTTTATAGTCATAAGTATCACTCTTCAAAGATTCTGAGTTTTGTAGCATGTATATGGTGAGGTTCAGGACACACTACTCCAAAATATAACACCTTGGGGTATTGAATATTTTATGCTAAAGGAATTTGAGAAAACAACAAAAGCAGGAAGGTCACTGTCACCCTCCCCCTGCCCTTCTTCCCCAAAGCAGATCATAAGGCTCTCATGTGAGAGGTGCTCTCTCTGTACCCAGAGGAAAGATGCATTGCTGTGTCTGAAGACACAGCGACACAGAGTCTGAGCACACAGGCCTGGCTACATTTCCCCCAGTTTATTACCATTAGATCATACTCCTTTCATCATATCTCACTTCTCTATGACTATCCACTAGTCATCAAACATACCGTTAAAAAAAAACAACTTGAAGTTTAGCTGTTTCTTCAGGTCTTCATTTCTTTAGGAAGGCTCTTCTTCTATCATGTAAAACTTACATTAAATAACTAGATATGCTCTTCTCTTGTTAGTCTGTCTTTTGCTATAAGGTTCTCAGCAGTGAACCTAGGCTGGGTGAGGAAGAGTCATATTTCCTCCCTTACATGTACAAAATGTCTTCCACTGTAAAACTGTAAAAATTTTATTGAGGCAGGTTTGAAGCAAGAAATTGAATCATTATTCCCCTTTGGATGAACTGAACAGATGAGCTAACAAACCCCCAGTTCCTCCCAGATAGAAATACTTCTCTAGCTCATTCCCTGAATCTCCTTGAGGGTCAAACCTGCTGGAGATTGAGGGGCCTTCCTGGGACCTCCCAGCCCAGGAGATTACTGCTGGTGAGAAGATTGCTGCAGTTTCCCTGGGAGGGTGCACAGCCACTGGAAAGTATCACTGCTGTAACTTCAATACAACAAATTGTCATCATATCTGCTCTTTTGGTTTATTTATTTTTTTGGAGATGGAGTCTCACTCTATCACCCGGGCTAGACTGCAGTGGCACAATCGCAGCTCACTGCAACCTCTGCCTCCTGGGTTCAAGTGATTCTTCTGCCTCAGCCTCCCAAGCAATTGGGATTACAGGTGCACTGCCATGCCAGGCTAATTTTTGTATTTTTAGTAGAGATGGAGTTTCTCCATGAGGGCCAGGCTAGTCTCGAACTGCTGTCCTCAGGTGCTCTGCCCACTCGACCTCCCAAAGTGCTGGGATTATAGGCATGAGCCCTTGCACCTGGTCACATCTGCTCTTTGTGCAGTGTTGCAGGCATAATACAAGAGCTAACATGCAAATAAGTAACATATGAACACTCATCAACTGTGCCTGACATGCCAAGTGCCACATGTCAGGCACAGACAATGAGTGTGCATAATTACTTATTTAGTCTTTACCACAGGCCAAGGTCACACCATCATCTTTATCTTCCATATGAGACAACTGAGATGCAGAGATGTTAAGTTACCTGCCCAGGGTCACTCTGGTCAGATTTCTTTCACTGTCATACTTTTTCTATGTCAAGTTTTTCTCACTGTCATAATTTTTTCCAGGGCACTTTCATTAGGAGCAATATAAACACAGTGGTTCTGAGAATGTCTTCTGGAGCTAGGCTGCCTTCACTTCAAATTCTTGCTTTCACATCCTCCTTCCCTGGCTAAGTGACCCTGAGCACTGCATCTTGCTTCCAACCTCCAAGCTTCCCTTGTCCATTCCTGGACATAAGCCAGGCTAAATATGAGAGGAGTTTAGTTCCAAGTCTAAGTGTGAAACAAAGATGATAGCCCTTTCCCGAGACAAACCTCTTCCTTTCTTGGGGATCAGACCTCCTTAGCAAAGTTAACAAATTAGGCACGAGATTGGAAATTATGGCTCAGGAGCTATGAAGCCAGAAGCCACAAGATTCCTAAGCTCCCCAATTGTGCCTATAGATAACATCATTAGTGTCAAACCTAAGATTGGTGTTCAAGGTATTTTTCAGACCCTGCCTTATGATGGACTAGCTGGCACACCCAGACCGGTAAACTGGCTCATCTGGTCCTGTGGCCCCCACTCAGGGACTGACTCAGTGCAGGAAGACAAGCTCTGACTCCCTGTGATTTTTATCCCCAACCCAACCAATCAGCTTTCCCCATTCCCTAGCCCCTTGCCTGCCAAACTATCCTAAAAAAAAAAAAAAAAAAAAGTGTCCTCTGAATTTGGGGGGAGACAGATTTGAGTAATAATAAACCTCTGTCCTGGTCACTTAGCTGTCTCTGCATTTATTAGATTCTTTCTCTATTGCAGGAAGCCTGCTTTTCTCAGCTCCATTGGCTTTTCTGGGCAACCAGCAAGATAAACTCACCAGTTACATTAATAAAAGAGAAACACAAATAGTACATATGCTTGAAAAGAAGTGTAAGTCTGTATATTTCTTTTGAAGAAACAGGAAAGGAGGAGGAATAATATGACAGGCAACACACTGTCCTAAATATTTTCATGATTCTCCTGCCTCCCCATATCCTTCTTATCCCAACAACTGCTCCCTAGAAACCTCCAACTTAAACACAATCCTGCCAGAACTAGGTTTGTCCTTCTCTTGCATTTTCCTCTCACTTGCCCCACACCCCTTCCAAATCTGTTCTTTCACTTCCAGGTCATTGAGTTTTTCCATTTAAAAATATGAAAGATACAGAAAGAAGAAGATAACCAGTCATCCATATTCCCACCACCTGGAATTAAGTACTGTTCACATATGTACATATTTTTCTTCCAAATCATTTTAAAGTTACTCTCATTTTTTTTAAATTATACATGCTTAGCATAAACCATAACACTAATACAGAAAAAGTACAGATATGTAAAATTTCTGATCACCATAAGTTCAAAATAACTTTTGTTAACATTAGGGCAACACTGATTGAATCATGTTCTTCTGGTATATCTACAGAGAGAAGAATGTATATTTTAGCTAGACTGTCCCCCCAACGCCCCTGCAAAAGAAAAAACAGAACAATAAATATATATATATATATATGAGCTATATATTATATATATACATATATATAGGAGCTATTATATAGATACATATATAGGAGCTATCTATTATATATATACATATATATAGGAGCTAAATATTATATATATACATATACATATATATATATACATATATATATGTATATATATATATATGCTTTTCTAATATTGAGCTTAGACTCTATTTTTATTTTACAAATATTCCATTTGGGTCCGGCGCGGTGGCTCACGCATGTAATCCCAGCACTTCGGGAAGCCAAGGCGGGTGGATCACGAGGTCAGGAGATCGAGACCATCCTGGGTAACACAGTGAAACCTCATCTCTACTAAAAATACAAAAAATTAGCCGGGCGCGGTGGCGTGCGCCTGTTGTTCCAGCTACTCAGAAGGCTGAGGCGAGAGAATGGCGTGAACCCGGGAGGCGGAGCTTGCAGTAAGCCGAGATGGCGCCGCTGCACTCCAGCCTGGGCAACAGAGCGAGACTCCGTCTCAAAAAAAAAAAAAAAAAAAAAAACAAAAGCAAAAACGAAAAAACAAAAAACAAAAACGAAAAAACAAAAAACAAAAAACAAAAAACAAATATTCCATTTAATGGTGCATGAATTTAACTGAAGACAAAGAGACAGAAACAGAAACGAAGGAATTCCTGAACTCTCAATCACATTTAGAGAGACGCTTTTCTAAAGGAATCCTCTAAAGCTAAACATAAGTTAAATTAAGTAGAATGCATTATGATTTGCAGTGTTTGTTTGTTTGTTTTTGAGATGGAGTTCTTGTTTTGTTTTGTTTTGTTTTTCTCTGTTGCCCAGGCTGGAGTGCAGTGGCTCGATCTCAGCTCACTGCAACCTCCGCCTCCCAGGTTCAAGCAATTCTCCTGCCTCAGCCTCCCAAGTAGCTGGGATTACAGGCGTGTGCCACCATACCCAGCTAATTTTTGTATTTTTAGTAGAGATGGGGTTTCACTATGTTGGCCAGGATGGACTCGATCTCTTGACCTTGTGATCTGCCTGCCTCAGCCTTCCAAAGTGCTAGGATTACAGGCATGAAGCACTGTGCCCGGCCTTTTTCTTTTTCTTTTGTTTTCTTTTTCTTTTTCTTTTTTTTTTTTTTTTAGAGCAGCATCACTTGCTCTGTCACCCAGGCTGGAGTGTAGTGGCGCGATCTCCACATGCTACAACCTCCACTCCCAGGTTCAAGAGATTCTCCTGCCTCAGCCTCCTGAGTAGCTGGGATTACAGGCGTCTACATCACACCCAGCTAATTTTTTTTGTATTTTTAGTAGAGATGGGGTTTCTCCATGTTGGCCAGGCTGGTTTCAAACTCCTGACCTCAGGTGATCCGCCTGCCTCAGCCTCCCAAAGTGCAAGGATTACAGGCGTGAGCCACCACGTCTGGCCTGCAGTGGTTTTCTTACTACTTTTTACAATCAAATTGATTAAGGCATTGGTTGAATATGGTACAATACATCCATTTCAAGTTTGATGACATGTCTACTACTCCAGAAGGTCCTCTTGTGCCCTTTGCAGTCAGTCCCCTCGACTCCCTGACCCCAGCAATTAATGATGTATTTTCTGCCACTATACAGGTTAGTTTCACCTGTTCCAGAAATTCACCTTGATGGCACCACACAGAATGCACTCTTTTGAGATTCACCCATGTTATCTCATGTTTCCATAATTTGTCCCATCTTACTGAGGGTGGTATTCCATTGGATGAATATATCACAAAAGGTCCATTAACCTCTTGATACATATGAACTGTTTCCAGTTTGGGGACTATTGTAAACAAAGCTGCTAAGAACAAGTTCTTTTTGTTAATATTTGTTTTGTAAATTCCGTTTGTCATTCTTTAGTATTAACTTATTTTGTAAAAGGACGTAATCTTCATAAGTGCAAAATTCATTCAAATTTTACAGAGGCCTGAAGCAGAAGCCTACACAATTTCCTTTGTTATATTTCATAATTAAGGGGGAAAAAACTTTATCTGGGATGTTGTTTCCTATCAGCAAATCCTTAATGTAAGCCATACAGGATGCTAGCTGTACTATTAGACTATCTTCTGTAATCTGTGCAATAACTCTAAGAAGTACTTCGTCTTATTATTTTCCTGTAACACTTTCCAACTTGAAGCCTAGCAAATTGAAGGACCTGGCCCCAGGTCAAACAGAAGGCAAGCGGCAGCGCCAGTACTGGAAGAAGGCCTTCCCAAAGGCAGACAGAAGCTCACGTCTTTGTCAGAACCTCGGTATTTCTGATGCGCCTGGAAGCCAATATCCAAGCCGTTCTCAGCCACTGGATTGGTGGGCTGCTTTGCTCAGAAACTCCTCGATCAGGAATCCCAAGCATACGTTAGTGATGACGGTCCCAAAACAAGGGACATTTCTTAACCATTCTAAAAACCCGTTTGCTCATTAGTAACGCAATGAAAGTTGCTTTCGTCTTGGTTCATATATTTTATATTTGAGCAAGGCAATGTCCGCTGCTGGGGTTAGAAGTAAATGGCTCGTCTTCATCAAACTAGATCAGTCCGTAGGACGTATGGCTTCCACTCGCAGTGTCCTGAACACTGGCTGGGCTTCCTGTGCGTTCTAGCCGGTTTTCTTTGGAGCCGCGGGTTTCTGCACCGCACCCTAGTCGGGATGGCAGAGGCTTCTCGGAACACGCGGATCTATGAGTGCAGTCCCCGGGGTAGCCACCAGGGAACGCCATAGGCTTTCCCGCTGTGTTCCTCCTTGCCTTTTCCGTTTGGGCCAGGTAGTTTCTATTGACCAGGACATTACAGATCAGAAGTGGGTGGGGTCAGAAAACACACCCTGGGAGAGGCTGGCAAAATGCCCAGAACCGCCATCACTAGGACTGGGGTTTTCTTCTGTAGTGGAATTCTCGTGTTCATGTAGTGCAGGGAGGATCGCAGCGCATTTCCGCCAAGACAAGTGAGACTGCGGTTCTGACCTGCGGGCCTCGATGAATTGCGTTAGGACACCTGGGCGCTGGCAGAGCCGTTCTCCTACACAAAGCAAGCGTGTTATGTCTACAACCGAACGGGGACACTAAGAGCCCCAAAGGCCCTGCTTTCATCCCAAAGAAGAGTGCCTGTCTGCGTAGTTTCCACCTGGCTCTATGAGGTGAGAACTGATTCCTCGCTAGCACAGAAATCCTGAAACAGAGGCTGTGTAAAAGGTGACAGGGGCCTAGGGGAAAACACGAAGATTTTCACAGAGCGTGAGACCCCAAGAGACTGGAGACCATGGATCAATTTTTGCAATAAGCAGCCTTATGTTCAAAGGGAAAAGCTATGCAGCCTTCGCGCTAGTTAACTTGTGATAAACAGGCTCACAACGGCTGACGCTTGTTCCTTCTCCAGCGAGGACAACGACATGCCACTTCTGTTCCCCAGCCATCCAACTGTAAAAATAACATGACACCACCCATATTATGCACTACTAAAAGTATCCCTTCACATACAATCTGCGTTTTCCAGCACAAAATTCAGAGGACAGCGCGAACGCAGTCCCCCACTACCACAAATTATGCAGTCGAGTTTCCCACATTTGGGGAAACGGCAGGGGTCAGCACATCCGGAGTGCAATGGATAAGCCTCTCCCTGGGAAAACCACCTTCGTGATCATCGTATCTCCCCTGCCAGGTAAGTATGAGATCATACGCCTCCGCCCTGCCACAGCTCCATACGCCTCACCCCTTACACGCACGGTCACTTCCCACGCGCAACCCCCCACCGCCCCCCACCCCCACCCCCAGCCCTCCTAGCCCTGACACACAGCTGGGACTATCACGTCCAACCGGCGGTCCTGGACTTGCTCCCACAGCAGGAGAAATCCTCCGTGGCGAAGCAGCAGCCCCTGAGATGCCTCATCTACACAGGAATCGCCCTATCCGTGATGTCACCGACAGCACCTTTCCCGGTCCGGCTCTGCTCTTCTGCCCCACCCTCTGCCACCTCAGCCGATGAACCCGCTGCGGGAGCCGGCGGAGGAAGTGACGCCTGCCTCTCCCTCTTTTCCCTCCCATCCACGCCCCTGGTCTCTCCCAGAGAAGTAGGTTCTTAGTCTGTGATGCCAAGGACCCCTTTGGCGGCCAGCTGGAGCCTGTGCGCTCTTCTTCAAATAATGTCTTTTAATGCGCAAACTAGAAAGTTCAGGATTACAAAGAAAACTGGTTCTTTTCACATACGGTTATCCTTGTGATGTAGCATTCCGCTTGACATTGGAAGTCGTTCGATATCAGAGAGAAACCATATCTACGAAACTAGAGAGGCTGCTCAGATGACTACAAACCAGCCATTCTTACTTGTTTTATCACTGGGAGTGTTATAAAGATGGTCGTCCAGTTTCATGATTCTTGCAGGGTTTTTTCAAATACAGCAATGTACAAAAATGTGCTGCTCCAGCAGAGCACACTGGACACGCAGACATGGTGCCGGAGTTTGCCATCTCTTCCACTGCCTTCTCTAGACCTTGGCGCTTACCTCATGTTAACAGTTTATATGCTGCAAAGACAGAAACAAAGTCATCCAAATTTGGCAAAAATATTTGGGGGAAATTTTATTTCAGGTGTTTAACTGATTACTTTTAATATGTAGACTACAACACCAAACTCTGACAATACTCCACAGACTTATTAATGGTTTCCACCCCCCTCTCTGCAAATCTATCAGGCAAGTTTTTCCTGCCCTTCACTTTCATATAAGCTGAGTCATACAGTGTGTAGTGGGTTTTGTGGGGAGTGTTACTGCCCAACATGTTCACCTTGCCTGCTGCCTAGACAGAGCCAATTTTTCGACACAGGGGAATTGCAATAAAGACCTGCACTTTTTATTTGGTGGTTGGGGGCCAGTGAGTTGAGAGTTGTGATTGGTCAGGTCGGAGATGAAGTCACAGGGAGCTGAAGCTGTGGTCTTCTGCTGGGTCAGTTCCTGCGTGGGGGCCACAAGACCAGATGAGCCAGGTTATCAGTCTAGCTGGTGCCAGCTGATCCACTGAGTGCAGGGTCGGCAAAATATCTCAAGCACTGATCTTAGGTTTTCCAATAACGATGTGATCTCCAGGAACAATTTGGGGAGGTTTAGAATCTTGCAGCCAGAGGCTACATGACTCCTAAACCATAATTTCTAATCTCAGGGCTACTTTGTTAGTCCTGCAAAGGCAGTCTAGTCCCCAGGCAGGAAGGGGGTTTGCTTTGGGAAAATGATATTATCATCTTTGTTTCACAGCTAAACCATAAACTAATTTCCTCCCAAAGTTATTTCGGCCTGTGCCCAGCAATCAACAAGGACAGCTTGGACGTTAGAAACAAGATGGAATCAGTTAGGTCAGATCTCTTTCACTGTGATAATTGTCCCAGTTGTAACTTTTGCAAAGGCGGTTTCAGAAGCAGAGGCATAGGTTTGACTTCTTTCACTCAGTCTTATGTCTATGAATTTTTCATGTTATTCATATGGTTATTTGTTTCTATGTGTATTCCTTTGTAGGAATATACACTAACTTATTTATTTCTTCTGCTATTGTTGAGCATGTTGACCTAAAAGAAAGAGGCTGAAGCACAAAATATAATTTAGAGTTTACCTGAGCCAACATGAAGAGAGCTGCCTGGAAGACTCACACTCAAGGAACCTTGGATCTGAGCTCCCTTTGATCTTTGTCACAAGCAGGTATTTAAAGGTCAAAAGCAGGGACAGACAGTGGGCTGACAGAAAGGTGCCTGTCAGGAGTTCTCATTGGTTTACAGAAATAACATTGATTGGTGATTGGCTATATGTTGTTAAGTTATAGGGTATGGGGGTACAGGGATTGGTGTGGCATTATTAGGTTAATTTACAGCTACTTGAGGCAATAGCAAGCAGTTTCAACAGATGAATACATAGCTCAGTGCAGCTCAAAAGGAAGGAGCAGAAAGTGGTTGCTGTCTCGATTTAACCTCTCTCTGGGCCTGATCATCTGAGAGGGCTCACATTCCTCAGATAAAACATTTTTAAAAAACTTTCTTCTTGAAAGCATTGATGATCAAAAGCTCATTCAAGGTGTCCCTCTTTGCCAGAAAGGCTTATTCCTGGATAGTCCTGTCCCAGGCAGGGGACAGGGGAGGAAAGAAGCCACCTCACTGAGGAATTTTTAAGAATGCCCAAAAGTCCAATTGAAAGGGCATTACAACCAGGCACGGTGGCTCACATCTGTAATCCCAGCACTTCAGGAGGCCAAGATGGGTGGATTGCTTGAGTCCAGGAGTTCGAGACCAGCCTAGGCAACATGGCAAAACCCCATCTCTACAAAAAACACAAAAAATAGCCAGGTGTAGTGGCACACACCTTAGTCCCAGCTACTCAGGAGGCTGATGTAGGAGGATTGCTTGAGCCTGGGAGTTCAAGGCTGCACTGAGCTAAGATCACACCACTGCACTCCAGCCCAGGTGACAGAGTGAGACTCGGTCTCAAAAAAAAAAAAAAAAAAAAAAGAGAGACAGAGAGGCCTCAGTTAAGTCTGCAGCTTCTGTCACTTGTTGAATCATCTCTAGTCTTCAGAATACCATGAAATTAGTTTTCTCAGAAGTAAAACGATGAGAAATACATAACAATAATGACATTGCACTTCATCATTCCATTTCCTAAGACATTTATAGGGCCATGGATGGTGATCTTTTCAAGAGACAAAAATAAACGCGGGTGCAGAACAGGTAAGTGCACTATAATTTGAGTACATCAGCTTTTGGGCATTAAAATCGTGGGTCAGAAATTTAGAGCAAGAGGGCAGGCTGGATCCTGATAGCAGGAGAGTGTGTGTGTGTGTGTGTGTGTGTGTGTGTTTTGAGACGGAATCTCACTCTGTCGCCCATGCTGGAGTGCAGTGGCACAATCTCGGCTCACTGCAAGCTCCGCCTCCCAGGTTGACGCCACACTGAGATTCCCTAGTAGCTGGGACTACAGGCGCCTGCCACCATGCCCGGCTAATTTTTTGTATTTTTAGTAGAGACGGGGTTTCACCGTGTTAGCCAGGGTGGTCGCGATCTCCTGACCTTGTGATCTGCCCGCCTCTGCCTCCCAAAGTGCTGGGATTACAGGCTTGAGCCACCGCGACTGTCCGAGTGTTTTTCTTTTAACTTTCCAGTAGCATCATGGTGTTTACCACTGTTATTTCAGAGTGAAGTGACAATTTTGTTGTTTGGTTGGTTTTGTACTTTTTATTTTTATTATAATTACTTTTTAAGTCAAGGACTCTGTCTCCCAGGCTGGAGTGCAGTGGCAAGGTCACAGCTCAGTGCAGCCTTGACCTCTAGACCTCCAAGGCTCAATGGCTCAGCCTCCCAAGCAGCTGGGACTACAGGCACACATCACCACACCCAGCTTATTTATTTTTTGAGACAGGGTCTCACTCTGTTATCCAGGCTGGAGTGCAGTGACATCATCAGGGTTCACTGCAGGCTCGAACTCCTGAGCTCAAGTCATCCTCTTACCTCATGCTCCTGAGTAGCTGGACTACAGGTGGACACCACCACACCCAGCTAATTTGTATATATTTTACAAAGTCAGTGTTTCACCATTTTGCCCAGGCTAGTCTCAAACTCCTGGGCTCAAGTAACCCTCCTGCCTTGGCCTCCCAAAGTGCTGGGATTACAGGCAGTTATTTTGACAATACGATTATGATGGTTAAACTGAGACGTGTGCCAGGAAGGTTAGGGTGACTCAGACAGATTAGATAAACAGGTTTTGCTTGATATGACCCTGAGTTGCATCGTGAGTGCAATCAGGAGGAATACAGGTGAAATTTAGCACAGGATGTACCAATGGGTCATTACGGTCAAAAGTGGTTTGTGGTTCTGAGTGGCAAACCTGGAACCTTGTCAAATTTCCCACAGAGGTAATGGTTTGTGAGATTCTGATCAGAGAATTATCCCTCCCTGCTGTAATCAAATTAGTTAGGGACAGTAAAACAGAAATCTGATCATAAGTATTTTGCTATGTATGTATGTATATGTATATACACATACACACAATAGGACTAGTGTGGCATATCTTAAGAGAATATGCATATAGGGTGATTTTACCAAAACCACCAAGAGACAACCCCTACAACTTAAAGGAGCCCTAATGGTGTGTGTATTCCAGTCAACAAAAAAGAGACTAACTCTTTCAGGTGCAGTGAGCACTGGAATTGTAACTGATTATACAGGCCAGTATCTTGGGTGAAAGCGGACTACCACAGATGTCAGCTACTTGCCATCTCTGTCAGGAAGATTGAGTTACCTTTAAGTGAAAATCTCCTGACAGATGTTCACTCTGGCAGGGTTGCCTTTTACAAGAGAAACATGAATCCGTGTGTCAACGCACGTAAGTTTAATGGCACAGATTGGTCAGTAATACCTGTTGTGAGTCAGGTGCAGTGGCCCATGCCTGTGGTCCCAACTATTTGGAAGGTTGAAGCAGAAGGATGGCTTGAACCCAGGAGTTCAAGGCTACATTGAGTCATGATTGTGCCACTGCATTCTGGCTTGGGGAATAGAATGGGATCCCATCTCAAAAAAATGTATAAAATAATAATAATACCTGATGTGGTCCCTTCCAACAGTCTTGGGGGGAATATTTTATTTGGTGTTGTTTCTAGTAAACAACATCTCCAGGTTATAGGCCGTGATTTTTAGTATTTTCATCTCCCAGGAGTGCATTATGAAAGGAATCCTTTATTAATGTGGAGTTCTTAGTAAGTTTTGAGAGATCTTAGCAGTAATGGAGAAAGTCACCTTTAAGAAGTGCAGATTCATAAGCGCCTTCATCTAACCACTGCATGGGTCTTCCGTTATTATTTCAAAGAGAGGGAGTGTGGACATTTTCCAGAACCAGTGGGAGATCCTTGGCCAAGAAAGGTTAAAAACTTCTGTTAGCTTTGCCAACTGAGTTTTTATTGTGTCATTAGTACATTCCATCGGCCCAGAGGATTATGGGTGACAGGCACAATGGAAATGTTGGGACATAGGCAAAACATTACAAATGGATCCAATTACCTGACCAATGAAGTGTGTTCCTCAGTTGCTATGGCATTCAGATGGCACTCCCCATGAGGAATTACCTTTTCTTTTCTTTTTTTTTTTGAGATGGAGACTAGCTCTATTGGAAGGCTGGAGTGCAGTGGCACGATCTCAGCTCACTGCAACTTCCGCCTCCCAGATTCAAGCAATTCTCCTGCCTCAGCCTCCTGAGTAGCTGGGACTACAGGTGTGCACCACCACGCCTGGCTAATTTTTGTATTTTTAGTAGAGACGGGGTTTCACCATGTTGGCCAGGATGGTCTCGATCTCTTGACCTCGTGATCTGCCCACCTTGGCCTCCCAAAGTGCTGGGATTACAGGGGTGAGCCACTACGCCCAGCCAGGAATTACCTTTTCTAATCACAATCTACCTACTACTTGGGCTGTGGCTCATTGGCATGGAAATGCTCACCCCAGTGAGCACGTACAAATTAACACCAGAAAGTATCTGTGACCCTGAGATGGAGACAGCTGGATAAAGTCTAACTGCCATGTCTCGAAGGGTCCTAAAGTTAAAATGTCCTTGTGACCCATGAAGGGGCTTTCCAGGGTGATGTTTGGGACAAACAGTACCACAAGAATAAACCTTTTCTGCAATCATAGGCAATGATTTTCAATACCATTGCTTTCCCCATGCTAACATTTTATCTGATTTCCAATGAGGCAGCTTATGAAGTACTGTATTCAGGGTAATTGAAGCCTAAGGGGTGGATCAGTGTATCATTGGGCCCATACCATAAGCCTGTTTCTGGAAGAAACTTGTTCCCTTTATCCTTCCAGAGATCCCTCTCCTGCTTAGGAGCTCCCACTTACGCTTCTTTTTTTTTTTGCTAGAGTCTAGCTGTGTTACCCAGGCTGGAGTGCAGTGGAGCAATCTCGGCTCACTGCAAACTCTGCCTCCCAGGTTCAAGCAATTCTCGTGCCTCTGCCTCTCAAGTAGCAGGAATTGTAGGCATGTGTCACCACACCAGCTAATTTTTGTATTTTTAGTAGAAACAGGGTTTCATCATGTTGGCCAGGCTGGTCTCAAACTCCTCACCTCAAGTGATCCACCAGCCTGGGCCGCCCAAAGTGCTGGGATTACAGGCATGAGCCACCATGTCCAGCCCACTTTTACTTCTAATGAAGTCTTCAATGGGTCATAAGTCAGCAAGGTCATTTCGAGAAGTTCTGTGTCTGATGCCACCTTCAGAACTGCATTCTTAGCTGCAGCATCAGCAAAATGATTGTCCTTGCTCTCCGGAATATCTAGTTTTGAATGACCAGGAATTTTGATGATGGCCAAAGATAAGGGTTTTCAAATTGCTTCTAAGAGATCAGAGATTTATTGGTCATTTTTGATGGCTTGACCTGATGAAATCAGATACCTATGTTGCTTCTAAAGCATTCCAAAATCATCACCTACTCCAAATGCATCTCTGCTCCCAGTGTAAATGTTAGGCTGAGGTGGAAGGATTGATTGAGCCCAGGAGTTCATTCAGGTCCAGCCTGGAAAACACAGCAAGATGTCCTCTCTACAAAAAAAAAAAAAAAAAAATCAAAGAATTAGCTGGGCATTGTGGCATGCACCTGTGGTCCCAGCTACTCGGGAGGCTGAGGTGGGAGTATTGCTAGAGCTGAGAGGTTGAGGATGTGGTGGGCCATGATGGAGCCACTGCATTCCAGCCTGGGTGACAGAGTGAGACCCTGTCTCAATAAATCAATAAATAAATCTTAACCATTTAAAATATCAATGACAGATTTGTTTGGCCTTTTAAGTGCATTGCTGAATTCTCCAATCTACATATTGGGGAACAACCTGGGTAATGGCAACATGGAGGTATTTGGCAAAAATGCAGACCCTTTCATTGTCTGCTTCTGTCTGTTTTTAAAAACCCTCTAAAGGATTATTCCAATTCACCCTTTCCAACCATTTAGTGGCCCTGCCTTCTTACACCAACATGTGAATTAATTGATAAAGATCAGAATATCCAGGCTCAAAAGTTTGGACAATTAAGTCAAATTTTCTCCTAAACCCTATAGGATCTTGGAGGTTGCTTTTGAATTAGAAAGGGAAAATTCAGCTGGGTGCAGTGGCTCACGCCTGTCATCCCAGCACTTTGGGAGGCCAAGGCGGGTGGATCACAAGGTCAGGAGTTCAAGACCAGTCTGGCCAAGATGGTGAAACCCCCTCTCTACTAAAAATACAAAAAAATTAGCCAGGCATGGTGGTGGGCACCTGTAATCCCAGCCACTTGGGAGGCTGAGGCAGAGAATTGCTTGAACCCGGGAGGCGGAGGTTGCACTGAGCAGAGAAAAAAAAAAAGAAAGAAAGAAAGAAGGGGAAAATTCATGTAAATTTTCATCAGGGAAGTCTTTTTTTTTTTTTTTTTTTTTTTTTTGATACAGAGTCTTGCTGTGTCACCCAGGCTGAGTGCAATGGCATAGTCTTGGCTCACTGCAACCTCCACTTCCCAAGTTCAAGAGATTCTCCTGCCTCAGCCTCCCGAGTAGCTGGGATTGCAGTCATGTGCCACCATGACTGGCTAATTTTTGTATTTTTAGTATAGATGGGGTTTCACCATGTTGTCCAGGCTGCTCTCAAACTCCTGACCTCATGATCTGCCTGCCTAGTCCTCCCAATGTGCTGGGATTACACGCAAGAGCCACTGCGCCCAGCCCAGGGAAGTCTTTTTATAATATTCTTAATTCACATTTTGGTGAAGCAGTATACAGAATGGTAGGCTCCCCTCTTCCTGTGGGTTTTACCTTGAAAGGGGCTGTCAGAACAGAAGTTTCAGGGAAGGGGCCAGAGCCCTGGGGACTTTCCTCAGGTGATGGTGATGGAAGAAGAGGCAAGGCAGGACCAGAGGGCTCAGGTAAGGGAGACTATGCAGGTGCAGGGGCAGGAGGAGAAGCAGCAGTTGGAGGCGAAAGAGACAAAGCCTCCTCAATATTTCTCAATTCAGAAAACGTGTCAGATGACTTCCTTCAGCTTACTTCCTCACTGGAGGCAATTTTCTCAGTTCTTTTAGAAATTTCTAGGTATCATTGGAAGTATGTCTCCCATTTAATTTGGTTCTAAAACCAAATTTTTTGGCCAGGCGCGGTGGCTCATGCCTGTAATTCCAGCACTTTGGGAGGCTGAGGTGGGTGGATCACGAGGTCATGAGATGGAGACCATCTTGGCCAACATGGTGAAACCCTGCCTCTACTAAAAATACAAAAATTAGCTGGGCATGCTGGCGTGTCCCTTTAGTCCCAGCTGTTTGGGAGGCTGAGGCAGGAGAATCGCTTGAACCTGGGAGGCGGAGGTTGCAGTGAGCCGAGATCATGCCGCTGCCTTCCAGCCTGGGTGACACAGCAAGACTCCATCAAAAAAACAAAAAACAAAAAAACAAAAACAAAAATTTTCCAATTGTGCACACTAATAAATTATTTTAAGCATTTCAAAAGATCCCAATTTTCTTCATTCTGCTTATGACTTAGGAAATGACCAGGAAATGGTTAGGTGGGTCCAGTTTCTTGGATATTTACAAGAGGATGCTTCATAAGTGTTATACATAAACCCAGCTGGTGTTTCTAAAGGTGGTTGTTTCTTCACAGTGTGCTGAATTTTGAAGCTTGATTTCCCATAATTCAGGAGCTTTTCAGATGACCAAGGCCTGCGATGTGTTTTGGGTCACAGTGTGGTGCTTATGAAGTCACTCCTACAGATAACACCGGAGTTGTGTGTCACTGTCTCAGTGGTTCCACTGTTTCTAACCACCAGGTGGCCACAGAGTCCCACATATATCCTCCCAGAAGAGCAGGAAAGGGGGTTGATAAAAGTGTTCTTCTGATGGGAAGTGTCCTATAAGGCCACCTTCACATGGTGACTAATGACCCCAACACCTCTGCAACATCCCCGATCACTTGGAGCACCTGAATGGATCAGCGGGAGCAGATCACTTCTTTTCTTCAGGGCAGGGGAACACACCTCCATGCACTTTCCAGTTAAGAACTAACAGGAATTAGTCACAAATGAAAACCTAAGTCCAAATGTTCAAAACAACATGCTACATAAAACAAAACCACCAGGGCCTACCTGCCAATACCTTGACCCAGAACTTCCTGCTGAGGAATAGAGGCAGAAAAGGCAGAAGCTCTCTGGGGAGCTCTTTGCCTGACTGTGACCCAAACCTTCTGTCCTGATGCAGAGGTGGAAAAGGCAGTTATTTCCCCCTGAAACACAAATCTCTTACCCACAGGGTAAAGACAGAAAACCTCTGTTCTAGAAAGGGAGAGCTGAAAAGGACACTCAAGCAAACTCCAAGACTTCAATCAACCAGTGTTTCTCTCAGAGTCAGTACTCGAAGGCTTCAGAGCTGGCCAGGCACCCAGTCCAGGAGGAATGTGGTGTGATCTGAGAGATGAAAATACATGCCCCCTTATAGACTAAGACAGACTGTAAGGTTAAGGAAACAAAAGTTAGCTACTTGTCCAGGGTTCAGGGCTCATCTGGCATGGCAACTTCCTGAATTCCTATGGCTACAGGAAAAACCACACTCTTGCTAAACTCCTTAACAATAGGAGCTAGCAAGCAAATTGTCAAAATCTTCCCAGCCCTTCTCAACTGGATTTACAAGCCAGATCACTAGAGCTCTGATGGGACAGAGGAGTGGCCTTCCATTCTTTCCTAATAAGCAACTGCAGATATCAAGCCAGTTTCAGCCATGTTACAGGGACTGCACACAAACCAACTTCGTGTCCAGTAGTTCACCTTTTGATATAAAGAGCCAATTTCTGCCTTATTTTATGCTAAAATCCCTTCCCCATCTGTGAAGATGGGGTGCATGTTACATATATGTTTACCCATTGCACATGAGCTCAATACTCCTCAGAAATGGTGTTTCCCCAAACCTACTGAATATGTATGACTCTATTGTGTGATACACACCCTGTGAGGCACAAAAACCAACCTGCCCTCTCTCTCTGTCTCTGAAGAGAAAGTGCCTCTTCAAAGACACACACCGGAGACTGTCACTTCCTGGACTGCAAACTTATATCACCAATAAAATTCTTACTACTATTTAGCCACCCTGGAGGACTTTGAGAGGACAGTCAGATGGTCAGAGATGAGTCAGTCTGAATCCTGCTCCCAGGGCCAAAAACATTGACATAGAAGGAAGGCGCTTAAGCACAAAATATGATTTAAAGAGTTTGTTTGAGCCAATGTGAATGTAGTTGCCCGGAAGGCTCAGACCCAAACAATATTGGATATCGGTTCTATTTGGCCTTTGTTACAAGCAGGTTTGTAAAGACCAAAAAGGGAGTCAGGGAGTTGGCTGGTAAAAAGTTGCTTGTCAGGAACTCCCAGTGGTTTACAGAAATAACATTGATTAGCTATACATTGTTCAGCTACAGGGAGTGAGAGATGGTGTCCAGAGCAGCATGTTTAGGTTACTTTATAGCTAACTGTGGCAATAGCAAGCAGTTTCAGTGGATGCATACATAGCTCAAAAGTGGGGAAGTGGCCGGTGGTGGTGGCTCATGCCTGTAATTCCAACACTTTGGGAGGCCGAGGTTGGCGGATCACCTGAGGTTAGGAGTTTGAGACCAGCCTGGCCAACATGAGGAAATCCCATCTCTACTAAAAAAAAAAAAGGCAGGCGTGGTGGTTCGCGACGTTAGTCCCAGCAACTCGGGAGGCTGTGGCAGGAGAATTGCTTGAACCTGGCTGGAGGAGGTTGCAGTGGGCCAAGATCCTGCCACTGAACTCCAACCTGGGCAACAGAGTGAGACTCCATCTCAATACAATAAAAAAAATATTTTTTAACTTAAAAAAATTTAGAAAGCAGGAAGTAGGATGTGGTTGCTCTCTCATTTTAATGCCTAGCTTTAGGCATGCTAAATTGAAAGCACTCATTTTCCTCACATGAAAAATTCTTTTCTTTTCTTTCTTTCTTTTTTTTTTTTTTTTTTTGGAGACACACTCTCACTGTGCCACCCATGCTAAAGTGAAGTGGCATGATCTCTGCTCACTGCAACCTCCACCTCCAGGGATCAAGCAATTCTCATGCCTCAGCCTCCCGAGTAGCTGGGATTACAGGCGCTAGGCACCATGCCTGGCTAATTTTTGAATTTTAGTAGAGATGGGGTTTCACCATGTTGGCCAGGCTGGTCTCGAACTCCTGACCTCAGATGATCCACCCGCCTCAGCATCACAAAGTGCTAGGATTACAGGTGTGAGCCACCATGCCCAGCCAAGACCATTAATTTAATCTATAGCTAAATCTATTCGTTTTTCATGTTACAAATTCAACAAGAAAAATTTTCCCTAATGAAACATCACATTTAAAGCTAAGTAGAAAAAAAATGTAATAGTGCCTTGCTGTGTCATCCAGGTGAGAGTGCACTGATGTAACCACAGCTGACCAGCCTA
Organism: Homo sapiens; assembly: GCF_000001405.40. Lineage (NCBI taxonomy): Eukaryota > Metazoa > Chordata > Mammalia > Primates > Hominidae > Homo > Homo sapiens. Next base: position 148,374,316 of record NC_000001.11, read on the forward strand.
GAACTCTGGGCTCAGGCAGTCCTCCCAGCTCAGCCCGCCTTCTAATTTTTTAGAGACGGCATCTTGCCCTGTTGCCCAGGCTGGTCTCCAACTCCTTGCCTAAAGCATTCCTCCCACCTCAGCCTCCTGATTTTCTGGGATTACAGGTGTGAGTCAACCAGCCTGGCATTGCAGGAAAAAAAAAGCCCATAAATTATTCTTTATTTTATTTTATTTTGAGTTGAGGTCTTACTCTGTCACCCAGGCTGGAGTGTGGTGTTACAATCATAGTTCACTGCAGCCTGGATCTCCTGGGCTCAAGCGATCCTCCTGCCTCAGCCTCCCAAGCAGCTGAGACTACAGACATGAGCCACTGTGCTGGCTAGTTTTTTTAAATTAGTTCATTTTTTAAAATTTGTAGAGACAGGGGTCTCACCATGTTTCCCAGGCTGGTATCAAACTCCTGGCTTCAATCCTTCTTCTCTCCTCAGCTGCCTAAAATGCTAAGATTACAGGTGTGAGCCACCACACCCTGCTTAATTTCCATATTTTAATTTTATATATGTAATTATTACTGTCTTTAAGATAATTGGGGCAGTAATCTCTTTAAAGCTTTAGGGACTTAATTTATCTATTCACTCCACTGGAAGAGTATGACAATTGGTTTCATAAGAAAAAAATTTATAAATTAGAAAATTTCTTTCCACCAATCTAGGGGGCATTCAAAAGCAAATAATTGCGTTAAGTAACATCATTTAAGGTGAAAACAGATGCAGTGGTATCTATTAATGCTTATCAGTAAGGGAAACAAACTGAAAAAATGAACATCATTAGATCCTTGGAAAACCCTCATTGCTGAAAATCTGAGTGATTCTGGGATACCCTTTTGAGTCTGGCAGGGCATTCTCTTTCCGGAGCATATAAAAGTGAGTAAATCATTTTTTTTAATCCATTTTCATTAAGAGCTGAACTTCCTTAATTTTCTGGAGATTATTAAATTTGATTTGTGGCCAGGAGCAGTGGCTTACGCATGTAATCCTAGCACTTTGGGAGGCCAAGGTGGGCAGATCACTTGAGTTCAGGAGTTCAAGGCCAGCCTGGCCAACGTGGCGAAACCCCATCTCTACTAAAAATACAAAAATTAGCCAGGCATGGTGTTGCATCCCTGTAATCCCAGCTACTCAGGAGGCTGATGCACAAGAATCGCTTGAACCCGGGAGGCCAAGGCTGCAGTGAGCCAAGATCGTGCCACTGCACTCCAGCCTTGGTGACAGAGCATGACTCTGTCTTAAGCAAAAAAAATTTTGATTTGTAGAGTTTAGAGAAGTGCTTATGTTGCTGACTCCATTGCTTATTTGTGATCATATAAATCTCTTTTCTCCTTTCTGTAGTGTGATTTAAACGTAATCCTTAAAGGACATATATTTCAGCTGGTTAGAGTTTTTTAGCTGGTAGAAAACTGAGTGTATGAATCAAAGAAAACTGCTCCTTTCATGCTACAGACTTAGTTTTATTTCTGTACTAAGATTTCTTTTAGGTATAGTAATCTGTTAAAGCCAAGAGCTCCTATGGAATGAAGTTCAGTGGCGGGTTACGGGGGGCATTGAGTAGTAAGATCATCTTTATAATAGAGATGCCACTCTTGCAAATATTGACAGCTATTGAGCCCAAAAAATTGTTACCAAACATTGGAAAGACAAGATATGAGCAACTTCTCATTGCTGCAGTCTCAAATATCAGGAAATACCATTATCCTCAGGACAATGAACAGACCATCAAAAGAGACTCACAGACCAGATCAGCTCTCATATATCACCAAACAGGGACTGGATCCTTGTCAAACACCACCTAACAGAGATTGTCCCCAGAAATTCACTTCATAACATCAAAACCAGAAACCCACACTGATGCCACTGATGGCAGAAAACAGTGATGGAAGAAAGAGAGAGAGGGAGATAGAGAAAGGAAGGACTTGCTCAATGACCATACTTAGTATATAAAAAGCAAAACAGCTCAACTTCTGCTCATGAAAACAAGAACCAAGGGAACAAGAGCCAATATCTCTAAGGATCCAGGTCTGCACCAGGGGCCTGTTAGGTGCAGGATTCTGTTGGCTCCAATGATGGGTGTCAGATGGATTAATTTTTATGGACATAGCCTCTGAAAGAAATCCGTCGAGGCTAATAATACGGAGACACTTGTCTGCATGCTCATTCTCCATTAATATAGAAGGAAACTGGCATTAGATTGTTTTCATCAAATAAAAGTAAAATCAAGATTTATAAAGAGAAGAGGAAAGGGGAGGAGAAAAAAAATGACTGGGACCATTGTGATTTTGCTCCCTTTGGATAAGCAACTTGGCAGAAAGCTATCAAAGAGGTCACTGTGACCTGTCTTCTCTGGACCAATGTGACTTGGTCATCACAGGAAACAATTACAGGCTGGGCACAGTGGCTCATGCCTGTAATATCAACACTTTGGGAGGCTGAGGTGGGTGGATCTCTTGAGCTCACAAGTTGGAGAGCAGCCTGGGCAACATGATGAAACTCTGTCTGTACAAAAAATACAAAATTTAGCCAGGCATGGTGGTGTATGCTAGTAGTCCCAGCTACTCAGGAGTCTGAGGTGGGAGGATCACCTGAGCCTGGGGAGGTTGAAGCTGCTGTGAACCATGATTAAACCACTGCACTCCAGCCTGGATGACGGAGTAAAACCATGTCTCTAAATAAATAAATTAAATTTGAAAAAGAAACAGGGCCAGGCATGGTGGCTCACACATATAATCCCAGCACTCTGGGAGGCCAAGATGAGAGTATCACTTGAGCTCAGGAGTTCAATACCAGCCTAGGCAACATAGTGAGAACTCATCTCTAAAAAATACATATTTCTTAATAAATATATACAATAAAATATATACCATATTTTATTATACATAATATATAATTGTATGTATTTATTATCTTAATAATATGTATATATTTATTAAATATATAAAATAAAAAAGAAACAATTACAGACGTTGGAGGACTTTAAAATATCTCAGCCAGGTGCAGTGGTTCAGGCTGGTAATCCCAGCACTTTGGGAGACTGAGGCAGGAGGATCACTTGAGCCCAGGAGGCTGAGGCTACAGTGAACTATGATCGTGCCATTGCACTGCAACCTGGGCAACAGAACAAGACCCTATCTCAAAAAATAAAATAAAATGTCTTAGAAGTTTAGCTGTCCATCCTATGCAACTGAATATCTGTGTGTAATGTCCACCATGTCCTTCTGTTTAACCTCCCCCTTACTTAAGCCAGAAAGGCATTTGTCCCCTTATTAGAATATCATTGGCACATGGCTGGGGGTGGTGGCTCATGACTGTAATACCAGCATGTTGGGAGGCTGGTCAGGAGTTTGAGACCAGCCTGGCCAACATGATGAAACCTTGTCTCTACTAAAATTACAAAAATTAGCCGGGCGTGGTGGTGCAGGCTTGTAAGCTGAGATCACGCCACTGCACTCCAGCCTGGGTGACAGAGCAAGACTTTGTCTCAAAAAAAAAAAGGGGGGGGGGAAGAAAAGAATATCATGGGCACATGTATAGAAAGTTTGTTAGGCTGGGCGCAGTGGTTCACACCTGAAATCCCAGCACTTTGGGAGGACGAGGCAGATGAATCTCTTCAGCCCAGAAGTTGGAGTTCCTGGGGCCAACCTGGGCAACATATCAAGACCCTATCTCTAAAAATAAAAAAAAAAAGTTGGATTTGATGGTGCACACCTGTAGTTCCAGCTCTTCTGGAGGATCACTAGTGCCATGGTTGCAGGGGCGGTGAGTTTGCAGTGACATGAGATCATGCCACTGCACTCCATCTTGGGTGATAGAGTGACACCTAGTCTCAAAACAAAAAGTACGGGAGGGGAGAAAATTTGTTGTGTCAGCAAGTAAATGAAGAAAGGGACATTATTAGAGTTGAGAAATAAACTGGAATGTGATTTGGTACCTCTCCCGCAGAAGATAAGTTTGCTAAATGTGCTGAAATTAGAAGCATTGTATAAGGCCCTGTGCAGTGGCTCATGCCTGTAATCCTAGCACTTTGGGAGACCTCGGAGGTGCCCGAGCTCAGGAGTTTGGGGACCAGCATGGGCAACATAATGAAACCCTTTCTCTACAAAAAATACAAAAGTTAGCTAGGCCTTTTGGATGCGACAACTGATTGTGCCACAGAGACACAACCCTAGTGGCTTAGGACTCTGGGAAGATATAATCTCCGCCGTTTATCTAGTGATTGATAATGCATGAACGCTTTAAAAGCTGAAGCAGGCAGCCGGGCAGGGCGCGGTTGCTTACACCTGTAATCCCAGCACTTTGGGAGGCCAAGGCGGGTGGATCACGAGGTCAGCTGATCGAGACCATCCTGGCCAATAAGGTGAAACCTCTGTCTCTACTAAAATACAAAACATTAGCCGGGCGGGGTGGCGCTCGCCTGTATTCTCAGCTACTCGGGAGGCTGAGGCAGGGGAATCGCTTGAACCAGGGAGGCGGATGTTGCAGTGAGCCGAGATCGCGCCACTGCACTCCAGCCTGGCGACAGAGCAAGACTCTGTCTCAGAAAAAAAAAAAAAAAAATCTGGAGGAGGCATCCCTCAGTGGGCTCTAACCACCAACCTCTAGATTAACAGCCGAACGCGCTAACCGATTGTGCCACAGAGACAGGTATTGTACCTTCTTCTGGGCACTATAGGAAGGGTGCACTCACCAAACACTCCCCCAACCGTCCCAACCTCAGAGCCCACCAGACAGTACAACTGTGCAAGGCTTTGGAAAACTGAAGAGATTAGAGTGGTGAATCGTGTTAGTCTCATTGGAGACCCGCAGGTTGGGAGATTCTGGAACCAGGACGACCTTGCCCCTCGCCTTCATCAAAAGCTGCCGGAAACGCCCCGGCCCCGACACAGACCTGAACCGCCTGGGGGCCCAAGGGAAACTGAAAGGCCGGTGGGCTCCCGGGATGGCTCTTCCCGTTCTTTGCGCCTCCTTCACCCAGTGAGGGAGCCTGTGCCCACTCTGCCCAGTCACTTTTGAGGCCGCTGAGGAACTTCCGCTGCCATCTTCGGATCCTGTGTCCCGCACGGGGGCTCCACCAGGGCAGGGATCGTGGTGAGGGTGGCTCCTGGGTCCCCTCGCGGGGAGCAGGGTCTGGCACTCACCAGCGCGCACGACTAGGACTTGTTGAATTAATCCATCCTCGCCTTTAGCTTTTAGGCCTTTGAAGAGCCCTGAAAATGGAAATCATGAAATATTTTACCATGGGGAACTTTTGATTTGCTTTTTGTTGTTTGTTTGTTTGTTTTGTTTGTTTTTGAGACAGGGTCTCGCTTGGTCGCCCAGGCTGGAGTGCAGTGGTGCAAACACGGCTCACTGCAGCCTCGACCTCCCGGGGCCGTCGTCGCCTTTAGCTTTTAGTCCCTTGAGAACCCCAAGAATAGAAATCATGAGATTTTTCCATGGGGAAGTTCTTTTTTCAAAGCGTCTATTCAAGTTGATTTCTAGGCATCCCCCAGGGAGGGCAACGGGCAGGGCCTCCAGTGCACCTTCTGCGCGGTGGAGCCGCGGGGGCTCAGTTGGGCAGTAGTAGGGATCGTGGGGAGGGAGGGCAGGAGCGGGGGAAGGGAAAAGCAAAAGCAAGGAAAGAAGCCGGGGAGCGGTGGAACACACATCCGGACCTCCTGAAAGGCTGGTGCAGAGGCACAGGCTGGATCTGGAGGTGAGAATTGTTTTGTTGTTGTTGTTGTTGTTGTTGTTGTTGTTGTTGAAGCAGAATGGGGAGGAACTGAGGGGAAAATTCAGAGACAACATAGAAGAGCTTCAAACGCGAGGACCTATAACTCCCCAAGAATAACATCTTCCAGGGACACTAGACAGAAAACTAGGCATCTGGGAACCCTGAAATCCCTGGAGGAGTAGCATCATCATGACCCTCTGTGTTCCTTTTGGCAAAAGGACTTGCTTCCCTTGTTTGTGCAATTGTTTGTGTTTGTTAAATAAATAAAACCCTTTTCATATATCTTTGAAAGTATATTGGCTCTATTATTTTAAGATTACAAATAATGCTGCAGTCATCATTCTTGTACACTTCTCATTGGCCACTGGTGTGTTTCTACAGGGTAGAGGCTTGGAGAGCAGTTGCTCCAGCATAGTGTTTACATATTTTTTATATCATTCCATTTTCTTTCCTTTTTTGGCTTATTAGCTGTAACTCTTTTTTTCTTCTTGTCCACCGCTCCCCGACTTCTTTTCCTGCTCTTGCTTTTTCAGTGATGGCTTTAGGGTTTTCAGAATACATCTTTATCAGTGCCGTCTAGTGACATTCTACCTCCCCTTCTGGCTGTTATGTTAGTGTTGTTATGTAATTTGATTTTAGACATGTTATAAACCCCAGAATCCATTATTATTTCTTTTGTTTAATTGGTCAAATTATTTTAAAAGATTTAAATAATAAGAACATATATATTTAACTATGTACATACCAATTGCCACTAGTCTCCATTTCTTTTTGTAGATCCAGATTTCTGTATGGTATCCTTATCCTTAGGCCTGGAGGAATCCTTTTGCATTTCTTGTAGTGTGGGTTGCTGAATTCTTTTTTTTTGTTTTGTTTTGAGATGGAGTCTCACCCTGTCACCCAGATTGGAGTGCAATGGTGCAATCTCGGCTCACTGCAACCTCTACCTCCCGATTTCAAGTGATTCTCCTGCCTCAGCCTCCTGAGTAGCTGGAATTACAGACACACCCCACCACACCCGGCCAATTTTTGTATCTCTGGTAGAGACGGGGTTGCACCATGTTGGCCAGGCTGGGTTGGCCAGGCTGGTCTCGAACTGCTGACCTCATGATCCGCCTGCCTCAGCCTCCCACAGTGCTGGGATTACAGGCATGAGCCACTGCGCCCAGCTAGAATTCTTTCATTTTTTTTCTATGTATTTAAATGTCCTCATTTTAGTCACATTCTTGAAAGAATTTTCATTTTGGCATAGAATTCTAGGAAAACTTTATTTCTTTCAACACTTTAGGATGTTGCCACTTTGTTTTTGCAAAACTGGCATAAAGTGGGCTTCTTGTACTTGTTATATAATTTTTGGAATGTGTATTTAAATTAATAACATAAAATGGGGTGGACTGCTGGGCGCAGTGCATCACGCCTGTAATCCCAGCACTTTGGGAGGCCAAGGTGGGCGGATCACGAGGCCAGGAGATTGAGACCATCCTGCTAACACAGTGAAACCCAGTCTCTACTAAAAATACAAAAAACTTAGCCGGGCGTGGTGGCTGGCGCCTATAGTCCCAGCTACTCCGGAGGCTGAGGCAGGAGAATGGTGTGAACCCGGGAGGCGGAGCTTGCAGTGAGTGGAGATTGCACCACTGCACTCCAGCCTGGGCGACAGAGCAAGACTCTGTCTCAAAAAAAAAAAAAAAAAAAAACGGCTGGAAGAGGTGGTGCACGCCTATAGTCCCAGTACTTTGAGAGGGGGAGGCAGGAGGATCGCTTGAGGCTCAGAGTTGGAGACCAGTGTGGGCAAGATAGCAAGACCCTGTTCTCTGTCTCATGTATATATATATATATATACACACATATACACATACACACACACACACACATACATAAATCGTGAATGTCCTAGATTCATCTTAAGTTCCACCAACAGTACACTTAAAGTAAAATGTGCCCAACCTGAGGGTCAAACCTACCTGCTGACGTGCAGTTTGTGTTTGTGAGACATTCTCAACAGCATTTGCTTTCCCTAGCATAGTGGTTTTCATGTTTTCCTCACACCTGAATGTCTTAAGTGCAAAACTTGTCAGAAATAATTTCCTTTGCCAAAAGATTCTAAAATACTTTTTTTTTTTGAGATCAGCTCACTGCAACTTCCACTTCCCACGTTCACAGGATTCTCCTGCCTCAGCCTCATGAGTAGCTGGGACTGCAGGCCTGTGCCAACACACCCAGCTAATTTTTGTATTTTTAGTAGAGATGGAATTACATCATGTTGGCCAGGCTGGTCTCAAACTCTGTACCTCAAGTAGTGTGCCCACCTCAGCCTCCCAAAGTGTTGGGATTACAGGCGTGAGCCACCATACCTGGCCTAAAATACTCTTACTTCAAGTAAAAGTGCATTAAAAACAAACTTCTCAGTTGCATCCCTGGAATCTATAGAAAGCCCGGGGAGACAATCAAGTGCTACAGGATCAAGCGCTAAACAGGGGAGGACAAAGTGTGGCTTCCTCACTAGGAGTCAGGGCAAAGTTAACTGCCTTGGTTTCCAATGGAGACCAGAACTCGGTTCCCCTGTGACGGGAGGACGCAGCCCAGAGGAGGCCGACTTTCTCTTCATGGTGCCTTCAGACAGGAAATCTCCTAGGATTTCTTTCTTTCCCTTTGATCTACTCCCAATACTCCCTTTCTGTTTCTTCAAGGTCTTTTTTGGATCCCTACTGCACAGGACCTAAGGGGCTGGTGCCCTTCCCTACCCTCCCTGCCTGGGTGTCTTCAGCACCCAAGCTCACCCAGAATGTTATTGCCTGCCAGAGACAGTGAGAGGACCAAGGAGGGCAGTGGGTGCAGTAGAACCACAGCGTCACCATGTACCTGTGCCTCGTGGGATCTGAGCAAATTGAATAAACGCCCCCTGAAGCTTTTCTGCAGGTCACAGGGAAGGGGAGGGTGGCTGCTGACCCAGCAAGAGAAGCATCAGGAAGCATCGGGGGACCTCACTGTACCCCTATACCTTGAAGACAGGCCTGGCTAGGCTGATTTTAATGGGTAGGCCGAAGGAAAAGTCTCAATGGCAACCCAACCCCCGACCCTGAGATTACAGCTTTCAAATGTCTGATTGTTTTGATGTTGGTCAGTAGAATCCATCCCACCTTTATCAGGAGACTCCTTTGCCAAAATTCTGAGATCTGGGATTCCTGCTGGTTGCCGCACAGAAAGCCAATCACCAAGATGATTATTGCCAAGGAAGGCACTTTAATAGGGTGCTGCAGTGGGGGAGATGAGAACTCAAGTCTCAAATCTATCTCCCTGACCAGCCAAAACCAGAGGTTTAGATGGCAGGAAAGAAATGAACAATGTGTAAGAAAACAGGAACTAGGGAGCAGCAAGGAAGCAATCATGATGAACGAGGGGTCCCAGCATCTCACTGTCTGGATGAATTTCAGTTCTTTGATAGCTTTTTTGACAGTCCTGAAAGTCATTTCCTGAGGAAGGAACTCAGATAAAACAAATATTAAGTTTCAAGCTTTAAGACCAGAAGGGTCCATTTCTAGGTTTATCCAAAAAAGCTACATGTGGGACTGTTGGGTGGTTTTCAGATCAAGAAAGAAAAAGATTGTGCAGACCAAAGTCTGAAGTTAACCAAAGAAAAAACAATTTTCTGACCAATAGGATGTATAGGATCAGAGAATGACAAGCCTATAGAAGAACTGTTTTTTTGTCCTGAGCATAGGGGAAGGATGAAGCTGCACCAGATAAGGTGGAATTAAGCTGCAGATGGGCAAAAATCTGAATTTTGGTTCAGAGCCCTGGGGTCTTCCTCAAAAGTCTCCTTCCTTGAAAGAGGAACCCTGTCTTGGTTTCTGCATCTCTCTGAGTCCTTTTGGAGGTTGAGGATGCTGAGGTCTTGGTGCTTGGCCCCCTCTAACCCTGAGTACTTCCCCTCCTGCAGGGCAACCTGGCCAAGTACCCAGGCCCCAGCTCCAGCGACCATTTCCCCCTACTTTGCTCCTAGCAAAGGCTATTTCTAGGTCAGTGGTGAGGCACAGGCAGGACAGGGCAACTCGTTCTGACATGTTTTGCCCTGGAAGGCCTTGAGCACTGCGGTCCTGCAGAACCACTGTCTCCCTCTTTTGGAGAAAGCAGGGAGGAAATGACCTGTGTGGAGGGAATCGAGGGCTACACCTGCATGGAGGAGCTGAGGCAAGCAGGGCAGTTCCAGTCTGTAAATGTAAAGGACATTTGTCATCCAAGAGGTTGGGCTGTTATTATTAATTTTGAATTTTGTCAAAACAAGCTTCAGGGAAATTAGTCGTCTTACTTGTAAGAACCTTACAAGACCTCCCATCTTATATTCCAGGGAGAATTGCTGCGTATTACATGAACACATAGGTGAGACTGCTGTTCTGACCTGCAGGACTTGATGCCCTGGCGCAGGGGCACCAGGGTACCGGCAAAGCCTTTCCCATACAAAGAGCAAGGATGTTATGTCTACAACCCATCGGCACCAGTTCCAAGTACAATTTCTGCTCGACTCTATGGACTGAGTACACATTCCCCCCAGCACAGAAATCCTACAAACTCCCATGAATGCTATAGTGAAAAGCAGGGGCTGGCTAGGTGTGATGGATCACACCTGTAATCCTAGCAGTTTCTAAACTTGAGTCTAGGAGTTGGAGACCAACCTGGGCAACATGGCAAAACTTCAACTCTTAAAAAAACAACACAAAAAAACAACAAAACAAGCACAGAAATTAGCCGGCTGTGGTGGCTTGTGCCTGTGCTACTCCAAGGGCTGAGGTGGGAGGATTGCTTGAGTCAAAATGCCACCAGATACAGTGAGACCCTGTCTCAGGGAAAAAAACAAACAAACAAACAAAAAGAGGCTGTGTAAGAGGTCAACAGAAAAATACTAAGGTTTTCAAGTGGTGTTAAAAGCCAGTGGGCCTTGGGGACCATTGAGCAATCTACAAAGCAGGGAAGCCTAGATCCCTGAGCTCCACCTGCCAAGTACCACCACAGCTAATGTGAGAGACCTCCCCCACAGAGACTGAAATTTGCCTCCCGAGGAAACAAGTGACTACAGACATCTGTCCCAGGATAATAAAAAAGAAAACAAGGTCTCACAAAAACAAAAACAGCTGACCACACCATACAATCACTGAGACTGAGCCTGTGACTATAGGTGAAGAAAAAAAGGCTGTCTATTATTCATACCATGAAGGACCAGGGGAAAGTGCGAACACAGTCCCCTACTACTGTTGTGGGAATCAGGAGAACAGAGAGACCAATGGGTGGAACAGGAGGACTTTATTGAGTGTACTCAGGCCCAGCATATTAAAATCCAAAGGCTGAGCCCTGAACAAAGACAAGGCTTGGCTTTTACACACACTTCTGAAAGGGGGTTGGCTAGTTTGAATGGTGCAGTGGGAATTTGAAGGTGCAAAACTCACGGTGCAGGCAAGAGGGCTTACAGAAGCAGAACAAAGGCAGCTAATCAAACTGTGACCGGTCTTGCAATGCAAGCATAGCTGGTGACCTTGCAGCTGCACTGACAGGAAATCAGGAACTTAAAACTTGAATAATAAGAAATGGTAAGGGGAAAAGAGAAGGTAGTAAAGGGATTTGTTGTTTTTTCCTCTTATCCTTGCTAGGGGCAGACTGTGTTGAGAGAGTCTCTGGAACTAATTCCTCAGGGCTCTGGCTTTTCAGACAGTGTTATCAAGGATCTGCTAGGGCTCTATCTATTGCTGGCCTTGGAGTCAGTCAAGTACTGTGAAGCTCAGTTATGCAGCTGAGCTTCACACATTAGGGGAGATAACAGAGAACAGCACATCTGGAGTGCAATGGATGAGCCTCAACCTTAGGATGAACCACTATTGGTGACCATAGGATTTCCCCTACCAGGTAAGTGGCAGTCCACATACCTCTGCCCCACCACAGCTCCATACGCCTCACCTTTACACGCATGGTCACTTGCTCTGAGAACCACCCCCACCAATCCCCAACCACCCTGAGCCCTCCTAGCCCTAACACACAGCTGGGACTCTCACGTCCACCCAGCAGTCCTGGACTTGCTCCTACAGCACGGGAAATCCTCCATGGTGAAGAAGCAGCCCTGTGCTACCTCATCTACATAGAAATGCCCTATCGATGATGTCACCGACAATACCTTTCTTAATGTTCTGGAGATTATTAAATTAGATTTGTATAGTTGTGAAAAGTGCTCATATTGCTGATTCCATTGCTTATATGTGATCATATAAATCTTTTCTCTCCTTTCTGTAGTGTGGTTTAAACTTAATCCTTAAAGGACATGTATTTGAATTTTTCAGCTGGTTAGAAACCTGAATATACCAATCAAAGAAAACTGCTCCTTACATGCTACAGATTTGGTTTTCTTCCTGTACTAAGATGTCTTTTAGATATAGTAAATTTGTTAAAGCCAAGACTTCCTATGGAACGAAGTTTGATGGGAGGGGGGACATTGAGTAGTAAGATCACTCTTGTAACAGGGATGCCACTCTTGCAGATATTGACAACTATTGGGCCCATAAAATTTTTACCAAACATTGGAAAGACAAGATATGAACAACTTATCATTGCTGCAGTCTCAAATATCAGGAAATACCATTATTCTCAGGACAATAAATAGACAATAAAAAAAGTCTCACAGAGCAGATTAGCTGTCATGTATTACCAAACAGGGATTGGATCCTTGTCAACACCACCCAACAGAAATTGTCCATACAAATTCACTTCATAACATCAAAACCAAAAGCCCACACTGATGGCAAAAAATAATGACACAATAATGAGAGAGAGAGAGAGAGAGAGACCTGTCCTATAGCCATACTTAGTGTGTAAAAGCCAAAGAGCTCAATTTCTGCTCATGATACTTAATAAAACAGACGGAACATGAGCCAATAATTCAGTGGGTTCAGATCTGCACCAAGTGCCTGTTGGATGCAGGATTCTACTGTCTCCAATAATATGTCTCAGATGGCCTAGTTTTTTTTTGTTGTTTTGTTTTGTTTTGTTTTGAGACAGAGTCTCGCTCTGTCGCTCAGGCTGAGGTGCAATGGCATGATCTCAGCTCACTGCAACCTCTGCCTCCTGGGTTCAAGCGATTTTCCTGCCTCAGCCTCCCCAGTAGTTAGGATTACAGACACACACCACCACATCCAGCTTTTTTTGCTTTTTTTGCTTTTTTTTTTTTTTTTTTTTTTTTTGTATTTTTAGTAGAGACGGAGTTTCGTCATGTTGGTCAGGCTGGTCTCGAACTCCTGACCTCAGTTGATCAGAAGTAGGTGAGGTCAGAAAACATACCCTGGGAAATGCTGGCACAATGCCCAGAACCGCCATCTCTAGGCCTGGGGTTTTCTTTTGTAGTGGAATACTAGTATTCATGCAATGCAGGGACAAGACCAATTAGATACTTCTGGGAGTTAAAAAGAGATGAATTTACAGTGCCATTTGAGAAGGGGTATTAAGGAATTTGCCAGGGTACTGACGCGTGTCAGGTGCAAACTGCAGGTTGAAAGAGAGCTAAGTATTTTCTGTCCATGAAGGTGATAAGGGAGGGCCTGAAGAAAGACGGACCGGGAAGGACACTGGCGCCAGAAGTAGGAAAGGGCTGCTTGGGGGTGGGAAGGATGGGTCGGGGTGCTATCTAAAAAGTTGCCTGGCAATGGATGTAGGATATGGAAGCGAGACATCAAACAAGAAGTTGTCATTTAAATAAAGTCTGAAGAAAGACTAGATATGTAAACAGCAGGAGATAATAGGGAAACTGGACCCCGCTGCTCATAAAACTTCCTGCCTTATATTTCAGGGAGGATCGCAGCGCATTTCAGCCAAGACAAGTAAGACTGCGGTTCTGACCTGCGGGCCTCCACGAATTGCATTAGGGCACCTGGGCTCCGGGAAAGCCATTCCCCTACACAAAGTAAGCGTGTTATGTCTGCAAATGAACGGGGACACTAAGAGCCCCAAAGGCCCTGCTTTCATCCCAAAGAACAGCGCCTGTCTGCGTAGTTTGTACCTGGCTCTATGAGGTGAGAACACATTCCCCGCTAGCACAGAAATCCTACAAACTCCTGAGGGGGCTGCGGTTAGAAGCAGGGGCTGTGTAAAAGGTGACTCTGGGGGCTAGAGAAAACCACGAAGATTTTCACAGAGCGTGAGAACCCAAGACACTGGAGACCATGGACCAATCTCTGCAAAAAGCAGCCCTGCGTAGAAAGGGAAGAGCTGTACGGCCTTCGCGCTAGTTTGTTTGTGTTAAGGCTGACGCTCCCTATTTCTCCTCAGTGGGAGAAGCGACATCTTAATTCCTATTTCCCAGCCTTCCACTGTAAGAATAACACGTCCAAGACACAAATCAATGAAAGAAAAAAGTAGCCCTTAGAGTACAGCGTATTCTTGAAACTACAAAAAATCAGGGGAAAGCGCGAACGCAGTACCACTACCACAAATTATGCAATCGAGTTTCCCACATTTGGGGAAATCGCAGGGGTCAACACATCTGGAGTGCAATGGATAAGCCTCGCCCTGGGAAAACCACCTTCGTGATCATGTTATCTCCCCTGCCAAGTAAATATGAGCTCCTGCACCTCCGCCCCGTACGCCTCACCCTTTACACGCACGGTCGCTTGCCCCGCGCACCCCCCAGCCCTCCTAGCCCTGACACACAGCTGGGACTCTCCGGCCGGACCAGCGGTCCTGAGCCCGCTCCCAAGGCTCGGGAACTCCTTCGAGGCGAAGCAGCAGGTGGGGAAGCAGCAGCTCCTGCGCTGCCTCATCTACATAGAAGTCGCCCTATCCGTGATGTCACCGACAGTGCCTTTCCCAGGCCCCATCTGCCTTTCTGCCAGTCAGCCGACCAACCCGCTGCCTGAACCAGCAAGAGGAAGTGACGTCTGCCTCTCCCTTTTTCCCTCCCGCCCCGGCATCTGTTTTCGCCCAAAGAAGCTGGTCCTTAGCCTATCTTGTGAAGCAAACTTTCGGTGGCCAGATGGAGCCTGGGTACTCTTCTTCACATAATGACTTTTATTTCGCAGACTAGAACGTTTAGGACTACAAAAGAAACCGGTTTTCTTCACATACTTATCCTTGTAATGTAGCATTCCGCTTGAAATTGGAAGCCGTTCAATGTCACAGAGAAACCATATTTATGAAAGTAAAGAGGCTTCTCAGATGACTGCAAACCAGCCTTCCTTACTGATTTTATCACTGGTAATGTTATAAAAACAGTTGTCAAGTTTAATGAATCTTGTAGTTTTTTTTATTTTTATTTTTATTTTTTTCCAAATTCAGTATTGTGGAAAAATATGCTGCCACAGAAGAAATGATTGGACACTCTCAAATGTGGTGTTGCACTTTGTCATCTTTTGCACAGCCATCTCCAGACCTTATTGCTTACCTCGTGTTAGTTTTTTATATTCTGCAAAGACAAAACCAAAATAATCCAAATTTGACAAAAATACCTGGGATACATCTTATTTGTGATGCTTAACAAATGTCTGGATCATCTTTTCTTATATGGGATTATAATGCAGGAAACACTGTGAAGTAAGCAAAGTTGGAATTCCCAAGTCAAAGACCATTTGAATATTTACAAGTAGATTTGAGACAGGAATAATACAGGGTGGTCACAGGATAACAAATTCTAGGCAGCAGATTTACATGACTTGAGGCTATGGGCTGATAAGATGCTGAAAAACCAGGGTGTGGACCAAGCTGGCTAAGACTGACTGGACCCAATGTGGTGCTGGATTTGACGTAGGTTTTACCTAGGCCCTCATTATACGCTTATTAACATACTAAATCACACACCCACCAGTGCCATGACAGTTCTGAGACCAATATTTGATGTAAAAATGGATGGCACCACAGTTCTGAGAAATCTCCACCTTTACCCAGGAATTTTCATCAATATTCCACTCCTTGGTTAAAGAAACCCATTGAGATGAAACCCCAGAACCCATTGTTCTCTCTCAGGTATGCCCAAACTCCCCTTTCTTGAGTGTGTACTTTCTGCTTTGCAATAAATCTCTTCTTTCACTATTTGCTAACTCATCCTTGACCTCATTCTTGAGATGGTGTCAAGAGCCTGGACACCACAGCTGGGGTCGAGATCCTACCAGTGTCCGGGGACCTCCCCCAGCCCACCAGTATCAGATTCTATTCCATTGCTCAAATCACAAAACATCAAATGGAGAATTCTTCTTTGGAGACCACAAAGTAAAGATTCTGTGGCATGGTGGCCAGTTAGGCCACTGGAAGACATGGCAAAATATTGAAAATGAGGGATTAGGTGACAGCGTAGTAACTGCTGAATGTGAAATACTTGATCCAGACCCCATTCCCTGTAGACTGACTGGGAGACACATTGTCCAGGTAGTAGTGGAGAAATACTTTCTGGGTATCTGACCAGCCTTTGTGGAAAGAACTGGCACCATCCTGCAGATGTAACCACCTGATGGGTTCTTCCTGCCCACTGTACACACAAAATCAATTCACGGAGACCATGGCATTGCAGTAAAGAGTTTAACTGACACAGGCTAGCCATGACATGTAGGGGACAGAGTTATTACTCAAATCAATCTCACTGAAGGCTTGGAGGTAAGGGTTTTTTCAAAGACAGTTTGGTGGGGAGGGGGCTAGGGCTTGGGCGGTGCTGATTGTTGGGGATGAAATCACAGGGGTGTGGAAAATGGCCCTCCTGCATTGAGTCAGCTTCTGGGTGGGAGCTAAGGGACTGATTGATTTTCGGGCCAAATGGTGCCATCCAGTAGTCAGAAATGCAAAAGCCTGAAAAGACATCTCAAGAGGCCAATCTTAGGTTCTACAATAGTGATGTTCTTCACAGCAGTAACTGGGGAAGCTGCAAATCTTGTGACCTCTGGAATAATGGCTGGTGATTATTTAATGAGGCATACATCTTAGTAGAATTCAGGTCCCTTTCATCCTCCTAACTTGGTGGCCTTTCATTAGTTTTACAGGGGTAATTTAGCTTTGGGGAAGGTTATCATTTTAACCAAACTTTTTGGCTGTCCCCAGTGTTTTTGGCACCAGGGACTGGCTTCATGGAAGACAGTTTTTCCATGGAAGGGGGTGGTGGATAGTTTCCGGATGAAACCGTTCCACTTCAGGTCATCAGGCATTAGTTAGAGTCTCATAAGGAGTGCACAATCTGGATCCCTCACACGCATAGTTCCCAATAGGGTTCAAGCTAATATGAGCATCTAATGCTGATGCTGATCTGACAAGAGGCAGAGCTCAGGTGGTAATGCTCGAAAGCCTGCAGCTCACCTCCTGCCGTTTGGCTGGGTTCCTAACAGGCCATGGACCAATACCTGTCTTGTGGCCCTGGGGGTTTGGGACCCCTGATTTGAACTATAAACTCAATTTTTCCCAAAAATAGCTTGGGAGAAATTGTGCAGGAATGAGCAAAGACAGCTAGCCTGTGAGGCTAGAACCAAAATGGAGTCAGCCATGTCAGATTTCTCTGATTGTCATAATTTTGCAAAAGTAGTTTCAGAGGGACTACCCTGACACTTGTTAAAAGCATGAGGCGGATTTTATTGTATGTACTACAGTAGGCAAGAGAGACCAGCAGAGAACCGAGCTCAACTCCAAATACAGCAAGAAGGGTTGAAGATTTATAGCCAATCGGCAAGGTAAGAAAGTCAGTGGATGGAAAATTACTAAGAGGAACTTGATTAACTATCAAAGGTGGTTGGGAGGACTCTTGCTAAACTAGGCTCAACAGTATTCTTTTCTAAAACTGGACTTGGCAGGCCAAGAACTAATAGAGAAAAGGGCTCAGAGGAAACTGACTAAGGTTTGGTCAAAGATGGAGTCCTTGTCAACTCTACATTGAAGTTTCTGCAAATAAACGAAGACCAACCAAATGAAAAAAAGTAAAGGCTATTTATTCTGAGCTTGCTATAGCAGGGAGTCAGCCACTGTTACTTGTGTTTTGGCAGAGACTTGAAGGCAGTCAGAGAAGTGGGAAAGCTTTTTACAAAGAAAGGCTTCAGGTATGCTTCAACTGGAGGCTGTCAGCATGATGAAGCTAGATAGATGAAAAAATCAAAATATTTTACCCCAGAATATATTTCTTTGGCATATTTTAAGATGGCCGTCAGAGAGCCAGCAACAGAAGTAACTCTGCAAAACTGTCTTTTATAGGGGAAATTTACACCTACAGAGAATCTGCATTAATCTAGCCTTCCCTTGTCAGGATTGAGAAATAAAAATAAGCCCTAGGCCCTACAGCCAACTGAACAGACTCCCTCTTGGCTGACAGGACCGCAGAGAAACCTTGAAAGCTGTTTCTGGCTGTGGCAGGATAGAAGGCTGGACATGCCCCCTTAAAACCCCTCCCTCACTAACCGCGGTTATGAGGCAGGAGAACAGCAGAGGGAGTTGGAAGTTGGATAAAAGGCAGAATGAGTAAAAGCAGAAACAGAAGTAAGGTGATGGGGTGGGAGAGCAAGAAGCAAGATAAAAGGCATAAACTAAGCAACCAAAACAAAAAGTAAGATTAAAAAAAGCAAGCAAGGCCAGGTGCAGCTGCTCACATCTGTAATGCCAGCAGTTTGGGAGGCCAAGGCAGGTGGATCGCCTGAGGTCAGGAGTTCGAGACCAGCCTGACCAACATAGTGAAACCCCTTCTCTACTAAAAATACAAAAAGAAAAAAATAGCTGGGCATGGTGGTGCACTCCTGTGCTCCCAGCTACTCAGGAGGCTGAGACAGGAGAATTGCTTGAACCCAGGAGGCAGAGGTTGCAGTGAGCCAAGATCATGCCACTGCACTCAAGACTGGGCAACAGAGCAAGACCCTGTCTTAAAAAAAAAAAATAAAACAAGCAAGCAAGGACCCCATGGCCAGCAAGATCCAAACCAATAAAGGGGCAGCTCTTCAGAGATAGGCATGTGCATTAGAGAGAAAAAGTATCCTTAACATGACTTCATATGATAATCAGCTCATTAAAGCTCATGCATATGGACTGCATATCATGCATGTACTTAAAATTATGGGATAGAGGCAACATTCAAGCACACAAGGGCCAAAGTAACTAAGCAACCCACCTATCAATCAAATGGCAAACCCTGGCTAAAGATTAGGCATTCTTGGCCTGGCACGGTGGCTCAGGCCTGTAATCCCAGCACTTTGCAAGGCTGAGGTGGGCAGATCATGAGGTCAGGAGATCGAGACCACCCTGGCTAACACGGTGAAACCCCGTCTCTACTAAAAATACAAAAAAATTAGCCGGGCGTGGTGGCGGGCGCCTGTAGTCCCAGCTGCTGGGGAGGCTGACGCAGGAGAATGGTTTGAACCCGGTAGGCAGAGCTTGCGGTGAGCCAGGATTGTGCCACTGCACTCCAGCCTGGGTGACAGAGCAAGACTCTGTCTCAAAAAAAAAAAAAAAAGATTAGGCATCCTTGTGAAGAAAAAAAACCACACATCAAAAGACCCAATGTACACCAAACTAATACTGATCTCATCTCCCAGAGGTCAGCCCACTCTCCCCACTCCGAGAGTGTTACTGTGCTTAATAAACTTTTGCTTTGCTTTGCTGCTTTGTGTGTGTCATGTACACTTCTTTGGGACACCAACAGTCTGGAACTGCACGGTACCATCTGGTAAGAATTAGGCTTTTTTGGCCGGGTGCGGTGGCTCACGCCTGTAATCCCAGCACTTTGCGAGGCCGAGGCGGGCGGATCACGAGATCAGGAAATCGAGACCATCCTGGCTAACACGGTAAAACCCCATCTCTACTAAAAATACAAAAAATTAGCCCGACGTGGTGGCGGGTGCCTGTAGTCCCAGCTACCCAGGAGGCTGAGGTGGGAGGATTACTTGAGCCTGGGAGGTGAAGGTTGCAGTGACCCAAGCTTGCAACACTGCACTTCAGCCTGGGTGACAGAGGAATGGGCCTTCACTAGACACTGAACCTGCTGGCAACTTGATCTTAGACTGACCATCCTCCATAACTGTGAGCAATAAATTTTTGTTGTTTATAAGTTACTCACTCTGTGGTATTTTGTTATAGCAGCACAACTGGATTAAGACATTAACCTGACCTTAAGAAATCATCTCAAATCAGTCTTGGCTTTGATGAGAAACAAAGGGCACACTCGAATGTGTGATTTAAAGAGAGTTTTTTTTTTTTTTGAGATGGAGTCTCGCTCTGTCCCCCAGGCTGGAGTGCAGTGGCATGATCTCGGCTCACTGCAAGCTCCGACTCCTGGGTTCACGCCATTCTCCTGCCTCAGCCTCCGGAGTAGCTGGGACTACAGGCGCCCGCCACCACACCTGGCTAATTTTTTGTATTTTTAGTAGAGACGGGGTTTCACTGTGTTGGCCAGGATGGTCTCGATCTCTTGACCTCATGATCTGCCTGCCTCGGCCTCCCAAAGTGCTGGGATTGCAGGCATGCGCCACTGCACCCGGCCTACAGAGAGTTTTATGAAGAGAATATTTATAAATATATGGACAGGATCAAAATAACGCAAGAAAGGACTGAGAGGCACTCAGAATCTGGAATCATCAGAGAAGTTGTATTGCCTCTAGGACTGAATTGTTGTATAAGTCTGTTCAGGTTGCCATAACAAAATACCATATACCAAGTGGCCTAAACTATAGAAATGTGTTTCTCACACTTCTAGAAGTTGGGAAGTCCAAGATAAAGGTGCTAGCAAAGCGGATTTCTTTCTAAGATCTCTTCCTACAGCCTGTAAGTGGCTGTAGTTTCACTGTGTGCCCATGTGACCATTTCTTTGTGCACCATGGGGAAGGCGGATGAGCAAGCTTTCTAGTGTCTCTTCTTATAATGGCATTAATCTCAGCATAAGGACCCCACTCTCATAACCTCTTTTAAACCTGATTACCTCTCAGAGGCCCCAGCTGCATAAACCATCACACTGGGGGTTAGGGCTTCAACATTTAAGTGTGGGAGTTGGTGTTCACAATTCAGTCAATTGGAGTGGAAATTGAAATGGGAAAGGAAAACTATAGTTACTAGAGAGAGCTATTGTCTTGGAGAGGATCACTGGACAGGACTATAGTCTTTGGAGAAATAAGTGAGTGACAACTGACAAAGATTCTTTCTGTGAAAATAAGTAATTTAAAATGTAAGTTGTTGGAATTCCAAATTACTTTGAGCCTTTAAAAAATCTGAGTATGGGCCAGGCACCATGGCTCACACCTGTAATCCCAGTACTTTGGGAGGCCCAAGGCAGGCAGATCACGTGAGATCAGGAGTTTGAGACCAGCCTGACTAACATGGAGAAAGCCCATCCCTACTAAAAATACAAAATTAACCGGGTGTGGTGGCGCATGCCTGTAATCCCAGCTACTCGGGAGGCTGAGGCAGGAGAATCACTTGAACCTGGGAGGCAGAAGTTGCAGTGAGCTGAGATCGCACCATTGCACTCCAGCCTGGGCAACAAGAGTAAAACTCTGTCTCAAAAAAAAAAAAAAAAAGAAAAAAGAAAATGTGGGTATGGAGCCTAAGTCACATGAGAGGCACCTGTAAACTAGGCAGTTTTAACCTTTGTTTCTCTGATTATAGATTGGCCTTCTTCCTTACATACATTTTTTTTTTTTTTTTTTGAGATGGAGTCTTGCTCTGTGGGCCAGGCTGGAGTGCAGTGGCATGATCTCGGCTCACTGCAACCTTAGCCTCCTGGGTTCATGCCATTCTCTTGCCTCAGCCTCCCGAGTAGCTGGGACTATAGGCGCACACCACCATGCCCAGGTAATTTTTTGTATTTTAGTAGAGACGGGGTTTCACCATGTTAGCCAGGATGGTCTCCATCTCCTGACCTCATGATCCACCTGCCTCAGCCTCCCAAAGTGCTGGGATTACAGGCATGAGCCACTGCACCCAGCCACACGCATTGTTTTCTAACATGTCATATAAATTATTGAAGGGTGCCAGGGAAGATTGCTTCCCTCTTCACTGCTGACTTTCATTATAGATTAACTTCCTTCTTACCTTGCTCTCATAAAGACTTCATGGCTATTGCATTGTCTTAAGATGCAATGTTAAATACACTCCTTTAAATTGGAAAGGAAATGTGAGCCAGCTATAAAGAAAGAAAACAAGTAGTATGGAAAGAGAAAAAGGTTGGGCACAGTGGGGCTCATGCCTGTAATCCCAGCACTTTGGGAGGCTGAGGTGGGTGGATCACTTGAGGTCAGGAGTTTGAGACCAGCCTGGTTCACATGGTAAAATCCCATCTCTAGTAAAAATACAAAAAATTACCTGGGCATGGTGGTGGGCACCTGTAATCCCAGATATTCAGGAGGCTGAGACAGGAGAATCACTTGAAACCAAGAGGCAGAGGTTGCAGTGAGCCAAGATCATGCCATTGCACTCCAGCCTTAGCAACAGAGTGAGACTCCATCTCAGAACAACAACAACAAAAAAAAAAAAAAACACAAAAAAACAAAAAATTCTGCAACTAATTAATTTGTTGTAACTCTTAAAGCAGCCTTATATAGAAAATGTTGTGATCCTATTAATTTTTTTTTCTTTCTATGTAAGCAAGAACTTCACTTTTGACTTTGCAGCACTGACCCCATTTCTCTGGAGTCTGTGTGCCCTGATTGGCTATTCCCAGATTTTTGTTTGAATAAACTCTTTTTTAATTTTTACCATTAGTTCCCACAAGCAGAATGAATAAACATTTTAACACTGAATTCTGAACCTTTCATTTATTTCAGGTTGACATCTCCTTGGCCAAACTCTAATCAGGCTCTTCTGAGTCCTCTTCTCACTAGGCCTCAACTATTGAGCTTCTGTGTTCCTCTCTGCATTGTTCAATCTCAGCAAGAATCCTTCTCAGTCAATTTAGCCAGAATTCCCCATCTTCAATAGCTGATCACTCATAATATCTAATAGGGCTCCTCATCCTTCACCATCTGCTAGGTGATGTCTGATCACCCTGCGTTCAGCAAGAATGCTATATGTTGGCTTAGCCATGTGGGAAGCCCAAAATATGCCACCCCAAAATACACTCCTTTGGTATAATTTGAGATGGCTATTTAGAGGGGCTGCAGATGTTACTGAGGGGTCTCAGCCCAAAAAGGGACTCTTTCCTGTTTATTATTGCAAAGCCAATGTATGAAACCAAGAGTGAGTGTCAAGCAGTGCAGGCTCTATTCAATGGCATTGGAGAAGTAGGAGCATAGCATGGAATTGGAGAAGTAGTATAGCTTGCAAATCACCTTCTCGGCTACTGAGAACCAGGAAGTTACAAATATAGAGGATCTTTAATGAAGGGAATGAGCAAGGTGAGGAATATTCATGCTTTTCTTAGGAAGGGATGGAGATTTTCCTAGAATCAAGGAGTCACCTCATTTCTGTCCTTTCTTGGTCTCTTTCGTTCATTGTCACAGTGATTGTCAACTGTCATGCACTGATGGGAGTGCTATTTAGCATGGAAATTGGATTATAATAAAGCTAGATGTTTTTCAGAGGTTGCATAAGCTGCCATCATGGATTTCACCAGCTTCAGCTGGTTTAGTCCCAAGAAGAAACTTCTGACCACAGACATCCTGTTTCTTAAAAATAAGCAGAGTTAAAGGTGAGTAAGAATTCAGCCATGACACATATGCACTGCAATGGCCAACAACATCTGGGTAGGGGTCCAGGTAAGTCATGTAGGCAGTGCAATAGGTAACACAGTCACAGAAATACCTATGAAAAGCTGTCCTTTTGTCAGGGAGATTAGCATGTGTAGAGGAAGTAAACATCAACTGCAAATGGCTTTCTCTGAGACCTTCTTATCTGCTTTATCCGGATCCAGGTAAGATTAACTCACAGGAAAAGGAAACAAAAGATCTCATGCTTTTAAACGTCTGACAGAGAAACTTTTTTTTTTTGAAACGGGGTCTTACTCTGACACCCAGGCTGGAGTGTGCAGTGGTGCAATCTTGGCTCACTGCAACCTCTGCCTCCCAGGTTCAAGCCATTCTCATGCCTCAGCCTCCCGAGCAGCTGGGATTACAGGTGCCCACCACCACACCAGGTTAATTAATTAATTTATTATTTATATATTTATTTATTTATTTATTTATTTATTTATTTATTTATTTTAGACAGAGTCTTGTTCTTTCACCCAGGCTGGAGTGCAGTGGTGCCATCTCAGCTCACTGCAAGCTCTGCCTCCCAGGTTCATGCCATTCTCCTGCCTCAGCCTCCCTAGTAGCTGGGACTACAGGTGCCCGCCACCACGCCTGGCTAATTTTTTTGTATTTTTAGTAGAGACGGGGTTTCACTGTGTTAGCCAGGATGGTCTCGATCTCTTGACCTCATGATCCACC
This sequence comes from Homo sapiens, assembly GCF_000001405.40. Taxonomy (NCBI): domain Eukaryota; kingdom Metazoa; phylum Chordata; class Mammalia; order Primates; family Hominidae; genus Homo; species Homo sapiens. Next base: position 148,398,396 of record NC_000001.11, read on the forward strand.
TGCCTTTGCCTCCCAAAGTGCTGGGATTATAGGCATGAGCCACCGAGCCCGGCCTGTATTTTTAGTAGAGATGGGGTTTGCCATGTTGGCCAGGCTGGTCTTGAACTCCTGACCTCAAATAATCTGCCCACCTCAGCCTCCCAAAGTGCTGGGATTACAGGCATGAGCCACCACATCTGGTGGAGGGCTACTTCTTGAGAGACTTCATCTGCATCACATCTGCATCACAACACAGCCTTTGCTCACCATGTCTTTCCTCCCCTCAACCTCCCATAACCTGTGGCCACCACCCCCTAAGAACTCCAAGCCTAGTTAGTCCTTTTTGTGCTGCACATAAACTTCAACCATACGGCCTTCTTTGAGGCTTTTTTTTTTTTTTTTGAGACAAAGTTTTGCTTTTGTTGCCCAGGCTGGAGTGCAATGGCGTGATCTCAGCTCACCGCAACCTCTGCCTCCCAGGTTCAAGTGATTCTCCTGCCTCAGCCTTCCGAGTAGCTGGGATTACAGGCATGTGCCACCACAACTGGTTAATTGTGTATTTTTAGTAGAGATGGGGTTTCTCCATGTTGGTCAGGCTGGTCTCGAACTCCTAACCTCAGGTGATCAGGATCCACCCGCTTTGGCCTCCCGAAGTGCTGGGATTACAGGTGTGACCCACTGTGCCCGGCCTGAGGCTCATATTTTTATGTGACTCTGTATTAGTCAGGGTTCTCTAGACAGACAGAATTAATAGGATAGATATACAAAGTAGTTTATTAAGTATTACACTTACTTTTTTTGTCTTTTTTTTTCTTACTTTTTGTGGAAAACAGGGTCTTGTTATATTGCCCAGGCAGGTCTCCAACTCCTGGGCTCAAGCTATCCTCCCGCCTCTGCGTCTCTGAGAGCTGGGATTACAGGTGTGAACCACCACACCTGGCCAGGAGTTTATTAAGTATTAACTTACACAATCACAATGTCCTGCAATAGGCTGTCTGCAAGCTTAAGGAGCAGGAAAGTCAGTTCAAGTCTCAAAACTGAAGAACTTGGAGTCTGATGTTCCAGGGCAGGAAGCATCCAGCACAGGAGAAAGACGTAGGCTGGCAGGATAGGCCAGTCTGGCCTTTTCATGATTTTCTGCCTGCTTTATATTCATGGGCAGTGGATTATATTGTGCCCACCAGATTTAGGGTGGGTCTGCTTTCCCCAGCCCATTGACTCAAATGTTAATCTCCTTTGGCAACACCCTCACAGATACGCCCAGGATCAATACTTTCATCCTTCAATCCAATCAAATTTGTGAGAAACAAATTCACCTGTCTAAACCCAAACAATGAACTCAGAGACCCAGAGAACAGCGAAAGTGAGACTTTTAATGACGGTCTTGCAAGATCGGGTGTCTGGCATGCAGGCACACCCAGCACAGTTTCAACAAGCAATTTACGCCCTAGTGCACAGGTCCCTCCCTCAGTTCCTCATAGGCTGAGTACTAGCCTTCCACAATCTTCCTAGACATCACCTATTGATTGTTCTTCAAGTACATTCTTTAGGGTCTTTCTGCTGCATTTTATTGCAGCACACGATGCATTATGACTCTCAGGATTTTTCAAACATTTGACTTACGGCTCTAGTGGCTGCACTTAGCTGATAAGAAAGGGTACAATTATCTATGTTGCAAGCTAGCTTAAACTAAATTTCTTTGTGGAGTGGGGAAGGGGTAGATGAGGGGGCCCCCACCGATAGATGCCTGGCCACTGGGTGAAAGGGAAAGAAGGAAGGTGGAGGGGGTGGCTCAGTACATTCTGCTTCTTTATTTCTTTCTTTCCAGGTAGCCTGCCTAAACCTATACCAAGCCACTTAGAATTGAAAATAGATAATCACATATAGGTTATTTCCTACTATTCCCTCCTTTTTCTTTTTACCCTTTTTGGTGTCATTTTCACTTAAATTGCTTTTTCAAACTGTTCCAGAATTGTTTACTTTTTTTTTTCAGATGGAGTTTTGCTCTGTTGCCCAGGCTGCAGTGCAGTGGGGTGATCTCGGCTCACTGCAACCTCTGCCCCCCAGGTTCAAGCGATTCTCCTGCCTCAGCCTCCCGAGTAGCTGAGATTATAGGCGCGCTGTAATTTTTGTATTTTTAATAGAGACAGGGTTTCACCATGTTGGCCAGGCTGGTCTTGAACTCCTAAACTCAGGTGATCATGAGCACCTGCTTCAGCCTCCCAAAGTGCTGGGATTACAGGCGTGAGCCACCGCGCCAAGCCAGAAGTTGTTTACTTTCTTTCTCATAGGAGGAGGAGTTTATTTGGTTTCTAATAATAGTAGGTTATTTTGTTGGAACATCAGGGGCATCTGTTTACTGAGAGTTGTTTTAATAAACCTTAGTGTTATATATATATATATACATATATATATAAAATATATTACATCTATTATATATAGTAGTAGTGTTAAACCCCTTACACAAGTATTGATGCAACATCGTATGTCAATGACAGAATCTGTTAAGTTGGAAGAGTATACTGTAGAAGGTACATACTTCACTTTTTTTTTTTTTTTTTTTTTGAGATGGAGTCTTGCTCTGTTGCCCAGTCTGGAGTGCAGTGGCGCAATCTCAGCTCACTGCAACCACCGCCTCCTGTGTTCAAGCAATTCTGCTGCCTCAGCCTCCCAAATAGCTGGGATTACAGGTGCCCACCACCACATCTGGCTAATTTTTGTATTTTTAGTAGAGACAGGGTTTCACTATGTTGGCCAGACTGATCTTGAACTCCTAACCTCAGGTGATCTGCCCGCCTTGGCCTCCCAAAGTGCTGGGATTATAGGCATAAGCCACCACCCTGGCTCATAGTTCACTATTGAAACAAACTTTTTTTTGTGTACAGAAGAAAAAAAATCGTACAGTTAACAGTGTCAGAGATAGTGAAAATATGAAACAAGAACTGCTTACAAGAAAGGAGCACTCAGGGGACCAAACCTCTGCCAGAGCCAGCGGGGAAGTGACTTATGCCTCTCTCTTCTTTCCCTCCTGTCCCCGCCCCTCGTCTCCCGCAATGAAGCGGGTACTTAATCTGTGTCCTGTGGAGGTCCCCTTTGGCAGCCAGCTGGAAGCCCGTGCACCCTTCTTCAAATAATGGCTTTCAATGAGCAGACTAGGACGTTTAGGATTGCAAAGGAAACCGATTCCTTTCAAACCTGATTATCTTTGTGATGTGGCACTGTTTGCATATCTTCCTTAAAATGCATTAAAGGCCACTGCACTCCACCCTGGGTGACAAGAGGTGACTGTGTCTCAAAAAAACCAAAAACACTCCCCCCTCACCCCAAAGCATTAGACGTCAAGGCTGGCAGGGATGTCTGTTCTCTTGAAAGTTCAATATCAATTCAATACTTTAAATTCACTGTAGTTTCAATCCATTGGTATGGAAAGTGTTTTGAATTATTGTACTGATTTTTTTCTATCCTCTTTCTGATACGCATGCTAATCGTATGGACCTTGGACATCTACCTTCCTGAACTTTTCTCTCCTGTTTTTACATTATTATTTTGGTTTGTGGGAAATATTCTTGACATTATCTTCAACTTAATTTTTGTTCTTGCTTCTACTATTTTAGTTTAATTTCCAAGTATTTTGATATTGAACTTTCAAGAGAACAGACATCCCTGCCAGCCTTGACGTCTAATGCTTTGGGGTGAGGGGGGAGTGTTTTTGGTTTTTTTGAGACACAGTCACCTCTTGTCGCCCAGGGTGGAGTGCAGTGGCCTTCAATGCGTTTTAACGAAGATATGCACACAGTGCCACATCATAAAGATAACCAGGTTTGAAAGGAATCGGTTTCCTTTGTAATCCTAAACGTCCTAGTCTGCTCATTGAAAGCCATTATTTGAAGAAGGGTGCACGGGCTTCCAGCTGGCTGCCAAGTGGGACCTCCACAGGACACAGATTAAGTACCCGCTTCATTGCGGCAGACGAGGGGCGGGGACAGGAGGGAAAGAAGGGACAGGCATAAGTCACTTCCCCCGCCGGCTCCGACAGCGGGTAGGTCCGCTGAGGGGCGTTGGGTGAGGCGGAAGAGCAGACGGGGATCCGGAAGGCGTTGTCGGTGACATCACGGAGAGGGCGATTTCTATGTAGATGAGGCAGCGCAGGGGCTGCTGCTTTGCCACGAAAGAGTTCCCGTGCCGTGGGAGCAAGTCTGGGACCGCTGGTCGGACCGGAGAGTCGCAGCTGTGTGTTAGGGCTAGGATGGCTCCGGGATGCGCGTGACGCAAGTGACCTTGCGTGTAAAGGGTGAGGAATATGAGGCTGCGGCGGGGCGGAGGGGTGTGAGCTTATACTTATATTTATCTGGCAGAAGAAATGTTATGATCACGAAGGTGGTTTTTCCAGGGCAAGGCTTAGCAATTTTACTCTGGATGTGCTGACCCCTGTGATTTCCCCAAATGAGGGAATCTCGACTACATAATTTGTGGCAGTGGGGAACTGTTTGTGCTTTCCCCTGGATTGCTGTCGTTTTAAAAGTGGATTTTGTTTGCTGTGGAAGCATATACAACGCGTTAGTATAAACTAATAAACAGGTCTTTGTTCCCATCTGTCACTTACTTTCAAAGTAAAGATTTTGTCAGGTAGTGGTTGGTTCTCACGCTTGTAATCTCAGTAGTCTGTGAGATGCATTGATAACTTTATGTTAATACCGCTCGAGCTCTGGAGTTTGATGTCAGTGTGGTCAAATATGGTGGACCCGTCTCTACTAATCTCTTAACTTTTTTTTTTGTTCTATAGAAATAAAACTAAGCTTTTCTTTTCCCTATGGGAGCCCACTGTAAACATTTATTAACAGCAAACAGTTCACTGGAGTGCATGGCTTACTGCAACCTCTGCCTCCTGCCTTCAAGCTATTCTCCTGCCTCAGCCAGAGAATACTCGATCTCCTAGGTAACTGAGATTACAAGCGCAGGCCACTAAAAAATTAGGCCCGGCTAATTTTTTGAATTTTTGGTAGAGACAGGGTTTTACCATGTTGGCCAGGCTGGTCTTAAACTCCTGACCTCAAGTTATCCGCCCGCCTCGGCCACCCAAAATGTTGGGATTACAGGCCTGAGCCACCGCGCCTGGCCTGTTTACAGACTTTACAGACAGATTTTGTTTACAAGCTTTACACGCACGGTTCAGTTGCAGTTAGTGTATATTATGCTGGGCCCAAGACAAGTGTCTTTTTTTTTTTTCCCAGTGTGGCCCAAGGAAGCCAAAATTTAGACAACCCTGCTCTAGAGGGTTTGATTCATGTTTCCACTGGGTTATGCTTATTGCCTGTAATTCCATTTGATATTTTCCAAATTTGATTTTTTAAAAAGCGTTTTCCTGAAGCACCCTAAAGCTTTCCTAATAATATGGGAACTTAAACCAGATTGGATGTGACAAAACCCTGCTGGAATCCTGCAACTTCTAACCTTAATGTTAGATCAAGAAGCAAAACACCCACCAGTCCAAGGGTCAGGGAAGATGAAGATCATGCCTGAGCTGTAACAACGCCCTTCCCAGTATACAAAAGCGTGTAACAGCCACTCGAATTCTATCTTCCAAGTGTCTCCTGTTGCCCAGGCTAACCTAGAGCTATCTAAAGATGGCAAATCTGGGAAATGTGCATTCAGCTTGGCAAAACTGATACATTACAAATCCACCACAGTCCACTTCTTCTCAAAGTGGCATCAATGTGCACCTTCCTCCTCCTCCTTTTTTCTTCCTCTTCCTCATCCTCTTCTTTCTCTTCTTCCTCCTTTTTCCTCCTTGTAAAGCCATACTTAAGGTTCAGATAAAGACAATAGGAAAATCATACTTTTTCTCATTCAGTGAAAATATGCCAACCCTTTCCCCAACAGGATAAAGTCTTTTATTTGTCTTTGAATGATGTTCACTCCTTTTTTAGCTAGATCACATTCCATATTTGCTATCCTGTAACCTAAATATTGAGATTTCTAAAAGTTAATTATTAATGAATATGATAGCGAGGATGATGGAAGACGAGAATTCTCAAGAAAAGTATTGGTTAACATATAACCAAATGTATTCATCTCAAAATAATGAAGAAATACTCCTAACTATTACAAGTCCTCATTTCTGCAACTGTCACTGGCCCTAGCTGGTATTTGTAACTATCTTTACATCTTGCTCTCACAGCCATTTCCTTTGGGCCTGGGCCGGTGGACGTGAGCGTGGGAAAGACCAGAACCCGCGGTGCCCCCCACCGCACTATCCTCGGGTCTCCAGAGGTGGGATCCACTGGGCAGGGGCCTTTGCTGGATTCTAAACCGGCTCTGGGGATACAAGAACAGCTGCCTTTGAGAAACAGTTCAGGTCTCTATATTCCAGACTTCTTAGTAGGACTAAACCCTTAATTTTCACCTGGGAATTCATGGTTCTCCTAAAACCCTGCGGTGGAATGCCTTCCTTCACCGAGCATTTATTGGGCACCTACTAGGTGCTAGGGTGGCTCTGGGCGAAGGGCTGCAGCCTGTGCAAACTCCAGGTCCCTTTCCTGTGGATCCCACCTCTGAGGACCCGAGGGGGACGCAGTGAGGACACCACGGGTTCTGGTCCTTCCCACGCGCGCGTCTGCTGGCCCAGGCCTGGCAGAAATGACTGTGAGTGCAAGGTGTGAGCGGGGCTAAGAATGGGAAAGAGAGTGACTTTCGCCTGAGAAGCTGCAGTTGTCGCCTGTAGAGGGGCCGGCGACTTTTGAGACGGTGAAGAGCAGGCGGAGGAAGCAGTGAAGAGCAGACGGTGAGGAGCAGGTGGACCTTTGGCCGTTGGAGTCCCCCAGCTGACTCTGCCAGAGTAGAACGTCCAAAGTGCCCAAAGACTCGACTCTTGGCTTCATTGTCTCCCGTATTATGGGTTTCTGGAGTGCGCGGGATTGGACAGGCATCAAATACATGAGATTATCTGCAGCCAGAGGTTAAAAAGCCATTTCTGGTATCAGCAAATGAGTTTAAGACACAAGCCATTGGAGTCTCTGTGGCGCAATCGGTTAGCGCGTTTGACTGTTAACTGAAAGGTTGGTGGTGCAAGCCCATCCAGGGATGGCACCTTTTGCTTAGGCAAGATTCACACTTTCTGTTTAAAGACTTTAATCCTGGGAATCCTCCGGACCTCTATTAGCTTTGAATCAGATGCCAAAATATGCTGCGTGAAGGCTCAAGTTCCATGGAAGTTCCTAAAAACAGGAATATTTCAGCAAAAGTAATTTTTCAATAGAGCCTGAGCCTGGGGCTTCAGAGCTTACACCAGAGCCACTGCACCTATTTCATCACCTCCTGAAGCTGGGTTTTTACAATTGCACATTCCTGGAAATCCAAAACTCCCAATAATTGAAAACAAGAAAACCCCAGTCTTCACTTGTGGTGAAGCCTCAATTTCTGGGTTGAAATCTTGGTTCATTCATGACGTGACTTTTAAAACCTTACTGGATTTTCTGTACCTCAATTTCTTCGTCTATAAAAAAGAGCAGCCAGGCGCGGTGGCTCACGCCTGTAATCCCAGCACTTTGAGAGGCCCAGGCAGGTGGATCACCTGAGGTCAGGAGTTCGAGACCAGCCTGGCCAGGGTGGTGAAACTCCGTCTTTAATAAAAATATAAAAATTAGTCAGGCATGGTGGCGGGCGCCTGTACTCCCAGCTACTTGGGAAGCTGAGGCTGGCAGGCACCTGTAATCCCAGCTACTCGGGAAGCTGAGGCAGGAGAATCACTTGAACCCGGGAGGCAGAGGTTGCAGTGAGCCGAGATCATGCCATTGCACTCCAGCCTGGGCAAAAGAGCGAGACTCCTTCTCAAAAAATAAAAATAAATAAAAAAGAAAAAAGAAAGAAAGAAATTTTTCCTGGCACATTTCTATATGTTCCATTCTGGATGACTTGCTCTTCAGGCTTATCTCACAGCTGTTATCATAATATCTCTCTTTACTGCACCATCTTGGGATTTCCATGACCTCTCTCTTGTTAGATCCCCTGCTTCATGGATCTCAAGGGGGTGCATTCCTCACTCACTTCTTCCTTTTGATGATGCATATCCTTCAAGACCTCCTATAAAGTGGTTACCTTAGAAATAAACTTTTTGAGACACTGCATGTCTGAAAATGTCTTTTATACCCATAAAGTTAATTGATATTTTACTAGATAGAGATACAAAAAGATAGGTGGAAATAATTTCTCTCTGAGATTTTTGAAGGCACTGCTTTTTTTTTTTTTGTGACAGTCTCGCCTCGCTCTGTCACCCAGGCTGGAGTGTGGTGGTGGGATCTTGGCTCACTGCAATCTCCACCTCCCAGGTTCAAGCGATTCTCCTGCCTCAGCCTCCCCAGTAGCTGGGACTACAGGTGCCTGCCACCATGCCCGGCTAATTTTTTTATTTTTAGTAGAGATGGGGTTTCACCATGTTGGCCAAGCTGGTTTTGAGAGCGACCACTCCTCATATTGTCTTACACTTAATTTCTTGTTTGCTGAAAAAGTGGAGGTTGAAAGAATGGGCAGAAGTGAAAATCACGCTCAGACAACTGGGTGCCACATTTCAGGCCTGGTTGTTAAAATTCAACTGCTGACCTCACCAATTGTGCTGTCTGTAAATTCCAGACATTGTATAAAAAAGCATTATGAAATTCCCTTTTCTGTCCTGTTTCATTCTGATTACCAGTACATGCAGCCCCCAGTCACGTACCCCTCGCTTGCTCAGTTGATCATGACCCCCCCCCCATGCAGCCCCTTTAGAGTTGTGGGCCCTTAAAAGGGACAAGAATTACTTGTTTGGGGAGCTCGGTTTCTAGGATGTGAGTCTACCGATGCTCCCAGCTGAAAAAAGCTCTTACCTTCCACAATCCGGTGTCTGAGGGATTTTGTCTATGACTCCTGCTACAGTTTCAAACTCCTGACCTCAAGTGATCCGCCTCCCTTGGCTTTGCAAAGTGCTGGGATTACAGGCCTGAGCCACAACAAGAGCTCCCGGCCCTTGTTGTTTACTGCTTTCCATAGTCATTTCTGAGAAAGAGAAAGGTAAGCCTTTTCTGCTCTGAGCTAGAGCTGGTCTGACAAACACCTAGGCCATGGTGTTGTATGGTTAAAACTAAAAATTTCACAACACCAATATCAGACAAAGTTACCCCCTCACTAAACTGAAAGAAATACTATTTCACAATCATATTTGAGCATAAAAAGAACACTGTTCAAACCATAATATGATCAAACATCCCAGCTACTAATAGTGACGGTTAATTATTTTATTTTTTATTTTTTTGTGATGGAGTCTTGCTCTGTCACCAGGCTGGAGTGCAGTGGCACAATCTCAGCTCACTGCAACCTCTGCCTCCTGGGTTCAAGTGATTCTCCTGCCTCAACCTTCCGAGTAGCTGAGACTACAGGCACCTGCCACCACACCCAGCTAATTTTTGTACTTTTAGTAGAGACTGGGTTTCACCATATTGGCCAGGCTGGTCTGGAACTCCTGACCTTGTGATCCGCCCCCGCCCCGCTCAGCTTCCCAAAGTGTTGGGATTATAGGCATGAGCCACTGCACCAGGCCATTTTTTTTTTTTTTTTTTTTTGAGACAGTCTCTGTTGCCCAGGCTGGAGTGCAGGGCCGTCATCTCAGCTCACTGCAACCTCCACCTCCTGCGTTCAAGTGATTCTCCTCCCTCAGCCTCTCAAGTAGCTGGGATTACAGGCATGCCCAACCATGCTTGGCTAACTTTTGTGTTGACTGTTGATTCTTTACCAATTATGTGTTTAGTCTTGCAACCATTTCTCTCACTTTCTAGATAAAAATATCGAGATTCCCAAAGGAAGAATTGTCCCACAATTTCCCCATAGTGTTTGCTGTCTCCTCTGTTGCAATGAGCCAATATACTCAGGTTTGACTATAGGTTTGTTCCTGATGGTTACACACTGGAGCACATCAGCACCATAGAGAAGATGGATGCCGTTCTGATTCTTTGTTATTTGCCTTAAACTTTTCTCCCATCTCCCCTCCCAAAAGCCTATAGAATCTTCTACCTCTTCCTATTAGTTTGAAACTTCATGATCTATTTCCATCCACCATGCTGGGTACTCAGTGTGCTCTTTCAATATGGGAATTTGTATTTTGGAGGTATCATTCCAAAGATGTTTATGCATATACAATTAAAGGTATATATTTATTTCCTGCAACTACCATCACCCTTTTGATACACTTCTGCTGTATAATAAACCATCCCAAGCTTATTGACTTAGAATAGCAATAATTGGCTGGGCGCGGTGGCTCACACCTGTAATCCCAGCACTTTGGGAGGCCAAGGCGGGCAGGTCATGAGGTCAGGAGATCGAGACGATCCTGGCTAACACGGTGAAACCCCGTCTCTACTAAAAATACAAAAATTAGCCAGGCGTGGTGCCGGGCGCCTGTAGTCCCAGCTACTAGGGAGGCTGAGGCAGGAGAATGGCATGAACCCGGGAGGCTGAGGTTGCAGTGAGCCGAGATCATGCCACTGCACTCCAGCCTGGGCTACAGACTGAGATCTCGTCTCTTAAAAAATAAAAAAAGAATAACAATAATTTATTATTTTTAGTGATTCTGTGAGTTGGCTTGGAAATTCTTCTAGTCCAAGCTGATTCATTTGGGGCTGGATGGTCTAGGATGGCCTCACACATCTGGGGTATAGGTGGATTGGTTGGAAAAAGTGGGATGCATGGATCTTTTTCTTCATGTGATCTCTCTAGCAGGCTAGCTTTGGGGGATCTTCAGATCATGGCCTCAGGATTTCAAGTGAAGAAAAAAGCAGGTAATCCTCCCATGTGCAAGCCTCTCTTCTGCCAGGTTTGCGAAGGCACCAACATTTGCCCAAAGCAAGTCATATGGCCAATTCAAGATTCAAAGAGAGGAGAAATAGACTCTCTTGATGAGAGAAGCTGCAAAATATAACCACTTTTTTTTTCAATCTATCACAGTATACCATACTGGACTATCAGTAGCTTCCTCATTTTTCTTTCTTTCTTTCTTTCTTTTTTTCTTTCTGAGATGGAGTCTCGCTCTGTCGCCCAGGCTGGAGTGCAATGGCGACATCTCGGCTCACTGCAAGCTCTGCCTCCCGGGTTTAGCCATTGTCCTGCCTCAGCCTCCCTAGTAGCTGGGACTACAGGCACCCGCCACCACAGCCGGCTAATTTTTTGTATTTTTAGTAGAGACGGGGTTTCACCATGTTAGCCAGGATGGTCTCCATCTCCTGACCTCATGATTTGCCTGCCTCGGCCTCCCAAAGTGCTGGGATTACAGGCGTGAGCCACCGTGCCCAATGAAAACCTTTATTTTCGTGATGGCTGCTTATTTATTTATTTATTTATTTATTTATTTATTTATTTATTTTTCTTTCCCTGCTCTCCCTCTTTTTAAATTTTTATTATTTATTTATTTATTTTTTCTGCAGAGATTTATCCAATTCAGAGGTCTTGTCCCCATAATTTGGAACTTTCCTTTGGATTTGATCAAGTCAGATAGAACTGGTCAAACCCAATGGGGAAAAGAAGGAAACAACAATAAAAACACAAACAGAAAACAAAAAACAGTTCAGAAAATTAGTGATCGCACAATTTATATGATTGCCTAGCACTCTAACGGTAAGAAGAAATTATAATCAGTTGGTTGTTAATCTTTTTTATTTTTTTATTTTTTATTTTTTTTTGAGACAGAGTCTCGCTCTGTTGCCCAGGCTGGAGTGCAGTGGCGCGATCTCGGCTCACAGCAAACTCCACCTCCCGGGTTCACGCCATTCTCTTGCCTCAGCCTGGTTGTTAATCATAACTTTAATCATTTAGGAGAATTTCCAAGACAAAACACAGGTTCAGTTACTTACCTAGGAATGGGGCCCAGGCTGAAGACTGCTCTGTACCATCTTAGAAGCAGGAAAAAACTCAAACTCTCCTTCCCTCCTTCCCTGTTAGAAGTGAACTGAAACCCCAGAAAGGAATTGCCTGCTCTCCATCATCATGGAAGCAGGAAAAGTTGCCTTCATTGTTGGAAGCAAGTAAAACTCCAGAAAATGAGTTGTACAGCAAAATAAAGCTTAGATCTCAATCAAATTTTGGGAAATCAGGGATTCTCTGGAGGGGGTGGATCTCTGAGGCCTCAGCAAATTGTCCTATTGGTTTGAGCAATAAAAATAGCTCAAGCTGGTACCAAGTACAGATAGGAGATTTGTCAAAGGTCAGGGCACCTCCACTCAGAATTCCTTCATGGTTATCAATTGTAAACCAAAAAGTATGTGAGACAGGTCTGAATTGATTTAGAAAGCTTATTTTGGACTCTTACTCATAGGTAATTCTAGTCTTCATAGAGGTATAGCAGCCAGGTGCAAATTGTGGGGGCCTGGAAATAATTTTGGTATAACAGAGATTAAATAATTTGTCTAAGCAATAGCTTGGCAACTTTGGGAGCCAAGTTGTAATCCTGGAAAGATTAATGCTTGGCCTGAGATGTAATAGCCACTCCTCCAGGTTGTCTTTTAATGTGGGAAGTAAGTTCTAGTGTGTTTCTGTAGTGTGGAACTTTTAGAAATAATATTCTTGTCACATTTGACAATACCCATGGCTGATCTAGACAAAATATCATCCAGTCGCTGTTTAGCCCTGATTTGCATATGAGACTTTGTGCTGGTCATCTGGTAACTTTTCACTCGGCAGTGGGGATGAAGTAACTGAAACTCCAGAAAGAAGAGTTATTAGATACCTCAAAAATGATGAAGATATTAGAAGCCCTGGCCTTAGGGGTCCAAGGAAGAGCAAGGTTTGTGGGTAATAATCTGTATAAATCTGATAGGAAGCTATAAGGAGGACTCTTAGGACTATGAGGTGGGTGATGATTAGAGCCTGGATTAATCAAGGGCCTGTGGCTTCTAACACCATCAGTTGCCTGTACTCAGCCACCTTCAGCAGTGCTATCTGGCTCTAGAGAGCCATAGCATTCCAGGAAAGGAGAGAAGGCTGCACAAAGCCCTGATGTTTGTGTCCCCCCATCTAGACAGACATAATAGCATGCAGGGACAAAGCAAAAGAGAAGAGTAGGCAGAGACAATGTGAATCTGTTCACCACATATTGTAAATGCATTTAAAAATATTGTTAGCCCATATTTGCAGGTAGCACTAATTATGAAGTTGTTGGACTGAGGACTTTATTTATTTGTGACTCTCACCATCTTCAAAGTCAGCAATGAAGAGTTTCTTCCTCATTGAATCACTAACGCGTTTTGGATCTCTCTGACTTCCTAGTTTGCTGACCTCTGACCTCTAGATCCAGACTTTAAAGGCCCATGTTATTAGATTAGTCAACCTTTATAATCTCCCCATTTTAAGGTTAATTGTATCTGCAAAATCCCTTTGCCATTCAATGTAATATAATTATGTAATTAGCAACCATAAGAAAGCTGAAGTGACTTTTAAACCAACCCAATTGTCCCATAGAACTGATGTTTACGGTTTCTTTTGAATAAACATAGAAATTGACCCTTTCAGTCTTGAAATTTGAGAAAGTTACATTTGCATTATCTGAGTTCCTTTCTCAGGAAACCAAGCGTTGGGCCCTCCAGATAGTATCAAAGAACTGAAATTTACCAGAGTACCACATCTGGACAATGAAATATCAGACCCCTTATCCCATCAAAATTGCCTAAGTGACCACCTGCTTCCTGCTGACCAATTCCTCTTTCTTACCTCTCCCTAATTCCTGTTTTCCTGCATGTAGTTCCATTTCTTCCCTGCTATCTAAACCCTGAATTTTCATTGGTCAGGAAGATGGATTTGAGACTGATCTCCCATCTCCTAAGTTGTAGTACCTGATGAAAGCCTTCTTTCCTAGCAATGCTAGTTGGCTCAGTGATTGGCTTTCTGTGCAGTGAACAGCAAGACTTAAATCAAACCTCTGGTGTTTCAGTAGCAACTATCCTAATACCAGACAAAATAAACAAGAGACTTTAAGACAAAAAAAGTTACTGAAGACAATGAGGGCTATTTTGTAATGATAAAAGGGTTAATCCATCAGGAAGAGATTACAATTATAAATACACATGCATCTAATAGAGCCTCAAAACACAGGAAGCAAAAACTGACAGAATTGAAGGGAGAAATAGACAATTTAACAATAGTAGATGGAGACTTTAATACCACAACTTTCAATAATGGATACAGCAACTACACAGAAGATCAATAAAGAAATAAAAGATTTAAACAACATAACCTACCAGACATCTATAGAATACTCCACTCAACAAAAACAGAATACACTTCCTCTCAAGTACACACGGGATGTTCTATAGAATAGACCATATGTTAGCTTTTAAAATAAATCTTAATAAATTTAAAAGGACTAAAATCATATAACTTCTGATATATCTCATAAACTAATACTATCACACACTATAGTTTCAGGTTAGCATGTAGGGTATGCAGTTTGTTGGTCCTGCTTCCTTCTGTTTGTCATGAATGTGGAGGTGACCATGATTACACATGTGTAGGCCAGTAGCCCAGGAAAGTCAGGCAGCTGAAGGGAAAGGACAGATATTCCATAAGAGTCTCCCTATCTCAGTCTCAAAAAACCAGGGAGGAATTGATACATAGGAAGTGAAGAGTTACATCAGGGGATGACTTCTCTTCTGCCTATCTATGCCTGTCTTTAAAACCTCAGTTTCTATCCCACTAAACCCCATTGCACAGGAAAACTGTTGATCACCGCCAACCACCAGACTCATTAACTTGATTTTTACCATGCTTTGTCTGAGAATATATCCTCAGGCCAATGCAAATCATTAGTGTTCCATAAAAACTGCTTCAAACACATAAAATAGTAACAGTTTATAAGTCATTCCAAATTAGGTGGCAACTACATGTATTTAAAGAGATATACATAAATTATTTCAGCAATTGTGACAAATTGGAAAGAAAGCATGTGGAGTTAGAATGAAAATCATAAGTGACAAGCACAAAATATGTATACAGAGATTATAACACTAAGCAAACCACACATAGAAGAGGAGAGTGGGGTTAGGAGTTATGAATATCAAGCTTGTCCTCAAGTTAAGTGAAAAGCCAGCATGGGCCAGGTGTGGTGGCTTATGCCTGTAATTCCAATACTTTGGGAGGCCAAAGTGTGAGAATAACTTGGGCCCAGGAGTTTGAGACCCACCTGGGCAACATAGTGAGACCCCATCTACACAAACACACACACACAAAAACACACACACACGCACACAATAGCTGAGTGTGATGACATGTGCCTACAGTCCCAGCTATTCAGGAGGCTGAGGCAGGAGGATCACTTAAGCCTCGGAGTTTGAGGCTGCAGTGAGCTGTGATCATGCCATTGCACTCCAGGTTGAGCAGCAGAGCTAGACCCTTTCTATTAAAAAAAAGCAAAAAAACAAAAAACTAACATGCTTCCCCAGTGGGGGAAAAGATGTCAGTATAACATTGGTTTGCAGCAAGAAGTATATTAAGATATTGATCAAAATCCTTTTATTATTTATTTTGTTTTTATTTTTTGAGACAGGGTCTCACTTTGTCATCCAGAATGGAGTGCCGTGGCATGATCTTGGTTCACTACAGCAAAACACACCTGGACCCAAGCTTGCAGTGAGCAATCATGTCTCACTGCAAGCTCCACCTCCTGGGTTCACACCATTATCCTGCCTCAGCCTCCCAAGTAGCTGAGACTACAGGCACCTGCCACCACACCTGGCTAATTTTTTGTATTTTTAGTAGAGACGAGGTTTCACCGTGTTAGCCAGGATGGTCTCGATCTCCTGATCTCATGATCTGCCTGCCTCAGCCTCCCAAAGTGCTGGAATTACAGGCATGAGCCACCGTGCCTAGCCCTATGCCTGGCTAATTTTTTAAATTTTTTTGTAGAGGCAGGGTTTCGTCGTGCTGCCCAGGTTGGTCTCAAACTCCTGAGCTCAAGTGATCCAACAACCCTGGTCTCCCAAAGTGGTGGGATTACATGTGTGAACCACTGCACCTGGCCTCTAAATCGATATAAATCAATTATTCACACACTGAGAGGAATATTCAGGATTTTTTTCTTATAATATAAATGATGTGAAAATCTGGAGAACCAAAGAAGAATGCCAAGACTATCTAAAAGTGTTAAATTTTTCATTAGGAAGAAAATGACTTCATGATAGTAATTAAGACAGTGATAGAACTTGGGGAAATATGTATTCCTTGATGTTTTCTATGCATTTGCAATAATAAACAATGAAAATATGGTTGAATTTTAGAAAGAGATAGGCCTGTGGTATTGTCACAAGGGTATACAAATACTGAGATTGACTTGTTGAGGCAGTGGTCTCCATTGGTGGTGACCTTCAGAAGAGACCTGTGTTTCCACATGGCCTAGACACCTGGAAGGCAGAGATCCTAACATTCCATGACACCCCCACCTTCTAATTCTGATTGTGACTCCAGACCATTACCTGGCACTGGGTCTTACCTCTGGCATTCCTATCAGAGCCTGAACCACAGACAGTACCTTAGAGTCTAAGCTTAGGTACCTTTGTCTTGTTTTTGTGGCTAAGGATTCTCAGAGTTGCGGGATGCTGATGAAATTTATCCCAAAAGTAAGTTATGAATCAGATCTGCTTTCTTTTGACTCATTTAAATCCTTTGTTTAATGTAAAGAAACTTTATTGAGGTATAATTTACAAACTATAAAATTTACCCATTATAATTGTACAGTTGAATAATTTTTAGTAATTTACCCAAGTAGTGCAACCATTACCATAATCCATGCATTTGTTTTTAATTTATTATTTGTCTGGGTTCTGATTCTACTTCCTCAACAAGCTACAGCATGGCAGTATCTGCCACCACTTGTTTTGGTCCAAGGGCAGAAATCAGCATCCTGGAAACCAATCAGTACTTGCGCTCTGAACTGGAAAAGTGCAAACAGAACTTCCAAGACCTCACAGAGAAATTCCTGACATCCAAAGCTACTGCCTACTCCCTGACCAATCACCTGCAGAAATATAGTAGGTCCCAAAGGGGCATGGTCACCAAAGTGATAAATGATTGCCCATCTTTCCTCTGTGAAATGAAACACTGCGGACTTTATTCTCTATCAAAATTAATTTTATGCTAACTACACTCCCAGAAAGGTAGAAGTGGGCCTTTTACTCTCAATTTGCCAAGGACAGAAAAACTGAGGCACAAAGGTGTAAAGTTTGCAGGGCGAGTGTAGTGAGGAATAGAGACTAAAACCTTGGTTTAGGCCTGAAACTGTCTTTCCCCTCTCAGCAATGAATATCAGATTCTACAAACATGTAACATCACTGTTGGTTAAAACATCTCAGGATTCGATTTAAACTTTTTTAAGAGCGCCCATTTGCAAAGCACTGTGCCAACAGCATCAGGGATGAAAGAAGTAATAGTATACCCTATCTGCCTTGAAGGAACTTAAAACTACCTATTCTCAACTGAGTCACAGATATGTGGAGATGCAAACTTCAATAGCAGACACGGAGAAAAATCTTTATGATACCTGGATCAAGATTCTCTTCCCACATAAGTTCAGATAAGCCATTCCTCATGCTCTGGTTAGATTGAGGGTATTTCCAGAAAAATCAGAGACTTTGTAACACCCTTTCTGTCTCTCTCTGAGTATCAACTTTACAGACAGCAAGCAACTGCAGGTGGACATCCAGGATCAGAGCTATGAGACATATGGCCAAAATGAGAACAAGGCCAAGTGGAACAGACTGCCATTCTCAATAGAAGGCCAGGCCAGGTTAGGGGCTGGCCCCTTCCTCTCCACAGTTAGCTCTCACATTTTTAAATCCACTGTAAAATCCCAAACATGTTACTAATAGTCAGGGAAGGGAAGCTGTAATGACAAGGAAACGTGGGAACAAGGGCATGAGAGGAACAGGGATATTAGAAGAGGATTCTGGTTAACATAGAAATTGAGTTTGTTTTCCAATTTCTACAATTATTTTAAAATACATCATTGTGTGGGGGGTGGCTAAAAGTTGCTGTCTAACTTACTGTCATAGAAAAGTAAAGCCAAAAGCCCACTTATTAAAGAAGTGAAAAGATGAGCTTTGGTGTGTGGAAAAACTAGTTTAAAAAAAAAAACCCTTCACTCATTATAATTGTAGGAAAAAAATTTCTCAAGCTAGAGAAGAAGAAAGATATTACCTAAGACCCTAATATAAAGGTATTATTGTGCAGTGATTAAAGAGCATATACCCTAGGGCCAAATTTCCTGGGTTCAAATCTAACTTATCATCACTGTCCCTCAGTTTTCTCATCTGTAATGGTAATAGAGTAGGAACTACCTCTTTGGATGGTGGTGACGATCATATGATGATAATTCTTAAAAACCTACTGCAACAGTACCGTGACAAACACTATGTGTTGGTTTTCCCTTTAAAACACCACCTACTAGCTTTTGGGCATATATCATTTGGATCTTTCTCCTCTATATACAGTTTTACACAGCTGTATACAGATAAATGTTTAAATCTTTGAAATATTTTGGGATTATTGAAACTCCTGACACAGGAGGGCCATCAGTCCTACCATTCTTAGTATCTTCCCAAACACACAGGAAGTCATTATTTCATGCCCTTATGTTCATGTTTTACTTAAGAGGCTGTAAGGCTTGGTAAATTGGCCTTAAGATTTGAAGTCATGGCTGGGTGCATTGGCTCACTTACTGCAATCCCAGTACTTTGGGAAGCCAAGGTGGGTGGATCATTTGCAGTCAGGAGTTTGAGAGCAGCCTGGCCAACATGGTGAAGCCCTGTCTCTACTGAAAATACAAAAACTAGCAGGGTGTGGTGGGGCACACTTGTAATCTCAGCTACTTGGGAGGCTGAGGCAGGAGAACAACCTGGGAATCAGAGGTGCAGTGAGCCGAGATTGTGCCACTGCCCTCCAGCCTGGGCAAAAAAGTGAGATTCCATCTCAAAAAAAAAAAAAAAAAAAAAAGAAAAGAAAAGAAAAAGATGTGGCGTCAGATCTCAGGGGATGTGAATTCTGACTGCCTCATTCCAGTTGAATCATCTTGTCAAGTGATTTTATCAGCCTGTGGGCTTTTCTTTCCTCATCTCTAAAACAGGGAGTAGTTGAGAGACTGAGGAATAAAGATATGGAAATCCCAGTGTAAAGCCTCGTACTGGGGATACTTTTATCCTTGAGATAGACCCTGCCTCCTGCTCTGCAGGCAGTGACCACAGCAGCATGGCCAGCCTTCCATGATGCAGGCATGTCTGTCTTTTCTCAGAGTGTGAAGAGTGCAAAGACCTTATAGAATCTGTGCTGGAGGAGGAGGTGCAGTTTCAGGAGAGGGAGCTGGCCGAATTGCCGAGGTCAGCTGCAAGGCTCCGGTAAGGAGGTACCTCTGTGGGAAGTGCATAAATACTGTTTGAAGTAGGGCAGCTCAGGCTGGTAGAACAAAGAGCAAATTTGTGCAAGGAGAAGGGCAGAAATGTATGACTCAGGCACAGAACTAGACTAAGACACAATGAGGCTATGGTCTAGTTAGGTCTCTAGGGTTTTCCATTAAATAGCATATTAGTAAAATGGAGACAGCTGCCTGCATTGGAATACTAGCAATGTGGCTTCTATTTGTGTGTCCTTGGTCAAATTTACTTCACTTTTCTGCGTGTCATTAACCTAGGCTACCTCATTTATAAAATGCAAATACTGACAGTATCTACTCAGAGGGTTATGAAGATTAAATGCACAATTGCAAGTAGTTAGAACCATCTCTAACACATATAAAACTCTGAACAACTATTTTCTGTAATTATTATATTTGTTCCCATTTATAGATGTGGTGATTGTCATTAATATTTTCTATAAGAGATATTTTCAAACTTTCCAAAGTGCCTTTCATGATAACAATGTTTCTCCTCCAAACTTTTTAAAAAAGTATTATACTAGGTGGAGTATTAACTGGTAGGGCTATTGGGTAGATAGATGATTGAGCAGCTGTTGTGTGGAAAATGAATTATTAATTCGCTCAGGACCAGCATTGACTATCCTTAGAGGGTTTCAGACATAAGGTAGATTGTAGCATTCGAAACTTCTTTTAATCCTTTGTTGAAATGAAATCATAGAAGCTCAAATTTCTAAAACTCACCAAAGCAGAGATATTTGATTGAAGGTGGGATAGGTCTGGAGCCCCTATTTCTCCCCAGTATGTCTTTACTTCCCCTGACACTTTCTAGTAACTCTAAGAAATAGAGTTTGAAAGAGGACCTGCAGATAACTACTTAGAAGACTGGTGGGGAGAAAATTCAAGCATTAGATGGGTTAGATGACTGTAAATGTTCAGTCTAGCTCTGGGATTACATGGTTCTAAACATTAACTGAATAACTACTTGTATGTGTACATACTACCGGGTGCTGTAAGTTGGGTAATAGGTAGCACTATCTTTAGACTCACAGAGCTCACACTCTACATTGGAACCCATGTGTATTAGTCTACTCTGACACTGCTATAAACATATATCTGAGATTGGTGATTTATAAAGAAAAGAGGTTTAATCGGCTCATGGTTCTGTGGGCTGTACAGGCTTCTGCTTCTGGGCAGGCCTCAGAAAACTTACAATCATTGCAGAAGTCAAAGGGGAAGGAGGCATGGTCTTCACATGGCCAGAGCAGGAGAGAGGGAGAGAGCAAAGAGGGAGGTGCTACACTTTCAAACGACCAGACCTCATGAGAACTCACTCACTATCATGAGAACAGCAAGGGGGAAATCCACCACCATGGTCCAGTCACTATCCAGCAGGTCCCTGGTTGGATTACAATCCAACATGAGATTTGAGTGGGGACACAGAGCCAAACCATATCACCATGAGAAATATTTAAACAATAATTAGAAAAAAAATAAATCCCCACAGAGTAATGAAATTACTACTCAGAACTTTACTTTTTTTCTTTTTTTGAGATGGAGTCTTACCCTGTTGCCCAGGCTAGAGTGCAGTGGTGTGATCTCAGCTCACTGCAACCTCCACCTCCCAGGTTCAAGTGATCCTCCTAGGTCAGCCTCCCCAGCAGTTGAGAGTATAGGTGCACACCACCACACCAGCTAATTTTTGTATTTTTAGTAGAGATGGGGTTTCGCCATGTTGGCCAGGCTGGTCTCAAAACTCCTGACCTAAGGTGATCTGCCTGCCTTGGCCTCCCAAAGTGCTGAGATTACAGGCGTGAGCCACTGTGCCCGGCCAGAACTTTAGTTTTAACTGCCTTCTTACTGATTATAGTCTATCTTCATGTCATTCAGAAGAACACTGCCCCTCTTGACCTTTTCACTGATTTTTCTTTTTAACTTTCAATTAATACTAGAGATACCGGCCCAACAGTTTTGAACTTGGCTTTTTTTTTTTTTTTTTTTTTTTTCTGCCAGTTACTGCATATGAAAAGATACTTGGGCTAAAGTGGGGAACCAAAGGGGCATCTTTTTAAAGGAAATTTAGTAAAATAACAGACAAACCCAAGGCTGCCTCTTCATTCCTTCTGCCACAGGCAAGTCACACAACTTGTACAGGAATTCATCTTGGGCCAGGTGCAGTGGCTCATGCCTGTAATCCCAGCAGTTTGGGACACCGAGGTGCATGAATCATTTCAGGTCAGGAGTTCAAGACTAGCCTGGCCAACATAGCAAAACCCCATCTCTACAAAAAATATATAAATTATCCTGGCATGGTGGTGGGCATCTGTAGTCCCAGCTACTTGGAAGGCTGAGGCAAGAGAATTGCTTGAACCTGGGAGGCGGAGGCAGAGGTGGAGGTTGCAGTGAACCAAGATCACATCACTGCACTCCAGCTTGGGCAACAGAGTGAGACCCTGTCTCAAAAAAAAAAGAAAAAAAGAATTCAACTTGGGAGTTCCTTACAGGGATTCTAAGAGATCTCTCCTCTGAAACTTCTATAACCTGTTATTCACTACATTCCCTCATACATTTTACTCTTCTTTCCCACCTTAGGATACATGATCCCTTAATTCAGGCTCAGGCTGAAGAACTGACCCACTTACGACAGAAGACACAGGAAGGGAGAGGTGTCTGCTACCTTTTTACCCAGCATGTGAAGAACACAGTCAAGTCTTTTGAGGGCCTTCTCAGGAACACTGGCATTGCCTACTACCAGAGACAGAGATTCTGTGAGCAAATGGTACAAGGAAGCCAGCTGACAGAGATCCTTGTCAGAAAACTTGTCACAGGTAAGTTGGCTACAGGCTCTGAAGACCCTTAGCTCCTCCCAAGTGTCCCAAAGTGGGGAGAAAAAATGCAAACTTATCTCCATTGTAGATTTTATTTTAGTTTTGACTATGGTCCTTAATCTGCATTCTATTGTTTTCTCTTTAGAGCACTCAGGTAATCACTTTTCATATTCTTTCAAGAATTCTAAGTTTTGTTTTTTATTTTGAGACAGAATCTTGCTCTCTTACCCAAGCTGGAGTGCAGTGACACGGTCTTGGCTGACTGCAATCTGTGCCTCCTGGGCTCAAGCAATCTTCCCACCTCAGCCTCCCAAGTAGCTGGGACTACAGGTGTGTGCCACCACACCTGGCTAATGTTTGTATTTTTTGTAGAGATAGGGTTTCTCCATGTTGTCCAGGCTTGTCTTGAACTACTGAGCTGAAGTAATCCACCTGCTTTGGACTCCCAAAGTGCTGGGATTACAGATATGAGCCACTGTGCCTGGCCTGAGAGTTCTTAGTTTCAATCAGTAAGAGAGGTAGAGTATAGTGGATTACTTCATCTTGATGAGCATAAGAACTCACCTTCATTTCTGGAAGATGTTTTCACTGGATGTAGGATTCTAGTTGACAGTTTTTGTTTTAAAAAAGTGTTTGAAAAGTGATATTCCGCTGTCTTCTGGCTTACACTGTTCCAACAAGAAGTCTGCCATAATTCTTATTTCTGTTTCTCTGTACATAATATGTCTTTTTTCTCTGGATGCTTTTGAGATTTTCTATTTATCACTGGTTTGAAGCAGTTTGATTAAGATAAGACCTTGTATAGTTTTCTCTTTTACATATTGTTCTACTTTATTTAGTTTCTTGCATCTGCATGTTTATAGTTCTCATCAAATTTGAATAATAATGACATATATAGTCTTACCTATGGCATATACAATATATTATATTTCGCATATATACGGCAAATATATATAATGTATATTCTATTCTTTCTCTCTATCTTCTCCTTTAAAGACTCCAGTTATATTTGTATTAGCTGCTTTGAAATTTTACCACAGCTGACTAATGGTCTGTTCATTTTTGTTGTATCTTTTCTTTCTCTCCGTTTCTTTCTATTTCCATGTCTTGGAATTGATTAATCTTTCTTCAGCAGCATCTAATCTGCTGTTAATCCTATCCAGTGTATTTTCATCTCAGACTTTATTTTTCATCTAAATTTAATTTATGTCTTTTTTTTAAGGTCTTCTATGTAACTCTTCATCATTTCATATTTTCCTCTAGCTTCTTTATTTTATTTTATTCTATTTTTTGAGACAGAGTCTCGCTCTGTTGCCCAGGCTGAAGTGCAGTGGTGAGATTTTGGCTCACTGCAACCTTCACCTCCTGAGTTCAAGTGATTCCTGTGCCTCAGCCTCCTGAGTAGCTGGAATTACAGGCACATGCCTCCACACCCAGCTAATTTTCATATTTTTCAGAGAGACGGGGTTTCACCACATTGGCCAGGCCGATCTCAAACTCCTGACCTCATGTGACCCACATTGGCCTGGCAAAGTGCTGGGATTACAAGCATGAGCCACCACACTGGCCTAGCTTCTTTAATACAAGGTATACAGTTATATTTGTTTCAATGTGCTTATCTACAGATTCTCTCATCTGTGTCCTTTTTATTGTTTTTTAATTCTCACCTGATGTGTCTTTTCTAAGTCAGTTTAAGTAGATTGATTTTTTTCCCCCTTCTTATCATGGATTACAGTTTTCTGTTTCTCTGCATTCCTAACATTATTTTATTTGGGGTTAGACATTGAGCATTGTAACTTATTGGGTGCTGGATTTTTTTGCATTTTGTGTTAAAATTCTTTGAGCTTTGTTTTGGTATACAATAAAGTTACTTAAAAACAATTTTCATCTTTCCAAGCTGGCTTTTTAATTTTTTTTAGGCAGGATAAGAGCAGCTATTAGTCAACTGCTATTTTCTTTCCCACTATGGAGGCAAAATGACCTTTAAGAAAATAGACCTTATTTTTTAGAGTAGTTTCAGATTCACAGCAAAATTGAGCAGGAAGTACAGAAAGTTCCCATATACCCCCTGCCTCCACACATGCATAGCCTCCTAGACTATCAACATCTCTCTCCAGAATGGCACATTTGTTACAGTTGATGAACTTACATTGACATGTCATTATCACACAAAGTCCATAGTTTACATTGGGGGCAATACTCTTTTGAAGATTCTAAGCCAGTGATCTCCCACAGATTTGGCACCAGGGACTGGTTGCATGAAAGACAATTTTTCCACAGACAAGGTGGGGGTGGGGTGGTAGGGGTTGGGAATTGGGTGGTTTCAGTATGAAACTGTTCCACCTCAGATCATCAGGCACTAGTTAGAGTCTCATAAGGAGCATGCAACCTAGATCCCTGGCATGTACAGTTCACAATAGGGTTTGTGCTCCAATGCTAATCTAATGCCATCGTTGATCTGACAGGAGGCTGAGCTCAGGCGGTAATGCTTTCTCGCTGGCTGCTCACCTCCTGCTGTGCGGTCCCATTCCTAACAGGCCATGGACCAGTGCTGGGGGTTTGGGACTCCTGTTCTAACCAATGCTCCCTCTATTAAAAGGGATTTTCACACTAGCTGATGGAAACACCAAGTGTTGCAAGCTCTGTGTGAGCTACAGAGATTATTCCTTTTGGGAAGTTCTTTGCCCTGCTTTGCATAATTTCCTCAAATACATGTACTAATAAGTACTTAGCTGAAGATTGAACACAGATATCCAAGGCATTCTCTCTGTGCAGCAACCTATTCTCTAGTCTGTCCTGTGATGTCTAGCCACCCTGACTTCTTCAAACTTACTACCAGGCTCTGCCTGGGTCCTCCTTCCCTGCTCTGCAGTTGACAAACTCAGGCAGCAAACTGGAGCAATCATAGGGCTCATCTCTTCTATTTTCTCTCTCTCAGGGATCAATGTACTGTACTGCACTATATCCAATGTTGAAGCTAGAGTTTAAAATACTTTTTCCAGTTTCTTAGTTGTTTAAGGTGGAGGACAAATCTAGTCCCTATTACTCCAACTTGGCCAGAAGCAGAAGTCTCCATTCCATCTTTGTGGTCAGAAAGAACAGTATGACAGAAGGCAGCTTGTTAGAATAGAAAGATCCATGGACTAAGAATCAGAATTACCTAGGCTCTAGTCTCAGCACTGTATTTACTAACTTTGTGCAAGTGATTGATCCCTCCTGAATTTCTGTTTCCTCATTTGTAAAGTGAGTCAAATCATAATTCCACGGCTGCTGTACAGATCAGTTGAAGTAGTATCTTAATGTTCATGAGTGTATTTCTCTTTCAGGGTTATTTATTTATTTATTTATTTTCAGGTCCCAATAGACTGTCCAAATCTTTTGGGGTTAGTTCAGGCTCTGTATATAGTAGAAGCTGGTGTTAGAAAAGTTGATTTATACCGGAATATTTTTCACAGAATCACCCCCAATTCTCACCAACAAACTGAGAAGAAAAAAAAAAGAATTACCCCCAAGAACATCTGAGGAAGCACAACAGGGACAGACTTGAAGGCACCTGGGCAGTCCTCTGGTTTTGGAGTAGAGGTAGGACAGGGCTATTTGTCCTCTCAGAGACTGGAGCAGGTTCTGTGTGTGAGTAGCTATGGGACAAACAGTCATGGTCTGGCAAACAGCCTGTGGCAGGAAGGAAGGTTACAACTGGAGAAGTCCAAAGGGCAGCCAGGCAAGTATTCTTTGAGCTGGGGAACAAAAGACATTTTAAACTTTTTGCTCTGCTTCAGGCAGCTGATGTCATGGTGATGATTCACCACATCAGGAACACCCTGTCCAGTGGGCTCAGGCAAGCCTGCCAGGCCACTTCTCTAGAGACACCACCTGAGGCCTCCTGCAATAAATCTCACAGAGTATTCTGAACACACATGTAAAGTGTTATGTCCCTGATCATATAGGCCCCATGTGTGCAATGTGTGAAATGGGACTTGCCTAATTTCTGACTAGCTCTTTCTAATTTTGGTTTGCAGAAAATCACAACGGTAAGAAAAATGAAGACAGGCAAAAGCCACTGGCTCCTAGGTAACTCTATATGATGAAGGGGCTGATAATGGACTGACCAAATCTAGAGAGGATTCCAGAAGCAAGGACTCAAGAGGTTAAAGGTCCCAGATATAGAAAAAGCAGAAACTGCTGATTGTTCCTTTTTTTGTTGACTGATTATACAATGTGTCCTTTTAAAAATGGTTCTCTGTTCTCTTTGCAGTTCTTGTATTGGTTCCTAGTTCCTACTAATTTCTCACACTTAGTTAACTAGTCAGTCTTACTGAAAAGTAAACTAACCAGGGATCCCTGGTTTCTGTATCTTTCAAACCTATAGGGTTACAAACCAAAGTGAGATGCCTATCTGGTTTCTGCACAGTTGTCCTGAATTATGTTGGCAGATATTTTATACCTAGAAATTCACCTTGAAAAATAAATTGAAACCATACCAAGTATTTAGAGCTAGGGGTCTAAAGTCTGCAAAAGCCCTGGGAGGTTGCGTTGTCTCAAGAGCCAGTATTCAATGGACCACTCCACATCATAGTAAATAAAATTTGAACACAGCATTTTGAAGCCAATAGTATGGGTCTCTGTGTGTCCTGTGTGCCCTGAGTGTATTTTAGAGTAGCTGTTGAGTCTGCTGCCTTATCTGTGTGTTATGAGGTCAATGCACTGATCACTTGCTGTTTTCACTTCTATACTAACTCTAGGCACACTCTACTCCCGGTCAAAAGTGGATTGTATATGTCCTCTTTGATGTGATGGTCCCTTTGGTTTTGGTGCCTCTTCCATGAGCTTCAGATCAGAACTAGCTATGTGGTTCCAGGCTGCCTTGGTTTCATCCCTTGTCTTGCCTACTCCACCAGGCTCAGGAGGGACATCAAGGAGGAAGAAATGGATAAAGTCCTGGAGGGACTTCAAACAGTATTTGACCCATTCCAGCCGCCATGACTCCCACCAGCTTCGCAGCAGCAATGCCTTCCTCTTTGATGCACAGGAAGGCCCCTCGGCTGTGGATATAGCCAGTGAGTGCTCCTTTGATAAGAAAAATAAAGCTCCATCAATCTCTCAGTAGCTCCTACATTCTACATGCTCACCACCTCTGTCTAAACTGAGAGATGTTATTCTCTGCAGGCAGGCCCTAAACATTCACTTTAAAAAAGTGATTAGGCTGAACACAGCTCTGGGATCAAGTCTCAAGTACAGGTCCCTGGTGGGTCAGGTAATTTGCTCTGTTCCTGTCCTCACCTCAGTCCCTCTGGCCCCAACTGGCATCTGCAAGCCAGTATACTCAAAGCTGGCCAGAATGAAGAGAGTGAAGAGATTATGGCAGACTCTCTGCCACTACTGCCACACATGTACAAATCCGCTTAACAGATCTCCTTCTTTAAAATGGGACATCTTATCTTTCCTGAAATATATATATTTTTTGAGACAGGGTCTCTTGTTCTGTCACCCAGGCTAGAGTGCAGTGGCATGATCTCGGCTCACCACAACCTACAACCCAGGGTCAAATGACCCTCCCGCCTCAGCCTCCTGAGTGGCTGAGACCACAGATGCATGCCACTACTCCCGGATTTTTTTTGCCTTTTTGGTAGAGACAGGGTCTTGCCTTGTTGCCCAGGCTGGCCTCAAACTCCTGAGCTCAAGCAATTCACCCACCCCTGCCTCCCAAGGTGCTGGGATTACAGATGTGAGCCACCACACCCAGCCTTCCTGAAATATTCTTGATAATTATAGTTCCTGAACAGTTTTCCCAAGCTGTTCTAGCCATCCCAAGAATGTTGGCAGGCTTCTCCATATGTTTGGAGGTGTAACTATAATGGTTCCTGGGTTTCAAGCTCCAGTCTCCATCTCCCCTCAGGTGCTTGCTTTCCCATAAGTTTCCATCTGACTACTAGAATATCAGGGGATTTCCATAAAGACAAGACTTTGATCTTGGCAACCCTTTGGTAAATAGCCAGGGTTCTCAATCTTTGTGCAGCACCAAGGTATTTTTAAGATCTCTGTTAGTTTAGTCTCAGTGTTGTAATTCAATCTAAATAAACAACGAGGCTATCTGCTGGAGAAAAGGATGAATCTAACAGCAATGCCACCAGCATGCCCTCTTCCCAGAATAACTCCACGCTAGCCATTGGAGCTTCTTTAGGTATATAAGAGCCCTTTAGGTTGGTAACCTCACTGGTGTGTGTATAGATTAAAACCTTGACCTATATCTCCTCTCCCTTACTTGAATGTTTGACTTTACTTTGGGGGCAAAAGTTTGGATTGTTAGGGGACTATATGCTTTATATACTCTTCTATGCAATAGAAAGAGATTATATTAATTCACTCATTGAGCTTTCACAGTAATATAAACCATATTAGGCTTGTCATTCTGTCAGTGATGGGTGTAAGTTTGTGGCTTTTATTACTCATACCATCCTCTGACAAAGGCATCCTATTTCTCTTTCCAATTTCACAATAAGGTGCAGAAGAAGGTCTTTACCATCTGTTAAAGATGTTCAGGGCCGGGCATGGTGGCTCACACCTATAATCCCAGCCCTTTGTGAGGCCTAGGTGGGTGGATCACTTGAGGTCATGAGTTTGAGACCAGCCTGGCCAACATGCTGAAACCCCGTCTCTACTAAAAATGCAAAAATTAGCCAAGCATAGTGGTGCATGCCTGTAGTCTCAGCCACTTGGGAGGCTGAGGCATGAGAATCCTTTGAACCTGGGAGATGGAGTTTGCAGTGAGCCAAGATGGTGCCTCTGCACTCCAGCTTGAGTGACAGAATGAGACTGTCAAAAAACAACAACAACAACAAAAGATGCTCAGGAGAGATGTTTTGTAGAGAGGAAGATATTCCCTAGTACCCATAAATCATCTCAAGGAGGTGGTCATATCTTTCCTAGTGCTAGAAAAGCCCTATTCAGAAACCTTCAGTGTTTTTCCACCTCCTGTCAACCTGCCTTATACTTCCTGTATCTCCATATGGGAGGCATCCCTGTGGAGTTTGCTTAGCACTTGGCCATGCTTTGTTTGAAACCTTAAAAGCTCTTAAAGGAAGTTGCCTTATGTTCCCTGATGAGAAGATGAAGTTGGCAAAAGAATGGTGAAAGGCAGGGATCTTGATGAGAGGCCCCTGACTATCCCTTTAGTGATCAGCATTCTTCATTTCCCGTCTCATTCCATGTCCTGGTGGAATGGCTGCAGAAGATGAGATCCAGAGACAGCGGTAGCACCTGAAGGAGACCCTTTTCATCAACAACTGCCTGTGAGAAAAGCTGGAATGTCATCTCAGCAGCTTTGATGAAGAAAATGGTGGGAGAGGCCCAAGTCAGTGCTTCTGGCAATATGTATTTTTCTAAAGGCATGTGACTGGGGCAGAGTTTTATAGATTTCAAGCACTTTGACATACTTTACTTCACTTATTCATTACAAATGTCCCAGCTAGAGAGGTAGGGCAGCTACTATCATTCCTATTTATAGGTAAATAAATAGGCTTAAAGATTTGCCTCCAACTTAGAGGTATCTACCTCTAAAATCATTCTTGTGATTCCTAGGCTGTCTTCTGTCTTCTATCTGCTGCTGTACACTGCCTGCTGTCTCTCTGCTTCTTATGTGATTGGCATTCAGTAGAACCCAGGTTTCTGAGCACCTCATGTAGCAGAATGAGAGTCTCCTCTGCTGCCATACTCATCAGCTTCCCTTATGTCTCGGTTACTCTTCATTCTACCACCCCAAGGTGGTTCTCTCCAACCCCCCTCCTCTTAGATTGTTCTCACACAGAGGCCATCATTTCATAACATTGTGCTGGGCCGGAAGAACCATAACCAGGTCCCTTCCCATACCAAAGCAGTAACTATTTTGGAAAAGCCTCCTTCATATTGCAGCCATTGGACATGATAATACATGTGATGTGCTGGAATTTGTTAAGAATCATGTGAAAATTAAGCTTCTGCCCCGTCGCACTAAAGTTCCAGCCCTGAGTCCCCATGGTTTTCTCCCTAGGCTAAGATAGAGAGGAAGAACATGAAATATGCAGAAAGCATTCTCTTAAGCAAACGTGTATAATTTGCCTAAATTGTAATTATTTCCTGGAACAGCATGCACCTCTAAACTCTACAGGCACATCATAGATTCCATCGTCCAGCTGTATAATGAAAACAGAGTTCTCAGAGAACACCGGAGACTCCCCCGACTTGCCTGAATCAAGTTTCTAGAGGTAAGCGGTGAAAATCCACAATATGAAGTCACTCTCAGACGGGTCCCTTCTCTTGTCACACTCCACTGTAGAAACAAAAGAGGACGGGGAAGCCAGAGCTGCTCAAAACCTTATAA
The DNA here is from genome assembly GCF_000001405.40 of Homo sapiens. Taxonomy (NCBI): domain Eukaryota; kingdom Metazoa; phylum Chordata; class Mammalia; order Primates; family Hominidae; genus Homo; species Homo sapiens. Next base: position 148,428,964 of record NC_000001.11, read on the forward strand.
CCCACAATTGTCATAGTTATTCTCAACTTACACAGGGCTGCTTTCTAGACGCACCCCCTCCAGGCCCCCAGACTGCCAGGCTCCAGGAATAAGTAGCTCTGAGAAATATAGTTTTTCGGTGGAAGCCACACTCCACTATTGCAAATTGGAGAAGAGAAGGACAAACTTAAAAGGTGAAAAGATTTAAGAGAACAACATGGTGAAACCCCATCTCTACTAAAAATACAAAAATTAGCTAGGCGTGGTGACATGCACCTGTAGTCCCAGCTACTCAGGAGGCTGAGGCAGGAGAATCATTTCAACCTGGGAGGCGGAGGTTGCAGTGACCCAAGATTGCTCCACTGCACTCTAGCCTGGGTGACAGAGCAAGACTCCCTCTCAAGAAAAAAAGAAGAAAGAAAGAAAGAAGAAAGAAAACAATTGTTTTAGTTGAATACATTTTGTCAAGATTAAATCAACTTTCCCCTAGGGTACTGATAGAATAAGCAATCATAATTTAGATTCTAACTTACTGGTCTTTGAGAAATTGTGAAAACAAAAAAGGTGCCATAAGCCAAAAAAGGAGCAAAAGTCCTAATTTTCAAGCTGATGAAAATAAAGAATGAAAAAATTGAAATCGTCATAGTTCATCTTGGTCCTTGGCAAAATACAAATCTATTGATTGAAAATATAATATCCTAGCTACCTTATTGTGCCTAGCTCTTACCACTGAGGAGAAAAACCAAACGCAAACAAAAGTATGTTCAAATTGGCAAAAATGTTTACAAACCTGCAAAATCTCTTCAGCCTATCCCTCAAACTCCAGACTTGGTATTTACTAAGCTCTGCTGTGTACAATACCCACCTTAATATCCATTCTTGCACAAGTTCTGTTAGGTATAAGCCAAGATCACATGGGATTTTTTTTTTTTTTTTTTTTTTTTTTTTTTACCCTCTCATGCCTATGTCTGCTTTTGCTTCCAAAGACCCTTCTGAGTAAGGACTGTCCTCAGACTACTGGAGTCATTTAGTCACAAGCTTGCCTGAGGCTCAGAGCTGGCAATACCTGGGAGTTTATGTCAATCCCACAGCACCCAGCAACCTTGCCTGCAAATTATTTACCCATGATTGACAGGTGCAGGTGTATGAAAGTCCAGCTCCTTGACTTGAGGGGTGCCTTTGTGGTGAATTAGCTTTGGGAAAAGGGAATCCAGAGGCCAACTTTGTAAAACTCCAGATAGATAAATGGAAAGAAATCTTTGCCTTGGAAGTCCAGTTGAGAAAGATAGTGATTTACTTCAGACTGTGGAAAGAGAGACTAAAATCTTTACTTTCTCATGGGAAAGAAGCCTATGGTGAAAGAGAAACAAAGAGAATGGTGGGAAATAGGGTGGGTCTACTCAGTAGCTTTAAACCATTCTGTCATATTATAAAGCCTGGTGAGGTTTTAACACAAGTGCCTGGACTCTACACCTAGAGATTCTGATTTAAATGCTTCCAGGTGGGTGGAAGCCACTAGTAGTCTTAAAAAGCTCCCAAGTAATTTTCACATGTGGCTAGAGATGAAAAGGACCATCTATCTATTAGAATGTCAAGTCGCCAACATAGAAGTGTCCCAAATGTACCGCTACCTCATAGAAAAGGCTTAACACCACCCATTGATGGAATTTTCCTTCCTCTCGCCATGGTTTTGTTTGCATAGCATGGAAAAAAGAGAAGAGAAAAAGAGGTAGATGGATAGATTGAACCTATAATTTGCCTATGTAGAGCAGTTTCTCAAACTTATCTGACCACAAGATGCAGTGAGAAATATACAATTCTTTGTGATCAGTTTTTAAAAAATCTTTCATTATGTGTAATCCAACCTTCCTAGTATTTAAATAAAGCCTGTAGTAGCAAGCAGTCCACTATATTGATTTCACAACCCATAACTTGTTCAGAATTGCAATTAAAAATTTTTTTTGGCCAGGCTTGGTGGCTTGAGCCTGTAATCCCAGCACTTTGGGAGGATCACCTGAGGTTGGGAGTTTGAGATCAGCCTGACCAACATGGAGGAACCCCATCTCTACTAAAAATACAAAAAAAAAAAAAATTACCTGGGTGTGGTGGTGCCTGCCTGTAATCACAGCTACTTGGGAGGCTGAGGCAGAATTGCTTGAACCCTGGGGGTGGAGGTTGTGGTGAGCCAAGATTGCACCATTGCACTCCAGCCTGGGCAACAAGAGCGAAACTGTTTCAAAAAAAAAAAGCAAAAAGAAAAGAAAAAGAAAGAAAAAAAGAAAAAAATTTTTTTCACTTCTGCTCAACCTTTTTATCAAGCAAAATCTCAAAAGAACATTTACTGTAAAAGAACATTGACAACAAACATCTTTCTGTGAATCCTTATTTCTGTCCCAGCCACCATGACCCAATAATCTCTAGAGCCTGTTAGTGTTCTCCAGATTGAAGCCTTCCCTCTAACTGCTCCTAAATCTGTGATGTAGTGGAAAAAGTTTGAGGCCTTGATTCTCATCCCAGGTTTTTCACCTACAGATCATATGGCCTTAGCCTCTTGACACCATTGTCTCCTTATGGCCAAAGATGGAACTGTACTTGGGTGGTATCTGAGCACCCTGTTGGCTTTGACATTCTAGGGCCCTTCCCTTGGCACCACTCTCTTATTTAAAAGGAATAGGATGTGGACTTAGGAGGGTTATTTCTCTGCAAACTATCCTCTCTTTCTTATGACAGCTATTTCTGAATGTGCACATTTGAGGCTAAGCAAATCCCTTCCTGGGAGGCGTGAAAGACCTTTATTTCTCTGCAGAGGAGTATTATGGAAAGTCAGTTGATGCTGAGGAGGTGGTAGAGACCTAGCTAACTCATCTGCAGCGGCTTTGAGCAAGGCTTTTAGAATCATAAGGTGGCTGGGGTCCTGTGTCCTACACCACAGGCCAGCTAGTTCATTTCAGGAGACTTTCTTTTCTATCTATTATTACTATCTTCTTCTAGACTGTAGTTCACTACCAGAGATTATCCACTTAGCTGCACTCAGTTTGCACCTGGCCTGTATCACCACTTAGCTCTCACTCCAGCCTCAGTTAGGTATCAGCAAGACCTCACCAAAGATTATTGTTTCATTGTATATGTGTGTGTGTTTTTGTTTGTTTCAGGTAACAACTGATGTTGGAACTATGAAAAGCTCTTCTCTACTTTTAACAAAGCTTAGTCACAAACAGTTCCCCAGTTGACGAGAACAACTAAAACAACAGAACAATTGAAAGTCCAAATTTGAAAGCTCCATCTCCGAGAAGCAAATTTTACAGCCACTCCAGATTTGTATTCCAAATGGATAGTTTGATTATAAAAATCACATCCCTTCAGCCTGCAAATGTGATAACTGCCCAAGAGACAGTGATGCCTACATCCATAGATAATCCCCTTTCCCCCAACCTATATATAACTGGAGTCAACAGCAGCTGGAGGAAAATGGCAAGGACTTGTAATCAAGATTAAGTTAGAAAAACACTGCTGTAGACTGTTTATCAGCTCTTCAGCATATGTCCGTTTTCCTTGAAGGATGAGCGTTTAGAAACCTCTGACAATAAAGTTTATTTTACACACATTCTCTTGCCTATCATTTTTTTTGTACAAATCACAATTATAAAACTTTCTTGCTCCAGCTAAAAGCAGGAAACTCAGTCACAAATGTGTTCACTACATGTATACCACAGAATGATAGCAACCAGTCTGATTGCATCACTTGATTCCAAAATTAAATGTTAGCACTCAGTAGTGAAACTACATGTATCTCCAACTCTGGAAGCCACAGGCAAGATACTCCTGTTTCCTGCAGGGAAACAGATCTATAAGCAGGGCAGCAGTCTCACACATGTACACTCCTGTGAAATCCAAGGAAATAATGATAGTGACACAGGGCAGGCAAGCCCCAAAACTGGTTTGTAGCGTGGGAAATTTCTCCCAGACTGTAGTCTCCTTGGCTTTGCCAAGAAAAGAATTCAAGGATAAGCCGCTGGTGAGAGAAAGCAACTTTTATTGAACTGGTGCTACTTCTTGCAGAGCAGGGCTAACCTATAGGCAGTGTGCCCAGAGTTTGTGCCTGTGGGCTACTAGCTAGTTGTATTTAGAGCCACTTTTAATTGCATGCCAATTAAGAGGTAGGTTATTCAGAACTTTCTGGGAAAGGGGCAGGGAGTTTCCAGAACCATATAAAGTAACTTCCAGGCCATTGCCAAGGTGTGTTGCCATGACATTTGTAAACTGGCCATGGTCCCAGTGGTAGTGTCTTTATGCTCATAAGCAGTGAGGGCAACTAGAGGTCACTTTCATCATCATCTGCTGGTTTCAGCAGGCTTCTCCACTGCACCCTGTTTTGACCAGATCCTGCTCTGTTCAATGGGGTTGGGAATGGAAAATAAGTCCTTCTGGTCTCCTACCTCATTTCCCCATCAGAGATTATATACTCCTCCTTAATCTTAAGGGGCTTGCAGAAGGGCGGAGGTTCATCTTCTGTAACTGCTTCCTGCTGATGTTATGGGCATAGACCCTGCCTAGCACTGGAGAGGTAAAATCCCTGGATACCTGTTCTAAAAGGCTCAAAGGTAGGATGTCTTTATCTTCTGGGTCAGAAGAGGGGATGGGTTGAAAGCCTTGTGCCAGCATCATCTTTACATGGAATTATTGTAATCTGGAAGACACAAACTTTACAAGGAGGTTAAACAAGCAAAGAGCAAAGATTAGTAATAAAAAGATATCTATTAAAGGTCCTAGGAAGGGTAAAAACCAAGTGTCTGCTGGTAGAGATTCCTTTACTGAATTCCATCAGCAGGGCAAAGCAGTAAGAGGGAAAACATTATAATTAGGAGTAAGAGAAAAACTTTCATGCTCATCCACAGCATCATGTTATTATTGTTATCTGTGCATTTGCAAAACAATAGCTTTAAGTCTTCCGGGCGTTTGCAAATATAGGTCACAGCATCGTCCTCTGACATCTGTGAGGACTCATAACAATCTTTGAGGGCCGGGGGCGGTGGCTCACGCCTGTAATCCTAATACTTTGGGAGACTGAGGAGGGCGGATCACGAGGTCAGGAGATCGAGACCATCCTGGCTAACATGGTGATATCCCGTCTCTACTGAAAATACAAAAAAAATTAGCCGGGAGTGGTGGCGGGCGCCTGTAGTCCCAGCTACTCGGGAGCCTGAGGCAGGAGAATGGCGTGAACCCGGGAGGCAGAGCTTGCAGTGAGTTGAGATCGCGCCACTGCACTCCAGCCTGGGGACACAGTGAGACTCCATCTGAAAAAAAAAAAAAAAGGATCTTTGAGCCTGGGCATAGTGGCTCATGCCTGTAATCCCAGCACTTTGGGAGGCTGAGGCAGGCATTTCACAAGGTCAGGAGTTCAAGACCAGCCTGGCCAACATGGTGAAACCTCGTCGCTACTAAAAATACAAAAAAAAAAAAAAAAAAAAAATTAGTCAAGCATGGTGGCACGTGCCTGTAATCCCAGCTACTCAGGAGGCTGAGGCAGGAGAATTGCTTGAACCCAGAAGGTGGAGGTTGCAGTGAGCCGAGATCGAGCCATTGCACTCCAGCCTGGGTGACAGAGCAAGATTTCATCTAAAAAAAAAAAAAACAAAATTAACTTTGAAGTTTAACAGCAGTGGGGGTGCTTAATAATGCCTGATAGGGGCCCTTTCCATTTTGGTTGTAATTGATTCTTGGGGGATTCTTCTTTCTAAGTTTTTAGTAAGACTAAGTATCCTGGTTGAATGGGCGAGTCAATCCTTTTCCTTGTGGGAGGAGGTTACGTTTCACTTCCATATGATTGAAGGGCCTTTTGAACCTGGCCTAAGTTGATAACCTATGTATCTCTTCATCAAACAGAACGTCTAAAGTTAAAAAGGGCCTTCCGAGCTGCTCAGGCGACCCAGCCTTCCATCGCTGCTGCTCTAGTGTTCGGTTGGCCTGGGCCACACTCAACTGTAGGGAGCCCAGGCCAAGAGGCAGCCTGGGCCTTCTGCATTGCGAGGCGCCGGGCCTCCCGCATTGCGAGGCGCCGGGCCTCCCGCAGCGCTCCGCTGACGGGCTGCGGGCGGGCAGGCGGGAGGCCTAGTGTGGGTCGCGGTCGTGGCCCCCGCCGCCGGCCCTGGCCGCCGCATCATGAACATAGATGTGGAGTTCCACATCCGGCACAACTATACCTGGAACAAGTTGCCGGCCAATGTGAGACAGTCATTAAGTGGAGATGGCTCATCATGGAGGTCTTCATCCTTGTCTTCACAAGTAGGCTGAAGAGGAGGAAATACAGGATGTATTGGTCTTGCTGTTCAGGGTGGTAGAGGAGGAAGAAAATCCCAGTCGTCTTTGAAATTCACAGAGAATATGAAAAGCAGGTTGTCCTGTACAGTATCTGCAATCAGTTACGATACAGAAATAACTTAAACATGTCAAGAAAGATGAATGCAGATACTGTGAGGAAGTGCTAAAGTACAGCCAAGATCATCTCATGCTGTACCCTTACCATCTATCGGATATTATGGTGAAGGGCTTGAGCATAACACCATTTTCATATTATACTGGGATTATGGAGAATATTATGAACAGTGAGAAAAGTTATGACTCATTGCCCAATTTTACTGCTGCTGACTGTCTAAGGCTTCTCGGCATAGGAAGAAACCAGTATATTGATCTTATGAATCAGTGTAGATCATCAAAAAAATTCTTCAGAAGGAAAACAGCCCATGATCTTCTACCAATAAAGCCAGTGGAAATTGCCATAGAGGCGTAGTGGGTGGTGCAGGCTGGATATATCACATAAGATGACATCAAGATACGCACTTTGCCTGAGAAATGTGCCTGAGAAATCAGCTTCATCGGCAACTGATACTGATACAAATAGTCAAGAAGATCCAGCTGACTCAGCCAGTGTAAGCAGCCTGAGTCTGTCTACAGGACACACGAAACGCATCGCATTCCTGTTTGACTCCAGTCTTACTGCCTTCTTAATGATGGGATATCTTTCACCAGTTCAGAGCACTGGTGAAGGAGAAGCACAGAGGTATTTTGATCATGCATTTACTCTGAGAAACACAATACTGTTTCTGCATCATAACAAAGATCTAGTTGTGCAAACTGCACAGCCAGACCAACCCAATTATGGTTTTCCTCTGGATCTCTTATACTGTGAAAGCCTTCTTGGTCTGGACCCTGGAACTTTCAGCAGAGTTTTAAACAAAAACTACACGCTGCTTGTTTCCATGGCTCCCCTCACCAATGAAATCCGGCCCATCAGCAGCTGCACCCTTCAGCATATTGGACCAGCTATCCCAGAAATCAGCTCTGTCTGGTTTAAACGGTACATTTATCATATCACTGGACAAGGACCACCATCCCTTTTATTGTCCAAAGGTACAAGACCTCAAAAACTGCCAGATATATTTCAGAGTTATGATCGATTGCTAATAACATCTTGGGGTCATGATCCTGGAGTAGTTCCTACCTCAAATGTGCTCACGATGTTGAATGATGCTTTAACACATTCTGCAGTTTTAATTCAGGAGCATGGTCTGCATGGGATAGGAGAAACTGTCCATGTCCCATTTCCATTTGATGAAACAGAACTACAAGGAGAGTTCACTCGTGTCAATATGGGTGTTCATAAAGCATTGCAGATACTAAGGAACAGTGGACTTACAACATCTCTGCGGATATGTCACCATGTTGAATGTTTCCATCCAACTTGCAAATAGAAAACTCAGTGATGCTTCTGATGAGAGAGGAAAACCTGATTTGGCTTCTGGCTCAGATGTAAATGGGAGTACAGAGTCATTTGAAATGGTCATTGAGGAAGCAACTACAGATTCAGCAACAAAGCAAACCTCTGGTGCCACAACAGAAGCAGATTGGGTTCCTCTCGAGCTGTGCTTTGGAATTCCACTGTTCAGTTCCGAATTAAACTGGAAAGTTTGTAGGAAAATTGCGCTAAATAACTTATCAAAAAAAAATCATTCATATTTAAACATCTTCTCAAACGTCAGCCCATTTTCTGGCACAAACAAGGAAGCAGTTCTCAGTGATACTATCTGTCCAAAATCAAGTGCACTCAAACCATCATTTTCTTGTTTGAGTAGCTTGGGCTACCACTCAACCAATAAAACATCATAATGTTCTTAATTTTCTAAACTGACAAGGCTATATAATAAAAGGTACAAAATGTATATAACCACTCATCATAGGTAAGTGGCGGATTTTCTTTCAGTAAAGGATTTAAATACTATTATACTTCAACAGTCAAGCTAGACTTACTTTCTAGGTCTTATATTAATGTTAATTGAGAACTTTCATAATTACTTCCTATATAAAGATGAGAATTATCTGACTTTGAATTTCTATCATATTAGTATATACTTTAAGTCATAATTGTGAGTTTGAAACCTACATCAATAATACTATATAAGTTCTAAATTAATTGTAAAATATTGTCAAAAAAATTAAAATATTTACATATCATTATCCCCACCATATGCATTGGAAAGAGATTATTCTTTATGACATATTCTGGTATATTTCCCGTGAATCTCTATCTCTTGTGAAGTTTCTTCTTATGCAATGCCTGGTCACCAGGGATCTGTGAGGTTCATGATAGAAATACTAATAGCAGTTACTGAAGTCTGAGCTGACTTGTGTGTTGCAGATGCTGTGTGTCAGAGTGAAGTATTCTTATACAGTAAAGTACATTTACTTACTTAAGTCCAACTGTTCCCTAGTTTTCCAAGGTCAAGGAAAAAAATGAGTTATAAAATGGAAATGGAAAAACTCTCTCTGGTTGGCTTTGTGGTTATTGCACCAATATCTATTTCTTAGAAATTTTCCTGCTAGCCAAGTACAGTGGCTCACACCTGTAATCCAGAGCTTTGGGAAGCCAAGGCAGGAGGATCCCTTAATCCTAGGACTTCCAGACAAGCCTGGGCAACACAGGAAGACATCATGTCTACATAAATTAAAACATAGCCAGTGTAGCGGCACACACCTGTAGTCCCAGCTACTTGGGAGGTTGAGGTGGGATGATCATTTGAGCCCAGGAGGTGGAGGCTACAATGAGGCAAGATTGTACTTGATACGGTTTGGCTGTGTCCCTATCCAAATCTCATCTTGAATGTCCATGTGCTGTGGGAGGGACCCTGTGGAAGGTAATTGAATCATGGGGGCAGTTCTTTCCGGTGCTGCTTTCGTGACAGTGAGTAACTCTCAAGAGATCTGATAGTTATTATATGGGGGAGTTTTCCTGCACAAGCCTCTTTGCCTACTGCCACCTACGTAAGACGTGACTTGCTCCTCCTTGCCTTCCGCCATGACTGTGAGTCTTCCCTAGCCAGGAGTTCAATTAAACCTCTGTCTTTTGTAAATTGCCGAGTCTGGGGTGGTCTTTATCAGCAGTGTGAAAACAGACTACTACAGTAAATTGGTACCAGTAGAGTTGGGGCTGCTGAAAAGATACCCAAAAATGTGGAAGCGACTTTGAAACTGGGTAACAGGCAGAGGCTGGAACGGTTTGGAGGGCTCAGAAGAAGACAGAAAAATGTGGGAAAGTTTGGGACTTCCTAGAGACTGGTTGAATGGCTTTGACCAAAAACCTGATAGCAATATGGACAATAAAGTTGAGGCTAAGGTGGTCTTAGATGGAGATGAGAAACTTGTCGGGGACTGGAGCGAAGGTGACTCTTGTTACGTTTTAGCAAAGAGACTGGCAGCATTTTGCCCCTGCCCTAAAGATTTGTGGAACTTTAAACTTCAGAGAGATGATTTAGGGTATCTGGTGGAAGAAATTTCTAAGCAGCAAAGCATTCGAGATGTGACTTGGGTACTGTTAAAGGCATTCAGTTTTATAAGGGAAGCAGAGCATAAAAGTTCAGAAAATTTGCTGCCTGACAATGTGATAGAAAAGAAAAACCCATTTTCTGAGGAGAAATTCAAGCTGGCTGCAGAAATTTGCATAAGTAACTAGAAGCCGCATGTTAATCCCCAAGACAATGGGGAAAATGTCTCCAGGGCATGTCAAAGGTCTTCACAGCAGCCCCTCCCATCACAGGCGCAGAAGCCTAGGAGAAAATGGTTTCATGGTCCAGGCCCAGGGTCTCCATGCTGTGTGCAGCCTAGGGACTCCATGCCCTGCGTCCCAGCCACTCCAGCCCTGACTAAAAGGACCCAAGGTATAGCTTGGGCTGTTGCTTGAGAGGGTGGAAGCTCCAAGCCTTGACAGCTTCCATCTAGTGTTGAGCCTGCAGGGGCACAGAAGTCAAGAACTGAGGTTTGGAAACCTCTGTCTAGATTTTAGAGGATGTATGGAAATGCCTGGATGCCCAGGCAAAAGTATGCTGTAGGGGGCAGGGCCCTCATGGAGAACCTCTGCTAGGGCAGTGCGGAAGGGAAATGTGGGGTCAGAGCCCCCACACAGAGTCCTTACTGGGGCACCACCTAGTGGAGTTGTGAGAAGTGGGCCACTGTCCTCCAGACCCCAGAATGGTAGATCCACTGACAGCTTGCACCATGTGCCTGGAAAAGCTGCAGACACTAAACAGCAGCCTGTGAAAGCAGCCAGGAGGGGGGCTACACCCTGCAAAGTCACAGGGGTGGAGCTGCCCAAGACCATGGGAACCCACCTCTTGCATCAGTGTAACCTGGATGTGAGACATGGAGTCAAAGGAGATCATTTTGGAGCTTTCAGATTTAACTGTCCTGCTGGATTTTGGACTTACAGGGGGCCTATAGCCCCTTTGTTTTGGCCAATGTCTCCCATTTGGAATGACTGTATTTATTCAACGCCTGTACCTGCAATGCATCTAGGAAGTAACTAACTTGCTTTTGATTTTAAAGGCTCACAGGTGGAAGGGACTTTCCATGTCTTGAATGAGACTTTGGACTGGACTTTTGAGTTAATGCTGAAATGAGTTACGACTTTGGGGGACTGTTGGGAAGACATGATTGGTTTTGAAATGTGAGGACATGAGATTTGGGAGGGGCCCAGGGCAGAATGGTTTGGCTGTGTCCCTACCCAAATCTCATCTTGAATTTCCATGTGTTGGGGGAGGGACCCAGTGGGAAGTAATTGAATCATGCGGGCAGGTCTTTCCCATGCTGTTCTTGTGACAGTAAGTCTCAAGAGGGGAGTTTTGCTGCACAAGCTCTCTTTGCCTGCTGCCATCCATGTAAGACGTGACTTGCTCCTCCCTGCCTTCTGCCATGGTTATGAGGCTTCCCCAGCCACATGGAACTGTAAGTCCAATTAAACCTATTTCTTTTGTAAATTGCCCAGTCATGGGTATGTCGTTATCAGCAGCATAAAAACAGACTAAGACAGTACTCCAGCTTGGGCTACAGAAAGAGACCCTATCTCTATAAAAATAAAATAAAAAATGTTCCTGCTATTCAATACTACATCGTATCTTCTTCAGGATAGTTCATTTGGGAATCGCTAAGTTTACCCCTGACTCTAGGGATGGGACATGGAATTTACACCTAAAATAATCAGCGTCTGAAAGGACGTCCCCTCTCTGGATATGGAAAAGGAAGAACTGCAGGAGTTGTATGCAGCTGCCTTGCAATCCCATGGGAAACAATGCTAGCTCACAGGAAGGCAAAAGCTGACTGTTGAAAAGAAACCAAGTCCTTGAAGACATTGTTAGGCCCCAAACCAATCAACCCAGAAACCCATTTACCACTGAATCTAGAGTTAAATAAGCAAGAAAATCCCCTTTTATTTAATCCAGTCTGAGTTGGGTATTCTGTCATTAGCAAATGAAGGCATCCTGACATGTGGGAATGTCAAGACACACAAGCTCTTGTGCAGTTTTCCATGCATGGGGACAGTGCCCTGGCATTCCAGAAATCCTGGCTTACTTATCACCACTCTCTAATCAACTGCAAATAACATTTTAAAACTAAGTGCAAAGAGAATGATCAGGAATATCATAAAATCTGCATTTATTTAAAAAAAAAAAGGAGCTTACAGTGAAGTAGTCTCAAGCAATTGCTTTCTTTTTTTTTTTTCTTTTTTTTCTTTTATTATTATACTTTAAGTTTTAGGGTACATGTGCACATTGTGCAGGTTAGTTACATATGTATACATGTGCCATGCTGGTGCGTTGCACCCACTAACTCGTCATCTAGCATTAGGTATATCTCCCAATGCTCTGCCTCCCCCCTCCCCCCACCCCACAACAGTCCCCAGAGTGTGATGTTCCCCTTCCTGTGTCCATGTGATCTCATTGTTCAATTCCCACCTATGAGTGAGAATATGTGGTGTTTGGTTTTTTGTTCCTGCGATAGTTTACTGAGAATGATGATTTCCAATTTCATCCACGTCCCTACAAAGGACATGAACTCATCATTTTTTATGGCTGCATAGTATTCCACGGGGTATATGTGCCACATTTTCTTAATCCAGTCTATCATTGTTGGACATTTGGGTTGGTTCCAAGTCTTTGCTTATTGTGAATAGTGCCGCAATAAACATACGTGTGCATGTGTCTTTACAGCAGCATGATTTATAGTCCTTTGGGTATATACTTCTCAAAAGAAGACATTTATGCAGCCAAAAAACACATGAAAAAATGCTCATCATCACTGGCCATCAGAGAAATGCAAATCAAAACCACAATGAGATACCATCTCACACCGGTTGGAATGGCAATCATTAATAAGTCAGGAAACAACAGGTTCTGGAGAGGATGTGGAGAAATAGGAACACTTTTACACTGTTGGTGGGACTGTAAACTAGTTCAACCATTGTGGAAGTCAGTGTGGCGATTCCTCGGGGATCTAGAACTAGAAATACCATTTGAGCCAGCCATCCCATTACTGGGTATATACCCAAAGGACTATAAAGCAACTGCTTTCTAAGTGGGATGGCTGAAGCAAGAGACCTTAAATCACTTGACCGTCTTCACAAAACAGAACTGAAGCAGAACCAGAAGTCCCCTGATAGCCTTTCAGGGACACCACCTACAAATACACCGTAATCCCTCATACTCCACACGCCACTTCAGGGAAAGGGACATGAGGCAGGAATACAAATATATACCATCTGTGACACTTCCTAAGCTCCTGGCTTCAGAGTAGCCATCCTGATAATTATTTTTTAAAGTCCACATTATAAATGTGCAAGTTAAGTGAGTTATGGAAATCATTCCAGATACTGGTTCACCAGTAACATCAGTTTAGCCCTAAATATTGTCATAAGTTCTCTGATAGGCTCATGTGATTTAAGCTGGTGCTCTGCCAAGACTAGACTTAGGCGTTTTATCCTTTTTATGACATTATGTATGTTGAAGAGAATATATGAATACATTTTATATATATGAATATATATAAAACCTTCATTATCACATTATTCTCAATCCAGCATTTTCTCAGCCCCTGATTTTCATGTTAGTTCAGCATTCTTACATCTTTACAGATTTTCATCTAAGACTACATTTCTACTGTTTTATATAATCAGCCCCCCTAAGATCAACATGTCCACATTTTTTGGCAAAGACAAAGCCTACTGATTTCAGGATCATTATTTTCCTTTTTCAAAAGCACAAACCCAAACTGAGAAATAAATCAAGAGAAATTCTCCTTTTTTCTATGCTAATTTAGAAGTAGAGTCTTTATTTCTTTTCAAACCCAAAGAGAATCAGACATACAATATGAATTTATCTACTTTCGCTTGCTCAGACTGAGAGGAAAGATTAATATTTTCAGGCTGTTAGTCAAAACTGTTCATTCAAATATTATTTAATAAAATCCAAGAACCAGCTAAAAAGTCGCTTAAGCTAAGAAACCTTCACCAGCCTCATGGGAAATTGTGTACAGTTTTCTACTAGAATAGCCTATAAATGCTTACTGAAAATGTCTAAGTTCATATCTTGGTAACTAACATTTTAATTCAATCTGCAGAATAATATATGCTTCTTTAGTGCTAAGATATGAATATTAGAGGCATTCTTTCTTAAAATTTCTATTTAGTTATACTTTCACAAATAACTATATAATATTAAAATTCTGCATGTGGCATAAAACATATTTTAATGGAGAAGGTAATGTGTAGGGAGTTTATTTCTGTTTGCTATTAGAACTTGTGTTTATTCTTGGTTAAAAAAACTGCACTGATTACAACATAGAAAAAAACAAAAGTATGTTGTATATCTCTTACAGTAGAAGATAAAGAGTAGTTCTAAATTTAGAAAGGAAAAATAAATATACACAGTGAAAATATGTGTCAGTGAGATGTTAATCAAAGATCAACTATTGCTGAGACCAGCAATATTAAATCCCTGCACAATTACTCATATTATAATGAGAATTTTAAAAAGAAAATATGAACACATAACATAATGAAGGCAGAAGTCACTCTCATCCTTCATCTTTGTATTCCCAATTCAGGAAGCTGGTATAGTATCTTCATTATAATTACTATTCAACAAACATTTGTAAAATGAATGAATAAGGAATGAATGATGAGAAAAATGATAAACATCTCCCTCTGTCTCCTGGGAGTTAACTGCACTACTTTCTTTTAAATTTAATTAATCCTCAATGTCCTTGTAAAATAGCCAAAGGGAAAATGTATTTACATTACTCTAAATATTGATGCAATCTACAAAAAGGGTTAAACAACTTCCTCAAAGTAAATAAAACGTTCACAATCCAGCTAGGATAAAAGGATTTAAATCATTTCCTAGGTAGAGGGCTTTCAATTAGAGCCCCTGCTGCATTAACCATGGGAACTCATCTCACTCTCTTCATGATGGAGCCCTGAGTGTTGCTGCTAATCTGTACTCTACCATTCTAATGCTTTTAAGGTTCCTTTTCAGCCCTTCCTCCTCGTAATCCACAAATACTGAGACCAAGGCATTTTTTGGGTCAGTCCTAATTTCAAGCATTCTATCCTGCCCTCCCCAAATGAACTCACACTTATTAGACCATATGTTCCTATATTAGTTCAGGAAGGGGGAAAAAATGTTCATCACACTTGTATATAAGAGATCATAGAAAAACAGTTTACTAACCTGTGAAAATACCATTCATTCTCTGTTTACCTCTGGTCCACAGCTAAGCAATCAGTAGGATAAAAATGTACCCTATGTTCACTATTCAGTATTCATAAGTATACTACTTATGAATTGGAAATCTGACACAACATTTACATGACCTAATTTTGAAAATTTAAAATAGTGTAAGGCCCCTAGGCTTAATTTTACAGGGGAAAGATTAAAGGGACACAAGCAAACATATATTCTCTCTCTGTGCTGTGGGACACTGGTAATTTTTTGACTTAAAATATTTGATACTTAAGATGCCAAACTTCTACATTTCTGCAGTAACAAGGCAGTTATCATATTGAATACCATTTCTTTCTCTCCAGTAAGTAGAGTTAATATTAGCACATGAACTGAAAATATTAAGTGATTATAAAAAAGTCCAAATAAATTCATTAAAATTTAGCTTGGCAAAATGTTAGTTTCATGTTCTTGGTAGAAGTCCTTTTATATTTATATTCAAATGAAATGAACAATTTACAAGCAAAGGAAATGGCATCAAATATTTGACACCCTGCCTCCCAAGGTGTATTGATTCATGCTTTTTGCTCAGATCTAGGTTTCTCCACTCAGGAAAAGAGGAGAATGTACCCATACTTGGGAAAACAAGTTTCCGATGGCACAGCTTTGATCAAACAGCAAAATTCTATCCATCTATGTATTGCCATCTGACAGTATGACAAATGGTCCCATGTGCGATATTCACACTGCATTGCAGTCAAACCTGTAAGTCAAAGGATATGAAATAATAGTAACTACACATTAAGCACAGAAGAAAATGAAACAAACAAAAAGGTTTTAAACCAACCAAACATATGTCTTATTTTGGATGTTCTATATGTTCTTACATTCTCTCAGGTCTTTTGTGTCATTATGAACACAATTCTAACAAGCTTGATTATTTTATTTCCATTCACATATTACAGGCAACAAGCTGAAAAAGTAGAATGGGGTGTAGAGAGACAGGACAAAGTACAGATTAGGGCTTGAAGTGCCCCTGACCAGTCGACAGCAACCACATGGAATAATGACTCATGTGCATTAATGATCACACTAAATGATATTTGTTTTTTACCTAGTCCTTCAACTGACAGCTTAAAGAACTTCAGGTTGTTCTGATTCTTGAGTCTACTCTACAGCTTCAGAGAGGACTTTCATTTTATTTTGGATCAAATGCTCCACAACTAGTTGAAACTGGAATTAAATTTTATATGAAGTTCCTAGATGATTTAAAGCTGTAAGAAGAAGAATAATGAATCATAAGAAAACTTGCTGCTACAGATATCAAAAAGGAATGTTACCATCCCTCATGCTAATCCTTTTTATTTTAAATAAACAGGATCTAAAAAAAATAATGCTGGGAAGTCCTAACCACATCAAGAATGCCTCAGATCAGTGACCCAAGGAACCTTCCAGAATGGATGAAATAGACCCAAAGCTGAATTCACCTAATTTTAGGGCCAAAAACCCAAAAAACAAAACAAGACCAAAAAAATCTTCAGATACTGGGAGAACAAATCTCAATTGCTCAATTGTATCTTATGAAAACAATTTTTCAAAATAAAACAAGAGATATTTAAGATTCATTAAGTTCTTGTCATTTCAAATTTTAAGAAAAATATTTTCTAATGGAATTACATATATTTATATGATTCTTCTAGTTATATCCATGGTAATAAATACTCTTTTCAGTTGGAAATAAAACCCATTTGTGCTATATTATTAGGGAAAATATCTACATAAATTAGTTTTTAATTTAAAGTCTATCTTTTGAATTCATAAGCATAAAATTTTAACCACTTGCAAAATTTATAACACACTTAAGGTAGTCAGATGCCTTGTCAAGTAGTTTAACAAAAGTGATTTTCACCTGTTTGTTTTAATAACAGTGCATCGATTTTATGAAAATCAGGCATGCCCTCGGGTCCTAACAAAGTATACGAAGCTGAATGGATCTATGCCAAATATGCCAGATTTTACTTTCTGAGTCTGATTTTATACTTCTGTCCTCTTTCTTACCACATGGCTTCCAGTATCACTTACAGACTAACCCTTCAAAAGGAGAAGGCTAAGTTACTAACATTTGGAAGGCTTATGAAAGTGAAGCATAGTTATGAGCCAGCAATGTTTTTATTTAGGGAATGTGTGCAAACCACACACTTAAGCAAGCTCTGGGGAATGAGAGTTGGGGGGAATCAACTCTTTTATTTGCTAATTGGTATTTCCTTTAAAAGATAGAGTTCTTCCAGATTTTAACTGTGTTAATAGTTACTCTAGAAAAATTGGAGATTTGTGTGCATATATTTTATGTTGTAAACAGACACATACCCAGAGACACTGAGAGAGACAGACAGACAGTAAACAGAGGAGCACTAACCACAAACGGTTTACAAATGACCTCTGTGCTCATTCACCTGTCTGTTCCCCACCTTGCCTTTTATAGCAACTATAGCAACAGCCATGAGAGTCATTGTGGAAAGAAATAAAATAAAATTAAAAAATCCTGGAAGCTTGTAAAGAATGTGAGCAAAGGGGAGGAAGTTGTGAAAAAAATGAATAAAGGGCACCGATCCAGAGTATTGAAGAAGGCAGAGTGGAGAGCCTAGTAATGAGTATCTGGTACCCCAGTATCCTCTCCCACAGAATCTGTACAGCTCTCCGTTTATGACAGTTTAAACTTAATTTAAATTATCAAACAGACACTTTCCTCAAACATATAAATGATGAGGCAGTTCATTCAGGCTGTATGTATAAAGTTGTTCCAGCCACCTTTTTCTAACGGCTTCTCTATATCTTTTACATGGAGACAATGAGAGATTTGCTTAGGACAATTTGACTGTAATTTAGAAGTAGGAAATGGGAAGTATTTGTATCTTCTTTGCCTAACTCACATTAGTTACTCAAGTAAGCATTTCTTCCGTTATTGCATTTTCCTGATTACAAGTTTTATGTTTTCTCTAAAACACATATCAAAAGAAATGTCCTAAGCACTATGCAGGGGGAAGCCATGACATTTATCTACCACTGTCAGCAAAAACATGAACTTAGCCCTCAACAGAATATTTCACTTCATTCTAGTGTCACCTCTGCGTCACCTGCACTGGAGTCACCACTTGCCTGTTGGGTAAGACCAGGATGCACCGCTGAAATAAAAAGGGGTCAGACAATACAAGAAAAGCCAGTAGAAATTGCCAAATGTATCAGAATACACACAGGCTTTCTAAGGATATGGCCCAAGAGGAAGGCTCTAGAGCCCACCCTGAAACAGGATTTTTGACTTCACAGAGAAATTATTTAATTTTCAATAACACAATTCAATTAAAGAAAGGGAAATACAAGGCTAAACAAATAAGAAATGAAGACAAAAACCCAACCTTTCAAATCTAAAGAAAATAATCTGTTTTAAAGACACAGATGAAGATCAGGAACCCAAAACAGAAGAAAGGAAAAGCAATTAACGCTGGCATCTGATAACAACGAAAAGTATGGAGTCTGGAGAATCGCTAGACTCTAAAAATTATAAAGGTTTAGACTTGGACTTTGTACACTGAAGAAAAGAAAACTGCATGCATTTATACTGACCAATGTACACTATTGCTGCTTTTTAACTTTTGTGTATATGTAGGGTAGATTTTTTTTAAGTGAAAGCAAGCTTATTAAGAAAGTAAAAGAATAAAAAGGTGGCTTCTCCATAGGCAGAAAACTAGCGTAGTTTTTTTATTAGAAATTGTTATTCAATAATAGTACATGTTACAAATAAATACCATTTTAAACTGAAAAAATTGTAGACTTTCAAATCAGTTAGGGTGGTCACCCTAAAAAAGGGCATTTTTTTCCCGTTAGTCTCCTTGTTCATGTTGCTCACAACAAGAAATGGGCTCATGCTATGAATAATAATAACAAACACTGCCTTCTGTCAGGCCCTGTGCTGAATACCGTCTGCATATGTATAGGAAAGGGTTAACTCAGCAGGTCTTGTTTGCCCAGACTCTGTACATTTCCAAGAAAGGTCTGCCTTTAGGACTGGTCCTTGGCCAGCTCCTGGAGAATGAGCTCTCAGCTTTTAGAAAATTCTATCTGCTAAGAATAGTTTTGCATGTCTCAGGTCTTGGGCCACAAAATATCAGTTTAATCAGATGGTTTATGTTAACAAGTATGATTTATGGCAAACATAGATCTCTAATCTCCATTTCTCTCTCATATATCTATATTTATCTATCCATATTATATGTACCTATATATATCAAATATGAAGATATGTTTATAGCAATTGCATATACATAGAGAGATAGTATGTAGTATGAAGAGAGACATAGATATTATTCTTCATTTTAGAATGTTATCTTGGTATGTTTAAAAGGAAAAACTTAAGATGTGTTGCAATTGCAGTATGAGTTTCAGGTATGTACATGTTATGTGTGTGTGTGAGAGACACACACAAACACATTTCAAACATGTTTTATGTTTAAGCTCAATATTCAAACACAGAAATATAACATCTATTCTTAATATGTTTTATGTAAGTACAGCAGCAGCATTATTAAATACTGTATTTCTATGGTGATTGAAAATTAGTAGGCAGAGAATTTTTGTAATGGCTCTTAATAATTTTTGTAATAGTAAATGATTACTTTTTGTTTAGTATAGTTTTATAATCTATACATGAATAAAGTGGATATTTCTATTCATATAGAAATGTGATTTACTCTCATGTACTTATCTACATGCTAAAACCATAAGTTATCAATTTTAGTTCTGTGCCAAGGCACTTTTACTGAATAAAAATAATCAGCTAATTTTATATTTTCCTGATTCAAATTTATATGCCCGTGTAATGTTCCGGGGTTTTTTTTTTTTTAATTTCTGTAAATCAGAATATTCAGATGTTGAAAAAGTCTTTGCCTTCAGATTTAAAAGATACCTTTGAAATGTAGCATATCCCAAAATGCAACCCAGAGGCTGGCAATGTCAACATTTTTCTGTTTTAAAAAACCTCTTATGAAAACTATTGCCATACTAAATTTTTTACTTGCTGATGACTTACAGCTGGAAAGGATTCTGTACATATAAGACATCAAATATTGAGGATACTGGAACTTTTAAATTAATGGCAAAGAAAGTCAACAAAGGAAGTTCATATGAAATCAAACTAGTAATATGATTACAAAAAAAAAAAGTTTAAAATTTTTCTTGGCCCCAGTCTTATCATTTCTGAGCCAAATACAATTCTATCGAAATCACCTGAAACTGAAATCACCATTCTAGGCTGGTTTTCCCATAAAGATGGACTGCTCCAAAAAGAGGAATCAAGAAAGAATTTGGCTCACAGTGAATTATTCACTTTGTCTTAGTTAAGCAAAAATAAAATCTGACTGTTAACTACAGAAATCATTTCAAATTCTGTGGTGATAATAAAGTAATGACCGCTTTTCAGCTGGAGGGACTAACTTTTTTTTTTTTTTTGCTGCATATATAGCTGTGGTACATTTTAATGTGAAATGATGACTGCATCAGCTTATATCCATGGAGCAGATTTTAGCATTCAGCTTGGGTCTCCCAGTCAATATCTACGAGTCTCTTCTTAAGGAGATCAATGACACAGATACATACAGACTAATAAATGTGATACCAATAATCAAGAATTCACTCAGTTAAGATTTTGCACACTGATTTCCACACAAGAAACCTAGAATTTACTAGATTCTTGTGCCTGTGAGGCTCCACTCGTTTCCCTGAATCACAAAAGCTACAGAGTATTTAGATAGAAATATACCTACTCTTAACATGAACCATTTTAAATATATGTATTACTGTGTCCACAGGAGTACACTTTAAAGCAGGGACTTCACTCTTCAATCTCTCCAATCACGTGTTACCTAAAGTGGCATGTGGTTCCCTAAAGCTTAATAACTGACATTGCCTTAAAAAAGGGGTTTGCTTCCCGACTAATGTGGAAAAAGTCTGAAAAATGATTTTAAATCTTTCACTAAATTTCTCATTTGGTCACATGGAGGAAAGTGATTTCACCAAATAGATACTCTCATTAATTTTTTAATGTAATTTATCAAAGAAATGAAATATTTAGATAAATTCCAGATTTCCCCCACCATGAGCTTCTCCGAAAGTATACTCCATCACAGACTGCTCACTAAGAAGCTCTACTGTAGTCAAAGTGACCGAATTTAAGGGGACATAATGACTACTTCTGCTACACAGAAACATTATCCATCTCTAACACTTCCCTATGAGACGGAAGACGGACTTCTAATCAGGTACCAGAGAGGGCTCTGCCAACTTCAGGGCTTTGATGAATAAGAATGGTTGAGAGCGCTCATCATAAATGAATTCAGTATAACTGAGTGAGAAAGTGAGAGAACCAGAGAAATAAATCCTCATGTAGAAAATTTAGGGGCATGAAATGCCAAATGCCAGTTAACCAAAGCTTTCTTTGTCATAAAGCAACTTCTATAAAAATTGCTGAAAATAAATTCTTCATGGCTCAATGTGAATCAGTAATTTCCATTTCTATTACACTGTTGTTTACCCAAAAACTATTTTTAATGACTAAGACTCAGAGTTTGCCAAAGTGTTTTCCACAAAACAACTGTTTTGAGATACTCCAGATCTGTAATCAAGTAAGTCTGAAAAACCCCAAATACCTCACTCACCTCTTGGATATGCATAAAGCACACTAATATATAACGTTCTAAAAAGCCAATCATTAAAACTGTTTTATATTGTTTAAGCATTTCCTAGACATATTTGGCTACAAATCTAACATCTAATTAAACAGTTTGGGAAATGCCATCACATAATGTAGGAATATTACTAGTCATTTAAGAAACTAGAAAATATTTACTATATTCTAGGCAGTTGGCTAGCAGTTGGAGTTCTAGTCTCTAAACAAAATACTGACTTATTTCTGTGACTTTATTCTTTTAAGCAGCTCTGTGCTTCACAATTTTTTTTTTCCTGGTTTGTTTTCCACTTTTGTCTGTACTTTATTCCTTCACAGATGTGAAAGGCTAACAAATGTAAACTAGTTATATTAATCAGCCTCTGCCTCAGTTCTACACTTCAAATACAGTATATACTCTATCAACAATTCTTGGATAATAACAACCTGTACTTGTTTTTCAAACAATAAAACAGGCCGGGCACCGTGGCTGGCTCACGCCCATAATCCCAACACTTTGGGAGGCCGAGGCGGGCGGATTACCTGAGGCCAATATGGTGAATTCTCCTCTCGACTCAAAATACAAAATAATTAGCTGGCCGTGGTGGTGTGTGCCTGTAATCCCAGTTACTTGAGAGACTGAGAGGAGAGAATCGCTTGAACCCGGGGGGCAGAGGTTGCAGTGAGCCAAGATTGCACCACTGCACTCCAGCCTGGGCAACAAGAGCGAAAACTCCATCTTAAAAATAAAATAAATAATAAAACAATGATGAAAACACAACTAACTACAGCACTTCAGAGTTAGTTGACAAATCCACCTTTTCAATCTACATTTCAAAATGTTCAGAAAGACACCATCCTAGGGGAAGTCAACCAGCAGCAACCTCTCTGCTAATTTTTGTACACAGAAACTTGACCTGACTGCACAAAGATTTCAATAGATGTCTCCCTCTAAAATTAATATTGGATGATTTGTCATCTTCCATTTAATACCAAAAGGGTATCAGCCACAAACTGAAATATCACTCATATGCAAATAAATAACATTCAAGACTTTTATCGTTGTGGTTATTAATCTTGTAATGGATGGACATAAATCTATTTACATTCTCATCCTATCCTCAAATTTCACTATTCTCTCCTCTCATTCTTACTTTGTTCTACTCATATTCTCACTCTATCCTCCTATGCATAAAATATTATGTATTCTAATGAACAGAGATACCATTCGTCGACAAGGAAAAAACACAATGAACTGCTCTTTATAATAAAAACCATGATCTTGACACAGATGTTATCAATCAATAAACTTTACACAGCTTTACATTAAATTAATACAAACTGCTGATGAGTGGGTGGGGGGTGGTCACTAAGCAAACAGAAGCATGTAGGTGTTAGGAAGCACGAGAAACATATATCAGTGGGTAGGGAAGGCAGCTCTCAAAGGCCAAGAATATAAGTTTTAGGTCTATATGGAAAAAGCTGTGGTCACATTCGAAGGCTTCTGAACAGAAGAATGATTAATTTCATGCTTAAAGAGTTCAGGTGTAAATAAACTGGATGGATAAGAAACTCAAAATCAAGAATTTTAAGACACTGGGTTAAGGTGATTGAGTTAAGTCAAAGCCAACAGGGCATGGGCTAAATATTGACATGGGATGGGATGAAGAGGCCAACAATGTTTCAAAGTAGAGGTTGCCGGAGCTTCAGGAACCAGAAGAGGAAGACTTGAGGTGAAATCTGAAACTGCAATCCCCATGCCTGGCTCAAAAGATGTGATACTGACTAGGAAAAGGCTGGAGAGAGAAGCTTCTTTTAAAGAGGTAATAAGGGATTGTTTTGATGTGCTGGGTTGAGGTGAAAATGACAAATATTCAGGTGGAAGTGTCCAGCATTCAAGTAGGATAACTTGGAACAGAAAGCCCAAATTATGTCATGGTGAAATGAGGATAATGTCTTATTAATAAAAACACGTCTTACTAGTCTTTCCTGGGGAACATGAAAGATAGAATTTCAGAAATTTAGAGAATGAAAAAGGAAAGATTACAAGGCAATAAGTTGATTAAAATACTAAAATAAACTAATCAGTGGCAGCTATCTTAAAGCAAGATATATCTTCTACAGCACGATCTACCCAAATGCAAATCTGGGCAGAGAAATACAAAATATTTTTAGGACTGACAAAATTTCAGCTATATGTCTTTTTAAAAATGCTGCAGAGAGAAATTTAGATGGATTGGACAAATATTTGCATAAGGATTCCACAGCCAACGTACACAATTTTCCAACTACTATGGTTAGCACTGGGCTCAGACACTACCTTTGCCAACCAGCAGATTTTCAGTACTGCCCCTGGCAGACATCCCATTAGCAATCTCTCCCCATTCCCAAACATTCCCAACTATTCTAGTCATGCCAATTCAACCAATGTCCCTTAAGCCTTACATAAACATTGACTTACACCGAAATGTATCCTATGGCTCTTACTAACTGTAACTTACTTAAATCACTCAAGCCTCTGTTTTCCCTGCTATAAAATGTAAAATAGCTGACAAAATACCTATTTGTATTTTTTGGAAACATGGGATAAAGCAAGGCAAGCAAAAAGAACAGCAGAGACAATGCTTAATAAATATCCTAGTAGGATCACCTTAATCCATGAAGAAAATGGAGTTTAATTTTTTTAATACAAAAAAACTCAATGAAGTTATACTTACGTTAAATTGGTGGTTATTTTAGGTCAGTGGTTTTAAAACTCAACAATGAAACTGTTTTCAAAAAGAGTTGTTATACAGAACAGAAAAAAGCAGCCACAATTTTAAAAAAGATATGAAGACCCAGATTCTCACTAACTCATTCAGCTCCCTTCATACTCCCTCCCCACAGCCACCTCAGCTCCTGAGGCAGGTTCCCAGGGCTCCAAGGAACATACTTTTAAAAAATCAGTATTTTGAATACATAATAAGTGATGTAACTTAAAAGTATGGTGAGAAAGTCCCATTGCCAAGAGAAACATGTTAATTTTTTATTTAAAAAATCATCACTCTTTTCATTGTGACATCTTGAAGAATGCTGAATGGCTTCAAAATAACTGCATATGCCAAGATTTCTGGAGTGGGCACGTTTGATCTTCTTTCATAATGAAAACTGACAAACCTTTTTAGGGGGATAGTATTGTTTCTTCACTCTCCCCCCTCCTCACCCCTGCACACACATACATTTCTCCTTCCTGGGGAACTCCAAAGAAAACAAAGGCCCTTTAGCAATCAAGTAGATTGTCTCTCTTGATGGCATCCCATGAGTTATGGAATTACATACTGCAGGCCCGGGTGGATTAGGGCCCCTAGAAAGTTTGCTTGATCAACAGAGTGCTGTTGATTTTTTCAACTGAATTAATTACTCTTGGAGTCCAAACTCTCCAGTGTGCCACAGTCCTCATCACTTCCTGTATCTTAAATATTGCATTATCTGTCCCCTAAAAGTATTTGAACATGTGACCCAGAGAAGAGGACTTACAACTTGACTAGGCAACTTCTGTCACACTGGATTCATATGAAATTCCACTGCAAGTGACATCACCAGATTGGGGACCCTGAAGTGTTTGAGTATCTTCTCCACATCTGGTCATTTAGGCTAAGAAATTCCTTCTTGTCTACCAGGTCTTTTAGCATTCATTGTGTAAGTCATTCAACACCTACTTACTGAGAAGGAATACTGGGCTAGACAGTGTGCTAGGGGCTGGGGAAACCGCAATGCATAGGAGAGAATTCCCATCTCCAAGAGGCTCACAGTCAAACAGACATAAATAGGTGATTACAATATACACTAACAACATAGTTTTAGAAACAACTAGCAGAATTATATAGACGAAGATGCCAGGAAAGGCTTCTCAGAGAATCTGGCTTGGCAAATATCTCAACAAAGAGGGCTGAGCAGGGATGAGCCGAAGGAGAGGATGGAAAGTAGGTTGTGGGTGAGTTTTCCAGGCAGCATGTGCAAAGGTCCAGGAGAAAGAGGAAGGAGCCTGTACTTGGAGGAATATTCGATTACTATTATCAGTGTCACACTTGCTATTCATCTAGACAGAAGCTCCTGAAACAAAAAGGATACACTTCAAAAGATGCCAATATATCCATGACCACACAAAAGAGTGTCTAGTCATATAATAAAGGGTGTACATAGGCAGGCAACTCACATCCTGCCAAATATTAAATTTCTAATTTTATTATAATTTCTAATAAAACATTAGATTTATTATTATACAGAGTCATACTCCTCGATTGGGAAACTCTCAACTCAATAAACATTCTTTAGTCTCATGTCTTTTCTAAAGGAAAGAAATTAATGTTATATTCTTGGGTGAAAAAAAATGTGAGGTCTCAAAAGAGTATAATACAATTTGGGGATGCATATATATTTTACATGTATATAGACACATAAAAATCTAAAAGAATAAATTTTAATATGTTAACAGAAGACAGAAGTCATGTATTTTTTACTTTCTTCTTTTTGGCATATCTCTTTTTCTAACTTTTTTTTTTCTTTTTACAAAAAACAATTGTTATTTGTGTACTTTTAAAACCTCACAGTAATATTTTCACACTACCTTCTTGGCTGAAAGTTCACACTCGGAATTCCAGAGCAGTCCATGGCCAGGCCCACTGGGCTCCCCTTGCTCTCTCCTTGGCTTTGGTAACCACTGGCCCCAGGGACTCAGCCTGCTTTCCTATCCATCCCCTCAGTAGCTGTCACCATGCAGGTTACCCCTTCTGTTTCTTCTACCACTAACTCCATGTCTGACTGCAAGTGAAAGGAACAGAAGCCCAAACCTTTGGGTTTTAAGGAGTTTATTGCTAATCTGTAAAACAGAAAGAGACAGGAGATAAGCATGACAAAATATAGGGAAGAAATGACTTTTGCCTAAACTTCCAAACTGTGTACAATTGAAGCCTCCGCTTTATAGCTCTTAGCACACCTCTCAAATAAGAAGGCAGTACTGGGAAGGCTCTGAACCTGTGGCAGAACCACCGATAGCTGTGGAGCTATTCCAAGGAGTCTGGGAATCAGGGGAATTATCAAGATCATTGTTAGAATAAATTAATCTTACTGTATATATAGCAGAAGTTTTCAAGCATATGTAAATGCTACTAATAACCAAATAATTACACCTTGTTTTTCTTTAAACTGTAACTCTCAAGTATGTCTCTACATAATTTTTTGATGGTAGTGTCTGCATGCTCAAAAAGCTTGAAAACACTACTGGAGAAGAAGGTCTCGGGAGTGTGATGAAATACGTTTACATGGCAGCTTCATCATTTAATTGGTGAAAGTGACTATGTGTCTTAAACTCTCTGAGCCTCAGTTTGCACATCCAAAAGCAAGGATATAATTCCATGAACCTTTCCACCTCAAGTCCACAAGGCAGAATAGCAAGATGTTAACTGCCACTCTGAGGACCACCAAATAAAAGGACAATTTATTAGGCCACTTGCCAGCATGGACACAATCGACTCTTGGCATTTCTTATTATCCACAGAAAAATTAAAAGTATAAATGTAGAACAAAATTATCGTGTTTTTTTTAATAGTAACATGTAAGATCAATCTTTGTCTTTAAAATACCGTGTATCTCATTCTTGGAAAGCGTCAAAATGAAAATGGTATAGTAAGTTTTATCTACAACTTGAATTAAAATTATTCTTGAAATATGTTCTGAATGGTTAGATGAAATGGTAATTAAATACAAATAGAGATAATCATATACTCTCTCTCCATAAGGCTCCCACCTCCTTCAATGAAGTCTAGTTCACCTAAAATGACACTATTAACATTAATTCAATATTATAAGTTGATAAGCACATTAAATCAAAACACAGCAAGATTATTTTAAGAGTCTGACTGAAATGTCAGGATGAGAAATAGATTAATAAATATTGGCTTCTAATGTCGGTAATGAAAACAAACACGTTATTTTCAGAAAATAAAAGGTCTTCACCATTAGGTACAAATCATAAAGGGATTATCTACGGTTACTACACTGTAACAACTTTTTACATATTGTATTATAGAACAAGCTTTTGAGAAGACAAAGCAACACATCAGCAGTTTAACCAATTGTCTTTCTCTTTTAACAGGCTGGTCTACACTAGATTACATATAAAAGGCCCAGGTATTACTTGTGTTCGATCTTAGCCAAATGGCTGAGAAACATCCAGGTACATTTAAATCAGTGACAAAAGAAAACATTATCCCTTAGTAAAATTACATAAAATAGGAAACATCTCTTACTTTAAGAGCAACCATGGTACTTGTTCCTATGGTGAAAACTGATGTTATCTCGATTAGTTAATTATTCATCCCAACACCTGGTCTTGCTCCCTTTTCCACCTCTAGCTATGTTAACACTAGAGTTCAGTAATTAGCTGATAAAGAATCTTAACTGCAGTATCTAACAGATCTTAGTGATTAAGCATATGACTTACCCTTTGTACAGATAAGTAAACTGAGGCCAAAAGAACTGAGGTATCTTATTAAAAATCAGAGAGCTAGTTAGTTGAAAAGTCCACCTGTCCTTCCTTTCCACATGTCTCACCAGAAAAACAGCAATGGTGAAAAGTCAACTCTGTTTTTAATGGGCCACTTTGTATATTTTAACTGTTAAAATAATCCAAGAGGATAGTAGTCATATACGAAGATCCTTTAGATATAATGTGTAGGACCAGCATTAATTTAATCAACCAAGTCTCCTCTCATTGAATTGTTAATTCATAATTACAAAGATGACATTACAGTAAATTAAGAAATACTGTAATTTCATTCTCTCCAAAAAGTATACATTGAAGTTTGGTGAATACTGTTATATTTTCAACTAGTAAATCAATGTGCCAATTCTGGGTCTTAGGCATATTGTATATACTGGAATGATATTCACTTTAATTAAATTTGTTTTGAGAAGTAGAATGTAATACAGATCCTACGTGTTTTTAAAAGTTCACATCAATTTCAAGCTTTTAAAAATGTATGTACACAAGAAAGCTTCTTTTGCAATTTATATGTTTACAAATGTTGCCATTAGCTAAGCTATATTTTGGAATGTGATCAAACAATATTGAATGTCAAGTCTTAACAGCAGGGCTGGTCTAAGGAATTCCCTCTAAGCTAAATCTGATCCTTTCATATGTGGCTACTGCTCTTTTAAACTACTGTATCCCTAAAGGGCTAAAAGGAAGAAAATCCTAACTTAATAAGTGAAGGCAGCAAGGCATAGTATTTGAATGGCTACCTTTCATTTTAACTCTACTTCTTAAATTCAAAATTGGATTTGGGTTCGTTTCAAGTTGTTCACAATTTACTAACGAAATGTGCATCTCTCATTCTTCCCCCAAAAGAAAGAAGTCATCCACTCCAGCTACATATAAGTCTCCAATTTCTGTCTTACAACTAAACGTGAAAACCGAAATACCACTCATTGAAAAAAAAATGTACAGAGAATTGGCAGGCTGCATGTTTATGTGAACCTTCAGAAAACATGGAAACACGCAGCCCCAACTCACCAGGAAAATCAACACTTGTGATCAAACTATTTTGTGACATTTTATGTCTTTTATACATTTCACTTCATATCCAGTATTCCAGTTTTGCACCGGCTTGCCTGTATCAACCCCAAATCGCCTGAGAGCAATCTAGTACTGTAGCAGAACCGTTTCAACATGAAGAGTTCTGCTCATCGCCTGTGGCGTGGTCTTCGAAACACCTGAATCAAACATTGATTCCCCTCCCCCTGCTATTTAAAACCGTGGGACGTCAGGCTTGGGTTGTAGGTAAAGAAAAGCCACAGTAATCAAACAAGCAACCAAAATACCCGAACACGGAACACGCTAAGAACAAAGGAAACACAAGAGTGTGAACAGGAAATGAAGCAACTCTACACCCATAAATACCTTCTGGGGCCGCCAACATAGGTAAAAGTAAAGGTGGAGTCTGAGTATCTGAATCTGAAACAGAAAGTCCTGTCAAAAGCTACCCCTGGAGTGGATTTGTTTTAACCCCGATCAGGACTTGGGCCCTCCATTTGGTGGAGTCAGGGGAGGCCTGGCCGGGCGGGAGGCGAGGGCTAGAGGGCGGCGAGGTCTCTCCGCGCAGCGTCCGAGGGGATGCGGCGCGCCCCCGACTGGGTGCAGCGGCAGGCCGCCCCCGGCAGCAAGTGCCGGGTGCCATGGCAACGGCGGGAATTTCCCGGTCGGGGAGGCCGGAAGCAGCCCCAGCCGGGCTCGCGGCAGCGAAAGCAAAATCCGATCTCTCTCCCGGGGGAGCAAAATGGACGAACGGCGACCCCCCAGGCAGGGGCGCTGGGTGCCTTGGGAATCCGAGGAATCCCTTCTCTTTGCCAGTCGGAGGGGACTAGATGGAGCCGAAGGGGCCGGAGATGGGCCGAGCGCTGCCCCCCGGGGGTCCTCGGCGCCGGGCGCAGCTTACGAGCGCAGGGCAGCAGGCTCCATTCCCGGCCGCCGCCGCTCAGCCCATTACGCAAACCTGGCGGGTCCAACCAACCCCGCTCTGCCGCCGCTGCTGGAACCCAGGAGGCGTGCTTGCAGGCTTCGGGCACTACGCGGGGCTGGAAATACCACGCACTGCCCCTTCGCCTAGACCCCCGCTCGGGCCACTCGGGTTCTGCCTTCAAAGCTAGTAGCTGCCCCAGACTTGGGGGTGGGGGGAGGGGAAGGGGCGAGGCTGGCGCCCCCTCCCGCTTTTGGCTCCCGCGTTCGTTGCAGCAGCTGTCGCCAAATGAACCCCGGAATGCGGACGTGCAAACCCTCCACCCCACCCCCAGCCACACACGTCGCGGTCGGAGAACTGAGAAGGGGGCGCTGGGTCCGAGGTTCTGGAAAAGCAAGAACTCACCTGCAAACAGGCAGTCCTCAGCTCTGGACTTCTGGATCACGACGTCGATATCCTTCTGAATTCGGTCTTGCCTTGAACACATCCCCATTAAATAAATCCTTGGAAAAGAAGCAGCCGCTATTTCCACCCCACCCCCCTCGCACGCTTTCAGCTTTCGTAAATATTCAGTTAAAAATGAAACCTCTGGCCGAGGCAGGGGCTGAAGGCCAACTGGTTTCGGAAGTGATCCTGGGTGAGAGGAGGAGAAGGAGGAGGAGGAGGAGGAGGTGGAGGAGGAGGGGGAGGTCGGCTTTCCATTTCCAGATGTGACCGCCCAGCTGCTGCTCGCCGCTGCTGGATTCCAGTTTCCTCCCCTTCTGGCGACGGATTGGTGATGACACCGAGTCTCACTTTCTCCTTCCCCCGCCCGGACCAACCGCCGTGGGGGGCCGAGGGTGCCGGGGACGGCCGGAGAGCGATCACCGGCTGGGCGGCGGGAGCCGACGAGGGGCGAGCCCCGCTCCGGCTCAAGCGCGCACACCCCTCACGGCCCGCACTCCGGCCTTCCACACCCGTGCACACTCTCGCCCGCGGGCGGCGGCAGCCGTGCCCAGGCTGCTGCAGCGCCACCCGCCCGCCGCGGACCCTCCGCGCCCTCCGCCTAGTCACCCGGCCCGGCCGCGGGCCGCCGGGGCTCGCAGAGTGTCAGCCATCCCGGGCAGGAGTCGCGTCTCCCCACCCCGACCTCCACTCGCGCCGGGAGCTGAGCGGCAGTGTAGGTAGTGAAGACTCCCTGGGGCTCCCAGCCTTCCCTCTCCGCGCTCTCCCCCCGTCACTTTTATGAATTCGACTCCACTTTCTAAAGGAATTATGAGTCTTGTGGCAAACACAAACCGGAGTGGCCGGGAAGGGGAAAAGGGGGGAAAAGAAAATCTTTAAAAATTAAAAAAATAATAAAACGAACAAATCTTTACTTGTTGCCACATCAGATAACACGGAAAAAGCCTTGAAATTACTCCAGATGTGCACCCTCCCCTTCCCTCAGTGCCTGAGTCTTTTTCCTCCAGATCGAAGTATTTCAGCCCTTTTGGGGCGCCGTTTGCGAAACACAGCCCCTTTTGAGGGACTTCCTCCTCTTGAAAAGACTCACCAGTTCTCCCTTCCTAGGTGTTTCTGTTCATGAGAAATTGTCAGAATCAACTGGCACGTTCCAGGGTCTTCCTAAAGGATGGAAACCTGTTTGGCTTGCTTTTTAAAACCACCTCCTTTGACAGTCAGTCCAGGGAAAGCTACAATCCAGGTGTTCAGAAATGAGATACTGCTCTGATTCTCACTTTCTGTTCTGCCTAAGGACACCTCAGGCTGACGTAGCTGCCCCACCTCTATATTGGTTTATGCCCTAGGAGAGGTCTCCAGCAGGCACTTTTCTTGTTGATCTTTTCTCCGCTGAGAAGGCTCCCGCCAGTAGACCATGACTCGTTTTGCTTTGCATTCTCAGTGCCACGTACAGTGCCTGGAATACAGGAGGGTGGCCTAAATGTTGGCTGAATGCATGAATGGTCATTTCTTGCAGCCTCTTTTCATTACCCTGTCTCATCAGCTTTCTTATCAGAATAAGTGCCCAAGAGTGCCAAACTGTTTCAGACCCTTAATCAATTTAGTTCTGATTCTGACCGTGACAACATGATGTTCAGCACGGTAGGAATGACTGCCATCTCTGAAGGAGTCTTAAGATTCTGTAGAATCAATGAAAGATTCTATGTTCTAACGCCTTTATCTTTCAGGAAAGAAATTACAAAATAGTTTCATTGTCCAGTCATATTCACTATGAGTTATAAGAGGAAACATTCTATCTAGAATTAGAAATACCATTTGACCCAGCCATCCCATTACTGGGTATGTACCCAAAGGACTATAAATCATGCTGCTATAAAGACACATGCACACGTATGTTTATTGCGGCACTATTCACAATAGCAAAGACTTGGAACCAACCCAAATGTCCAACAATGATAGACTGGATTAAGAAAATGTGGCACATATACACCATGGAATACTATGCAGCCATAAAAAAGGATGAGTTCATGTCCTTTGTAGGGACATAGATGAAATTGGAAATCATCATTCTCAGTAAACTATCGCAAGAACAAAAAACCAAACACCGCATATTCTCACTTATAGGTGGGAATTGAACAATGAGAACACATGGACACAGGAAGGGGAACATCACACTCTGGGGACTGTTGTGGGTTGGGGGGAGGGGGGAGGGATATCACTGGGAGATATACCTATTGCTAGATGACGAGTTAGTGGGTGCAGCGCACCAGCATGGCACATGTATGCATATGTAACTAACCTGCACATTGTGCACATGTACCCTAAAACTTAAAGTATAATAATAAATTTAAAAAAAAGAACAAAACATCACATTGTACCACATAAAAAAAAAAAAGTTGGATTTTGCAAGGAAGATAGACATCTGACTAAAGTTTGGCCTAGCAAGGAATCTTTGTTAGTACTACTTCTTGTTTAAGGAAAGAAGAGACACTCATCTTTCCTTCAAACAATATAAGTCTCTTTTCTTGTTTGATCACCTTTTATTCATTAAGGACCAGTTGAATCATCTGTTGGGACTTGGTAGCAGAGGATATTTCCTGGATAGTGTGAGCTATCGGGCCTTTAATGTGGGAAGTTTAGTTTGTATACAAATAAAATTAAAAAAGATTAATAGTTGGAACGAACTATAAAGACAGTTTCTGAGCCCAGAGGGCAGCTGATCAATAAGATTTCTAGATGCTGGGCTTGTAGTATCTTCAGCTGGAGTGAGAAGAGGCATTGGATTAGTTTGCAGTTTGAATGCCATAAAGATGGGCCACACACAAGCTGTTGTGGTAATTTTTCTGAAGCTTATGTCAAGTCATCCAGTTTCAGTTTGAAGGACTTCAAGAAATGAAAAGTTTATAATTTTAGTGATTCCAAGCCAGAATAGCAGGAAAAAAATGAAATATTAATTTGGAGTGTTGTAGCTAAATATTGTAGTAAACTAGAAAAATTGAGGATCTATTGCAGATTGCAGGCAGATAATAAAACCTCAGAAAAAAAAAAAAACAGCTAGAATCTAATATTGGGTGCACTGCAGTTTTCTCCTGAAACATAACTTTTCTCTCTATATTCACTCTCATTTCTGTCAAAGATAATCAAAGTCAGATTGATTTGTTTGCTAAATAAGTTTAATCTCATTAAACTTGTACTGGTTATGTACACAAGTGCAGTTAAGAGTAGTGATTGACCCTTTAGGCTCTTTTAAAGGTTGCGTTAGTCAGATAAGAAATCTCAGATTAAACTTTTTGTTTTTGTTTTTTTAGACAGAGTCTCCCTCTGTCTCTCAGGCTGGAGTGCAGTGGTGCGATCTTGGCTCACTGCAACCTCCGCCTCCTGGGTTCAAGCGATTCTTCTGCTCAGCCTCCCGAGTAGCTGGGATTATAGGTGCGTGCCACTATGCCTGGCTCATTTTTTGTATTTTTAGTAGAGACAGGGCTTTCACCATATTGGTCAGGCTGGTCTTGAACTCCTGACCTCGTCATCCACCTGACTTGGCCTCCCAAAGTGCTGGGATTACAGGGGTGAGCCACTGTCTCCAGTCAGATTAAACTTTTAAAAGCCACTTGAGGCTGGGATACAAGCCCAAAACTTGTCATTAGTCTGCACCTGTTACATTTATAGATTTAGATAAATTTCTCTCTTCTTGAGGTCCCTAAAATATCCCAAGGTTTCCAGACCCACCAAGCAGTGACATTCTTTACTTACCTGTAAGTCTGGGAACCCTAGAGCCAGTTTTTCCAAGATGGTACTTTATTGGTTCCATAAAGCCAACTTTAGTCCCCTAAAGCCTTCTGGTCATATCTGAAAACATGATGTTTCAGTCAAAGCCTTGGTGATATAACCTGTGTTTCCAGTTTGTCCTGTTACAAAGACAACAGATTCTTATTAAACTTATGCAAATAAATACATTGTCATAAAAATAAGAATATACACAAATAGTTTCCAAATTCTGGAGGGATAAGTTAGGGGGAAAAAGTAAATGTTTCCATTTTGCACAAAAGTATTCTTTACTGAATTGGTGTAAGCTAGAGATAGCTTAAAAGAAAGTTTTCTGAAATCTGGAAAACAAAACATTTAAAGAACTAGCAATGTTTCCAACAAAAAGTCATTTTAAAAATTATTCTCATCAGTTCATTCAGTACCATGTAATTAAATCTTGTTTTGCTTGATCTTGGGTTAGTAGTTACATGAACCCATCAGTTTTATTAGAGTTCTGGAAATTCTTACCAGTCCAATTGTATGACGTTAAACTTGTTCAGAAACCTGTATTCCAGAATACTCATAAGAGTATTTTCCATAAATCTCCTTGAAGAAGAAGCCATTTTGGACTGTAGCTAATTTCAAATGCTTTTAGAGAGCAATTAAATTAAAACAATAACTGTCTACAGATGACAAGTACTTAAAATGTCCATGGTTAAAAAATCTAATGAGAGTTCATTACAATGATGCAATTTATAAGAAAATTTGGTTAGCATGGCATACAGCATTTTAACATAATAACCAAAATTATGACTGATAACATACTAGATTTCTAGGAATCTCATACAACTTTTGTACACTTATCCCAATAATATATCCATAAATATAACTTAAAGATGGCTTAGCATCACTTTTTATTTGAATGCTACACATATAATTTAGCATATTAAATAAATCTAATTGGTTTAATCTCTCTTTCATACAAAAAAAAATATTCTTTGTGGCTTTTTGAGGGTCCAATATGGAGAATCCTAAGTTAATTTGAGGTCAAAAAGACTTAACTTAGAATGTGATTTTGGGAAGATTGTCAAAAATGTCAAAAAGTTTAAAACATTTAAAACAAATATGACCATAGTTATCTATTTAATAAAAGCTCCATTAAAAGATTTTAAAGGCAAATTCAGATTACATAGTTGTGAACAAGAACTTAGCTCCTTTAATATTGAGAAGACTCACTTTTCTTAAGTAACCAAAAACCTAATAAAACAACATGAAACTCAAGAAATTATCTTGATGAAACAGAGTCTCTGTTTCTGAGGCCAATTACTTAAAAGGAAAAAAATACCCTTTACATTCTCAGACCAACATTCCAAGAAAACTTTACCATTTTAACGGAGAAGATCAAATTCTACTTTTGAATCAATGTATTACTAAAACTAAGTTTTAATAAAACCTTATAAATAAATCTATCCAATCTCAGTCAGCTTAGACCATACAAGATAAGATTTTCACAATCCTTCTAGACATCTTTTCTTATTTACTTTTGCAACAGACATACACCAGACAATTAAGCAGTTTACTTTTACTACATATTCTACTCTTAGGTTGAATTTATGGTTTTATGGCCTTAAACATCTAACAGTAACAACACAAACTTGTCTAATCAGCAAAGCCAGGTAAAACAAGTGTATGCTGACAATTCTGAAAATGTTTCTATTTTTATTTTACCAATATTTTTTAAACTAGTTTTTATTTACTAAGGAATATCCCAGATTATGTGAACTTAAAAAAATTGGGTCAGTTTCTACTTTTCTGAAAATTTTATACATTCTTATTTGTTTGAGTGCTCATTTATCCCTAGCCAATTTGGGTATTTTAGTTTGGTAATAACGTTGGAGGTAGAAAAATATCACATATACATAACATAATAACATAGATACACACATGTACACATACACAAACATATAGACTGATGTAACCAGATCTTATGACTTCTCATTTAAAAAATTTTAACCAGGCCAGGTGCAGTGGCTCATGCCTGTAATCCCAGCACTTTGGGAGGCTGAGGTGGGTGGATCACCTGAGGTCAGGAGTTCGAGACCAGCCTGGCCAACATGGCATAACCCCGTCTCTACTAAAAATACAAAAATTAGCTGGGCGTGGGGCATGGTGGTGCCCGGCTGAGGCACAAGAAGCACTTGAACCCAGGAGGTGGAGGTTGCAGTGAGCCGAGATTGCCCCGCTGCACTCCAGCCTGAGCAATGAAGTGAGACTCTGTCTCAAAAAAAAAAAAAAAAAAAAAGTTTTTAACCATGAGGCAGTAAAACAGAGTAATACAAAAATACAAACTCACTGGTTTATCTCCGCTTTATATTGTTATCCAAATTGTGTTTCTGGTGAAAAAGGGATAAGTTGAGTTGACCTACATAACAAAGGCTAAAGCTTTTTACCAATATTTGTGGAGGAGGTTTTTTAAGATTTTTTTTTTTTTTTTTTTTTTTTACTTTATCAGTTTCCAAACAGTTTCTTTTTTTCTCCTATTATCAGCCCCAGGTGCTTGTTTTTGAGGGGCCTCTGAGTCCCTTGAGAGCCCCCTCAAAGGAGGGTAGGATAGGGGTCCTGAAGTTCAGCAGAAAAGAAACGGGTCTGGCAAGAGTGGACAGAGAAATAGTCAGCAGAGACTTGAGAAGAGGGGTTTCAGGTGACAGAGCTCCCATGGGAGAAGCAGGATCCAATAGAGAGAAGAGAAAGAGCAGAGTGGTTTTATAGAGAGCCAGGAACAACAATTTGTAGCCCAGGGAATCAGGGAATAACCCCTCACTCAGAAAAAGAGAGCCAGAAAGAAGAGAATTCTAGTCTAGGGACTCAGAGAATAGACCACTCAGAACAAGAAGCCCACACGAAGACCTTCCTGCCCAGAGGATTGCTTTCAAAAGAAGCCTGGGACTCTACCCCAGCTTCAGAGAGAATATTCATCCCTTCAGATTCAAAATCTGTCCTTAGCCATCAACGGGCTTTTGTCTGGAGCAATGGCTCAGGAATCTGATTCACCAATGGATCCCTAATCAGTCAGAAATGACAACAAAGACTTCAAAGGCATGCATTTAGGGTTCTGAGTGAGAGGCCCAGGATCCAGTGATGAATCTGTCCTAGTTGAGTTTCAACACCATAATTGTTAAAGAAAAAATTATTCAGTGATACTTCAAATGCACAGTAAAGAAGACTTTATTCAGGACCATCACCATAGATATAGGAACCACTGCAACACAGTCTTGGAGCTGGGGAGAGAGATGGGCTTAACTCTGAATACGGCATGGGGAAGTGGGAATTTATAGCCCAGGAGCAATGCAGGGGTCAGTGAATGGAAAATCACTAAGAGGAAACATCAGGAGTAAGGGAGAGTCTGGCTAAACCGACCTAAAAGAATTCTTGCTGAAGACTGGCCAGGGTGATCAGACATCACCTGCAGAATGGTGAAGAATGAAGAACCTGATCAGATATTGAGAATGAGGGGTTCTTTGGTAAACTTGGCAGTGTTCTTTGCTAATGCTGGATTTTGCGAGGAAGTGCACAGTTTAGCCTAGCTGAAGATTTAGAAGCCTGACTAAAGTTGGCCAAGCAAAGAATCTTTGTTATCAACATATTCCATCAAACCTCACATCCCTGCCTTAAATGATCAAACCATCCGCACTCTTGTATGCTACTGTTCTCCATGAAAAGTTACTTCTTCTTTGCCTTAACCAAAATCCAGCCATTCTAGAAAGACACCAGAAGGCTTTCTGCAGCATCTAAAATTCCCCACATTCTAGGCCCAAATCCTTTTCCTTTCCCTGTTGCTTTTAGATCCACATTGTGTAACCCTCATCTAGAAACCTCAGTTTCTTGGAGTCATTTTTTTTTGGGGGGACGGAGTTTCCGCTCTTGTTGCCCAGGCTGGAGTGCAGTGGCACGATCTCAGTTCACTGCAACCTCCATCTCCCAGGTTCAAGCGATTCTCCTGCCTCTGCCCCTTGAGTAGCTGGGATTACAGGTGCCTGCCACCATGCCTGGCTAATTTTTTGTATTTTTAGTAGAGACAGGGTTTCATCCTTTTGGCCAGGCTGGTCCCGAACTCCTGATCTCAGATGATCCACCTGCCTCAGCCTCCCAAAGTGCTGGGATTATAGGCGTGAGCCACTGAGCCAGGCCATTCTGTCTTTTTATATAATGTAACTTGTACTTTTATGTAGTAAATTATCACAAAGGTGTCAGACACTCTGAGGAAGAGTATTTTACTGTATCATTCCCATTACCCAATCAGGAAGTCTTAACAGGCAGATTTTAACAAAAATATAAGACACAACTGTGCCCTAGCTTTTCTCACATACTTCCTACCTCACACTTCACACATTTCTTTTTCTCAGCACCCACTCTTAAGTAATAATTTATTTCCCCTGAATATTATTTACCTTCTGTGGGCTACTTTACATATCATCTGAAAGCATGATCAAAACAGTTATATTTGTGAATAATTTTATTTTGGTTTATTTCTTAGCAGAAGGAGGAGTTAATAGTAACATTTGTAGGCTGGGCACGGTGGCTCACGCCTGTAATCCCAACA
Organism: Homo sapiens; assembly: GCF_000001405.40. Taxonomy (NCBI): domain Eukaryota; kingdom Metazoa; phylum Chordata; class Mammalia; order Primates; family Hominidae; genus Homo; species Homo sapiens. The sequence continues at coordinate 148,467,982 of NC_000001.11, forward strand.
CTTTGGGAGGCCGAGGCTTGCGGATCATGAGGTCAGGAGATTGAGACCATCCTGGCTAACACGGTGAAACTCTGTCTCTACTAAAATACAAAAAAATTAGCCGGGCGTGGTGGCGGGCACCTGTAGTCCCAGCTACTCGGGAGGCTGAGGCAAGAGAATGGCGTGAACCCAGGAGGTGGAGCTTGCAGTGAGCCGAGATCGCGCCACTGGGCTCCAGCCTGGGAGACAGAGCGAGACTCCATCTCAAAAAAAAAAAAAAAAAAAAAAAAAAGAACACTTGTAATCTCCCAGAGATTGCCAAGGAAAACTTTCTCCTGGCTGAATTTATGTAGAGTTCATCATCTAAGCATAAAATATTTTATAAAGGAATGGGCCAATCAAATAACTGCTATGCGGTTGACACCATAAACCAAGTTAGCTTAGTACCACTCTAAATAGTTGCTGGGAATATAATGATTTTCAAAGACATGATCTCTAGAAATAAATAACTGAAAGAGAAGCACGGTGTCATGCATTTATGCATACACATAAGCAGGGACTAGAGATCAAGAATAGAAATAAAAGAGGTTTTTACACTTGGGGTGCTAAGATCGCAATGATTTATTTGGAGAGAAAACGGAAGCCCTTCTTTAGTAAATGCAAAGCACCATGTGTTTAATGAAGATACATGACCTAAGCTTTGAAGATCGTTTAACTAATTCAATAAACTTGCCAAGTATCCATTACTACATCTCAACAATCAAATTTACAGTGACATCTTTGAGTTAAATCTCTCCATAGATGTCTGGAAACAGCTTAATTCTGTTAACTGCTGCCCATTGAATTATGCTTTATTTGGTCATAGAATTTCATGTCATCTGTTAGTCTCCCTCACAACTTGGGAGATGTTATTCCTGTATTGTCTGTTCTCGTTGATGAAGAGAAGTCTGTGATAAAGTAATTGTCCTTCCTTTGCAGGTAATCTGCCTTCCATCTCTGGTTGATTTGAAAATATTGTATTAGTCTTTAGTATCTTGCATTTTACTGTGGTATGTCTACATATGGATTTATACTTACTGAGTTTGCTCAGAGCTTGGAGTATTTCCTCAGTCTTAAAGGCCCTAGTTGTGAAAATGTTACTACAGAAAAACTTTCTTTTTTTAACTTAAAATCCTTTTTATTGGGAAATAAATGTAAGATTATAGATGTTTGAAAATAAAAGAATTGTTAGAACAAAAAATACTCATATGCCTGTTACCCTAATTTGTCTATTATTATTTTATTAAATTTAGGTTACCATTTGTTCTCTCTCTCTCTCTCTCTCAATATATATCCCAATTTTCAGTCTTTAGATCTAAATCTTTCAGCAACCTGGACTATCATGGCCCCAGTGTAATGCTTGGCTTTGTACCTCATGAGGGAAGAAATGTTTTTTTTTAATCTTAAGTTCTAGGGTACGTGTGCATCACATGCAGGTTTGTTACATAGGTATACATGTGCCATGTTGGTTTGCTGTACCCATCAACTTGTCATTTACATTAGGTATTTCTCCTAATGCTATCTGTCCCCCAGCCCCCCACCCCCTGACAGGCCCCAGTGTGTGATGTTCCCCACCCTGTGTCCATGCATTCTCATTGTTCAACTCCCATCTGTGAGTGAGAACATGCGGTGTTTGGTTTTCTGTCCTTGTGATAGTTTGCTGAGAATGATGGTTTCCAGCTTCATCCATGTCCTTGCAAAGGACATGAACTTATCCTTTTTTATGGCTTCATAGTATTCCATGGCACATATGTGCCACATTTTTTTAATCCAGTCTATCACTGATGGACATTTGGGTTGGTTCCAAGTCTTTGCTATTGTGAATAGCACCACAATTAACATACGTGTGCCTGTATACATCTTTATAGTAGCATGATGTATAATCCTTCGGGTATACACCCAGTAATGGGATCGCTGGGTCAAATGGTATTTCTAGTTCTAGATCCTTGAGGAATCGCCACACTGCTTTCCACAATGGTTGAACTAATTTACGCTCCCACCAGCAGTGTAAAAGCATTCCTATTTCTCCACATCCTCTCCAGTATCTGTTGTTTCCTGACTTTTTAATGATCATCATTCTAACTGGCATGCGATGGTATCTCATTGTGGTTTTGATATGCATTTCTCTGATGACCAGAGATGATGAGCATTTTTTATGTGTCTGTTGACTGCATAAATGTCTTCTTTTGAGAAGTGTCTGTTCATATTCTTTGCCCACTTTTTGATGGGGTTGTTTTTTTCTTGTAAATTTGTTGAAGTTCTTTGTAGATTCTGGATATTAGCCCTTTGTTAGACGGGTATATTGCAAAACTTTTCTCCTATTTTTTAGATTGCCTGTTCACTCTGATGAGAGTTTCTTTTGCTGTGCAGAAGCTCTTTAGTTTAATTAGATCGCATTTGTCTATTTTAGCTTTTGTTGCCATTGCTTTTGGTGTTCTGGTCATGAAGTCTTTGCCCGTGCCTATGTCTTGAATGGTATTGCCTAGGTTTTCTTCTAGGGTTTTTTATGGTGTTAGGTCTTTCATTTAAGTCTTTAATCCATCTTGAGTTAATTTTTGTGTATGGTGTAAGAAAGGGATCCAGTTTCAGCTTTCTACATATGGCTAGCCAGTTTTCCCAGCACCGTTTATTAAATAGGGGATCCTTTGAGGGAAGAAAATTATTTTTAATATTTTAATCCAGCTATGTATGTAAAAAGAAGTCTTTTTCATATTTTATCTATTAGTTCTGTATGATTGGAGTATGAGTCAAAACATCTCAATATAAATAAAAAGTTACATTTCAGTAATTTTTTTTCTAAAATTACAAAACACTAGTGGTCAAAAACACTACTATTTCCAATTCTCTTTACTTTGTTAACATTACTTTTTGTACTTATGAGAGAAGAGTTTGCAATCCAAAAAGAGCAGGAAGGAAGAGAGATTAGAGATTTTTTCTCCCGCTTGCTCTATACATATGAGATATTTATATATCTATATATCAACAGTTGACCTTTGAATAACACTGGTTTAAACTGTGTGAGTCCACTTATAGGTGGATTTTTTCAGCCAAATACAGATTGAAAATATAGTATTTGTGGGACGTGAAACCCACATATGTGGAGGGCCAACTTTTCATATGCGAGCTCTGCAAGGTTGACTGTGGGACCTGAGTATGTGCAGACTTCGGTATATGCAGGGCTCCTGAATGCAATACCCCACTAATACTGAGGGATGACTGTATATGTCTCTATCTATCTACTCTATCACATATATATATATATATATATACACACACACACAAATATGTGTATATATATATGTATGTGTGTGTATATATATATATATATATATATATATACTTCCTATATTACTTTGCTAGGGTTGTTATAACAATTACTGCAGACTGGGTGAGTTAAACAACAGAAATTTATTTTCTCACAGTTCTGGAGGCTAGAAGTGTGAGGTCAAGGCATCAGATGTGTTAATTTTATTCTGAAATTTCTCTCCTTGGCTTTTAGATAGTCATTTTCTCATCTTGTCTTCTCATGGACTTTTTTCTGTGCACATGTATGTCTGTACCTAAATTTCCTCTTCAAATAAGGACACCAGTGATATTGGATTAGGACCCAGACATGTGACCTCATTTTACATTAGTTACCTCTTAAAAGTCTCTATCTCCAAATATAGCCACCTTCTGATATACTGGGATGGCAGGGGGCAGGGTACAGCATATTAATTTGGGGAAAGGACACAATTCAGCCTATAACATATGCAATATATTCTTCTCTGATCTATATTATATAACTTTTATATATAATACATATATAATTTAATATACATTTTAACCCCTTGATTAATTTTCTCACTGCAGAGAAAACAAGAATTAAAGAAAAGCTTCAGGTGATACCGTTTTTGAATGAGTAAGAATTGAGCCTACCCTTAACACAAGAATGAAGTAGAAATAAACTGACTTAGGGAACAGCATAAAAAAGTTCTCTTATGAGTCAAGATTTCAGTGTGATGTCATCATATTTTCCAGGGATTAAATGTTAGAATATATTGCATGCCCATATTGAGGTGGAATCATAAACTTATTTCAGACTTATTATAATGGCTCATTTTCTTATGCCTTCACCATTGAACTTGTACTTAGCTGGGGATTGAGCTGAAAGTTTGCCTTTTCTGTATCTAGCATAGTTGCACCAAATCTGACCTTAATCCCAAATTTTCCTCTCTGTAATATTTTGTTTCCAAATGAGGCTCACATTGAATTTTCTCTTGTTAGAAATATAACTGGCAAGACCAATCAAAACCATTCATTCCATTCAGTTGCCTGTGAACAAGCTTGATTTGCTTTGTTATTAATATAGCTTCTTGTGGGTTAAGTAGAAAGCTCTTTTGTAAATATCCCTCAGTTTAAGTACATATGGTTTACATTTCCAGGTAAACTATAAATTCTCTGAGAAAGGCCCAGCACGGTGGTTCAAGCCTATAATCCCAGCTCTTTGGGAGTCTGAGATGGGTGGATCACTGGAGGTCAGGAGTTTGAGACCAGCCTGGCCAATGTGGTGAAACCCCATCTCTACCAAAAATACAAAAATTAGCCAGGCATGGTGGTGCACGCCTGTAATCTCAGCTACTCAGGAGGCCAAGGCAAGTGATTAAACCCAGGAGGTGGAGGTTGCAGTGAGCTGAGATCGCACCACTGCACTCCAGCCTGGGTGACAAGCTGGACTCTGTCTCAAAAAAAAAAAAAAAAAAAATCTGTGAAAAGATCTGTGATTTCCATTCTCCTTTATAGTAATTGTTAAGCACTCACAATTAGATGGTTATAACAACTAACAAAGAAAAACAATTATTTTAATAAATATTTTTCATCATTTTCTCCTTTCTAAGCCCTATGCTATGCACTAAAAACTGCAGAGAAAATCAACACATTCTCTACCTCACAGCAGATTTCTTGGAGAGAGATAGGGGTGGGGAGGGGAATAAGGGTTGCTAAATGTTGTCAACTTTGTAATACAACTCTCAAAGGGAGATAGTTATTAGGGAGGCAAAGTGCTCAGGCTCAGATTTCAGGTTGCTTAGATTTGAATTCTGTCTTCACTGCTTCTTTTATGATTTGCCCAAATTACTTAAGCTCTTTAAACCACAGTCTCCTCATCCTTAAGGTAGGGATAATAAATAGAACTTATCTCATAAAATTACTGTGAGGATTATAAGTGATTATGAAGTTGATTAAATTTCCCCAGTGCTTCATACAAAGAAAGGACTCAAAGGATATGCTAGTTCATAGTAGGGGCATAGAAGAAGATATCCCTTCTCTCCTGGGATATAGGGTATACATAACTGTCCACTATAAAATTGAAGATAGGCTAGAGAAAAGCTAAAAATGAAGAATCTAATAACTCTTTAGCCAAGAGAAAATGAAACATGAGGGAAAGGGAGAAGTTCCAAATGAGGTCCACATTTGTCGTGGGCCACTGAATGGTGGTGCCATTCAGGCAGAGGAAACCCAGAAGGAGGAGTCATTCTGTAGTTAGAGGGCACTTAATGAGATAATATTAGAGATAACTGAGGTTGAGTTGTTGGTACATATCTGGGTGCAAAGTCTCCATAGGTCCGGAATTTTGAATAGTTTTCTGGAGTCATCTGGTTATTGTTAAAGCCAAGAGAATTGGTGAGATCACAGAATACAATAATGATCAATAAGAGGGAAGGGAAGAGAGCCAAGAATGGGAGACTGGGAAGCATACACATTTAATTAAGGTTTGGTAAGGTGAAAGGTGTCAGCAGAGAATGTAAAGGTGAAATAATGAGAGAAAAAGGAGGACATCAAGGAGAAAGTCGTGTTTTGAAAAAAACAAAAAGGACACATTTTCAAGAAAGACATTGTCAATAGTTTAAATGTCACAAAATAGTAGAGTATAATGCAATTAAAAAAACAAAATCTATTGCTTTTGTTAATTAAATAACTAGTAACCTCGGCTGCAGCAGTTTCAGTAGAGTGAGGAGAGTTGACACCAAACTGCACCAGTGGAGTGAAAATAAGTGGGAAGAAAGAGTGAGGAAGTGGAGGACAGTCTTTTTTTTTTTTTTAATAAAATATTTTCCCAAACTGTCTTTTCTGGAACTTCCAACATGTCTGCTTAAGAGCTTGTCTAAGTTGAATTCATTCAAACTTCTTGAACCTAATTAGTTTCTTTTTGCTGTTTTTTTTTTTTTTTTTTTTTTTTTTTTTTGAGATGGAGCCTTGCTCTATCACCCAGGCTGGAGTTCAATGGTGCATTTTCGGCTCACTGCAACCTCCTCCTCCTGGGTTCAAGCAGTTCTCCTGCCTCAGCCCAATTAGTTTTAAAGACGCTGCATATATTGGCAGGGAAAACCTAGAACACAAAGTCAAACTTCCAATTATCTCCCTTCAGTGCTCAAATCAAGAGTTCATTTGTTGCAAGGAATGGGGATTTGGACTCCAGGGAGAAGAATAGAGTTTTAGAAGGAGAGTTCTCCTAAAACTAAATGGAAGGAGGGTTCTTTGAGATACCAAGGATTTGCAGGACTTTATTTACAATTAAATGTTAGTTTCAGACAGCCCAGGAGGAATAGGTCTATTAAAGGAAAGCAAGAGTAGTTGGCGTAAGGAAACAATTTGCATTGGAGCCTGAGAGTGAGTATAGTAATGACCACATGAGAGACCCATTTGACTCAAGTACTTCAAAGCATTGCCAGTGTTAGTCTTTGCTCCACAATCAAGTGGGGAAAAAGTGAAATGTCTTTGAAGAGCATTTCCTGTAGGTGGTCTTTGAGGAGGTCCTGAAAATTCCAAACCTGCAAGTATTAATGGCAAAGAATAAAAATTCTTTATGTAAAATACTTTTAAAAATCTTTCTAAATAGCAAGACATTATATATTACCATTGTTAAAAGATGAACGAATTGAGAAATATCATTAGAATTATATGCAGCAGATAAAATGGTCACTTTTTCTTTTGAGACGGAGTCTCGCTCTGTCGCCAGGCTGGAGCACAGTGGCGTGATCTTGGCTCATTACAACCTCCAGCTCCCTGGTTCAAGTGATTCTTCTGCCTCAGCCTCCCGAGTAGCTGGGATTACAGGCACGTGCCACCACCCCAGCCAATTTTTGTATTTTTAGCAGAGACGGGGTTTCACCATGTTGGGCAGGATGGTCTTGATCTCCTGACCTTGTGATCCACCCGCCTTGGCCTTCCAAAGTGTTGGGATTACAGGCGTGAGCCACTGCGCCCAGCCAAAAGGTCACTTTTTAAACTTAAAAATTATTAAGAAAACAGTGAAAACTTAATGTTTAAAAGAGTAGAAGATAGGGAAAATTATTATACAGAAAAAGATAAACAACAGAGAAAGATAAATAAATTGCCAGTGAATATGTAAAAAGTTGCTCAGCACCAGTGGTAGTTCAAATCCAAATAGCACTGAGTTAGCATTTGTTAACTAATAAATTGGCAAAAATTATATTTTGATAAAACCCAGTGTTGCTGACATCCCAAGAAAAAGGGCTATGCTCACACAGCCTTGGAGCATGTGCACATTGATGATTTTTTTGGCATAAAAATTAGTGGTTTCTATTAAAATCAGCAGTGTAACTCACAATCGCTAAGACATGGAATCAACCTAGGTGCCCATCAACTGTGGATTGGATAAAGAAAATATGGTACATATATGTCATGGAACACTTTGCAGCCATAAAAAAGAATAAAATCATGTCCTTTACAGCAACATGGATGCAACTCGATGCCATTATGCTAAGCGAATTAACACAGGAATAGAAAACCAAATACCACATATTCTCACTTATAAGCAGGAGCTAAACATTGAGTACACGTGGACACAAAGATGGGAACAATAGAAACTGGGGACTACTCGAGGGTAGAAGGAGGGAGGGGGTAAAGGTTGAAAAACAACTACTATGTCTAGTACCTGAGTGATCGGATCAATCATGCCGCAAACCTCAGCATTACACAACATACCCATGTAACAAACCTGCACATGTACCCACTGTATCTAAAATCAAAAGTTGAAATTATAAAAAATAAAAAAATAAAATCAACAATGTATATTTCTCTCACACAGCCATCACGATGATATATTTGGAATAATATATGCATAAGGATGTTCATTGCAGTGTTGTCTGCAAGGGCAAAGTGAAAACAATCTGAATAACCAACAATATGACACAGAGTAAGTAATTATTGGTACGTCTGTACAATGCCTCATGCAATCACCACTGACAGCGTGGGAAAGAGAGACATCTATTATGAAAAGACCACTAAGACATATGATTACATGATAAGTGCAAGGTTCATGAATAAATAGCATGTATACTAGTATAGCATACTTCTTTCTAAGAAAGAAACCATAACACATACAAGAATGGACAAGAAGTTATTAACAATAGCTAACTTTGGTGATAAGACTGTAGGTTGTAAAAAGCCAGACTTTCATTTCTCATTTTAAACCCAATGAATTATTTAAATCTAACCCTACTGCATTCATTATCTTTATAATAAAATAAATATGTATAACAATGAAACATAGTTTTTAAGTATTTGGGACATAAATTAAACATTAATAGATTACACCTCTTAAACTTGGTACTTTAGTATCCCATTTCTCTGTGAGAACTCTGAAAGCTTCATCTTCCACAGTTTAGGTAATTCTTTGGTGTCTTATTTTGTTATTTTCTTGCCTGAGATTAGCAATGTCAGATCTCCAAACTGCTAACTCTTCTCTTTGGCAGATCAAATGCTTCTTCTTAAAAAAATTAATTTTTTAAAATGTATTTCATAGGATTTTTGTTCTCTCTCTCCCTCTTTTTGTGCATATGTGTGTGTGTCTGATTAGTCTTTATTATCTTAAAATGGTTAGTCCTGATAGACCTGTTTCTTCAAAATTTCTCTCAGTTCTTTGGCAGTTTGCTCTTAGCTTATAATTAAAGATCAATTTCTGACTTGTCTTGTTCTAGAAAACCTCAATGGAAATTACAGCAAGCTGAATAGGATACTAATTAAAAACATAAACCTGGTGAAACCCGAACATAGAGGCTCCAGTTCAAAGATGCTTCCAATAGTTGACATGGCCCTTCATTCCTTAAAACCAGCTATTTTTCTTTCGAATTACATTACCTTTAATTCTGTAAATTGGATGTTATATAGTACCATGAAAACTGCTGTGAGTAATTATAATACTCATTGCTGAGTGATGTGACTTCTTTCTCAAGGCTATTTCTGAGGGAAATTGTACAATTAGATCTTTAGGTATTGTGACTTGTTTTGGAAATTATGGTGGCCCTCCAGGGAGCTAATGAATCTTTAATTATTTAGAGGTTCACATGAGACCCCTTACAGATATAAGCACATTAGCTCTTTAGCTAAGGGAACATTTAAAAACAGTAACATGAAATGTGTCAGACATAGAGGAAAGATGAAGAAGCAAGTAGAAACTAATGCAAACAGAGGAACTGCCAGCTCTCTGTGGCACTCTAGCTCTCTCTGTCAGTATTTGGTTGGCAATGTAGACATAGTGGATGAGTGCAATTACATATGTTAGGCTCATTCTGAAATGCAGGAGCATTTTAGATTTTCATGTAGAAGCCTGACAAGCAAACTACATCTAGGATATACTTTGATAACTTTGAGTTGAGAGCCAAATTTTTTGAAGGTAAACCATCTCCCTGTTTTAAAGTAGTGTTTAAAATTATAAAAATTTTAATACATCTGTAATATGAAATATTTAGCTATAAATACTACAAGTGCAAATGAATTTTTTTTTCTACTTCTGCATTCAACTTTTCTCTTCTCCCTTTACGGAAAACACTTTTGTGTAAAGGCCTCCAAAATATATGTAGAGACGTATGTATGTTAAAAACATGTATACATATAATGCATAACCAAACATATGAAATATCCTAAACATATGGACCTGAAAATTGCTTATAATAAATTTGAACTGAACATATAGGCATAAATGTGGTTCAGAAGTGTCCAGTTGAAGCAACTTCACTTTGTTAGGTCAACAAAAGTTGGGGACACCAAGATCTACTCCTCTGATTTTGTTCTAGCATTATCTTAATGGAAATGTTTACTGAAATGGAAATACATGTAGTGGACATCGTGGTGGTGTCTCAAGCATTCAGTGTTCCCTGCTCTCACACACTCCTAACCAAATAATGAATTTCTCAGCTTCACAATGTTTAAGTGACATGAGTCCCATGCCCAATTCTTGGTCATTGTAATTGGTGCATGGAAGGAACGTGTGCCTTCTGCTAATCAAATCAGAATGAAGTACAACTTTTTCATTCCATGATTGAAGAGGGAAATGCCTTCTTTCCAAATGCAGCAGAGGAAGCACGAGGTACTAGGATTGGAAGTTGTCTACTCATGACATGATATTTTAAGCCATAGAATAAAACTGAGACCTAATGTCTTAGTCCTTTCAGGTCGCTATACCAGAATATCACAGCCTGGATGGTTTATGAACAACATAAATTTATTTCTTACAGTTCTAGAAGCCAGGAAGTCCAAGATCAAGGTGTCAACAGATTCAGGGTCTAATGAGGATTTGTTTCCTGGTTCACAGACAGCTGTCTTTTTGCTGTGTCCTCACATGGTGGAAGGGGCTAGGAAGTTCTCTAAGGTCTCTTTTATAAGGGCACTAATCTCATTCATGAGGGCTCTGTCCTCATGACCTAATCACCCCCCGAAGACCCACTGCCAAATATCATCACACTAGGGATTAGATTTAAACATACAAATTTTGGGGGGATACAAACATTCAATCTATATCACTTAAGGTAGAGTGAAGAAACAGGGAGGACAAGAAGCATTTATTTTGTGTCATTATTAAACTTCTGCATTAAACTATCTTGAGCCTATACTATTGTTCAAAATCTCTTTATTATACAAGCCATTTTGAATTTTGATTGTTTGCAACCAAAATTAACCTAATAAGTTAAAATGTACTATAATGTTACATCATAATTTGTCTGTACTAGTAGTATTTGCTAGAGTGTTTAGGGGAATACTTGCTTGTTAACTTTTTAGTAAATATAACACTCCATGTTCAAATACATTTGGGAAATGCTGAGCATTTCACACTTTTAGAGACTCAAAACAGGCAGCACATTTTTAAAAAATAAAAATAAAACCAAATAGCATTGCATTTGGAGAATGGTACAAAAAAAGAGAATTTGATAAACCGGAGTTATCAGAACTCAGTGGATACTATGTGTTAGACATTATTATAAGCCATTAAACATTTTACAAGCTTGATACCTGAGTTAAAAATTAATAACCCAAAGACACATTGGAAGAGAAAAGTTGACATATTTTTATTATATTAATGACCTAAAAATATCATAGCAACTAACCTCATTATAGTCAACAAGTGAATGAATGTAAATAATATTAAATAACTATTAGAAAGTCTCTCTGATTAAGCATGGAAATAAATAGGCAGTGCTTTTGACCAATAAATGGAGGACTTACAATATTTTCCAATACGAAACAAAAAGATTCTAAATGTAAAGGTTTTAGGCCCAAAATATGTTAGTCAATTCATGACAGCAGAAATTCAGCAGGTCATATTTTTGGGGTAATGTAAATGACAATAGAAATCATGGACTAAAGTGTAACAAATAAGTAATATCTAGGCAGGTGGAAATTTTAAGATCTTTTAAATTAACTTCTGGACTATAGCAAAAATTCAAACTAAAATTCATCAGGGAGTCAGGGAAGGTCAAATGAAGAAGCATGGGGATTGAGGCAAAAACCCTGAATTATACCAATATTATCTTTTTTTTTTTTTTTTGAGACAGGATCTTGCTCTGTTACCCAGGCTGGAGTGCAGTGGTGCAATCATAGTTCACTGCAACCGCGACCTCCTAGGCTCAAGGGATCCTCCCACCTCAGCCTCTTGAGTATCTGGGACTACAGACCCTCATCACCACAACACCCGTCTAATTTATTTATTTTTTGTAAAGATGAGGTCTCACTTTGTTGCTCAGGCTGACAAGTATTATCTTAATGTTATAGAAAAAAAGTAATTCTGGCCATATATAGGTATTATTCTTTGCAGTGGAATAGCATTTCAGAAATTTGTGCCAAACATAAAATTAGTTTTCTAGTAGTAAAAAGTAATTAAACTCTTTAAATTATTATTACCCCTAATATACTGGGGAATGGGTGTGTGTTCCAAATGAAAAAACTTGGGATGTCTAATGAGATGCTGTTTTCTGTCGCAGAAAATCTATGTAAAATGTTTTTTCTCACGTGTACACTGTTGATATTTGAGACAGCACATGTTAACACTTCAAGAAGTAAAATAAATGTGTTGATTATATCCACAGTTTTCATATTTATTAACTATATATTTCATTTTTAATGTAATGCCTATTGAAAAACCTGTAAATAGTTGTTTCTTAAAATTGATAAATACTGCCTAAGATTTTTCTGTATATTTTCATATTTCAATTTTCCTGTGAGGTTAGAATGAACACTTTTAGCTAAGACATTTGGGCCTCCAAATCCTAAACCTTTCAGAATGTTAGTTTATTATTTGGTTTTTACCTAAATTATTTTCTGCTTATTCAAGAACCTTAGGTCTATCCAGTTACGTTTTTATTTTTTTATTTTTATTTTTTTACTTTGAAACAAAGTCTCGCTCTGTTGACAAAGCTGGAGTGCATTGGCATGATCTCGGCTCACTGCAACCTCTGCCTCCCAGGTTCAAGTGATTCTCCTGCCTCAACCTCCCGAGTAGCTGGGATTACAGGGGCATACCACCACACCCAGCTAATTTTTGCATTTTTAGTAGAGATGGGGTTTCACCATGCTGGCCAGCCTGGTCTCAAACTCCTGACTTCAGGTGATCTGCCCACCTCAGGATCCCAAAGTGCTGGGATTATAGGCGTGAGCCACCATGCCTGGCTGTATCCAGTTACATTTTTAAGACCAGCCAGGCTTAATATATATTTGGTCTTTAGCTCAATTCAATTTGTTGCATTTTGTCCATTGTACTTCATGTGACACAGAATATATCTTAATTTAAAAAGACATATGTTTGTTGAGCTATCTGTTACGTTGGTATATCTTGGAATTTTAAAAAATATAAACCACAGAAGCCAATTATGGCTGACATTAACAATAAATAGGTTTATCACAGAAATAGTGGGGAACTTGTAGAACTGTTGAGAAGGCTAGAGAGCCAGATCAAAGCTAGGCAGCCAGGAAATGTACCCCAAACCATGCTGTAGAACTCATCCAGGGAGGAAACCACTGTCACCACCAGTAAGAAGTAACACCGAAGATGCAGACAGCAACAATTGCAGCAATTGCTCAATCCTAGGCTAACTGCAAAGCCACCAGCACCACTCCCACTTGTTCGCTTTGCAACAGATATTGTAGCAGCTGCTACATGGCCTCCACCAGAAACAAGAGAAAGCATAACTGAATCTGCTTCTTTTTTTATTAATTCCGAAGTCGAAATTCAGCACTGGCAAACAGATTGGCAAAACCTAAGTCATATGCTTGTACCCTAGCTGCAAAGGAGGCTGAGAAAGCAAGCATTTGGCATTTTAGCTTCTAAAGCAGGAGGTGGTTTCTTGTTTTCGTCAAAACTGAGAGGCTGAGGAATTCCTCAAACACAGAAACAAACATCAAATAATAAATATTCATGCTTTCACTTGCTCAATATCAATATAAACTTTCCCTTTTGAAAGTAAACATGAAAGACCCAAGCTTCCTTCTAACAGAGTGCAACTATTTCTCTAATAATTGAACATGTACCTACAATCTCTTGAACAATGAAACAATAAAAAATTCTCAATCACAGCATGTACTCTAAGTCTAAGAATTCTGGGTTATGTCCATTCCTCTACGAAGTTCTTCACTATACTCTCTTGACATTCTGCCATATATCATTTAAAAATTAAGTTAATCACCCTCAATAAGCCCTGTTTTAAAAAGAGGGATAAATGGAGAGGAAAGAAGGAAAGTTGTTAAGATACATAAGTATGCACAGGACAATACAAGAGAAACAATGTGTTTGGATGTCAAGGCTCTCCTTTCTGCAAGTGGCCAGCAGGTCACTATTGGCATCTATGGCCATGTGCCCTCAGCTAACACCTCTGCTAGTCAGGGTTTTGCCTTGTGAGATGACCAAATATTCATTCCTGACAGAGAAATGTCCTTGATAATCTTTTTGTGTGAGCGTGCCATGGTCATTGTTAATTTCTTTCATTTAACAAAATAATAGACTTTATTTTTTGAGCAGTTTTAGCTTTATGGAAAGATCGAGCAGAAAGTACAGAGTTCTCACATACTGTCACCTTTATCCCACCCCCAGTTTACATTAGGGTTCACTCTTTGTGTGGTACAGGTCTAGGAGTTTTGCAAAACGCATAATGTCATGTACCCATCATTACATTATTACCAACGTATTTTCAATCCCCTAAAAATCGCCTGTTTCAGAACTATTTATCTCCCTACCCATCCCCAAACTCCTGGCAACCACTGAGCTTTTTTGTTGTTGTTGTTGTTACTTAGTTTTTATTTCATAATCATAAACTTAACTCTGCAATCCAGCTAGGCATGGAAGGGAACAAGGAAAACATGGAACCCAAAGGGAACTGCAGCAAGAGCACAAAGATTCTAGGATATTGCAAGCAAATGTGGTGGAGGGGTGCTCTCCTGAGCTACAGAAGGAATGGGTCTGGTGGTGAAAATAAAACACAAGTCAAACTCATTAGAATTGTCCACAGTCAGCAATGGTGATCTTCTTGCTGGTCTTGCTATTCCTGTACCCAAAGTGCTCCATGGCTTCCACAATATTCACACGTTCTTTCACCTTGCCAAAGGCCACATGCTTGCCATCCAACCACTCAGTCTTGGCAGTGCAGATGAAAAACTGGGAACCATTTGTGTTGGGTCCAGCATTTGCCATGGACAAGATGCCAGAACCTGTATGCTTTCGGATGAGGTTCTCATCATCAAATTTCTCCCCATAGATGGACTTGTCACCGGTGCCATTAGGGTGTGTGAAGTCACCACCCTGACACATAAACCCTGGAATAATTCTGTGAAAGCAGGAACCCTTATAACGAAATCCTTTCTCTCCAGTGCTCAGAGCACGAAAGTTTTCTGCTGTCTTTGGAATCTTGTCTGCAAACTGTTTGATGGAGATGCGGCCCAAGGGCTTGCCGTCGACGGTGATGTCAAAAAAGATGACGGAGTTGACCATGGCTGATAGTACAGGGCTCACAGCGATGGCGGCGTCTGCAAAGATAACCACTGATCTTTTTACTGTCTTTATAGTTTGGCCTTTTCTAGAATGTCGTATAGTTGAAATCACAGTATGTACCCTTTTCAGACTGGCTTCTTTCACTTAGCAAAATGTCTTTGTTTTTTCTGTATCTTTTTGTGGCTTGATAGTTTTTTCCTTTTAGCACTGAATAATATTCCACTGTAGGAATATACCACAGTTTGCTTATGCAGTCACTCATTGAAGGACATCTTGGTTGCTTCCAAGTTGTGGCAGTCTTCATTTCTTTCTTTCTTTCTTTCTTTCTTTCTTTCTTTCTTTCTTTCTTTCTTTCTTTCTTCTTTTTTTTTTTTTTTTTTTTTGAGACAGAGTCTTGCTCTGTCACCCAGGCTGGAGTGAAGTGGCACAATCTCAGCTCATTGCAACCTCTGCCTCCCAGGTTCAAGTGATTCTCTTCCTCAGCCTCTGGAGTAGCTGGGATTACAGGTGTGCACCACCACGCCTGGTTAGTCTTCAGGAATATTTACAGGACTGTATAGAATTAGGAGCCATCAAAGGGGATCCCTGAATTCTTTCTGTTTTTCTTACAAATACCAGTTTTAAGGTCAAGATTTACTACCCCATGCAACAGTGTAGCCGCATTTTAAATTTTAAATTTTTGACTGTTTCTTTAAAGGTCTCAGGCAACCTAAAAGGCTAGATAGAAGTCTCTCATCCTCTAACGAAGGATGGATTGTAAAATGGAATACTGCTAAGACTCTCCCTTTGGGTACTAATTCTGCAAAAACCTAGAATCTCAGAGACAAGAGATAAGTATTTGGAGTGGATCATTAGATGTAATGACAAAAGGAGTCACTTCAACATTCATAACAAATATCAAAGATTGTTGTATTTTTTATATGGGAGACACCAGACAAGCTTATACTTAGTTACTAGTTCAGAGGATACACCACCACATCCTCTAGCATGAGTACAACCTTATAAGCCATTGTCTCCAGCTGGCACTGTGATTGAGTCTTTAATAAAATATTCACCATTCTATAATAATAATAATTTTGGTTAGTGATAGGATAAATGGTGGACCAGGTGAGTCCAATGAATATCTACTCATTTGTTATACAACAAGTTCTTTTAATAGAAGGATGTAGAACAGGATATTATGGCAGTATATATAAGGCATTCAATGTACCCGTGGAGAGTGGCGATCAGAGAAAAATGATGTCAGGTAAAGCAAATGTAATTCAAGGATAAAGGTAGATTCCATTTACAAAATTCCTTGTTGCCTTTATCATAGAGGAGCTCCAATAAAATCAACAAGTCTGACAAAAGGTGACTGGTTTATTCACCCAGGATATGTTATTGTGTGCTTAGCCTTGGACTTTGTTGCTTGTGTGTTGGACACCTAATAGTCTTGACAGCTAAATAGGCTTTTGTAAGCGAGAGTGGTAAAGTCCAACATGTTGCTAAACCTATGTGTATTCTCTACTGCTACCACCAATGTTGCTGTTTATTAGCCTTCTGAGCAAGCAATGTAGTGCCTGGTGAAAGAGATTGTTTCATACCTTCATATCTATTTGATAACCTTCCTGATGATAGTTTGGTGAGCATTCGTATTAAGCACAAATATTCTTACACTCTGGCTCATTTTCTGTGGTTCATCTACATACTTTTTCCCCAAAACTCATTGCCACCAATCCTTCAGTCTTTGTCTTTCTGAGTCCCTAATTATCTTTTCTTTTCTTTTTTTTTTTTTTTTTTTTGAGACAGAGTTTCGCTTTGTTGCCCAGGCTGGAGTGCAGTGGTGCAATCTTGGTTCACTGCAACTTCTTCCTACTGGATTCAAGAGATTCTCCTGCCTCAGCCTCCCAAATAGCTAGGATTGCAGGCACACACCACCACATCTGGCTAATTTTTGTATTTTTAGTAGAGACGGAGTTTCACCATGTCAGCCAGGCTGGTTTCGAACTCCTGACCTCAGACAATCCACCTGTCTTGTCCTCCAAAAGTTCTGGGATTACAGGTGTGAGCCATCAGGCCTGGCCCCAAGTCCCTAATTATCTAGACAAATTATTAGCTGCCACATATACATCAATAATATCTCTCCTTCTAGACATCGTGGACAACCAATTACATAGGCTGAATTTCTTTTAAAATTGCATTCACGTAGGTTATAATGCCTAAGCAATCTACTTTTGGCTGCTGCTGTGATGTTGTACAGTGACTTCTGTAAATCAGGCTCAATTTTTCCCTCACTAATCAACTGGCCATAGAGAACTTCCCATGAAGACATAGGTATAGATTCTATTATTCCTACCTGCTGATGAAGCAGGATAGTTAATTGGAAAACACTTATTTCATGATAAGCAGCTCATGTTTTCATATTTTTTTTGCATTGATAGGACTTCAGTTTCTACAATGGTCCAGGATCAATCAAGAGTTCTTTAAAGAAAACATTTATTTTGTCAAAGAAAGAAGCATTTTGTTCCAAATCCTAAGAACAATAGTAGTGGTGTGTCAGAGGCTCTATTGCATCTGGATATAAAAACAAAGGGGCACAATATTCCTGACCAGTTGGGAATTATTATCTTGATCTCAATCCCATCAAAATGTGGCAGCATGACAAGTCATGAAGTAAAAGGCCCAGGTGATAAAATGAGGTCTCCAAAATCCAAAGCATCAAAGTTCTCAGTTAGTGGTCAGGGCTGCAAAGTGCCATAATTTTGCACTTTGGAAGGTATATCTTGAGAATATTGAGTGTATGAGACAAGTTAAAAGGTCATGCAGCCAGACGCGGTGGCTCACGCCTGTAATCCCAGCACTTAGGGAAGCTGAGGTGGGCGGATCATGAGGTCAGGAGTTCAAGACCAGCCTGGCCAATATGGTGAAACCCCATCTCTACTAAAAATACAAAAATTAGTGGGGCATCGTGGTGCCCTCCTGCAGTCCCAGCTACTTGGGAGGCTGAGGCAGCAGAATTGCTTGAACCCTGAAGGCGAAGGTTGCAGTGAGCTGAGTTGGCGCCACTGCATCCAGCCTTGGCAACACCGCGAGACTCTGTCTCTTAAAAAAAATAAAAAAATAAAAATAAAAAAATGTAAAAGTTCATGATTAACACCTCTGTTAGCTTCTGATCTTTATAATAATTATCACACACACACAAACCAAACACCACACATAGAGGAAACAGTAAAAGATTAAAGGACACAGCTAAAAATACATTTGTATTATTACTTCCCAAAGTTCTAAAATTATCAGAAGGGACTAGTGAATCTTTAAAAAATATTGATTATCCAACACTTTTTAATAACCAGTATAATTGCATTGAAGGCTACTGAACATGCACATGTTCCTAAAATTTTTCTGTTATGGTGTCTGGTTTGCGAAAGGAACAAAATTAAACATAGTTCCTTGGCAATTTTTCCCTCTTCCACTCTACTAATTGGCGTATGTGCGATGTGTGTTTATTGTAAAATAGGAATAAGATTCAGAGGTCAAGAATCAAAGTGAGTCAGAGTAGGAAAAGCCAGACTCAAGCATAACAGAAGGGCAGAGCCTGTCAAACCCCAAAATTAAAGGGTAAATTTCAACACAAGTAGAAGTGGTTCAAAAGCTAAGGGCATCCTCATAGTTCATGAAAAGCAAGTATTCACGCAGGTAGCAGACTCTAATCTGCTTCAAGCCAATGTGCTATTCTCTTCGTGTTATTTATATCCCTCAGAATACCTCAAAGTTCCCAAGAGCAGTCAGTATTTAACTCTAAACTATATCATCTATATATTTATTATATATAATATATATATTTATTATATGTATAATACATATTATATATTTATTATATATTATATTTATATTGATTATATATAATATATATATATATTTATTATTATATATTTTTTTGAGACGGAGTTTTGCTTTTGTTGCCCAGGCTGGAGTGCAATGGCGCTATCTCGGCTCACCACAACCTCTGCCTCCCAGGTTCAAGTGATTCTCCTGCCTCAGCGTCCTGAGTAGCTGGGATTACAGGCATGTGCCACCACGCCTGGTTAATTTTGTATTTTTAATAGAGAAGGGGTTTCTCCATGTTAGTCAGGCTGGTATTGAACTCCCATCCTCAGGTGATCTGCCTGCCTCGGCCTCCCAAAGTGCTGGGATTATAGGTGTGAGCCAACGTGCCCAGGCAACTATGTAATATTTTAATTGTGTAGTGATAACCCTCATCAAAAGAAGTATTCATTATGGTCAGTGTACTCTGCTTATTTACCACTGAAGCTTAACACAAAATTGTTGAAATAAACATGCATATTGAAGTACTTAGCTAGCTATTGAGGCAATACAGGTTTCTAGATTTACTCATTTTTTTCACTGTACACACATGTCATGTGTGTCATGATAAACCCATGTGTGTGCATATATTGATTAAATATTATATTTCTTTTTACTTTTATTATTATTATTGAGAAAAGGTCTCACTCTGTCGCCCAGGATGGAGTGCAGCGGCACAATCTCGGCTGCCTGCAGCCTTGTCCTCCCAAAGCCCTAGACCCTGTAACATAATAGAATATGTATGTTTCTAATTTGTGCAATATGGAAGCAGGAATACTACATAGAACTGTCATCTTTTCCTATTGCATTTATTTTGGTGTGGAAAAATATAATAATTGGCTTCAGTCAGTAAGTCTATTTCATTCAAGAATATTTAAATATAATCCAAACCATCTTAGGTACATTTTGTGATACAAGAGGATGGTATCTTCTATTTGGAAATATAAAATCCCAGGGTCTCACAGTTTAAGTATACTTTCCAGGGGTATGTATAAAACAAGAATCCCACTTTACAAAGTTAATAGAAAAAATATATGCTAATTGGAAGGAGAGGCTTCTGATTGAGGATAAAGTGGAAATTTTCACATACTGCTAATTACACTTTAATGGAGTAAGAAAAAAAGAATTGGAAATAGTACCCTATAAAACTTCTGAAATGAAATTACAGTTTCTCTCTCTCTCTCTTTTTTTTTTTTTTTTCTTGAGACGGAGTTTCGCTCTTGTTGCCCAGGCGAGAGTGCAATGGCGCTATCTCAGCACACTGCAACTTTCACCTCCCAGGTTTAAGTGATTCTTTTGCCTCAGCCTCCCAAGTAGCTGGGATTACAGGCATGCACCACCATGCCCAGCTAATTTTTTGTATTTTTAGTGACCCACCACGCCTGGCTGTCTCCTCTTTTTAGAATTAGGAGAACTGATTTTTTTCAGTGCTAAACTGGCACTGTCCTATGTTTTCAAGAAAGCAATATGGTGAAACGAAAGAGTCTGGATAGCATGTTTTGTTAGCTGGCGTCTAGTTCTTTAAGTTCCATGAGTCTATTGTGTCTTCTTTACATCTCAAAAAGAAGAGAGAAGAAACCTGCATCTAATTACTGAAGCAGTTTCATTCAGCAAATGTAATTGCATCGCAGGCACATCTCAAATTAAAAATCTTCATCTTGGTCTCTGTCATTTCCATTTTAAACTGGGACTGAATAACCTGTTTTGCTACTCAAAATAATAGCCAGTGTCTCTTTCTTATTAAAATATGTGATCTTTTGCTTGATTACCTAATTATGTCACCTGCACCTTACGTGAGGCAGATAGAAGAGTCTTCCAGTCTGCCAGAGCAGATCTACCAAACTAGACTGCACATACAAATTACCTGGGGATCCTGATAAATTGCAGATTCTGAGTCTGCTTTCAGACAGGGCCTCAAGTCAAGCTGATGGTATTAGTCCCAGGATCCCTCACTGAGTAGCAAGGTCTTAGAATTAAAAATTGTGGAAGTATAAGGCCGGGAGCAGTGGCTCATGCCTGTAATCCCAGCACTTTGGGAGGCCAAGGCGGGTGGATCACCTGAGGTCAGGAGTTCGAGACCAGCCTGGCCAATATGGTGAAACCCCGTCTCTGCTAAAAATACAAAAAATTAGCCAGGTGTGGTGGCACGCACCTGTAATCCCAGCTACTCAGAAGGCTGAGGCAGAAGAATTGCTTGAACCTGGGAGGTGGAGGTTGCAGTGAGCCAAGATCACGCCACTACACTCCAGCCTGGGCTCCAGCCTGGGCAACAACAGCAAAACTCCATAAAAAAAAAAAAAAGTGCAAGTTTATAAACATGGAAACGTGGACAATTGTAAGCAATATTAGAGAACTGTAGAAAACAATTTTTTAAGTGATATGTTTAACCTATTTAGAATAAAACCCATTATGGTCCTAGGAATTTCTGGAACTGCCTTACTTGTGAGAAACATGATCCTAAGATGCCCATTTGTTTATCAGTACATCAATTTTCTCCTTCTTGAATTGATATCATTATTTTCTTCCAAGAAGCCTAGCACACTTTTGTTGTTGTCATTGAAAGAGGGCATATAAGGGTTATGGCTGCTATTTGGAGAAATGCATTAGAAAATAAAAAGCTTGAAAAAGTTGTATTACTGAGAAAAAAGTTGAATGAAAATAAGAAAGATTAAATTGCAATAAATAATGAATCAGTAAGGTATGCACTGTTAAACACTTGATGAGATTTCCCAAGTATCGACATGCTGACAACTTGAAATAAGAATGGGAGAAAAGGTCAATCTGAATTCTTAAAATGTTGAAGGCTGGGAATAAGAAGTAATATATCACAGAATCTGATAGAAAAATTTTTATTTATTTTATGGGAGAAAATGGGAGACTAACAGACAATAGGAATAGGAAAGAATTAATAGAAATAGCAAAAAGAAGTGTATCTGCAATTATTAATATAATACAAGAGGACATTGTGTAGAGATATTTAAAGAAAGATTGATGAAATTTAGATTTATGGAGAAATATCCTAATAAAGACATTATTTATAATCAACTGTTCATCATTATTATATAATTCTGACAGTTTTTAGGATATAAATGTAAGGCAGAATGATCTAATATAAAATGTATAAATGGGACAACATATAATTTTGCTTAGGAAGTTGAATAAATAAAGTAGTGATTTACAATTTGCATTAATATAAAAAAATTTAAAAAATGGTTTACATTTTGTTTGAAATGGATGATAAACAGGAAAAGAGTAATTTAGTACATTGAGTAATTTAGTACATTGGTCACCAAAGAAATACAAATTGAAACTATAAGATCCCTTCTCCCATCTTTGTCAGATTTGTAGGTATAAAAACAGTAGTAGTTGTATTGGTTGGAGAACAGAAAGATGACACTTTCATATGCGGCTGATTAGAGCACAGATTGGTATATTATTTCTGAGATGCAATTTGAAAATATGTACCATCAGCCTCAAAGATGATTATGACCATGTGTCACTACTTTCTTGGAAATCATTATTAATGCATGTATAGATTGATGTTTACTGTAGTATTACTTAACATAATGAGTTGAGTACAACCTTCACTCCCAAAAAACATGAGGTAGGGGTGAACTAGTTAAATATACAATCACAATGAACTATGACAAAATGCAGTTACTTAAAAGCACATTTATAAGACTATTAATGGCAATAAACATGATTTGATATAATGTTTTCAAAAATTAGGGGAATTCTATTCCCAGCATTGTGGTAGGCTAAATTTGCTGAATCACTATGCTGCTATATGAAATCTACAAATACCAGATAAAATGTACATGTCATTTTTCAAAAGTATATTACTGACTTGAATAGAAACTAAGGTGAACCACATAGGCCAAGCATAAGGAGAATACATAAATCCAGAGAGGTATGCAGACCCCCAAACCAGAAGCTTCCATAAGGACAGTCCTGGCCCTAGTACCCTGAGCTTCAATTTTTATGACCACCTGGGATATGGGAGAGTGTGAGACAAAACCTAGTGCCTGCCCAGTATAGCAGTCTTACAGGAGAAAACTGCTGAAAGCCAGAGATACGAAGGACTATAATTGCAGTGAAAGGATAAACTAGATAAAAACCTGTTCCTCAGCGGGAGACAACCAGGAAATTTTCCTGCCTCAAACTCGGTGCTATTTAGAGGAAAAATGAGAAGGCCATCTTCACATGAATTTGTGGTTTAAATTTTCACTGTAAGTATAAGTTAGAAAAAACCCACACATGAAACTGATAATTTATTTTATAGTTATCCCATGTTGGTATTACCACCAAACACAAGACGAAGGCAAAGTGTCTTTGGAGAAACCCACATTCAGCCCATGTCTCAAAGAATGGCCACAGGTAAAATTTCATCCAAAATGAGAAAAAAGTAAGACTCTTACAAAACTCATGAGGAAATAAACATCATGAGCAGAAACAGAATTATGCCCATAAAGATTTCAGATATTAGGATGATTATATAACTATAAAAGCTGTGTTTAATATGTTTAAAAAATCAATGAGGTGTGCCAGGAATATAAATTGAGACAGTGTATGTATCTTATATTAAGCAGATTGAAACTGAATTTAAGAGATCTTTTAGAAATAAAAAATATAATGAAAATTAAAAACTAAATGGACAGGTTAAACACAATATTGGATAGAACCAAAAAGAAAATAAGTGAGTTGGAAGTTAGACTAAACAAATTATGCTGAAGACAGTACAGAGGAGGAAAGGAAAATGGATATGTGAAATAGAGGTTGAAAAATTAGAGTATCTAATCATATCTGCAAAAGAAAAATTGAATCGGGGGAAGGTTATATTTAAGGTTATATTTAATATCTGAGGGCTTTTCGTCATTGGAATTTATTAATGTTCAAGGAAACCTGGAAAGTTTTCTAACACATTAAAGGAGCTTTAATTATAAGTTCCAAATTCTTCTTAGAAGAAGAGAACCAGCAGGCCCAGACATTTTTACTGGTGAGTTCTATCAAATGTTTTCAAGAAATGGATTATTTCCATTTTATAAAAACAACTCCAGAATAAAAAAAGGTCCATTTGTTCATTCATTTTATGAGGCCAGTACAACCTTGATACCAATGTTATATGAGAAATGTGTAAGACAGGAAAATTACATGCCAACTTTCCTCATGAACCTAACGGCAAACATTTTAAATTAAAAGTTAGCAAATTAAGTTTAGAAGTCTATAAAAAAGATAATATAGTATGAAAATTGTGTTTGTTCCATGAATGCAAGGATTTCTAACAATAGAAAAAAAAACTATGTATAATTCATCACATTAACAAGTTAAAGGAGGAAAAGCAAATCATCATTGTAGGAGAGGCAAAAAGTGAATTCAATAAAATAAAATATTTAACTTTGACAAATCTTGTTTAGCAAACAAGAAATAGAAGAGCTTTCAGTGTTTGCTTATAAATCAGAAACTATTCTTCGTCTTTCAAGCAGAGGTGATTTAATACAGGTGATTGATTACACAAGTGATGGAAGCCAAACCAGGCTTGGTGAGTCAGCAGCCCATATTTAATATATTTATATATTAAATATTTAATTATACTTCAAAACTTTTATGTACACTATAATCTCATTATTGTTTTCTATACTATTATATGCAATATACAAATACAGAAATACAGAAATGTACCTCAGTTTGAAAGAGAACTTGAATATGAGGCAAAAAGATACCCCCAAATTATAGTTACATTACAAGAATTGAATTTAAGAAGGAAGAAGCAAATTGCAAGAGATAAGGCCAAGCCTCTTTAGTAATGATCATTCTAAATCCAATTGGTATAAATTTAGGGACGCACAACTGGATTGCAGTGTAACTAAGAAAGTTTGTGTGTCAATAACCATATTTATCCTATGTGAAGAAATAATAGTTTCATAGGAGAAGGTTAATTGGCATGGAGTCTGTAAAAGAGAAGTTTGGATAGATGATTGAGCTATGTATTTGTCAAATAATATCTAAAGGTAAAAAGAGATCTAGTTCACAGAGGCGAATCTCTGGTTTTTCAATTTGCATTAACAGAAACAACATTGGAAGGGAGTATATTAAGATTTTAATAGTGACGATTTCTGCCAATGGTTTCTGTTTTATTGTTTACTATTTTCGGTATATTTCCAATGTTTCTTAATAAGTGTTTATTATTTAAAAAATGAGAAAACAGCAATGAGTAATTCAGTAAAATAAAATTTTTCAAAATTGTGACTGCTATGATTATGAGCCAATTATGAAAGAAAGAGACACAGATAGAAATAGGGTGACCAATCTTTCAACTTACTCAGGAATGAAGGATTTTCTGGATGGGGGATTTTTGTTGCTAAAATCGGGACAGTAGGGGACATGTTGGGACTGTGGAAAAACCCTACAGGGATTTATTTCCTAACTATGAATTTCTATCTTCGTCTAGAGACGACTGTTCTCATAAATAGGTAGAGTAGATGTGGTATTTCTGGAATGAGATTTAACATCTTTACATAGCTTGCCCTATTAAAAGTAGACAAATGCTTGTGAGAGAATATCATATACTTTTGAAAGCTAATGTCTTAACTAATTCGCTGTGAGCAAAGCTCTTGAAGACTGTGATGTAACAGAGATTCCTAGGTATCAGTGAAGATACGGAGATGAAAAAAGGGAAGTTGAAAAAAGAAGCTGAGAGATAAGCATGGAAATCATTTTCCAACCTCATTTTTCCAATCTCCATTTTCCTGTATTGAGAAGTGAAAATATGTTTTCTAGAGATAAAGTTCTAGAAATGAACTCTGACATAGATATTTTAAAACCCATTTCAGAAACAAAATAATATGTGAACCTAGAGTAGTTGTAATTTATGTCCTTTTGTCTGTCTTTATCCTGTAGTTAAGTTTCCCTTGGGATCTCTTTGGGAAAATGGAGTACTGCATTTTACAAGGCAGGACTTGAATTTTCTTTCTTTTCCTTCTTTCTCTCTTTCTCTCTTTCTTTCTTTCTTTCTTTCCTTTTCTTTCTTCTTTCTCTCTTTTTCTTTCTTTCTTCCTTTCCTTCCTTCCTTTTTCTTTTTTCTTTCTCTCTTTCTTCCTCTCTCTCTTTTTCTCTTCTTTCTTTCTTTGTTCCTTTCTTTCTTTCTTTCTTTCTTCTTTCTGTCTTCTTTTCCTTCCTTCCTTCCTTCCTTCCTTCCTTCCTTCCTTCCTTCCTTCCTTCCTCTTCTTCCTTTCTTTCTCCTTTCTTTCTTTTTTTTTTTTTTTTTGACATGATCTCACTTTGTCACCCAGGCTAGAGTGCAGTGATGTGATCATAGCTTAATGCAGCCTCTCTCTCCTGGGCTCAAGCAATCCTCCCACCTCAGCTTCCAGAGTACCTGGGGCTACAGCTGCATGCCACCATGCCCAGCTAAAGGACTTGAATTTTCTTACATATCTTGGCCCTATAGAGTGGCTCTCAACCTCGGCTGCACATGTCTATTACCTGAGAAAAGTTTTAAATAACCTAATACTCAGGTCACACCCTAGACTTTAGGGGTGAGACAAGCATTAATATTTTTTTAACACTCTTAGAATTAAGAGCCACTAATATTGTAGCACTGCAATTCCTATAAAGAGAACAGATGTGAGTCGATTTGTTACAGTATTGTTGTATTCATCTGTTTTCATGCTGCTGATAAAGACATACCTGAGACTGGACAATTTACAAAAGAAAGAGGTTTAATGGACTTACAGTTCCACATGGGTGGGGAGGCCTCACAATCATGGTGGAGGACAAAGAGGAGCAAGTCACATCTTACATGGATGGCAGCAGGCAAAGAGACAGCTTGTGCAGGGAAACTCCCATTTTAAAAATGATCAGATCTCATGAGACTTACTCACTAACACAAGAACAGCACAGGAAAGACCCATCCTCATGATTCAGTTATCTCCCACTGGGCCCCTCCCACAACATGTGGGAATTATGGGAGCTACAAGATGAGATTGGGTGTGGACACAGCCAAACCATATCAATTGTCATCACTCAAGGCAGATGAGTATACAGAAAGCTATCATTTGTAAGGAATTGGACTAAGTTTAAGAGAATAATAATTAAGATAGAACAAATGTTTGGTCCTGCTTAAGGGCTAGGATAGATGAGGCACAATAGAATCATGTGGGGAGCTGTAAAAATGCCCAGGCCCTACTCTGTGTCAATTAAATCAGAATCCAGAATCTCTGCTTGAGTGTGTCTAGAGTATTGGTCAAAGGAAACAGTGATTTTGATGTGCAGCCAGTTAAGAGCTGATATCCTCAAGGATCATGATGTGACACAGCTGTTTCAGAAGGGTAAATCTCCATACTCCCACTTTAGAAGAAAAGAAAAGGCAAAATGACAAAACAATCAAGCAAAAGGGCTGGAAGAGCTGGTAGATAACAGGGTGTCAACTTGAATTAATTCAGCTCTTTGGTAAAGATTAGCTGGAGTAAAGAAATTCCAGTTAGTCAAATGGGATGAATGTCCTTTTATGGAAACCATATCATGCTTTTTGAATGATCTGAGAAAGACTGGAAGCATTAGAGGTGAAGTATATCCATTTGCTCAATGGGAAAAGATTTTGTTTTATTTTATTTACATAATGTGATATGCTTGGCCATCTGCAGTAGTGCCTGAAAGGGGATGTAAAACGGAAAATGTAGTCAGTGAGACTGATTAATAACCATGGGTAGAAAAATAGGCCAAGTGGAAAAACTTATTCATATAATTGCTTCATTTTGCTGACTGCAAAAGGATTTGTTTTGGAAGTGATTTCTGCTCTTTAACCTAGTGGATTGATAGATCACAGAAAGGTCTTAGAAATGACATTACGTAATTTTGTTCATAACATGAAATTAGCTTGAATCAAAAAATGTATACCATTTTTTTGTATCTACCTTCTAAGACATTTGTCTTGAGAAATTAATGATTCTACAACATAAATAGTCATTGTGAAAGGAAGGAAAAAGATAACAGAGGGCTTTCATAATAATCATGGACTCAAGATTATCTAATTTAAAAAGACATATCTCATTTTCCTTTATTTAAACATAAAACAAATGAGAGAAAACAGAAATAGCTCATAATTTTATTTATCTGATAAAACATGCTGACATAAAAATATAATTCATGCACCCAGTAAGAAAATCAAAAAATTAAATAAAGGTAAAAATGAAATATAAAATTCTCTTTCCTCTAGTCTCTTACCCCCAGACATCTGGAATCTCTCCTTAAGATAATCACTGTTGACAATTTCTTGAGTATCTTTTTAAAAATGACCTTAATACACATCCCCCGTATAGAATATAGATCTTAAACAAGTTAGAAAATAAAATTTTATCTTTTAGTATTACACAAAAGGATGTTCAGAACTAGGCTTTGTATTTTTTTTTTTCTAGAGATGAGGTCTCACTGTGTTGCCCAGGTTGGTCTCAAACTCCTGGGCTCAAGCAATCCTCCCGCCTCAGTCTCCAAAAGTGTTGGGATTACAAGCATGAGATGAAGTCTTGCCTGGCCTAGGCTTTCTATTTTTGTTTAACAATTTACCTTCAAGATATTCTTAACTTTTAACAACTGTATTGTATAAATATATTTTTTATTTAAACAATAGGCTACCAATAACATTAATAACATATCTTGATTTATGTATTTTACAAGATTCTCCATGTGATAAATTCCAACCTGAGAAGTTGCTATAGAACATATGAATTTAACATGTTTTAATTGCTGCGATCTAATATGATCCTAAAACATGGCCCTAGTTTATATTCCTATGAGAATGTCTAATACCTACACTCTTGCTAACATTGACTGCTATTGCATTTTAAAGACTCATTAATTTGGTTGGATTGATGTTGAACATCTTCTGTTACTCCTGGCCATTGCATTTCTTTTTCTACCTATTAATCTCCCTTGTATAATATTGCATTATTTGTCTTTTTTGTCTCATTTATCGACAAAGATTAAAGTTATTGGCAGTAGTGAAAATGGAGAAAAAAATCAAAATTCAAATACTGTAGAGTACAATATTTTGGAGAATAATTTGATTCTATATATTGAAATTTAAATTGTCTTTAATCTTTGACCCAGTTATTCTATTTCTAGTAATTTTTCTACCCAAATAATAATTCAGGAAGAAAACCTTTACAGAGATTATTCTTATAATGTTTGTGATACAATATTTACGGGCAACATAAATTCTCATCCAGAGATCGGAGTAAATATTATATAGTATATCTGTAGAATGAAATGTACCTTGCTGTTTAAATGAATAAATTAGTTATTATCATAAAATAAATGTCATGTAAAGACATTTATTTTATGGTGTATAAAATTAGAAAAACAAGTTATTAAAAATAACATGATTTTTTGTAAAATGCTTTTATTTTGTTTTTAATTGACATAATAATTGCACATGTTTATGGGGTACAGTGTGGTGCTTTAGTGCATGTGTACATTGCGTAATGGTCAAATTTAAAAATTAAATGTATTGATAGAAAAAGTGTTTGGATATTTGTATCCTAAATGCTAACAGTGATGATATCTGGAATGTGGAACTGCTGGTAATTTTTCCCTTTTTCTTTTAGAGATTTTTGTACTTATTTTTAATAATAAACATATACTAATTTTATAATAAAAATAACAATGAAGTCCTTTCCATTTTGAAAAATTAATTCCAATAGAAAAATACTATACTCGAGCCACTTTCCAGGGTTTTCTTATTCTTAGTGCTGGTATAAGGTACCAGTGATATTATATTTTCAGATATGTTTGGCTTTTCTGCCTTATGGTTGAAGATGAGCTTAGGAAGTATTGCTGCCTAATTTTCAGGCTTTTGAGCCAATGCTTGGTGCACAAAAAGCACCACATCAACTTTAAACAGAATATTCTGCTTCTTTAGACTGTGTTTCCTACTTTTTATAGTATTTATTAGCGCCAGAACTCTGTGACTGTTTCCCAAAGAACAAGAGAGAAAGATCAAGGAAAGTGAGAAGCAATGAAACTAGATTTAATTAATACTCTGGCTTGTCAGCAGCTTTCATGAAAGATTTGTTTGTTGAAGAAGTTGAACCTATTAGCTTAAACAGGGATTAACTCTGCCAACTCTGACAGAGCATGGACAATTAAGAGTTTATTGGAAATTAATTGAAAATAATACAGTGTTGTGAGGTGGGATGAAGATGATTTCCTTTAAGGAAATTATGCCAAGTGTTTTGAATCAGCCAAGGATAAACAAATGCAGACTATCATTTGATGGAGGTATTATAAACTGATAACATGATTTGAAGTATAAGAATGGCAAATTGTGAAGAATGAATAAAATTACAGAGATAAATAGCAAAAATGTGAAACTAAAATAAAGAGGAACAGTGAGTAAACGGGGTTAGCTGAGAATATGGTTTAACAGGGCATACTCTATTCATTTATGAAGAAATTTTAATCCTCAAAATGCTACTTGTCTTAGTCTGTGTAGGCTGCTGTAACAAAATACCACAAGCTGAGTAACTTATAAACAACAGAAATTTCTTACAGTTGTGCAGGCTGGGAAGTCCAATATCAAGGCAGATTCAGCATCTGGGGTGAGGTTCACCCTTCTGGCTCATAGATGGCAACTTCCTGCTGTATCCCCATACTTTGGAAGGGGCCAATGAGCTCTCTGGGGTCTCTTTTATGAGGGCACAAATCCCATTCATGAGAATCTTGTCCTCATGACCTAATCACCTCCCCAAGGCTCTATCTCCTAACACGAGTAGCTTGGGGGTTAGGATTTCAATATACAAATTTGGGGGGACATAAACAGTCAGTCTGTGACATTGCCATTTCATCAGTAAGAATTTTCATGAACTCACTATTAAGATTTATGTTTAGGTTTTTTATGCGGATGTTCTCACTTTATAATATTGTTTGTCTGCATAGTTTAAAGAAAAGGACAATGCCCAATTAGAACAGGAGGTGTCTTTTGTTGGCCAGCAAAATATTTTAAGATGCCTTGAGTGTGACCCTACATAGAGATCATCAAGGTAACATCATTTTGTTCTTGTTCTAGATCCACATGTTTCACTCAAGATCCCAGAAAGAAAATGTATGAAAACACATTGGAAGACAATAATCCATCCTTACAATGCTAGCCAATGTTTATTATTGCTTTCTATGTGTGAGGAATTGTGTTAAACACTTAAAAAGATGTTATCCCTCATAATTATCATAACACCTGAAGAAGTAGGTGGGGTGATTTTCTCCAATTTAGATATTATAGGAACTGAAACACTTGCCCACTAAACAGGCAATTGAAAGAGATAGGATTTCTATAGAAAATTGCCAGCTCCACAGCTAGTGTTCCTATTCTCATCATTAGTGTTCCCTTAGTGGTTTTGATATTACACCTAATACTATTTAATACAAAAGTAAAGCATCCACCCTATTCTGGGATTTACTGTCAAGAATAGAGCACTGAGCCTGATAAACAGTATCCACTTTGGAATGCATGTTTCTATCCAGCTACTTAATATGACATAAGTTCATTGGACATTAAGGCCAGATTTCTTGACATGCTTTACCCTCAAATTAACAAGTTTGGCTTATTCAATTGTGGACCTTTAACCCTTAGGCCAGATAGTATATGAGGCCTAGAGTAGTGGAAAAAGGTAACTGGATTTACAAAATTTGACTCTTCAAATTCTGTAGGAATTCAATATATTGAGGAACGTTTAGGTGCATAGTAAAATTATAATTTCATATTGTTGCACAGACTCAGGCAGATGAAAGAGACTCCAATAGTGGTCAGGTAGTACCCACACAGTCAGTTGATTGTCTCTGTGCTGAAAGGATTTAAGAATGAAGAAGAGTTTGCTCCAATGTATGTTTCAATATCTCATTGTTTTACAATAATATTTGAAATAATACCTAGGAACCCAACTTACAAGGGATGTGAAGGACCTATTCAAGGAGAACTACAAACCACTGCTCAAGGAAATAAAAGAGGACACAAACAAATGGAAGAACATTCCATGCTCATGGAGAGGAAGAATCAATATCGTGAAAATGGCCATACTGCCCAAGGTAATTTATAGATTCAATGCCATCCCCATCAAGCTACCAATGACTTTCTTTACAGAATTGGAAAAAAACTACTTTAAAGTTCATACGGAAACAAAAAAGAACCCGCATTGCCAAGTCAATCCTAAGCAAAAAGAACAAAGCTGGAGGCATCACGCTACCTGACTTCAAACTAGACTATGAGGCTACAGTAACCAAAACAGCATGGTACTTGTACCAAACAGAGATATAGACCAATGGAACAGAACAGAGCCCTCAGAAATAACACCACACATCTACAACCATCTGATCTTTGACAAACCTGACAAAAGCAAGAAATGGGGAAAGGATTCCCTGTTTAATAAATGGTGCTGGGAAAACTGGCTAGCCATATGTAGAGAGCTGAAACTGGGTCCCTTCCTTACACCTTATACAAAAATTAATTCAAGATGGATTAAAGACTTACATGTTAGACCTAAAACCATAAAAACCCTAGAAGAAAACCTAGGCAATACCATTCAGGACACAGGCATGGCAAGGACTTCATGTCTAAAACACTGAAAGCAATGGCAATAAAAGCCAAAATTGACAAATGGGATCTAATTAAACTAAAGAGCTCCTACACAGCAAAAGAAACTACCATCAGAGTGAACAGGCAGCCTACAGAATGGGAGAACATTTTTGCAATCTACTCATCTGACAAAGGGCTAATATCCAGAATCTACAATGAACTCAAACAAATTTACAAGAAAAAACAAACAACCCCATCAACAAGTGGGAGAAGTATATGAACAGACACTTCTCAAAAGAAGACATTTATGCAGCCAACAGACACATGAAAAAATGCTCATCATCATTGGCCATCAGAGAAATGCAAATCAAAACCACAATGAGATACCATCTCACACCAGTCAGAATGGCGATCATTAAAAAGTCAGGAAACAACAGGTGCTGGAGAGGATGTGGAGAAATAGGAACACTTTCACACTGTTGGTGGGACTGTAAACTGGTTAAATCATTGTGGAAGACAGTGTGGTGATTCCTCAAGGATCTAGAACTAGAAATACCATTTGACCTAGCCATCCCATTACTGGGTATATACCCAAAGGATTATAAATCATGCTGCTATAAAGACACACGCACACGTATGTCTATTGCGGCACTATTCACAATAGCAAAGACTTGGAACCAACCCAAATGTCCATCAATGATAGACTGGATTAAGAAAATGTGGCACATATACACCATGGAATACTATGCAGCCATAAAAAAGGATGAGTTCATGTCCTTTGTAGGGACATGGATGAAGCTGGAAACCATCATTCTCAGCAAACTATCACAAGGACAAAAAACCAAACACCGCATGTTCTCACTCACAGGTGGGAATTGAACAATGAGAACACACGGATACAGGAAAGGGAACATCACACACTGGGGCCTGCTCTGTGGTGGGGGGCTGGGGGAGGGATAGCATTAGGAGATATACCTAATGTAAAAGATGAGTTAATGGGTGCAGCACACCAACATGGCACATGTATACATATGTAACAAACCTGCACGTTGTGCACATGTACCCTAGAACTTAAAGTATAATAAAAAAATTAAAATATTCTGCAGTCACAGTGACTGTCTTGGCTTCTCTTAATTTATGAGGACCTTTGTCTTATAGACTCTTTTTTTTTAAAAAAAGATGGGGTCTTGCTATGTTGTCCATGCTGGAGTGCAGTGGCTATTCACAGGCTTGATCATTGCATACTACAGTCTGGAACTCCTGGACTCAAGTCTCCCAGTGGCTGGGAATACAGGTGAGTGCCTACCACACCTAGCCTGATTTACAGATTTTTGACATCTATTATAGTTAAATGTATTTTCAGCATTTGCATATTAAAGGAATAATATTGATGCTTAACTTCATTAGTGATCAGGGAATTCCAAATTTAAAAAAAATTTTTTCATCTCTTATAGTATATTTAAAAATTCATTGCTGATAAGGATTCAGGGATGCCAACATTGTACATTGGTAGTGAAAATGTAAATTGGAAACTTTCTGTAATCTGACAGTAATTATTTTTTTAAAAATCCTTTTGAACTTGCAGTTCTACTTTTGGGATTTGAATTTATGGAAAGTAAAGTGCCAGTGAGAAAGAATATTGTTGCCCCTTGAACAACATAGGGTTAGGGGAGCTGGCTTCCCACACAGTGAAAAATCCGCATACAACTTTTGATTCCCCCCAAACTACTAATAACCTATTGTTGACCAGAAGGCTTACTGATAACATGCGTTACATTTAAGACATATTTTGCATGCTATGTGTATTATATACTGTATTCTTACAATAAACTAAGCTACAGAAAAGAAATTATAATCAAGAAAATTGTAAGGAAGAGAAAATATATGACCCATTCATTAAGTGGAAGTGGATCACCCTAAAGGTCTTCATCATTGTTGTCTTCATGTTGAGTAGGCAGAGGAGGAGGAGGAGGAGCTGGTCTTTGTGTCTTAGGGTAGCAGAGGTGGAAGAGGGTGAAGGGATGGAAGGGGAAGCAAAAGAGGCAAGCACACTTGGTGAAACTTTACAAAAATACATCATTATTTCTGTCTATTTTGCTTTTTCATTTCTCTAAAAACATTTCAGTGTAGTACCTATCCGTCTTCCACCATTTGCTTTAGTTTCAGTTCCTGTATCATGGAACGGTCTATGTCATAAAAGAAGTCAAAAGTAGTCTTGAATAATCAAAGCCAGATTGTTGAATGCCAATTTGTTTTCTGGCACTGCTTTTCCTATGTCTTCTTCCTCATTATCTGGCACTGGTTAGGAAGCACTCATCTCCATGGAGTCATCTTTTGTTAATTCCTCTGGTGTGGTGTGTATTAGCTCTTAAATTCCTCCAAGATCCATATCTTGCAACCCTTCACTCCACACCTTTTTTTCCCTTCACATCCATACTTCTTTCCATGGTTTTCTCTAAATTGGGTTTGTCGTAATTCTGTAGCTATGCACAACATCTGGACACAAATTGTACTTTTGTCCAGCAGGAATTCATTGTTTTGAGTTTCATGGTTTTCTATATCAACTGATGACATCTTGAAAGGTGTAAGCCTTCCAGACTTCCATGATGTTCTCTCTATTGGGTTTCTCTTTTGCAATGTTGACAAACCTTTCCATAGAGTGCCATATGTAGAGCCTTAAAGGTCCTTATGACTTCCTTATCTAGAGGCTGAAGTAGAGATGTGTTTGGGGGAAAAGGAGAACCCTTCAGTGCCTTTGGTGTTGAACTCATGGGGTTCTGGGTGGCCAGGGGGCATTTTCCAATTAAACAACAACAACAAAAAACTTTAAAAAGCAGTCCCTTACTGGCAAGGTACTTCTGACTTCAGGGACAAAGCATTGATGGAACTAATCCAGAAAAAGCATTCTCATAGTCCAGGCCTTCTTGTTGTACAACCAAAAGACTGGCAACTAGTGTTTCTCTTTTCCCTTTCAAGACCCAGGGGTTAGCAGCTTTATAGTTAAGGGCAGCCCTGATCATAAACCCGACTACATTTGCACAAAGCAGTAGAGTTAGCCTATCCCTTCCTGCCTTAAATCTTGGTGCTTGCTTCTCTTCCTTACTAATAAATGACCTTTGTGGCTTTTATTTTTCCCCCTGGAATAGGGCACTTTCAGCTGCATTAATACCTATTCAGGCAGATATCCTTTCTCCTCAATGTTTTTCTTAATGGCATTTGAGAATTCACTTGCTGGTTCTTGTTTGGCAGAAGTTGCTACTCCCATTATCCTGACATTTTTTTTTTTTTTTTTGAGACGGAGTCTCGCTCTGTCGCCCAGGCTGGAGTGCAGTGGCGGGATCTCGGCTCACTGCAAGCTCCGCCTCCCGGGTTCACGCCATTCTCCTGCCTCAGCCTCCCAAGTAGCTGGGACTACAGGCGCCCGCCACCACGCCCGGCTAATTTTTTGTATTTTTAGTAGAGACGGGGTTTCACCGTTCTAGCTGGGATGGTCTCGATCTCCTGACCTCGTGATCCGCCCGCCTCGGCCTCCCAAAGTGCTGGGATTACAGGCGTGAGCCACCGCGCCCGGCCTATCCTGACATTTTTAAAACCAAACCACTTTCTAAAATTATCAAATCATCCTTTGCTGCCATTAAATTCTCCAGCTTTAGATCTTTCACCTTGCTTTTACTTTATGTTGTCAAATAATGACTTCGCTATTTCTTGAATCAAATAAGAGTCTATAGGTATGTCTTTCTTATAGCAATTCTGTACCCCACATAAAAGCTGCATTTTGAATGTGAGATAAGAAAGGACAAGGTTTTCATGCCTGTTGACACGAAATGAGGCCTTATGAATTTCTCTTTTTTTTTTTTAAGGGACCTTACACTGGATTCATTTATTTTGAAATGGCAGGCAGCTGAAGAACTCAACCTATAGGAAGCAATCTAACTTTTTCTCATAATGTCACAACTTTTCTCTGCTTCTTGGGAGCACTCCCAGCATCACTTGTGGCACTTTGTATTGGTCTCATGGTGTTATTCAAGATTTATAGTATTACACTAAGCACAATGAAAAGAGAACTGTGAGAGAACACACTATTTACTTAGATACAGAATTTACTGAAGAGACCAAGTGCTCATGGCAGATACTGGCAACATGAGCTCACCACAGTAGCAACAGGGGGTGGCTACAAAATTATTATAATAGTATATACACTGGAAAGTAGACGCTGGAGAATATTCCAAAAGATGCCAGGGTTGGAGGGGAGTGAGGGTTGAAAAATTATTATTGGGTACAATGTTCACTATTGGGGTGATGAGTACAGTAAAAGCTCAGACTTCACCACTAGCAATATATCCAAATAACAAAACAATCATATAATAAAAGTATGCTTGTACCTAGCACATTTATAAAAATAAAATAAAAGTAATTATTTGGGTAGTACAGTATGTGCTATAGTTAATTGTATGCAGTTGTGGTTTAATACAGCATCTTTATGTTTGTTTATGTTTCTCTTGACTGCAAATAGTGACTTGTACGGTTTGTGTGCATACATTTTGATAAGTTTTAACTTTTTATAATGGATTTGTGTATATTTTATGGTAGTAAATGATAAAATAGATTAATATATACATATACTTTATGCATTCAGGATGTACATAGCTTTTTCTTATTTTTTTTTTATATTCTAGGCTATGCAGTTAGTCTGCT
This sequence comes from Homo sapiens, assembly GCF_000001405.40. Lineage (NCBI taxonomy): Eukaryota > Metazoa > Chordata > Mammalia > Primates > Hominidae > Homo > Homo sapiens. The sequence goes on from NC_000001.11 coordinate 148,505,352, forward strand.
AGTTTTTTCAATTGCAATTCTCCAAAACTTTTTCTGATATATTTATTTTTTTAAAAAAATACCAGTGTAGGCAGACCTGCACAGTTGAAACCCATGTTGTTCCAAGGTCAACTAAAAAATCTGAAATCTGAAATGCTTCAAAATTGGAAACATTTTGAGCACTGATATGATGCCACAGGTGAAAAATTTCACATATGACATTATATGACTGGTCACAGCCAAAAGACAGTCAAAATTTTGTTTCTTGCACAAAATTTTACAAATACATAAAATTACCTTCAGGCTACATGTATACTATATGTAGGGAATGTAAATAAATTTAGATTGGGTCTCATTCCTAACATATCATGTTATGATATGAAAATATTTCAAAATTTGAAAAAATCCAAAATCTACAATATTTTTGGTCCCAAGCATTTCATATAAGGGATACCATACTCCAGAATGTTAGAATGTTTATGGCTACTTTGTTTGTAGTACAGGGGGAAAAAAACCATGATGAGTCTCCATCAGTAAAAAGACAGTTTAAAAACTTGTAGAATTTAGTCATATACATATATTTACACATGCATATATGCACACATATTATTTTTCTCTATATAGAGAAACTGTGCCTTCATTTAAAGTGATATTTCCTCTTTTTGTTAATTGACTTGGAGAAATGTTCATACTGTATTGATAAGTTGGAAAATCAGTTTGCTTACATGAGGTGAAGTGGAAAAGTTAAACTACATTATAAAGTACATTATAGGCTTTTCAAAGGGCAAAAAAGTGTCACCTGAGATGAGGCAATGAAGTGCTCATGGCCATTCATCCCTGTTTTACACAATAGAAAGAAAAGTTTGGAAAATGATGGATTTCTCAATAATATTTCAAGGAAGTAGAAATAAATATGTTACTGTACTAATGTATTCATGTCTTCTTAAGAGAAATGGAACTCCAAATTTTTAGAATTTTTGAATAGGAATGATAGAGGAAAGAAAACAGAACACTAGTGACTCCGGCATTGTCTGAAGCTGAGGACTGGGCTGTGGGTAACCCACAGGTGATATTACTTTAGCCTGAATAATCCAGACGTTATGATGTTTTGGCCTCTGTGTCCAAGACTCTTGTAGATTTCTTGTCAGGCCACAATTCTTTGAGTGAGAGTAATATTTTTTCAGTAGGCAAAAATCCCTTGAAAGATCAATCCAGGGACATTTATAATAAGATAGGATTAGAAGGTAGACTTTAGGCTAGGGTTAGGGTTGGAAAAATCAAAACACGTTGTTCTCTTTAGAGTGAGAAATTGGTTTATCCCAGACTTTGAAGGATAATATAATCTATAACCCTCTGGTTACGGGAAAGAAGAGACCTACATGTGGCCATCTTGGGAGCAAGGCAGAGAGCAGGCTGGAAGACCTTCTAGGATGGATATGGACTTGTGAAATGCAGTAGTTAAACAAAGTTTTCTCAGGGTTACATTTGCCTTCCATCATTCCTGAACACTCATGTCATCATGAAATTAGAAGAGCTGATCCAATACTATTGATAAGGAAAGAGACTCTCCTTTCCCCAAAGCGAGAGATAGCAGCAATAATCAGATAATGGCCCAGAAGATGGATGATCATACACACGGCTTGTGTGAGGCTTATGGAAGATAAAACAACCACAATATTTCAGAAATGTTTATATGTTGTTTACAGTTCTACCACTACAAAGCCTTCTAGAATGTGAGACAGAATGGTGTGATGATTATTCTCAGTATAACCAGATTAAGTAAGATTTCACAGGTGGAGTTAAGAATTAAGAATTTTTGATTCAAGAGTCTCATTCACCCTCTTCCTTCTTTGTTAATAGTTCTGTTAGGATCTGCCTTTAATTTGTCTTTTCCTTTAGGGCGCTCAAAACAACACAAGGATTAAATGCCTTTCTATTGTCAAAGTTCTCTCCTTATTTGCCAGTTCTTTTTTTCATGTCCCAATCATAATCTTAATGGTATCGTTGATCACTCAAGCAACTAACCCTGAAGACTGCCCAGTCGCAGGAGCCAATACATCTTTTTATGTTTAAACTCAATCACTTCAAATGTTGATCTTACCTTGTATAATAGAAATTAGTCGTAGAGACTGTGGTGGGATGAGATAGCATTGCGGGTAATCTGGCTCAGCTATGGCTGAGTGGAAGAAACTTGCATCAATTATTTATGGTTAATACAGAGTATCCTAGATCATAGTTGTGGACTGGATACAGACATTCAGCTCCCTCCCCCACTGAGCTCTCATAACAATGCAGGGACTGGAAAGAATGTCAGCATATGGGATGGGAGAATGCGAAGACGGGAGCTTCTTGGGCAGATATTACGTAGTGAGGAAGCAGTGGGTGAGAACATTCAGTGAGAGACCACAATGTAAGGAGAGAGTCTATCTGACCAGTGGAAGCAGAGACTCCAGACTCAGAACCTTTGGTACGAAGAGTAACTACAGCAAACGGGTAAAGAATAGATTGTGAATTTGGAGGTTATGTGCTTCCTTCTGGCACATGAAAAAACTCCTAAAGCTTTTTGTGGGTCCAAAATGAAATAAAAATCTTTCCCCATTGGTATGAAAATAAGTTAATTAGCTTTTACAATGGTTTGTTTTTGTGTTACTAGTTTCCAGTTGTGGCTGTTTCTCTCAGTTTCTCTCTGTTTTGGTTTGTTTGTTTGTTGTTGTTTTCCTTCTCTTAGGAAACTTTGGCAGATAATTGGGCACAGAAATTGGTCATTTTTTAAACACTCTAGGTTAGTGATTCTCATAGTCCCTAGACATCGGTATCAGTATTACCCGGCAACTTGTTAGATATGCAAATTCTCAAATCTTACCTACTGAGTCATATACTGCCAAGTGAGCCAAGGAATCCGTTTAATTAGGCTTTGCAGGTGGTTCTGATGCACACTCAAGTTGAACCACTGCCGAAGCCATAACTATTGGAGACAATCTTGCATAGCTTGAAAAATGGAGAGCTCTAACTGTTGATAGGGCTTTGCTTTATTTGTCTTAAGAAAGCATTAATGAGAATAGCTTTGTGTTTCTTTGAAGTTCTGGGTGCTTCTGAAAACTCTAAAGGTTTTCAAGCATTTAAATTTCTCTAGCCCTTTTCTCAAACAAACAAAAAACCCCAAACAAGGAAAATCTCATAGAAATATAAAAATGAGTTAAAATAAGTTGTGAGGAATATTCTATACATCAACAGTAAAGTATTACTCAACCTCAAAAATTACGTCTCTACCATAATCTATAATCTGACTGGATAAGGACTATAAATAAATAGCATATGAAAGTCTACAATAAAGCAGGGAGAAAATCATCACTGGCTCCGAATTTGATAATGACTTCTTGTTGTATGTATGTAAATATCTTCTGAACAAATTATTGTACATTTTCCTATCTCTGGAGAAAATTAATGAATTAGGTTAAACAATTTCTTAAGTTTAATGGAGCTTCTGTTTTCCTTGGCTTATGTATACTAGCACAGGTAACTTGCTGAACTGCAGCTCAGAAGAAAAAATCTATAGAGAGGTTTAGTTCTGAGGTGAATTAATGGACTTTGTTACTATGTCAGAAGGCGAGAAGCAAGGGAAGGCAGGCGGGTAAGAGAATCGCATAACGCAAAGGACTTCAGTGCTTCAGAACAAAATTGAAGCGTTTTAAAAATTTGACTGAAGTTCAGTAATATTTTTAATCATGGGAAATCCTTGGATAAATGTATATGGTTTGATAATTTTGGTTTAAATTAATTATGTTTTTTCTCTGATTTTATCACAATCTTAGAATTAATGTTAGCATATTTTTCTGGTTTATAAAATATTTTAACTTACCAGAGCTTTCTAGATGTCCCCTACTGGATTTATGGCTCAGCTGAATTGAATTATTAAACTAGTATTTTTTAAAACATTTGTTCCTGTAACTTGAGATGGGGCTACAAATAATTATACTGTATAGGTAAAACCACACATACCCTACCTGGTAAAAAATTCAAATTTCATATGTAACACAATTTTCATGTAAATTTTTATATTTTAGTATAAATTCTCTGCAGTGTGTCAGTTTAAAATGAATTTTAACATACTAGTTAGCTTTATGAGCTTGGCTAATATTTCACTGAGATAATTAGTGAAAAATCTTTGGATGAGTCTCATAAAATTTTTAACATATCCTTGCTGCATATTTTTACACGTTATAGAGTGGCTATCAAGTAGGAGAATGAACAGTATGTAAAAGTACCCTTAGTTCTGATTAATGCACATGTTCTTTTATACTACTTTAAGAAATTAAGTCAGTTTGAGTATTTAGAAAAGTGCATGCAATATAATTAATGTGTTTTTGCTTATCAAGGCAAAGAGAGTAATTTTGTCTAAAAGGCAAATTGTAGAGTTTTGCTAGAATATAAAACTGAATTTTAAAATACAAATTTAAGGGCATACAATAATTGTAGAATATCTGAGGGAAGTAAACTTCATTTGCTATAGCTTATAATTGCTGCAAATAATGAGTTTAAATGAGCAATAAAACGTTTATAATTTTTGGACTAACTTTACTCAATGTTAATTAGTTTGGGCATAAAACATAAAAGAACTTTTGAGTCTTTTAGTCCAATTTGTTAAATGGATGGTCTCAAAAAAGTCATATTAGTATTTGGGTTACCTTTTTGATAAAATGATAAATCAATCTCCATATATTAGCCTTTTTTTTTTTTTTGAGACAAAGTCTTGCTCTTGTCCCTCAGGCTGGAGTGCAATGGTGCCATCTTGGCTCACTGCAGCCTCTGCCTCCCGGATTCCAGTGATTCTCCTGCCTCAGCCTCCTGAGTAGCTGGGATTACAGGCACCTGCCACCATGCCTGGCTAAGTTTTGTATTTTTAGTAGAAATGGGATTTCACCATGTTGGCCAGGCTGGTCTCGAACCCCTGACCTCAGGTGATCCACCCTCCTCGGCCTCCTGAAGTGTTGGGATTACAGGCGTGAGCCACCACTCCCGGCCATATATTAGTTTTTTAGCAAAAATTTAACACTTGTATTCTCCACAGTGTCCTACCGGATTAGATATAGCTCTCCTGGACTAAATTGTTTCTCACCCACAACAATATTGCCATCCGGGAGAAAAGAGATTTATAGTAGTTTACTTTGTACTCCTAGAAATCCTTTCAAGAAGTATAAAAGTGAATACATACATATTTAAATGATAAACATTTATCTTTGTGATAAAATAGTTAAGTTTCCATGTGAGTCAGGTTTACCACATGAGTGATGAACCAGCTTTAATTAACAATATAACCATTCTCCTCTGTCACTGTAGGCTGTTCTAAAAAAAGAAAAAAGTTTATAAAAGCCTTAATTACCTTATGCTATTTGGGGAGAATTAAGCAATGAATGGAGTGTTGCATTTAACAGGTTATAGAAAATTTTTCTGTGTCCAGCATATAATCAACTACTAATTTTCAGACTGGTTTGGCACAATATAGATTTTCTGCCATTGAATAGAAACTAAAAAATTTGAAAGTCAGAAAATTATTTCCCAGGTTCTGAAAGATATCAACAAAGATATTTTTAATTGACTATGTATGATTATTGATTTGAGATTTAATATACCATGTCTATGAAAATTCTTTGTAATACTTCTGCAATGTAATTTGCTACATAATGAAAATTCATTTTTCATAATAAATAGTTTCCAGAAGTCATGTTGTCTTTCTTGCTCCCAGCAAGTAGCTCTATTTCTTGGCCACATTGAGGAATCAAAATCTAATGTAATTCTTCTAAATAGAATAGAGAACACCTAGAGTCGCTGCTCCTATGACAAATCTTTGGATAACAACTCTCATGTGCGTAAGACATTTTCTGATCTCTTCTGTACTTCAACTTGTAAAGAACTTTGGACATTACAGTCAGAAAGTCTGCTATTCCTACAAAGACAAAAGGGGAAGCCTCTAAATTCCCTGAGTAGTGGGGATAATTAGCTTTCATACTCATCTGCTGACCCCTGATTATCAGAAGACATTTTTATCTCTTTGGCATGCCCCATCACCTGCTGTCTGTCTCCAAAAGACCTGTAGATCAGAGCAGGCATTGTAAGGCAGGGACAGTTCCTGAAATTTCCAATTAACTGATGATGGGAAAGCTCAGAAACACAAACTCTGGGGAGTGGCTGCCTGGTACTGCTAATACTCCTGCTGGAAACAGGGGCACCTGGGCTACAAACAAACTTAAGACTTTGGAAGAAGGTGCGTTAACTTAATTCTGCCTTTCACATGTGAGCTCCCAATTTCCCTTGTGGCTATGAGCCACAAGGGCCCAAATTCAATGGCAGGGTGGTTCGGGTCTACCATGACAAGCCAGGATGGAGGAGACAGAGGTCAGTTATTGGGAGCCCAGATTCTTGCCCTTTAGAAACATGTGCTGTAGCAGAGAGGAACCCACTACAGCTGGGATCCTGGACTGACACAGGGAGTGGGTAGTCCATCCAGGGTCACCTGATTGATAGCAGGCCCTTCACATCTGCAGCCCCCACCTGTGACACTGTTTTTGATACCATATTCCCCAAATTTAACCCTCAAATCCAAAATAGTAAAACTACTGAGATGTTATTTATGAATACAGTATCTCTGGGTTTCTCAGATGGCTGCTGGGAAACTCCAGAGATCCTCCTCCTAGCTCTTAACATGAAGATATATTAGAAATAAAGGTAATGTTTTGCATTCTCCAGATATTTAATTTGCTCAAAACTATGCTCAATATAGTGGAAGCTGCTGTGTTTTTCAAGGCCATATTCTGAGAAAATAGCAATAAAATCATCTTAAATTAATTAAATGCAATAATTATGTATGATTACTGTGGCTATGTTACAATAATTGTGCACTTCTCAGGTTGGATTCAGGCATATTTATGTTCATGTACAAAGACTGGTGCAATAAATGTCAACCAACTGATTAAAAAAAGTAAACTTATCAGTTGGTGACAAATAATAATATCTACTTTGTGGGGAAAATTAAAGGCCCTGGAGAGGTATCGGGATGCACTAATTGTTCTTCATGTGTTCTGTCTTTTACGGTAATCACTGATTAAAATTTCATTAGATGAGTATGTATTACACCTCAACAGAGAATGCCACTGTCCCCCATTGTGATGTTGTTTGCTATGGCAAAAAATTAACCAAACTTTACAGTTTTATTATTAGCAACATCTCCTCCCCCTATCCCCGCTGCTTTTTTTTTTTTTTTAGATGGAATCTCGCTCTGTTGCCCAGGCTGGAGTGCAGTGGTATGACCTCAGATCACTGCAAACTCTACCTCTCGGGTTCAAGCTGTCCTCCTACCTCAGCCTCCCGAGTAGCTATATTCAGGTGCCCGCCACCATGCATGGCTAATTTTTCTATTTTCAGTAGACACAGGGTTTCACCATGTTGGCCAGACTGGTCTCAAACTCCGGACCTCAAGTGATCTGCCTGCCTCAGCCTCCTAAAGTGTTGGGATTACAGACATGAGCCACTGTGCCCAGCCCTCCTTTCCCTTTAAGCATACCTAAAAGCCTCTCTACAAAGTGCCAATCAGAATTTGAGTCATCTGGAAGAAATATCAAAAGAGCTCCAGTAATAACGGTAGCAGACACTGTTGATACTATAGATACCACAGGAAATTGACTCATGGATATAGGCCTCCAAGAATAGGCTGACCTTGTCCCCACAGACAATATTCCAACTATACGAAGTAAATGAGTCAGGAGTTCCAAGACACTCACAGTGTAGAAGCGGATGAATTCATGAAAGTAGACTGCTTAACTCAAGACCAGCACGACAAGAGGTTGTTATTTAGGATTAAAGGGCCTCAGTAAGGCAATTTAATTGAGGTTAGTTTAATTTTCTACTTTAATGAACATGAGAGAAACCCATTTTCTTTCTTCTTAATCTACCTTTAATCTCCAATTAAATGTACAAATTATTAAATTTGTAAAAACTAAATAAAACACTCTGAATTCTTAGTGTTGAGGAAAAAAATACCTTGCAGAAATTCTTAATATAAAAACAAAGCTAATAAGTTGCCAAGAAAAACATACAAATAATTATTTTGTAAAGAATTGTGACATACAATATTTGGTTTTGTCTATTAACATACCCTTAATTAGCAATATTGGTTAAATCTTGCACAAAGTTTCTTTAATAAAAACATTTACTTTATGTGACTATGTAGTTATTTGTATTGGTTCAATAAGAATTTGTCCTCCCTTCTACCTGAATATATTACTAATTAGAAATTTTTTTTTTTTTTTTTTTGAGATGGAGTCTTGCTCTGTTGCCCAGGCTGGAGTGCAATGGCGTGATCTCAACTCACTGCAACCTCTCAATCTTGGGCTCAAGCACTTCTCCCACCTCAGCCTCCCAGGTAGCTGGGATTACAGGCACCCACCATCATGCTAGGCTACTATTTGTATTTTTATAGAGACGGGGTTTCACCATGTTGGCCTGGCTGGTCTTAAACTCCTGACCTCAGGTGATCTGCCGGCCTCAGCCTTTCAAAATGCTGGGATTACAGGCATGAGCCACCTTGCCCAGCCAGGAAGAATCAATTTTTTAATAAAAAATTTATAGCTGTGCTACAAATTCAATTTAATTAGACAAGACAAATCCAGTAATAAGAATAATTTCTATGTTTTTCACGCAGAAGCGATGCCTATAACATCCTTCTAGGAAACCAATCTGGTGCTTGCTCTATGGACTATGCAATCTCAGGCTTGGAGGTAAGAAAGAATGTCCTTTCTTGGCAGAGCAGGGACACCGAGACATTGGATATCTTTTATTAAAAAGGATACATTTGCATTATAAATACTGCAGATGAAATCAGGTAGAGGTGAACGGACTGGTTTGGTCTGCTCTAAACTGAGCTGTTAAACATGTAAAAGTAAATTTAAACCACAAGGGCTTTATAAATCTATAGATAGACGTAAACTTGTGAGCCTTAGTTTATTGTTTCATCAAAAAAATACTAGGAGGTCATTAAATATTAATCAACACTTCTTAGATCTGTGCAAATAAAATGGATCAAATTAAAATGTAAAATCAATAGTACTGATTAGGAACATTGTTCAGCAAATGGAGGTAGACAAACATGTCCTGTAGAGAAGGAAACATGACCGCAAGATGAAGTGTAAAAACCAAAGTGACATCGGGGCCTGACACCATTGTCAGCCCGTTCATCATGTCCCACTGCTGAAGAAACAGAGAAAAAAAAACTCTGCACTCTGACATAAAGAAACAATAAAAGGGTCTCTCTGTCTACCTGCAGTCCTCCAAATGAATAAAACCTTGAGCATTTCCTGAGAGTTGCTAACTCCTTAATGAAAATCACTTTATCCTTGACTTTACAATGCTGTTTATTGTCTGAAGATATGTCATGAACATTCTGAATACAATAACCATGATAAAATTGCTGTTTTCTGCCATGAAGAGATTAATATAAACCCTATAGTCTTCACAATATTGTTTGTCTTAAAAAGTTCTATTTTTTTAATTTTTTGGGCAGTTCTTTTGAAGAATGACTTCCTCACATTTCTTTGCAAGTAAATGCCTCCTGCTTATTTTTCCAACATGCTTTTGTTTCTGAGACTTTCTTTCATGCTCTATACACACAAATCAGCAGGAGATAGTACCTGCAGCTGTATTTGGAGTTTACTGCCTCAATGTTCACTTTCAATGAAAGAGCATATTTCTTAACAGAAGACCAGAAATTCATGCTGAACCAATAAATTGTCCTCTATAGTTTTCATCTGCAAGGAGGATTTAAATATTTCTAGCTCAGTAGTTCAGCCCTGAAGATTATTTCACCCCACTGCTAATCCCAACCTAATCTGTTTTTGTGTTGTTAATGCTCCTATATACTAGCCAGGTCAGTAATTCTGTAACAGGCTTAATTTCTTAATATTTTAGGCCATGTGTTAATTTTACTATTTCTTAGCCATTTTTCCTCAATAGTTTTAAATTGCATCTCTGCTTACTCTCCCTTTTACTGGACGGGCTTCCTCTGTTTACTAATACAATTCCCCAAATTGATTCATCCACTTGTTGAAATACCTAATTTTAGGCCCTGCACTGACAGCTTGCCTTGGCTTATACTTGTTGTGTTTGGTGTTGCAGTCTTCAGATTCTAAAAACACCATCTAGACCTTACATTACCTCCAGCCAGGGCTATTCCCCCAGGGCCTGCCTTAAGAAGCAGATTTCTTTTCAAGTTTCATCTTCTTCCCATTTATTTCATTTCATGACAGTTAGAGAAGCTGTATACTAACGTGACAAATGCTAAGTTAGCAGAGAAAAACGTTATTTCAGGATAAGTTCAGGGAAAGCTTTTTGGAGGAAAGTCAGCTCACATTAGTCCTGATGATGGATAGTGTATAGAGACTACAGATGATGGAACGATGAAGTGGAAACTCGAGTGGCTACATACAGACATTCCACATAGAAGCAGTGTGAGCAAAACCACCAAGACAGGAAATGAGATGGAATTGATAAGGCAATGCAAATAATTCAGGTTATTTAGATCATCAGTGTTGGGGGAAGCTGGGTTTATGGGAATCAATGGTTAATCAGAATGTGAGCACCATTGGTTTGGTAATTCATGGAAGAGATTATCATTCAACAGGGGGAGTGGCTTCTCAATTATAAACATGTCTGAAGGTCACTGAACATCAAGGCTATCCTTCAGTTAAAATCTTATTAAAATTATACTGACCTCTGATGACCTTCAGAGAGCTCCAGCTAGATGGATTGATGATAAGAGAAATTCGAGAAGGCAATGGGGCAAATCTTTGTGCAAATCTCTGTTATGTCATATATCTAAGGCTTCTGCTGGATCCAGTGATTTGTTTGTTCTGACTGTAGTACAAATCTATTGGAACAATAAATCTAGTTATAATAAATGACAGAGGGCATTGAAGCAGATGCAAGAAGCAAAATATACAGGTGTAAAGACAAACTATATTAGGCCTCCCATCAAGCTTCTCTAATATTTTCACAGCACAGCCCTGCCTGACTTCTCTCTATCTGGGTAGGCCCCTTCTGTTTGCTAAACCAGTTCTCTGATGTTGACTACCTGATTCTCTAGTCCTCAAGTTGACTCATCCTGTTTATTGAGAGTGACATTTTTAGACTACTAATAATATTTATATGTAAGAAAGAAACTGGGTTTTTATATAAATATATAATCTTTTCAAATAAAAGATTATAATCAAGGAACTGTAAATAATAGAAAAATTACATAATGTTTCCCTATTTGGGGATTGGTTAAATGCAATATTATAGAAGTCTGAAAAAATAATGACTGTATTACAAAAGAATATAAAAATAATTGACTAGGAATTATGTCTACCAACTAATTCAGTCATTTGGCTGTTTATTCTCATTTGAACAGTAGTGGATTAAGAAAAAAACAAAAAGACTTTCGACTTCCATCACAGGGAGAAAAGGATCAAGTACACATTAGAGAAAGCTGATGGCAATGATTTCTAGTTTCCGTTTCTATTTTCTGTCAATTAACCATCATTTTGGTAAACAGCCTTTTTAAATGTCTTTTCTTTTAATTTTTAAATTTTTACTTTAAAGACAGGGTCTCACTATGTTGCAAAGGCATTGGCCTCAAACTCATGGACTCAAGTGATCTTCCTGCCATAGCCTCCCTAGATGCACATCACCATACCCAGCTATTAATGTCTTTATAAAAGCATTTTTAACCCTACTGGTCTAGCTATTGCATCAAATAAATAGCTAATTCCATTGACGAAGGATTAGGGACTCACGAGTGAAAATAAATGTTTTATTTGGATAATGGCTACAAAATCTCAACAGTCAAAATAAATAAGAGATTAAAGCCATGATGATGACTTAAAAGATAAAGTTAGGTAGAAATGTGAACTAAGGGAAATGACTCAACACATTCAGCAACACAAAACTGTGGCCTAAATTCACTCTGACAGTTGTTATGCTATCTCCTGCTGCCCGAGTAAAGTAAGTTATGAACAAGACACATGAAGGGGATCAGGCAGACATATGGTCAAATGCTTTCTGTGCAATATGTCTGTCTCCATATTATCTTCTCTGTCTCATTGCACTTTGGACATTTTTATTCTTCCTGCAGATCTATTTTTATGAAGCAATGTGATTTAAATGAAAAGAGCACTGAATTCTCAGCCAGATATTTGAGTTCTAGTTGAAGATTTATCACCTAGTGGTTATGAGATTTGGGGCAAATTGCTTAATCTCTCTCTTTCTTTACCACTTCGTTTGTAAGTTTTCTTGCCTCCCTACAGGACTGTATTGGGGATCAATCAATGTTGAGTTGAAGGCAACATGGTTTAAGTTGGCTTAATGGAGAAGTGGTAAATCACTTAAACGGGTAGAACAACACAGTGTAGAGGATGTTGGGCTGCATGAGGAAGTGTGGAAAAAAAGCATGCCATGAAAATATCATCACAATCTCACATTTCTTCATTTATTTGCACACTCTGAACACCTGCATGTGATAAGGACTGTGCAAGGTTCTCAGGATACCCAGGTAAAAATCACCACTTCTGCCAGTCTTGACTTTGCAAGCTTGAGGAGCAGACCTGGAGAAATTTGGCTATTACCACACCAAAGTTGTTCCTCACATTCCCTTTGACATATGGTCTCAGGAAAAAATGAAAAGAGTAAAAAAAAAAAAAAAAAGTCCTTCATTTTTGAAAGGAACAGTCATAATTAATTTCTAGAAGGAGAAAGAAAAAAAGAGATAACAGTGTGTGAAAAGGCTTAGAAAATGCTAGAGCACTACAGAAAGATAACGTGAGATTATGTCTAAGAGTAGCTTGGTTATTTTGCTTTTGTTGACAAAGTATACCTCCTTCATTTTCATAGTTGTCATAATTCTTTCCATGATTTTCTTAGTGGGTTTGTTTAGGAGAAACTGTATTCTTTCTTTATTCATCTAACTCTCCTTAACTCCAAAAGATGCTTCTTAGGATAACATTTTAAAAGGATATACATTACGCACATTTTTAATGCTTCTATACAGGACTGAAGGCCAATATTACCATGATAATAAGGCATGTAACAAAAATTTGTTCTGCAGAGAGTGAGAAAGCGTGAGGGAAAACACAGTGCAGGATTCTATGCTGTCACCCAAGAACCCAGACAGGCAAGTGAAATAATAGAGCAGACATTTCCTGAGGCTGTGGTCGATATGATTAGGAGATAGTGGGTAAAAATGGCCTTTAAACTATATACACATGAGAAGATAGATGTGAAAGCCCATTGCAAAGGCAATAAAATTATGCAAATATAAAATATCACTATTAAAATGTATGATGAATTGACGTGCCATGAAAACAGTTCCAGTGCTGGGCCAGAAATCAGGAAACGTGGGCTTTTGGTTTCTCACCATTAAAATGAAGAAGTTGGATTTATACCCAAGGGTACCTTGTGGGCTGTATGGCTTCTAAGTAACTGGTCATAACAAAAGGGACACAATCAGGTCAGTTTCAAACCAAGAATAAAATGGGAAATTAAAGAACTGAATTGGCTACTTTCTGCTCAAATGATTGTTAAAAATAAAGTTTAAAAAAAGCCCCAAGGACTATGCAGTGCAGTGAGCAGAGGCTCCCGATATTAAAAAGAAAACAAGGAAAATGGATTCCTGGTGATAGAAGTGGTGTGGGGGAAGACAAATAGTGTGGCTGCAAATGGAACAATATGCAAAAGAAAAGTAGCTAAATATAGCTCTTTTTTGGGAAAGAGATTGTGTCTAAGTCCATCAGTGGAAAGGCAACTTAATTGTTGTATAAGTCTGTTCAGGTTGCCATAACAAGATACCATACACCAAGTGGCTTAAACTATAGAAATGTATTTCTCACACTTCTGGAAGTTGGGAAGTCCAAGATAAAGGTGGTAGCAAAGCGGATTCCTTTCTAAGGTCTCTTCCTATGGCCTGTAAGTGGCTGTAGATTCACTGTGTGCCCATGTGACCATTTCTTCGTGCACCAGGGGGAAGGCGGACAAGCAAGCTTTCTAGTGTCTGTCTTCTTGTAATGGCATTAATCTCAGCATGAGGACACCACTCTCACAACCTCTTTTAATCCTGATTACCTCTCAAAGGCCCCAGCTGCATAAATCATCACAGTAGGTGTTAGGGCTTCAACGTTTAAGTGCGGGAGTTGGTGTTCACATTTCAGTCAATTGAGGTGGCAATTGAAATGAGAAAGGAAAACCATAGTTACTAGAGAGAACGGTTGTCTTGGGGAGGATCACTGGACAGAACTACGGTCCTGTCCAGGTTGTTATGGCAACCTGAACAGACTTATACAACAATCCAGTCCTAGAGGCAATACAACTTCTCTGCTGATTCCAGATTCTGAGCGCCTCTCAGTCCTTGGTTGGGTTGTTTTGATCCTGTCCATATTATATTTATAAATATTCTCTTCATAAAACTCTCTTTAGGCCGGGCGCGGTGGCTCACGCCTGTAATCCCAGCACTTTGGGAGGTCAAGAGATCGAGACCATCCTGGCCAACGTGGTGAAACCCGCTCTCTACTAAAAATACAAAAAATTAGCCGGGTGTGGTAGCGGGCGCCTGTAGTCCCAGCTACTCGGGAGGCTGAGGCAGGAGAATGGCGTGAACCCGGGAGGCGGAGCTTGCAGTGAGCCGAGATGGCACCACTGCACTCCAGCCTGGGCGGCAGAGCGAGACTCCATCTCAAAAAAAAAAAAAAAAAAAAACACAACTCTCTTTAAATCACACATCCGAGTGTGCCCCTTGTTTCCCACCAGAGCCAAGACTGAATGAGATGATTTCTTAAGGTCAGGTTGATGTCCTAATCCAGTTGTGCTGCTATAACAAAATACCACAGAGTGAGTAACTTATAAACAACAAAAATTTATTGCTCACAGTTATGGAGGATGGTCAGTCCAAGATCAAGTTGCCAGCAGGTTCAGTGTCTAGTGAAGGCCCATTCCTCTGTCATCCAGGCTGAAGTGCAGTGTTGCAAGCTTGGGTCACTGCAACCTTCACCTCCCAGGCTCAAGTAATCCTCCCACCTCAGCCTCCTGAGTAGCTGGGACCACAGGTGCTCACCACCATGCCTGGCTAATTTTTTTTTTTTTTTTTTTTTTTTTTTTTTTTTTTTTTGTAGAGATGGGGTTTCACCATGTTTCCCAGGCTGGTCTCAAACTCCTGGACTCAGGCAATCTGCCAGCCTCCTGAGGGAGTGCTGGGATTACAGGCATGAGCCACTGTGCCCACCCCCAAAATTCTACTCATATATATGCATAATTACATAGTTACCAGCCGTTATTTTCTGATACTTTGATTGGCAATTGGTTGAAAGAGTTTATCTAAAGACCTGGAATCCATAGAAGGCAGTCTCTGTGTTAAGGGGTTGTTCTTATTATGCAGATGAAGCCTCCAGGTAGCAGGCTTCAGAGAGAATTGATTGTAAATGTTTCTTATCAGACTTAAAAAGGTGCCTAGATTAGGGAAAAGGCCTGGAAAGGGATTCCCTGTAGCATGTAGACTTTCCCCACAAGAGACAACTTTGTAGGGACATTTCAAAATATGATAAAAAATGTATTTTAGGGTAAAATATTTGTATTTCTTTCAGGGCCTGCTATCTGTCATGTAATGCTACACTAGAGTCAGCCTGGAGTTTGGTGTCTTATTGCTACAAAAAGTCTTGAGATCGCTGTTGTAATGTCAGTTGGGCCTGGTCGGATGTGCTGGTCAGTTGTGCCTGAATTCCAAAGGAAGGAGGGTATAATGAGGCATATCTGACCCCTACTTCCCATCATGGTCTGAACCAGTTTTTCAGGTTAACTTTGGAATGACCCTGGCTGAGAGGAGGGGTGCATTCAAATAGTTGAGGGGCTTGGAATTTTATTTGTGGTTTACACTATAGAAAGTATTTTTCCAGTATTACCTGGACAATGTGTCTCCCTGTCAGTATCCAGGGAATGGCACCTGGATCAAGCATTTAGTGTTCAGTTGCTACACTCTCACCTAATCCCTCATTTTCAATATTTTGCCATGTTTTCCAGTGACCCAACTGGCCACCATGTCACAGACTTTATGGTCTCCAAGGGAGACCCCTCCATTTCATGTTTTGTGATTTGAGCAACAGACTGGAATCTACTTGAAATTTGCAAATGGTCTTTGACTTGGGCTTTCCAATTTTGCTCTACTTCACAGTGTTTTCTGGGTTATATACAAGGGAGATGATCCAGTCATTTGTTAAGCACCTCAAATAAGACATACCCTAGATTTTTTTTGTTTGTTTTGTCAAATTGGGATTATTTTTGTGTCTTTGGAGAATATAAAATACTAATATGAGGTAAGCACTAAGGTTCTGAGATGGCCGTGGAAGAGATGACAAACTCCATCACCATGCCTGAGAGTGTCCAATCGTCTCTGCGGGGGCCACATCATTTTGTATTACACTGTATTTGAAATAACAACAACAACAAAAAACCCTTCAAGATTCATAAAATTGGACAACTGTCTTTGTAACACTTCTAGTGGTAAAACCAGTAAGGATGGCTAGTTTGCAACCCATCTGAGCAGCCTCTCTGGTTTCATAGATATGTTTTCTCTCTGACATTGAACGGCTTTCAACTTGAAGCGGAATGCTACATCACAAAGATAAACAGGTTTGAAAGGAACCGGTTTTCCTTGTAATCCTAAACGTTCAAGTCTGCGCATTAAAAGACATTATCTGAAGAAGGGTGCACAAGCTTCCTGTTGGCCGCCAGAAGGGTTCTCTGCAGGACACAGATCAAGTACCACAGTCTTAGGGGGAGACCAGACGCGGGGTCTCTGCGAACCTCCCCAAAGGACAATGGCAGGAGGAAAAGGAGAAAGAGACAGACGTCACTTCCTCCGCCAGCTCCGGCAGCGGGTTGATGGGCTGAGTCGGCGGAGGGTAGGGCGGAAGAGCAGACGGGGACTGGGAAAGGCGCTGTCGGTGACATCACGGATAGGGCGATTTCTATGTAGATGAGGCAGCGCAGGGGCTGCTGCTTCGCCACTAAGGAGTTCCCGTGCCGTGGGAGTGGGTTCAGGACCGCTGGTCGGACCTGAGAGTCCCAGCTGTGTGTCAGGGCTAGGAGGGCTGTGGGTGGTGGGGGGGGGGGGTGGGGGGGGGGGGGCGTGCGCGGGGCAAGTGACCGTGCGTGTAAAGGGTGAAGCGTGTGAGGCTGTGGCGGGGCGGAGAGTGCAAGAGTTCATACTTACCTGGCAGGGGAGATACCATGATCATGAAGGCGCTTTTCTCATGGTCGCGGCTTATCCATTGCGTTCCAGATGTGCTGACCTCTGCGATTTCCCCAAATGTGGGAAACTCGACTGCATAATTTGTGATAGTGGGGGGCTGCGTTCGTGCTTTCCCCTGGCGCTTTTGTGGTGCGAATAGTAGATGAGCCGTAAGTGTTTTTGTAATTCAGGGTGCGGGCTCGTGTTTTGTGGCTGTGTTCTGTCCGGTCAGTTGTTTCCGTTCGCAACGGTTAGTTTTCCTTTGTGAGGCCATGTTTAGGGACAGGTTAGAATTATCCACTTACTCTCTCGGGAGGCGAATTTCAGTCTCTGTTGGTTGGGGTATTCTCCCAGGTTAGCTGCCGCGGTACTTGCTAGGTGGAGCTCAGGGATCAAGGGTCGGGAGCTTTCTGGTTTGTTCAGTGCTCCCAGGGCTTCTAACATCTCTTAAAAACTCTGGTGTTTTCTGTCATCCTCGGAGTTACCTCTTAGCCTCTGTTTTTTTTGTTGTTTTTTTTCCCCCCCTCCCTAAGACAAGTCTCGCTGTACCGTCCAGGCTGGAGAAGTGGCGCGATCTTCCCATCTCAGGCTCCCGAGTAGGACAACCGCACGCCACCACACCCGGCTAGTTTTTTCTCTTTTTTTTTCTTTTCTTTTCTTTCTCTTTCCTTTCTTTTTCTTTTTTCGTAGCGGTTTCACCATTCTGCTCAGGCTGGGCTCCAACTCCTGGGCTCAAGTGGTCCGCCCAGCCTTCTGAAGTGCTGGGATTACAGGTGCGATCCATCTTGCCCTGGCAGCTCCTGCTTTTCACCACAGCATTCACGGGAGTTTGTAGGATTTCTGTGCTGGGGAAACGTGTACTCAGTTAATAGAGCCAGGTGGAAGTTGTACTCAGAACTGGTGGTTTTCTTTGGAATGAAAACCGTGCATGTTGGGGGCTCTTAGTGTCCCCGTTCGGTTGTAGACATAACACCCTTGCTTTGTGTAGGGGGAGGGCTTTGCCCGTGCCCTGGTGCCCCGGCGCAGGGCATCGAGGCCTGCAGATCAGAACCGCAGTCTAACCTATGTCTTGGCGGAATACCCTGCTAATTCTCCCTGGAATGTAAGATGGGAGGTCTTGCGAGGAGGTTTCTACAAGTAAGAAAACAAATTTCCATTCGGTTTTTATTGACAAAATTGAAAATTATAATAACTGAGTCCAGCCTCTCAGATGACAAATGTCTTTTGCACTGAGAGCTGGGAACCGCCGCTTGCCTCAGCTCCTGCGTGCAGGTGCAGCCCTCGCTTCCCTCCACACTTTCTCCAGCGGGTGTCAGTTCCTCCACAAGAGGCAGACAGCGTTCTGCAGAACCACAGCGCTCAAGGCCTTCGAGAGCCAAAAATCTCGGAGCGAGCTGCCCTGTCCTGGCTGTACCTCACGACTGACCTAGAAATGGCCTTTGCTGGGAGCAAAGGGTAGGGGGGAGATGGTCGTCGGAGCTGGGGCCTGTGCACTGGACCAGGTTGACCCACGGGAGGGGAGGTACCCAGAATTAGAAGGGGGCCAAGCACTGAGACCTCACCATCCTCAATCTCCAAAAGGACTCAGAGAGATGCAGAGACTGAGACAGGCTTCCTTTTTCAAGGAAAGAGAAAACTACTGAGGAAGGCCCCAGGGGCTCTGAACCAAAATCCAGACTTTTTTTTCCACCTGCAGCTTTTTGTTTTTATTTTTGCTTGAGAAGGTGTCTCGGTCTGTTGCCCGGGCTGGAGGGCAGTGGCGCAATTTCGGCTCATTAAAACCTCCATCTCCCGGGTTCAAGCAATTCTCCTGCCTCGGCCTCCCTAGTAGCTGGGACTACAGGTGCCCGCCATGACGCCCGGCTAATTTTTGTATTTTTATTAGAGACGAGGTTTCACCATGTTGGTCAGGCTGGTCTCAAACTCCTGATCTCAAGTCATCCACCCACCTCAGCCTCCCAGAGTGCTGGGAT
Organism: Homo sapiens; assembly: GCF_000001405.40. Classification (NCBI taxonomy): domain Eukaryota; kingdom Metazoa; phylum Chordata; class Mammalia; order Primates; family Hominidae; genus Homo; species Homo sapiens. Next base: position 148,524,600 of record NC_000001.11, read on the forward strand.
TACAGGTGTGAGCTACCGCGCCCAGCCCGCACCTGCAGCTTAATCCCATTTCGCTGGTGCAACTTCATCCTTCCGTATGCTCAGGCCAATAAACAGTACTGTAGGCTGGTCGTTCTTTGACCCCCATACATCCTATTGGTCGGAAAATTATGTTTTCTCTTTGGTTAACTGCAGACTTTGATATGCACACTCTTTCTTGGTCTGAAACCCACCCAATAGTCCCATACGTAGATTTTTGGATAAACATAGAAATGGACCCTTCTGATCTGAAAGTTTGAAACTCGATATTTGTTTTATTTGAGTTCCTTCCTTCAGGCCTCTCAAAAAAGATATCAAAGAACTGAAAGTCACCCAGACAATGAGATGCCGGACCCCTCATTCATCCTGATTGCTTCCTTGCCCCTCCCTAGTTCCTGTTTTCTTTCTTTTCTTTTCTTTTTTTTTTTCTTTTTGCGACAGAGTCTCCCTCTGCCTCCCAGGCTGGAGTGCAGTGGCGCTATCTTGGCTCACTGCAAGCTCCGCCTCCCGGGTTCACGCCATTCTCCTGCCTCAGCCTCCCGAGTAGCTGGGACTACAGGCGCCGGCCACCACGCCCGGCTAATTTCTTTTCGTATTTCTAGTAGAGACGGGGTTTCACCGTGTTAGCCAGGATGGTCTCGATCTCCTGACCTCGTGATCCGCCCGCCTCGGCCTCCCAAAGTGCTGGGATTACAGGCGTGAGCCACCGCGCCTGGTCTAGTTCCTGTTTTCTTACACATTGTCACATTCTTTCCCTGCCATCTAAGCCTCTAGTTTTGGTTGGTCAGGGAGATGGATTTGAGACTGAGTTCTCATCTCCTCCGCTGCAGCACCCTATTAAAGCCTCTTCCTTGACAATAACCGTCTCAGTGATTGGTTTTCTGTGTGGCAAGCAGCGGGAACCCCAGGTCTCTGAACTTTGACAAAGGAATCTCCTGATAAAGGCGGGATCGATTTTACTGACCAAGCTGAAAACGATCAGACGTTTGAAAGCCTTAATCTCGGAGCCTGTCGGAGTTTGGTCTGCCCTTGAGGCTTTCCTTTGGGCCTACCAGTCAAAATCAGCCTGGCCAAACCTGTCTTCAAGGACCAGGGGCAGGGCCGGCTTCTCCCGCCGGGTCGGCAGCCACCTTCCCCTTCCCTGTGACTTGAAGAGAAGCTTCAGGGGGCGTTTATTCAATTTGCGAGGAGCCCGCGAGGCGCAGGTGCACGGTGACTCTGTGGTTCCCACCGCACCCGCTGCCCTCTTTGGTCCTCTCGCTGTCACCGGCGGGCAGTAACGTTCCGGGTGAGCTAGGGCTCCGAAGACACCAGGCAGGGAGGGACCAGTGGGTAAGGGCACCGCCCATTTAGGTCCTGCGCAGGAGGGATCCGAAAAAGGTCTTGAAGAAATAGAAAGGGAGAGCCAGATGCGGTGGCTCACGCCTGTAATCCCAGCACTTTGGGAGGCCGAGGTGGGTGGATCACGAGGTCACGAGTTCGAGACCAGCCTGGCCAAGATGGTGAAACCCTGTCTCTACTAAAAATACAACAAGTAGCCGGGCGCGGTGACGGGCGCCTGTAATCCCAGCTACTCAGGAGGCTGAGGCAGGAGAATCTCTAGAACCCCGGAGGCGGAGGTGCAGTGAGCTGAGACTGCCCCGCTGCACTCTAGCCTGGGCAACACAGCAAGACTCTGTCTCAAATAAATAAATAAATAAATAAATAAATAGAAAGGGAGAGTTGGAAGTAGATCAAATAGAAGAAAAGAAATCCTAGATTTCCTATCTGAAGGCACCATGAAGATGAAGGCCACCTCTTCTGGGCCAGGTCCTCCCGTTGCAGGTGAACCGAGTTCTGGCCTCCATTGGAGACCAAAGGAGATGACTTTGACCTGGCTCCTAGTGAGGAAGCCATGCCTAGTCCTGTTCTGTTTGGGCTTGATCCTGTAGCACTTGATTGTCTCTCCTGGACTTTCCATGGATTCCAGGGATGCAACTGAGAAGTTTATTTTTAATGCACTTACTTGAAGTAAGAGTTATTTTAAAACATTTTAGCAAAGGAAATGAATTCTGACAGGTTTTGCACTGAAGACATTCACATGTGAGGAAAACAGGAAAACCACTATGCTAGAAAAAGCAAATGCTGTTGAGATTGTCTTACAAACACAAATTGCGTGCCAGCAGGTAGGTTTGAGCCTCAGGTTGGGCACATTTTACTTTAAGCGCACTGTTGGTGGAACTTAAGGTGACTGTAGGACTTATATATATATACATACATATAATATATATACATATTTATGTGTATACACACACACACACACACACACACACACACACACAGGGTCTTGCTATCTTGCCCAGGGTGGTCTCCAACTCTGGGTCTCAAGCGATCCTCTGCCTCCCCTTCCCAAAGTGCTGGGATTACAGGTGTGAGCCACCTCGCCCAGGCCATTTTAATTTTAATTTAATACTTTTAATTTGAATACACAATCCAAAAATCATATAACAAGTACAGGAAACCCACTTTATGCCAAGTTTACAAAAACAGGAAAGATATGTCAATGACAAAGCGTCAAAGTGGCAACATCCTTAAGTACTGAGAGAAAAAAAGTTATTCTAGAATTCTATGCCAAATTGAAATATCTTTCAAAAATGTGACTGAAATCAGGACATTTAAAGACATACAAAAAAATGACAGAATTCACCGAACCACACTACAAGAAATATTAAAGGAGTCCTCCAGGCCTAAGGATAAGGATACCAAACAGAAATCTGAACCTACACAAAGAAATGGAGACGACTGAAAATCGCTATGTACGTACTTGGATGTTGGGGTTTATAACATGTCCAAAATCAAATTCCCTGACAACACTAGCATAAAGGCCAGAAGGGGAGGTATAATGTCACTTGATGGCAGACGGATAAAGATGTATTCTAGGGACCCTAAAGCCATCACTGACATAACAAAAGAAAGAGTTACAGCTAATAAGCCAAATAAGGAAAGAAAATAGAATGATATATAAAAAAAAAAACATGTAATCGCTGGGTGCGGTGGCTCATGCCTGTAATCCCAGCACTTTGAGAGGCCAAGGCAGGCAGATCACTTGAGGTCAGGAGTTTGAGACCTGCCTGGCCAAAACGATGAAACCCCGTCTCTACTAAAAATACAAAAATTAGCCCGATGTGGTGGCTCGCGCGGACCTGTAATCTCAGCTACTTGGGAGGCTGAAGCAGGAGATTCGCTTGAACCCGGGAGGCGGAGGTTGCAGTGAGAGCTGAGATGGCGCCACTGCACTCCAGCCTGGGTGACAGAGCGAGACTCTGTCTCAAAAATAAATAAATAAATAAATAAACAAACAAACAAACAAAAACTGTGTAATCCCTATGCTGGAGCAACTGCTCTCCAGGCCTCTACCCTATAGAAATACACAAATGGCCAATGAGAAGTGTACAAGAATGATCACTGCCGTATTATTTGCAATCATAAAATAGTAGCGCCAAAGTAATTTCAAAGATACATGAAAATCGTTTTATTTATTTAACAAACACGAACAATTGAACAAACCATGGAAGCAAGTCCTTTTGCCTAAAGGAACACAGAGGGTCATGCGGATGTTGCTCCTCCAAGGATTTCGGTGTTCCCCAACGGCTAGTTTTGGGTCTAGTTCTTCTGGAAGATCTTATTCTTGGGGAGCTACAGGTTCTGGCGTTTGGGGCTCTTTCAGGTTCTATCTCCATTTTCCCCTCAATTCCTCCCCATTCTGCTATAATAAAAAAAAATTCTCACCTCCGGAAGATCCCGCCTGTGCCTCCCCGCCAGCCTTTCAGGAGGTCTGGACGTCTGGTCCACCGCTCCCCGGCTTCTTTCCCCGCTTTTGCTTTTCCCCTCCCCTGCTCCCGCCCTCCGGCCTCAGGACCCGACCACCGCCCAGCTGAGCCCCCGCGGCTCCACGGCGCAGAAGGTGCACTGGAGGCCCTGCCCGTTGCCGCCCCGCGGGGTGCCAAGAAGTCCACGTAAATAAATGCTTTGTAAAAGGAACTTCCCCATGGAAAAATCTCTCATGATTTCCATTCTCAAGGCTCTTCAAAGGACTAAAAGCTAAAAGGATGGATTCATTCGACAAGTCCTAGTCCTGCGCCCTGGTGAGTGCCAGACCCTGCTCCCCGCGAGGGGGACCCACGAGCCACCCTCACCACGATCCCTGCTCTGGTGGAGCCCCCGTGCGGAACACAGGATCCGAAGATGGCAGCGGAAGCTCCGCAGCGGCCCCAAAAGCGACTGGGCAGGGAGGGCACAGGCTCCCTCACTGGGTGAAGGCGGCGCAAAGAACGGGAAGAGCCATCCCGGGAGCCACCGGGCGTTCAGCCTCCCTAGGGCCCCCAGGCGGCTCGGGCCGGGGTCTCAACCGGGGCGTTTCCGGGGGTTTCTGAAGCAGGTGAGGGGCAGGGCGGGCGAAGGCCATTCGGCTATCCTTCTGGCTCCAGAATCTCCCAACGCGCAGGTGTCCAACGTGACCAGCGCGACTTACCGCTCCAATCTCTCCGGTCTTCCAAGGCCTGCTCAGTCGTCCTGCTGGGCGGGCCCTGAGGATGCAAGGGACGGAGGAAGTTTCGTGCGTGCGCCCTTCCTATAGCGCCCAGTAGAACTGACAGTACCTGTCTCTGTGGCGCAATCGGTTAGCGCGTTCGGCTGTTAACCGAAAGGTTGGTGGTTCGAGCCCACCCAGGGACGCTTGTTCGAGCTTTTAAAGTATTCATATATTGTCAATCACTAGATAAATGGGGAAGATTTTATCTTCCTGGAGTCCTAAGCCACTAATTTGTGACTTATCCATGTCAAGGGCCAGCCCATCTCCCCGACCGGATTCTTAACCGGGTATCTCCTGAAATCCTGGGTTTATACGTGTGTAACTCAGGAATCCTGAAACAGAGCCCTAGGAACCCACTTCTGGTGTGATAAAATTCTAATTCAGTCCGTTATACGCTTAAACGAGTAATTTACATGCCTTCATTTTTTCATATTTTAATAATAGGAGGTCAGTAATATCCCGAGGATGTGCCTGGATTTACTGATTGCTCTATCAACAATGTGACCAGTGGAATCATTCATCATCATAGTGATCCTCTCCATCATTTTTGAAAAGAGTATTTTTCCTCAGTTTGTGCATGATTTATTTAACCCTTTTCAAAATGTTTTTGTTAGCCAGGCATGGTGGCATGTGCCTGTAATCCCAGGTACTTGGGATTCTGAGGCAGGAGAATCATTTGAACCTGGGAGGTGGAGGCTGCAGTGGAGGCTGCACCAGTGGAGGCTGCACCGCTACACTCCCGCCTGGGCAACAGAGCGAGACTCCATCTCAAAAAAAATAAAAATAAAAAAATAAAGTTTTTGAGATGAGGTAGGTTTCATTGTTTTAGGATTACAAAGAATGCTGCAGCCACCTTTCTTGTACACATATCTTTGGTCATTGTGGAAATGTCTACACCGCAGATATTTCTATAGTGTAGGGAAGTTGATGCACTATTGCTACATTATAGGGTTTACATGATGCTTCTAATTTGAGTACATTCCGCAAATGTATCTTTCACGGGAGCCGTACCAAATAATATTCCAATAGCAATATTTATAGGAGGAAAAATGTGCAGAAGTGCAATTGAGCTTCGTGCCTCTCCATGGGGCCCATGTTCATAAAATGGTGGCATTAGCAATCATCTGAGAGTGGAGTTTGTGGCCCTCTGACATCAAAAGCTGAAGCAAAGGACATGAAAACCCTCACTGTGCATCCTCTCTAGTCTGGCCAGAATCATTCCTAGGTCGGTGGTCTCTTATCAGGAGGGAATGCTGCTTGCTTGTTTTGTCAAAATCACAAAACTGAGGAAAAGCATCAGGCCGTTGGTTGATAACAGTGGTGAAGCAAGTCTTTCCATAGGGCTGGTTTGTTGTTAACCCTTAGGGAAAAAAAAAGCCTTTTTTTTTTTTTTTTTTTTTTTTTGAGACGGAGTCTCTCTCTGTCGCCCAGGCTGGAGTGCAGTGGCGCGATCTCGGCTCACTGCAAGCTCCGCCTCCCGGGTTCAGGCCATTCTCCTGCCTCAGCCTCCCGAGTAGCTGGGACTACAGGTGCCCGCCACCACGCCCGGCTAATTTTTTTTATTTTTAGTAGAGATGGGGTTTTACCGTGTTAGCCAGGACGGTCTCGATTTCCTGACCTCGTGATCCGCCCGCCTTGGCCTCGCAAAGTGCTGGGATTACAGGCATAAGCCACCGCACCAGGCCAAAAAAGCCTAATTCTTACCAGCTGGTGCCGTGCAGTTCCAGGCTCTTGGTGTCCCAAACAAAGACACCAAGAGCCTGGAACTGCACCAAAAACCAAAACCAAGGTAGGGGCAAGATGATAATCACAGAATGTCACCGGTATATGTTTAGGTTCAAATACTATTATGAGAAGTGGCAGGTAAAGGAGGTAGGAAAAAGAAAACACATCATGTAATTGACTGTTGTATGGAAATATTTGATGCTGAAAGTTATAATTTAAAACTATAAACCAAATATTAGAAGTGTGTCTAGTCCAAAGGGAGGAAAACCATCAAAAACATTTTTAGTGCAATATTTAACATGAGCTATACAACCCTTCCTAAATGCCAAAGGCACACACAGACACACACACAGACACACACACACACACACACTCACGAAGAATACAAATGACTAGAACCAAGAAATGTAAATACATTCTGCTACATATGGTAAACATAGCCTACAATGTGGAAGAGATTAGAAAATAAACATGGAAATGAAATGTTTTTATTAATTCGCATCAGTACCCACCAAAACCAATCACCATAATCAAATATTATAACACTGAATGTAAAAAACAATCCAAAAGTCCAGAGTGATAGGCAAAAGGTTTTAATTGTATAGATTAAAATTAACTTTGGACAAAAATTAAAACTCAGGCAGAGAATGTCTTCTTTTTGCAACAGCAGACACTAGTAAAAACAAAGGCACAGTAAAAATTGAGACCCCAAATTTGCAGTGTAGAGATATGAATATAATAATAGACACAGGCAGGGAGGATTAATAAATGATAAAATGTTTAGAGGATGATCATTAGAATACAGGATATTTATACTCTTGAAAACCACTTTCCCAAGTACTTCATTGTAAGTAAGGTGTCTCTAAAAGGGACAGATCTCCTAGACCCCTCCTTAACCAAGTAACCAGTCCTGATATCATAATGGTGATGGACAAACTAGACCTTCTCTGCCCGCAGATGGGCTGAGGTTGGAAACTCACAGCATTGTCTCTGCAGTGTTCCTGGCAAAACGTTTAGGCTGAATTTAATCATGAAGACATTTTCAGACAACTTCAGAATGTAGATCATTGAGCCAGACAGCTGACCTGTCTTCTATAAACAAGTCCATGTCACCACCATCCATGACAACAACAAAAAGATGAGGAAATATTTGGGGTTCAAAATAACTAAAGAAATGCAGCTACATTATCTTTTTACTTTTTTTGAACCCAAAATATCTCTTCTCCTTTTTGTTGTGTGATTTGTGGTGATATGGACTATGTGAAGGAGACAGGTCAGTTGTCCTGCTCAGTGTTCTACATTCTGCAGTTGTCTGGTGATTACCTCCTATGAAACTCAGGCTAAGCGTTTTCTGCAAGAACATGGCATTGTTCATATTCTGCACCGGCAGAGTCCTGGGTGACATGCTGTCTCCTGCCAGCGACTCCTGACTCCTGACCTCTACAGGATGGAATAGAGAGGAGCAGGGCTAAGGCCTCCCAATGCTGTTTGTCCATCTAGCTGTGGTCTTCCTAAGTACTGACACCAATTGGAGGCTGAAGGACTGTGGCTTCTCTAACCAAAGGAGTCTAGCGGGTTAACAATTGTCAAGAGCAGTTGGTGGTTCTGAAATACAATCCTCAGCCAAGGATCCCTCCTGTGTTACAGATGGATCAGCTAAAACAAGCCAACACTGAAGACACAAAGAATGAGGTTAGGTTCATTGAAACCAGGGTAACACCTTTGGATGAGCTAAACACAAAGATGACAATGACCTTGAGCAGGTATAGAAGCTCAGAGACATGCCTGCAAAATGAAATCCCTGAGGAATTTTGTAGCTACCCAGAGATACGTGGTTCAAATTAAAATGTCTGACTGATCACTCCCGGCATGTGCTGCACAGTTATGTGAACGTGTCACACCTAACGTGGGTCCATTGTCTTCAGACTGCGCACAGGTTTCCACTGGCATGGTTTGAGAATAGGAATAGAGCCATGCCCACTGACCCATCCTATGTCTGGGCTTCCAAATGGAACTGTACTTTCATTCAAATCTTCACTTGCCTATAGGTCCTGCCTGCAGGAATGACATCTCTCGGATTACTAAGGGCTGCTTATTGTGGGAATATGACTCCCATCTGGAACACCAGGTGGAGACTTGTCACCGTCAAAGTAAAAAACCTATTGTCCACGTAAAGGGCGAAGCTGATGTGCTGTTCCTCAAATGAGTAAAACACACTTCTGTAGTGCTGGAATGAGTCAGGTAGTTCAAAGTACATTGACGGAGTCGAATAACATCTATCCAGTGAGTCCTGTAAGACTTCACGCTCTTCCACTTCCATCAGCACGCCGTTGAGCCTGGAAAAGGAGACAAAACTAAAGAAGCAGCCAGGGAAAATCAGACACCACAGAGCCCCAGCTAGATTTCAGAAGCAACATAAGGAAGTGGTTAGAAAAGAAAAAGGATAGAACCATTAATGAGGTAAAAAAAAAATTTATTGCCTTTATGTTGGGATAGAACAGGGCCAGGTAGAAAACAATGAAAGAGAAAGACAGAGAGAGAGAGACAGAGACAGAGACAGAGAGAAAGTGACCTAGTGAATTGGCCAGGTGACATACTGGTAAGGGAGTCAAAGGACACTCTGAGTTAGTGCCCTCATGACACACAGCAAACTGTGATCATGAAAAGAGTGAGCTCAATAGTTTTCCATAAAATATGCTCAAAATTCGATGCAGTGGCCATGAGAGTACAGCTTTTGAAGTATGGTCAACCTATGGTACGTTAGGAAATGATAAGGGGAGGAAGAAATGGAAACCTAAACATCTACTGCAATGAAAACCAACAGCAATGACAGTAGGAGTAATTCAGCCTTTGTTGAAAATATGACATCAAACACACTCTGGTTTCCCTGAATCTGTTGCCTCCAGGAGTTAACACAGAACTAAGGATCCACAATTGCTGAAAGTCACCTGGGGCATGGTGGGTTTTGATCTTCTTCCCCTTCTTTTCTTCCCCTTCTTCTTTCCTTCTTTGATCTTCTTCCCCTTCTTTTTTTCCCCTTCCCCTTCTTTTCAATTTCTGCAATAAATTCAGACATGGACAGACACATTAAGCTGATTCCCCTACACACATAACAATCCACTGTCTAATCCTCACACAGGGACCTCAGGCTCCTCAGCATAAGAATAGGACACTGTGAGAGATATATTTCAGGAGGCCTGAAGGCTGGTCATGATAGAAATTCCTCGGTTTTTCTCCCAGAAACTGTGGGTAAAATGTCCCTATTCTAGTAGATCGTTATCCCAATATCATTTGTCCCAAGTTTCTGCAAACAGTTACGCCATATTTTTCCAATCAACGTAAAGCAAATACCCTCAATGATTTCTAGGAGAAAAACTGCAATATTTAGCCCTGTCTCATCAAATACTCAGATTGTTCATGGTAGTGAGGACTCCAGACACTGAAATTAGAGTGAAAAAGGAAATCTACAAACCCTTGAGTCAAAATCACAGTTCTCTGAATTTGTCACATCTGCCCAGGTCCAATGTCATGAGAATAGGATCAGGGCGCCACAGGTATGGCCTGAGACTAGGAAGAGAGTCTTGCTCACTGACCCATTTCATGTCTAGGCTTCCAGCTGAGACTACAGTTTCATTACAACCTATATGCGCCCATAGGTCCTGCCTGCGGCAATGACATCTCTCGGGTGAGTAAGGGCCACTTGGAATAGGAATATCACCCCTATCTGGAAGACCAGGTGGAGGCTTATCACCTTCATAGTAAGGTACTCACTGTCCACGTCAAGAGCCAAGCCAAGGTACTGTTCCTCCAATGAGTAAACAGCACTGCTGTAGGGCTGGCCTAAGTCAGGCAGTTCAAGATAACCTGAAGGAGTCGAATAACATCTATCCAGTGAGTCCTGCAAGACTTCAGGATCTTTCTCATCCAGCAGCTCCCTGCTGAGCCTGGAAAAGTAGGAAAAAGTAAAGAATAAGCCAGGGGGAATCAGAAACCACACAGCCCCAGCTAGATTTCATGGCTAACATAAGGAACAGTTTAAAAAGAAAAAGGACAGATCCATTAATGAGGTAACGAATTATTGCCTTTATGTTGGGATAGACCAGGGCCAGGTAGAAAAGAATGAAAGAGAAAGACAGGGAGAGGGAGAGAGAGAGAGAGGAGAAAGTGAGCTCAGCGAATTGGCCGGGTGACACACTGATGAAGGGGTCAAAGGACACTCTGAGTTAGTGCCCTCGGGACACACAGCGAACAGTGATCATGAAAAGAGGGGGCTCAATAATTTTCCATAAACTTGCTCAAGATTCCATACAGTTGCCATACAGCCTTTGAGGTATGGTCAACCTACAGTAAGTGAGTAAATGATAAGGGGAGGAAGAAATGGAAACCTAAACATCTACTGCAATGAAAACCAACAGCAATGTCAGTAGGAGTAATTCAACCTTCGCTGAAAACATGAAATTGAACACACTCTTGTTTTCCCTGGACCTGGCATCTCCAGGTGTCAACACAGAATTAAGCATCCATAATTGCTCAAAGTTACCTGGGGCATGATGGGTCTTGGTCTTCTTCCACTTCTTGGTACTTTTCAATTTCTGCAATAAGTTCAGACATGGACAGACATATTAAGCTGGTTCTCCTACACACATAACAATCCACTGTCTAATCCTCACACAGGGACTTCAGGCTCCTCAGCATGAGAATAGGACACTGTGAGAGATAGTCTTCAGGAGGCCTGAAGGCTGATCACCATAGAGATTCCTTGGTTTTTGTCCCAGAAACTGTGGGTAAAATTCCCTATTCTGGTAGATCGTTATCCCAATATCATTTGTCCCAAGTTTGTGCAAATGGTTATGCCATATTTTTCCAATCGATTTAAAGCAAATGCCCCCAAATGGCTGCTAGGAGAAAAACTGCACTATTCAGCCCTGTCTCATCAAATACTCAGATTGTTCATGGTAGCGAGGATTTTAGACGCTGAAATTAGAGTGAAGGATGAAATCTACAAGATCTACAAAATTGAGACAAAATCAGAGTTGTGTGAATTTGTCACATCTGCCCAGATCCAACATCTTGAGAGTAGGATTAGGGCGCCACAGGCATGGCCTGAGACTAGGAAGAGAGCCTTGCTCACTGACCCATCCCTTGTCTGGGCTTCCAAGTGGAACTAGAGTTTCACTCAACCTACATGTGCCTATAGGTCCTCCCTGTGGCAATGACATCTCTCAGCTCAGTAAGGGCCACTTGCAGTAGGAATATGACCCTAACCAGAAGACTCAGTGGATCCTTATCACCTTCATAGAAAGGTACTCACCATCCATGTCAACAGCCAAGCCAACACGCTGTTGCTCCAATACATAAAAGGCACTTCTGTAGGGCTGGCATGAGTCAGTCAGTTCAAGACAACCTGAAGGAGTTGAATAACATCTATCCAGTGAGTCCTGCAAGACTTCAGGCCCTTTCTCATCCAGCAGCTCCCTGCTGAGCCTGGAAAAGTGGGAAAAAGTAAAGAATAAGCCAGGGGGAATCAGAAACCACACAGCCCCAGCTAGATTTCATGGCTAACGTAAGGAAGAGTTTGAAAAGAAAAAGGACAGATCCATTAATGAGGTAACAAATTATTGCCTTTATGTTGGGATAGAACAGGGCCAGGTAGAAAACAATGAAAGAGAAAGACAGACAGAGACAGAGACAGAGACAGAGACAGAGACAGAGAGAAAGTGACCTAGTGAATTGGCCAGGTGACATACTGGTAAGGGAGTCAAAGGACACTCTGAGTTAGTGCCCTCATGACACACAGCAAACTGTGATCATGAAAAGAGTGAGCTCAATAGTTTTCCATAAACTATGCTCAAAATTCGATGCAGTGGCCATGAGAGTACAGCTTTTGAAGTATGGTCAACCTATGGTACGTTAGGAAATGATAAGGGGAGGAAGAAATGGAAACCTAAACATCTACTGCAATGAAAACCAACAGCAATGACAGTAGGAGTAATTCAGCCTTCGCTGAAAACATGTCATCAAACACACTCTGGTTTCCCTGAATCTGTTGCCTCCAGGTGTTAACACAGAATTAAGCATCCACAATTGCTGAAAGTCACCTGGGGCATGGTGGGTTTTGATCTTCTTCCCCTTCTTTTCTTCCCCTTCTTCTTTCCTTCTTTGATCTTCTTCCCCTTCTTTTCTTCCCCTTCCCCTTCTTTTCAATTTCTGCAATAAATTCAGACATGGACAGACACATTAAGCTGATTCCCCTACACACATAACAATCCACTGTCTAATCCTCACACAGGGACCTCAGGCTCCTCAGCATAAGAATAGGACACTGTGAGAGATATATTTCAGGAGGCCTGAAGGCTGGTCATGATAGAAATTCCTCGGTTTTTCTCCCAGAAACTGTGGGTAAAATGTCCCTATTCTAGTAGATCGTTATCCCAATATCATTTGTCCCAAGTTTGTGCAAACAGTTACGCCATATTTTTCCAATCAACTTAAAGCAAATACCCTCAAATGATTTCTAGGAGAAAAACTGCAATATTTAGCCCTGTCTCATCAAATACTCAGATTGTTCATGGTTGTGAGGACTTTAGACACTGAAATTAGAGTGAAAAAGGAAATCTACAAACCCTTGAGTCAAAATCATAGTTCTCTGAATTTGTCACATCTGCCCAGGTCCAATGTCATGAGAATAGGATCAGGGCGCCACAGGTATGGCCTGAGACTAGGAAGAGAGTCTTGCTCACTGACCCATCCCTTGTCTGGGCTTCCAGGTAGAACTAGAGTTTCATTCAACCTACATGTGCCTATAGGTCCTCCCTGTGGCAATGACATCTCTCAGCTCAGTAATGGCCACTTGGAGCAGGAATATGATCTTTATATGGAAGACTCAGTGGATCCTTATCACCTTCATAGAAAGGTACTCACCTCCCACGTCAAGAGAAAAGCCAACATGTTTTTCCTCCAATGCATAAAAGGAACTTCCATAGGGCTGGCAGGAGTCAGGCTGTTCAAGACAACTGGAAGGAGTTGAATAACATCTATCCAGTGAGTCCTGCAAGACTTCAGGCTCTACTACCTCCAGGAGCTCCCTGCTGAGCCTGGAAAAGGAGGAAAAAGTAAAGAATAAGCCAGGGGAAATCAGACACAACAGAGCCCCAACTAGGTTTCATGGGTAGCATAGGGAAGTGGTTAAAAAACTAAAAGGATAGATCCATTAATGAGGTAACAAATTATTGCCTTCATGTTGGGACAGAACAGGGCCAAATGGAAAAGAATGAAAGAGAAAGACAGATAGACACACACACACACACACACACACACACACACACACACACACACAGAGAGAGAGAGAACGAGCTCAGTGAATTGTCCAGGTGACACACTGATGAGGGAGTAACAGGACACTCTGAGTTAGTGCCCTCAGGACACACAGCATACAGGGATCATGAAAAGACTGTGCTCAATAATTTTCCATAAAATGTGCTCAAGTTTCCATGCAGTCGCCATGAGAATACAGTTTTTGAAGTCTGGTCCACCTACAGTAGGTTAGTAAATGATAAGGGGAGGAAGAAATGGAAACCTAAATATCTACTGCAATGAAAACCAACAGCAATGTTAGTAGGAATAATTCAGGCTTGGTTGAAAAGATGTAATCGATAATGTCAGCCCGCTCTGTTTTCCCTGAACCAGGAGTCTCCAGATGTCAACACAGAAGTAGCTGTTCACAATTGCTCAGTTACCTGGGGCATGGTGGGCCTTGGTCTTCTTCCTCTTCTTGGTCCTTTTTAATTCCTGCAATACATTCAGACAGGGACAGACAAAATAAGCCAATTCACCTACACCCATAACAGTCCACTGTCTAATCCCCACACAGGGATCTCAGGCTCCTCAGCATGAGAACAGGACAATGTGAGAGATATACTTCAGGAGGCCTGAAAGCTGGTCATGATATTCTTTGGTTTGCATCTCAGAACCAAGGGTGAAATATCCCCATTCTGGTAGATCGTTATCCCAAAATCATTTATCCCAAGTTTGTGCAAACAGTTATGCTTTATTGTTCCCATCAGTTCAAAGAAAATGCCCCAGATGATTTCCAGGAGGAAAACTAAAGTATTCAGCCCTGTCTCATCAAATGCCCAGCTCGTTCATGGATGCAAGAATTTTAGACACTGAAATTAGAATGAAGGAGGAAATCTACAAACCCTTGAGTCCAAATCATACTTCTGTGAATTTTTTACATCTGCCTGGGTCCAATGTGCTGAGAGCGGGCTCAGGTTGCCACAGGCATGGCTGGAGACTAGGAATAGAGCCTTGCTCACTGACCCATTTCATGTCTAGGCTTCCAACTGAGACTACAGTTTCTTTACAACCTATATGCGCCCATAGGTCCTGACTGCGGCAATGACGTCTCTCGGGTCAGTAAGGGGCACTTGGAACAGGAATATCACCCCTATCTGGAAGACCAGGTGGAGGCTTATCACCTTCACAGTAAGGTACTCACTGTCCACGTCAAGAGCCAAGCCAAGGTACTGTTCCTCCAATGAGTAAACAGCACTGCTGTAGGGCTGGCCTAAGTCAGGCAGTTCAAGATAACCTGAAGGAGTCGAATAACATCTATCCAGTGAGTCCTGCAAGACTTCAGGCTCTTTCTCATCCAGCAGCTCCCTGCTGAGCCTGGAAAAGTAGGAAAAAGTAAAGAATAAGCCAGGGGGAATCAGAAACCACACAGCCCCAGCTAGATTTCATGGCTAACATAAGGAACTGTTTAAAAAGAAATAGGACAGATCCATTAATGAGGTAATGAATTATTGCCTTTATGTTGGGATAGACCAGGGCCAGGTAGAAAAGAATGAAAGAGAAAGACAGGGAGAGGGAGAGAGAGAGAGAGGAGAAAGTGAGCTCAGCGAATTGGCCGGGTGACACACTGATGAAGGGGTCAAAGGACACTCTGAGTTAGTGCCCTCGGGACACACAGCGAACAGTGATCACGAAAAGAGTGGGCTCAATAATTTTCCATAAACTTGCTCAAGATTCCATGCAGTTGCCATACAGCCTTTGAGGTATGGTCAACCTATAGTAAGTGAGTAAATGATAAGGGGAGGAAGAAATGGAAACCTAAACATCTACTGCAATGAAAACCAACAGCAATGTCAGTAGGAGTAATTCAACCTTCGTTGAAAACATGAAATTGAACACACTCTTGTTTTCCCTGGACCTGGCATCTCCAGGTGTCAACACAGAATTAAGCATCCATAATTGCTCAAAGTTACCTGGGGCATGATGGGTCTTGGTCTTCTTCCACTTCTTTGTACTTTTCAATTTCTGCAATAAGTTCAGACATGGACAGACATATTAAGCTGGTTCTCCTACACACATAACAATCCACTGTCTAATCCTCACACAGGGACTTCAGGCTCCTCAGCATGAGAATAGGACACTGTGAGAGATAGTCTTCAGGAGGCCTGAAGGCTGATCACCATAGAGATTCCTTGGTTTTTGTCCCAGAAACTGTGGGTAAAATTCCCTATTCTGGTAGATCGTTATCCCAATATCATTTGTCCCAAGTTTGTGCAAATGGTTATGCCATATTTTTCCAATCGATTTAAAGCAAATGCCCCCAAATGGCTGCTAAGAGAAAAACTGCACTATTCAGCCCTGTCTCATCAAATACTCAGATTGTTCATGGTAGTGAGGATTTTACACGCTGAAATTAGAGTGAAGGATGAAATCTACAAGATCTACAAAATTGAGACAAAATCAGAGTTGTGTGAATTTGTCACATCTGCCCAGATCCAACATCTTGACAGTAGGATTAGGGCGCCACAGGCATGGCCTGAGACTACGAAGAGAGCCTTGCTCACTGACCCATCCCTTGTCTGGGCTTCCAAGTGGAACTAGAGTTTCACTCAACCTACATGTGCCTATAGTTCCTCCCTGTGGCAATGACATCTCTCAGCTCAGTAAGGGCCACTTGCAGTAGGAATATGACCCTAACCAGAAGACTCAGTGGATCCTTATCACCTTCATAGAAAGGTACTCACCATCCATGTCAACAGCCAAGCCAACACGCTGTTGCTCCAATACATAAAAGGCACTTCTGTAGGGCTGGCATGAGTCAGTCAGTTCAAGACAACCTGAAGGAGTTGAATAACATCTATCCAGTGAGTCCTGCAAGACTTCAGGCCCTTTCTCATCCAGCAGCTCCCTGCTGAGCCTGGAAAAGTGGGAAAAAGTAAAGAATAAGCCAGGGGGAATCAGAAACCACACAGCCCCAGCTAGATTTCATGGCTAACGTAAGGAAGAGTTTGAAAAGAAAAAGGACAGATCCATTAATGAGGTAACAAATTATTGCCTTTATGTTGGGATAGAACAGGGCCAGGTAGAAAACAATGAAAGAGAAAGACAGACAGAGACAGAGACAGAGACAGAGACAGAGAGAAAGTGACCTAGTGAATTGGCCAGGTGACATACTGGTAAGGGAGTCAAAGGACACTCTGAGTTAGTGCCCTCATGACACACAGCAAACTGTGATCATGAAAAGAGTGAGCTCAATAGTTTTCCATAAAATATGCTCAAAATTCGATGCAGTGGCCATGAGAGTACAGCTTTTGAAGTATGGTCAACCTATGGTACGTTAGGAAATGATAAGGGGAGGAAGAAATGGAAACCTAAACATCTACTGCAATGAAAACCAACAGCAATGACAGTAGGAGTAATTCAGCCTTCGCTGAAAACATGTCATCAAACACACTCTGGTTTCCCTGAATCTGTTGCCTCCAGGTGTTAACACAGAATTAAGCATCCACAATTGCTGAAAGTCACCTGGGGCATGGTGGGTTTTGATCTTCTTCCCCTTCTTTTCTTCCCCTTCTTCTTTCCTTCTTTGATCTTCTTCCCCTTCTTTTCTTCCCCTTCCCCTTCTTTTCAATTTCTGCAATAAATTCAGACATGGACAGACACATTAAGCTGATTCCCCTACACACATAACAATCCACTGTCTAATCCTCACACAGGGACCTCAGGCTCCTCAGCATAAGAATAGGACACTGTGAGAGATATATTTCAGGAGGCCTGAAGGCTGGTTATGATAGAAATTCCTCGGTTTTTCTCCCAGAAACTGTGGGTAAAATGTCCCTATTCTAGTAGATCGTTATCCCAATATCATTTGTCCCAAGTTTGTGCAAACAGTTACGCCATATTTTTCCAATCAACTTAAAGCATATACCCTCAAATGATTTCTAGGAGAAAAACTGCAATATTTAGCCCTGTCTCAACAAATACGCAGATTGTTCATGGTTGTGAGGACTTTAGACACTGAAATTAGAGTGAAAAAGGAAATCTACAAACCCTTGAGTCAAAATCATAGTTCTCTGAATTTGTCACATCTGCCCAGGTCCAATGTCATGAGAATAGGATCAGGGCGCCACAGGTATGGCCTGAGACTAGGAAGAGAGTCTTGCTCACTGACCCATCCCTTGTCTGGGCTTCCAGGTAGAACTAGAGTTTCATTCAACCTACATGTGCCTATAGGTCCTCCCTGTGGCAATGACATCTCTCAGCTCAGTAATGGCCACTTGGAGCAGGAATATGATCTTTATATGGAAGACTCAGTGGATCCTTATCACCTTCATAGAAAGGTACTCACCTCCCACATCAAGAGAAAAGCCAACATGTTTTTCCTCCAATGCATAAAAGGAACTTCCATAGGGCTGGCAGGAGTCAGGCTGTTCAAGACAACTGGAAGGAGTTGAATAACATCTATCCAGTGAGTCCTGCAAGACTTCAGGCTCTACTACCTCCAGCAGCTCCCTGCTGAGCCTGGAAAAGGAGGAAAAAGTAAAGAATAAGCCAGGGGAAATCAGACACAACAGAGCCCCAACTAGGTTTCATGGGTAGCATAGGGAAGTGGTTAAAAAACTAAAAGGATAGATCCATTAATGAGGTAACAAATTATTGCCTTCATGTTGGGACAGAACAGGGCCAAATGGAAAAGAATGAAAGAGAAAGACAGATAGACACACACACACACACACACACACACACACACACACACAGAGAGAGAGAGAACGAGCTCAGTGAATTGTCCAGGTGACACACTGATGAGGGAGTAACAGGACACTCTGAGTTAGTGCCCTCAGGACACACAGCATACAGGGATCATGAAAAGACTGTGCTCAATAATTTTCCATAAAATGTGCTCAAGTTTCCATGCAGTCGCCATGAGAATACAGTTTTTGAAGTCTGGTCCACCTACAGTAGGTTAGTAAATGATAAGGGGAGGAAGAAATGGAAACCTAAATATCTACTGCAATGAAAACCAACAGCAATGTTAGTAGGAATAATTCAGGCTTGGTTGAAAAGATGTAATCGATAATGTCAGCCCGCTCTGTTTTCCCTGAACCAGGAGTCTCCAGATGTCAACACAGAAGTAGCTGTTCACAATTGCTCAGTTACCTGGGGCATGGTGGGCCTTGGTCTTCTTCCTCTTCTTGGTCCTTTTTAATTCCTGCAATACATTCAGACAGGGACAGACAAAATAAGCCAATTCACCTACACCCATAACAGTCCACTGTCTAATCCCCACACAGGGATCTCAGGCTCCTCAGCATGAGAACAGGACAATGTGAGAGATATACTTCAGGAGGCCTGAAAGCTGGTCATGATATTCTTTGGTTTGCATCTCAGAACCAAGGGTGAAATATCCCCATTCTGGTAGATCGTTATCCCAAAATCATTTATCCCAAGTTTGTGCAAACAGTTATGCTTTATTGCTCCCATCAGTTCAAAGAAAATGCCCCAGATGATTTCCAGGAGGAAAACTAAAGTATTCAGCCCTGTCTCATCAAATGCCCAGCTCGTTCATGGATGCAAGAATTTTAGACACTGAAATTAGAATGAAGGAGGAAATCTACAAACCCTTGAGTCCAAATCATACTTCTGTGAATTTTTTACATCTGCCTGGGTCCAATGTGCTGAGAGCGGGCTCAGGTTGCCACAGGCATGGCTGGAGACTAGGAATAGAGCCTTGCTCACTGACCCATTTCATGTCTAGGCTTCCAACTGAGACTACAGTTTCATTACAACCTATATGCGCCCATAGGTCCTGCCTGCGGCAATGACGTCTCTCGGGTCAGTAAGGGGCACTTGGAACAGGAATATCACCCCTATCTGGAAGACCAGGTGGAGGCTTATCACCTTCACAGTAAGGTACTCACTGTCCACGTCAAGAGCCAAGCCAAGGTACTGTTCCTCCAATGAGTAAACAGCACTGCTGTAGGGCTGGCCTAAGTCAGGCAGTTCAAGATAACCTGAAGGAGTCGAATAACATCTATCCAGTGAGTCCTGCAAGACTTCAGGCTCTTTCTCATCCAGCAGCTCCCTGCTGAGCCTGGAAAAGTAGGAAAAAGTAAAGAATAAGCCAGGGGGAATCAGAAACCACACAGCCCCAGCTAGATTTCATGGCTAACATAAGGAACTGTTTAAAAAGAAATAGGACAGATCCATTAATGAGGTAATGAATTATTGCCTTTATGTTGGGATAGACCAGGGCCAGGTAGAAAAGAATGAAAGAGAAAGACAGGGAGAGGGAGAGAGAGAGAGAGGAGAAAGTGAGCTCAGCGAATTGGCCGGGTGACACACTGATGAAGGGGTCAAAGGACACTCTGAGTTAGTGCCCTCGGGACACACAGCGAACAGTGATCACGAAAAGAGTGGGCTCAATAATTTTCCATAAACTTGCTCAAGATTCCATGCAGTTGCCATACAGCCTTTGAGGTATGGTCAACCTATAGTAAGTGAGTAAATGATAAGGGGAGGAAGAAATGGAAACCTAAACATCTACTGCAATGAAAACCAACAGCAATGTCAGTAGGAGTAATTCAACCTTCGTTGAAAACATGAAATTGAACACACTCTTGTTTTCCCTGGACCTGGCATCTCCAGGTGTCAACACAGAATTAAGCATCCATAATTGCTCAAAGTTACCTGGGGCATGATGGGTCTTGGTCTTCTTCCACTTCTTTGTACTTTTCAATTTCTGCAATAAGTTCAGACATGGACAGACATATTAAGCTGGTTCTCCTACACACATAACAATCCACTGTCTAATCCTCACACAGGGACTTCAGGCTCCTCAGCATGAGAATAGGACACTGTGAGAGATAGTCTTCAGGAGGCCTGAAGGCTGATCACCATAGAGATTCCTTGGTTTTTGTCCCAGAAACTGTGGGTAAAATTCCCTATTCTGGTAGATCGTTATCCCAATATCATTTGTCCCAAGTTTGTGCAAATGGTTATGCCATATTTTTCCAATCGATTTAAAGCAAATGCCCCCAAATGGCTGCTAAGAGAAAAACTGCACTATTCAGCCCTGTCTCATCAAATACTCAGATTGTTCATGGTAGTGAGGATTTTACACGCTGAAATTAGAGTGAAGGATGAAATCTACAAGATCTACAAAATTGAGACAAAATCAGAGTTGTGTGAATTTGTCACATCTGCCCAGATCCAACATCTTGACAGTAGGATTAGGGCGCCACAGGCATGGCCTGAGACTACGAAGAGAGCCTTGCTCACTGACCCATCCCTTGTCTGGGCTTCCAAGTGGAACTAGAGTTTCACTCAACCTACATGTGCCTATAGTTCCTCCCTGTGGCAATGACATCTCTCAGCTCAGTAAGGGCCACTTGCAGTAGGAATATGACCCTAACCAGAAGACTCAGTGGATCCTTATCACCTTCATAGAAAGGTACTCACCATCCATGTCAACAGCCAAGCCAACACGCTGTTGCTCCAATACATAAAAGGCACTTCTGTAGGGCTGGCATGAGTCAGTCAGTTCAAGACAACCTGAAGGAGTTGAATAACATCTATCCAGTGAGTCCTGCAAGACTTCAGGCCCTTTCTCATCCAGCAGCTCCCTGCTGAGCCTGGAAAAGTGGGAAAAAGTAAAGAATAAGCCAGGGGGAATCAGAAACCACACAGCCCCAGCTAGATTTCATGGCTAACGTAAGGAAGAGTTTGAAAAGAAAAAGGACAGATCCATTAATGAGGTAACAAATTATTGCCTTTATGTTGGGATAGAACAGGGCCAGGTAGAAAACAATGAAAGAGAAAGACAGACAGAGACAGAGACAGAGACAGAGACAGAGAGAAAGTGACCTAGTGAATTGGCCAGGTGACATACTGGTAAGGGAGTCAAAGGACACTCTGAGTTAGTGCCCTCATGACACACAGCAAACTGTGATCATGAAAAGAGTGAGCTCAATAGTTTTCCATAAAATATGCTCAAAATTCGATGCAGTGGCCATGAGAGTACAGCTTTTGAAGTATGGTCAACCTATGGTACGTTAGGAAATGATAAGGGGAGGAAGAAATGGAAACCTAAACATCTACTGCAATGAAAACCAACAGCAATGACAGTAGGAGTAATTCAGCCTTCGCTGAAAACATGTCATCAAACACACTCTGGTTTCCCTGAATCTGTTGCCTCCAGGTGTTAACACAGAATTAAGCATCCACAATTGCTGAAAGTCACCTGGGGCATGGTGGGTTTTGATCTTCTTCCCCTTCTTTTCTTCCCCTTCTTCTTTCCTTCTTTGATCTTCTTCCCCTTCTTTTCTTCCCCTTCCCCTTCTTTTCAATTTCTGCAATAAATTCAGACATGGACAGACACATTAAGCTGATTCCCCTACACACATAACAATCCACTGTCTAATCCTCACACAGGGACCTCAGGCTCCTCAGCATAAGAATAGGACACTGTGAGAGATATATTTCAGGAGGCCTGAAGGCTGGTCATGATAGAAATTCCTCGGTTTTTCTCCCAGAAACTGTGGGTAAAATGTCCCTATTCTAGTAGATCGTTATCCCAATATCATTTGTCCCAAGTTTGTGCAAACAGTTACGCCATATTTTTCCAATCAACTTAAAGCAAATACCCTCAAATGATTTCTAGGAGAAAAACTGCAATATTTAGCCCTGTCTCATCAAATACTCAGATTGTTCATGGTTGTGAGGACTTTAGACACTGAAATTAGAGTGAAAAAGGAAATCTACAAACCCTTGAGTCAAAATCATAGTTCTCTGAATTTGTCACATCTGCCCAGGTCCAATGTCATGAGAATAGGATCAGGGCGCCACAGGTATGGCCTGAGACTAGGAAGAGAGTCTTGCTCACTGACCCATCCCTTGTCTGGGCTTCCAGGTAGAACTAGAGTTTCATTCAACCTACATGTGCCTATAGGTCCTCCCTGTGGCAATGACATCTCTCAGCTCAGTAATGGCCACTTGGAGCAGGAATATGATCTTTATATGGAAGACTCAGTGGATCCTTATCACCTTCATAGAAAGGTACTCACCTCCCACGTCAAGAGAAAAGCCAACATGTTTTTCCTCCAATGCATAAAAGGAACTTCCATAGGGCTGGCAGGAGTCAGGCTGTTCAAGACAACTGGAAGGAGTTGAATAACATCTATCCAGTGAGTCCTGCAAGACTTCAGGCTCTACTACCTCCAGCAGCTCCCTGCTGAGCCTGGAAAAGGAGGAAAAAGTAAAGAATAAGCCAGGGGAAATCAGACACAACAGAGCCCCAACTAGGTTTCATGGGTAGCATAGGGAAGTGGTTAAAAAACTAAAAGGATAGATCCATTAATGAGGTAACAAATTATTGCCTTCATGTTGGGACAGAACAGGGCCAAATGGAAAAGAATGAAAGAGAAAGACAGATAGACACACACACACACACACACACACACACACAGAGAGAGAGAGAGAACGAGCTCAGTGAATTGTCCAGGTGACACACTGATGAGGGAGTAACAGGACACTCTGAGTTAGTGCCCTCAGGACACACAGCATACAGGGATCATGAAAAGACTGTGCTCAATAATTTTCCATAAAATGTGCTCAAGTTTCCATGCAGTCGCCATGAGAATACAGTTTTTGAAGTCTGGTCCACCTACAGTAGGTTAGTAAATGATAAGGGGAGGAAGAAATGGAAACCTAAATATCTACTGCAATGAAAACCAACAGCAATGTTAGTAGGAATAATTCAGGCTTGGTTGAAAAGATGTAATCGATAATGTCAGCCCGCTCTGTTTTCCCTGAACCAGGAGTCTCCAGATGTCAACACAGAAGTAGCTGTTCACAATTGCTCAGTTACCTGGGGCATGGTGGGCCTTGGTCTTCTTCCTCTTCTTGGTCCTTTTTAATTCCTGCAATACATTCAGACAGGGACAGACAAAATAAGCCAATTCACCTACACCCATAACAGTCCACTGTCTAATCCCCACACAGGGATCTCAGGCTCCTCAGCATGAGAACAGGACAATGTGAGAGATATACTTCAGGAGGCCTGAAAGCTGGTCATGATATTCTTTGGTTTGCATCTCAGAACCAAGGGTGAAATATCCCCATTCTGGTAGATCGTTATCCCAAAATCATTTATCCCAAGTTTGTGCAAACAGTTATGCTTTATTGCTCCCATCAGTTCAAAGAAAATGCCCCAGATGATTTCCAGGAGGAAAACTAAAGTATTCAGCCCTGTCTCATCAAATGCCCAGCTCGTTCATGGATGCAAGAATTTTAGACACTGAAATTAGAATGAAGGAGGAAATCTACAAACCCTTGAGTCCAAATCATACTTCTGTGAATTTTTTACATCTGCCTGGGTCCAATGTGCTGAGAGCGGGCTCAGGTTGCCACAGGCATGGCTGGAGACTAGGAATAGAGCCTTGCTCACTGACCCATTTCATGTCTAGGCTTCCAGCTGAGACTACAGTTTCATTACAACCTATATGCGCCCATAGGTCCTGCCTGCGGCAATGACGTCTCTCGGGTCAGTAAGGGGCACTTGGAACAGGAATATCACCCCTATCTGGAAGACCAGGTGGAGGCTTATCACCTTCACAGTAAGGTACTCACTGTCCACGTCAAGAGCCAAGCCAAGGTACTGTTCCTCCAATGAGTAAACAGCACTGCTGTAGGGCTGGCCTAAGTCAGGCAGTTCAAGATAACCTGAAGGAGTCGAATAACATCTATCCAGTGAGTCCTGCAAGACTTCAGGCTCTTTCTCATCCAGCAGCTCCCTGCTGAGCCTGGAAAAGTAGGAAAAAGTAAAGAATAAGCCAGGGGGAATCAGAAACCACACAGCCCCAGCTAGATTTCATGGCTAACATAAGGAACTGTTTAAAAAGAAATAGGACAGATCCATTAATGAGGTAATGAATTATTGCCTTTATGTTGGGATAGACCAGGGCCAGGTAGAAAAGAATGAAAGAGAAAGACAGGGAGAGGGAGAGAGAGAGAGAGGAGAAAGTGAGCTCAGCGAATTGGCCGGGTGACACACTGATGAAGGGGTCAAAGGACACTCTGAGTTAGTGCCCTCGGGACACACAGCGAACAGTGATCACGAAAAGAGTGGGCTCAATAATTTTCCATAAACTTGCTCAAGATTCCATGCAGTTGCCATACAGCCTTTGAGGTATGGTCAACCTATAGTAAGTGAGTAAATGATAAGGGGAGGAAGAAATGGAAACCTAAACATCTACTGCAATGAAAACCAACAGCAATGTCAGTAGGAGTAATTCAACCTTCGTTGAAAACATGAAATTGAACACACTCTTGTTTTCCCTGGACCTGGCATCTCCAGGTGTCAACACAGAATTAAGCATCCATAATTGCTCAAAGTTACCTGGGGCATGATGGGTCTTGGTCTTCTTCCACTTCTTTGTACTTTTCAATTTCTGCAATAAGTTCAGACATGGACAGACATATTAAGCTGGTTCTCCTACACACATAACAATCCACTGTCTAATCCTCACACAGGGACTTCAGGCTCCTCAGCATGAGAATAGGACACTGTGAGAGATAGTCTTCAGGAGGCCTGAAGGCTGATCACCATAGAGATTCCTTGGTTTTTGTCCCAGAAACTGTGGGTAAAATTCCCTATTCTGGTAGATCGTTATCCCAATATCATTTGTCCCAAGTTTGTGCAAATGGTTATGCCATATTTTTCCAATCGATTTAAAGCAAATGCCCCCAAATGGCTGCTAAGAGAAAAACTGCACTATTCAGCCCTGTCTCATCAAATACTCAGATTGTTCATGGTAGCGAGGATTTTACACGCTGAAATTAGAGTGAAGGATGAAATCTACAAGATCTACAAAATTGAGACAAAATCAGAGTTGTGTGAATTTGTCACATCTGCCCAGATCCAACATCTTGACAGTAGGATTAGGGCGCCACAGGCATGGCCTGAGACTAGGAAGAGAGCCTTGCTCACTGACCCATCCCTTGTCTGGGCTTCCAAGTGGAACTAGAGTTTCACTCAACCTACATGTGCCTATAGTTCCTCCCTGTGGCAATGACATCTCTCAGCTCAGTAAGGGCCACTTGCAGTAGGAATATGACCCTAACCAGAAGACTCAGTGGATCCTTATCACCTTCATAGAAAGGTACTCACCATCCATGTCAACAGCCAAGCCAACACGCTGTTGCTCCAATACATAAAAGGCACTTCTGTAGGGCTGGCATGAGTCAGTCAGTTCAAGACAACCTGAAGGAGTTGAATAACATCTATCCAGTGAGTCCTGCAAGACTTCAGGCCCTTTCTCATCCAGCAGCTCCCTGCTGAGCCTGGAAAAGTGGGAAAAAGTAAAGAATAAGCCAGGGGGAATCAGAAACCACACAGCCCCAGCTAGATTTCATGGCTAACGTAAGGAAGAGTTTGAAAAGAAAAAGGACAGATCCATTAATGAGGTAACAAATTATTGCCGTTATGTTGGGATAGAACAGGGCCAGGTAGAAAACAATGAAAGAGAAAGACAGACAGAGACAGAGACAGAGACAGAGACAGAGAGAAAGTGACCTAGTGAATTGGCCAGGTGACATACTGGTAAGGGAGTCAAAGGACACTCTGAGTTAGTGCCCTCATGACACACAGCAAACTGTGATCATGAAAAGAGTGAGCTCAATAGTTTTCCATAAAATATGCTCAAAATTCGATGCAGTGGCCATGAGAGTACAGCTTTTGAAGTATGGTCAACCTATGGTACGTTAGGAAATGATAAGGGGAGGAAGAAATGGAAACCTAAACATCTACTGCAATGAAAACCAACAGCAATGACAGTAGGAGTAATTCAGCCTTCGCTGAAAACATGTCATCAAACACACTCTGGTTTCCCTGAATCTGTTGCCTCCAGGTGTTAACACAGAATTAAGCATCCACAATTGCTGAAAGTCACCTGGGGCATGGTGGGTTTTGATCTTCTTCCCCTTCTTTTCTTCCCCTTCTTCTTTCCTTCTTTGATCTTCTTCCCCTTCTTTTCTTCCCCTTCCCCTTCTTTTCAATTTCTGCAATAAATTCAGACATGGACAGACACATTAAGCTGATTCCCCTACACACATAACAATCCACTGTCTAATCCTCACACAGGGACCTCAGGCTCCTCAGCATAAGAATAGGACACTGTGAGAGATATATTTCAGGAGGCCTGAAGGCTGGTCATGATAGAAATTCCTCGGTTTTTCTCCCAGAAACTGTGGGTAAAATGTCCCTATTCTAGTAGATCGTTATCCCAATATCATTTGTCCCAAGTTTGTGCAAACAGTTACGCCATATTTTTCCAATCAACTTAAAGCAAATACCCTCAAATGATTTCTAGGAGAAAAACTGCAATATTTAGCCCTGTCTCATCAAATACTCAGATTGTTCATGGTTGTGAGGACTTTAGACACTGAAATTAGAGTGAAAAAGGAAATCTACAAACCCTTGAGTCAAAATCATAGTTCTCTGAATTTGTCACATCTGCCCAGGTCCAATGTCATGAGAATAGGATCAGGGCACCACAGGTATGGCCTGAGACTAGGAAGAGAGTCTTGCTCACTGACCCATCCCTTGTCTGGGCTTCCAGGTAGAACTAGAGTTTCATTCAACCTACATGTGCCTATAGGTCCTCCCTGTGGCAATGACATCTCTCAGCTCAGTAATGGCCACTTGGAGCAGGAATATGATCTTTATATGGAAGACTCAGTGGATCCTTATCACCTTCATAGAAAGGTACTCACCTCCCACGTCAAGAGAAAAGCCAACATGTTTTTCCTCCAATGCATAAAAGGAACTTCCATAGGGCTGGCAGGAGTCAGGCTGTTCAAGACAACTGGAAGGAGTTGAATAACATCTATCCAGTGAGTCCTGCAAGACTTCAGGCTCTACTACCTCCAGCAGCTCCCTGCTGAGCCTGGAAAAGGAGGAAAAAGTAAAGAATAAGCCAGGGGAAATCAGACACAACAGAGCCCCAACTAGGTTTCATGGGTAGCATAGGGAAGTGGTTAAAAAACTAAAAGGATAGATCCATTAATGAGGTAACAAATTATTGCCTTCATGTTGGGACAGAACAGGGCCAAATGGAAAAGAATGAAAGAGAAAGACAGATAGACACACACACACACACACACACACACACACAGAGAGAGAGAGAGAACGAGCTCAGTGAATTGTCCAGGTGACACACTGATGAGGGAGTAACAGGACACTCTGAGTTAGTGCCCTCAGGACACACAGCATACAGGGATCATGAAAAGACTGTGCTCAATAATTTTCCATAAAATGTGCTCAAGTTTCCATGCAGTCGCCATGAGAATACAGTTTTTGAAGTCTGGTCCACCTACAGTAGGTTAGTAAATGATAAGGGGAGGAAGAAATGGAAACCTAAATATCTACTGCAATGAAAACCAACAGCAATGTTAGTAGGAATAATTCAGGCTTGGTTGAAAAGATGTAATCGATAATGTCAGCCCGCTCTGTTTTCCCTGAACCAGGAGTCTCCAGATGTCAACACAGAAGTAGCTGTTCACAATTGCTCAGTTACCTGGGGCATGGTGGGCCTTGGTCTTCTTCCTCTTCTTGGTCCTTTTTAATTCCTGCAATACATTCAGACAGGGACAGACAAAATAAGCCAATTCACCTACACCCATAACAGTCCACTGTCTAATCCCCACACAGGGATCTCAGGCTCCTCAGCATGAGAACAGGACAATGTGAGAGATATACTTCAGGAGGCCTGAAAGCTGGTCATGATATTCTTTGGTTTGCATCTCAGAACCAAGGGTGAAATATCCCCATTCTGGTAGATCGTTATCCCAAAATCATTTATCCCAAGTTTGTGCAAACAGTTATGCTTTATTGTTCCCATCAGTTCAAAGAAAATGCCCCAGATGATTTCCAGGAGGAAAACTAAAGTATTCAGCCCTGTCTCATCAAATGCCCAGCTCGTTCATGGATGCAAGAATTTTAGACACTGAAATTAGAATGAAGGAGGAAATCTACAAACCCTTGAGTCCAAATCATACTTCTGTGAATTTTTTACATCTGCCTGGGTCCAATGTGCTGAGAGCGGGCTCAGGTTGCCACAGGCATGGCTGGAGACTAGGAATAGAGCCTTGCTCACTGACCCATTTCATGTCTAGGCTTCCAGCTGAGACTACAGTTTCATTACAACCTATATGCGCCCATAGGTCCTGCCTGCAGCAATGACGTCTCTCGGGTCAGTAAGGGGCACTTGGAACAGGAATATCACCCCTATCTGGAAGACCAGGTGGAGGCTTATCACCTTCACAGTAAGGTACTCACTGTCCACGTCAAGAGCCAAGCCAAGGTACTGTTCCTCCAATGAGTAAACAGCACTGCTGTAGGGCTGGCCTAAGTCAGGCAGTTCAAGATAACCTGAAGGAGTCGAATAACATCTATCCAGTGAGTCCTGCAAGACTTCAGGCTCTTTCTCATCCAGCAGCTCCCTGCTGAGCCTGGAAAAGTAGGAAAAAGTAAAGAATAAGCCAGGGGGAATCAGAAACCACACAGCCCCAGCTAGATTTCATGGCTAACATAAGGAACTGTTTAAAAAGAAATAGGACAGATCCATTAATGAGGTAATGAATTATTGCCTTTATGTTGGGATAGACCAGGGCCAGGTAGAAAAGAATGAAAGAGAAAGACAGGGAGAGGGAGAGAGAGAGAGAGGAGAAAGTGAGCTCAGCGAATTGGCCGGGTGACACACTGATGAAGGGGTCAAAGGACACTCTGAGTTAGTGCCCTCGGGACACACAGCGAACAGTGATCACGAAAAGAGTGGGCTCAATAATTTTCCATAAACTTGCTCAAGATTCCATGCAGTTGCCATACAGCCTTTGAGGTATGGTCAACCTATAGTAAGTGAGTAAATGATAAGGGGAGGAAGAAATGGAAACCTAAACATCTACTGCAATGAAAACCAACAGCAATGTCAGTAGGAGTAATTCAACCTTCGTTGAAAACATGAAATTGAACACACTCTTGTTTTCCCTGGACCTGGCATCTCCAGGTGTCAACACAGAATTAAGCATCCATAATTGCTCAAAGTTACCTGGGGCATGATGGGTCTTGGTCTTCTTCCACTTCTTTGTACTTTTCAATTTCTGCAATAAGTTCAGACATGGACAGACATATTAAGCTGGTTCTCCTACACACATAACAATCCACTGTCTAATCCTCACACAGGGACTTCAGGCTCCTCAGCATGAGAATAGGACACTGTGAGAGATAGTCTTCAGGAGGCCTGAAGGCTGATCACCATAGAGATTCCTTGGTTTTTGTCCCAGAAACTGTGGGTAAAATTCCCTATTCTGGTAGATCGTTATCCCAATATCATTTGTCCCAAGTTTGTGCAAATGGTTATGCCATATTTTTCCAATCGATTTAAAGCAAATGCCCCCAAATGGCTGCTAAGAGAAAAACTGCACTATTCAGCCCTGTCTCATCAAATACTCAGATTGTTCATGGTAGTGAGGATTTTACACGCTGAAATTAGAGTGAAGGATGAAATCCACAAGATCTACAAAATTGAGACAAAATCAGAGTTGTGTGAATTTGTCACATCTGCCCAGATCCAACATCTTGACAGTAGGATTAGGGCGCCACAGGCATGGCCTGAGACTAGGAAGAGAGCCTTGCTCACTGACCCATCCCTTGTCTGGGCTTCCAAGTGGAACTAGAGTTTCACTCAACCTACATGTGCCTATAGTTCCTCCCTGTGGCAATGACATCTCTCAGCTCAGTAAGGGCCACTTGCAGTAGGAATATGACCCTAACCAGAAGACTCAGTGGATCCTTATCACCTTCATAGAAAGGTACTCACCATCCATGTCAACAGCCAAGCCAACACGCTGTTGCTCCAATACATAAAAGGCACTTCTGTAGGGCTGGCATGAGTCAGTCAGTTCAAGACAACCTGAAGGAGTTGAATAACATCTATCCAGTGAGTCCTGCAAGACTTCAGGCCCTTTCTCATCCAGCAGCTCCCTGCTGAGCCTGGAAAAGTGGGAAAAAGTAAAGAATAAGCCAGGGGGAATCAGAAACCACACAGCCCCAGCTAGATTTCATGGCTAACGTAAGGAAGAGTTTGAAAAGAAAAAGGACAGATCCATTAATGAGGTAACAAATTATTGCCTTTATGTTGGGATAGAACAGGGCCAGGTAGAAAACAATGAAAGAGAAAGACAGACAGAGACAGAGACAGAGACAGAGACAGAGACAGAGAGAAAGTGACCTAGTGAATTGGCCAGGTGACATACTGGTAAGGGAGTCAAAGGACACTCTGAGTTAGTGCCCTCATGACACACAGCAAACTGTGATCATGAAAAGAGTGAGCTCAATAGTTTTCCATAAAATATGCTCAAAATTCGATGCAGTGGCCATGAGAGTACAGCTTTTGAAGTATGGTCAACCTATGGTACGTTAGGAAATGATAAGGGGAGGAAGAAATGGAAACCTAAACATCTACTGCAATGAAAACCAACAGCAATGACAGTAGGAGTAATTCAGCCTTCGCTGAAAACATGTCATCAAACACACTCTGGTTTCCCTGAATCTGTTGCCTCCAGGTGTTAACACAGAATTAAGCATCCACAATTGCTGAAAGTCACCTGGGGCATGGTGGGTTTTGATCTTCTTCCCCTTCTTTTCTTCCCCTTCTTCTTTCCTTCTTTGATCTTCTTCCCCTTCTTTTCTTCCCCTTCCCCTTCTTTTCAATTTCTGCAATAAATTCAGACATGGACAGACACATTAAGCTGATTCCCCTACACACATAACAATCCACTGTCTAATCCTCACACAGGGACCTCAGGCTCCTCAGCATAAGAATAGGACACTGTGAGAGATATATTTCAGGAGGCCTGAAGGCTGGTCATGATAGAAATTCCTCGGTTTTTCTCCCAGAAACTGTGGGTAAAATGTCCCTATTCTAGTAGATCGTTATCCCAATATCATTTGTCCCAAGTTTGTGCAAACAGTTACGCCATATTTTTCCAATCAACTTAAAGCAAATACCCTCAAATGATTTCTAGGAGAAAAACTGCAATATTTAGCCCTGTCTCATCAAATACTCAGATTGTTCATGGTTGTGAGGACTTTAGACACTGAAATTAGAGTGAAAAAGGAAATCTACAAACCCTTGAGTCAAAATCATAGTTCTCTGAATTTGTCACATCTGCCCAGGTCCAATGTCATGAGAATAGGATCAGGGCGCCACAGGTATGGCCTGAGACTAGGAAGAGAGTCTTGCTCACTGACCCATCCCTTGTCTGGGCTTCCAGGTAGAACTAGAGTTTCATTCAACCTACATGTGCCTATAGGTCCTCCCTGTGGCAATGACATCTCTCAGCTCAGTAATGGCCACTTGGAGCAGGAATATGATCTTTATATGGAAGACTCAGTGGATCCTTATCACCTTCATAGAAAGGTACTCACCTCCCACATCAAGAGAAAAGCCAACATGTTTTTCCTCCAATGCATAAAAGGAACTTCCATAGGGCTGGCAGGAGTCAGGCTGTTCAAGACAACTGGAAGGAGTTGAATAACATCTATCCAGTGAGTCCTGCAAGACTTCAGGCTCTACTACCTCCAGCAGCTCCCTGCTGAGCCTGGAAAAGGAGGAAAAAGTAAAGAATAAGCCAGGGGAAATCAGACACAACAGAGCCCCAACTAGGTTTCATGGGTAGCATAGGGAAGTGGTTAAAAAACTAAAAGGATAGATCCATTAATGAGGTAACACATTATTGCCTTCATGTTGGGACAGAACAGGGCCAAATGGAAAAGAATGAAAGAGAAAGACAGATAGACACACACACACACACACACACACACACAGAGAGAGAGAGAGAACGAGCTCAGTGAATTGTCCAGGTGACACACTGATGAGGGAGTAACAGGACACTCTGAGTTAGTGCCCTCAGGACACACAGCATACAGGGATCATGAAAAGACTGTGCTCAATAATTTTCCATAAAATGTGCTCAAGTTTCCATGCAGTCACCATGAGAATACAGTTTTTGAAGTCTGGTCCACCTACAGTAGGTTAGTAAATGATAAGGGGAGGAAGAAATGGAAACCTAAATATCTACTGCAATGAAAACCAACAGCAATGTTAGTAGGAATAATTCAGGCTTGGTTGAAAAGATGTAATCGATAATGTCAGCCCGCTCTGTTTTCCCTGAACCAGGAGTCTCCAGATGTCAACACAGAAGTAGCTGTTCACAATTGCTCAGTTACCTGGGGCATGGTGGGTCTTGGTCTTCTTCCTCTTCTTCGTCCTTTTTAAATCCTGCAATACATTCAGACAGGGACAGACAAAATAAGCCAATTCACCTACACCCATAACAGTCCACTGTCTAATCCCCACACAGGGATCTCAGGCTCCTCAGCATGAGAACAGGACCATGTGAGAGATATACTTCAGGAGGCCTGAAAGCTGGTCATGATATTCCTTGCTTTGCATCTCAGAACCAAGGGTGAAATATCCCCATTCTGGTAGATCGTTATCCCAAAATCATTTATCCCAAGTTTGTGCAAACAGTTATGCTTTATTGTTCCCATCAGTTCAAAGAAAATGCCCCAGATGATTTCCAGGAGGAAAACTAAAGTATTCAGCCCTGTCTCATCAAATGCCCAGCTCGTTCATGGATGCAAGAATTTTAGACACTGAAATTAGAATGAAGGAGGAAATCTACAAACCCTTGAGTCCAAATCATACTTCTGTGAATTTTTTACATCTGCCTGGGTCCAATGTGCTGAGAGCGGGCTCAGGTTGCCACAGGCATGGCTGGAGACTAGGAATAGAGCCTTGCTCACTGACCCATTTCATGTCTAGGCTTCCAACTGAGACTACAGTTTCATTACAACCTATATGCGCCCATAGGTTCTGCCTGCGGCAATGACGTCTCTCGGGTCAGTAAGGGGCACTTGGAACAGGAATATCACCCCTATCTGGAAGACCAGGTGGAGGCTTATCACCTTCACAGTAAGGTACTCACTGTCCACGTCAAGAGCCAAGCCAAGGTACTGTTCCTCCAATGAGTAAACAGCACTGCTGTAGGGCTGGCCTAAGTCAGGCAGTTCAAGATAACCTGAAGGAGTCGAATAACATCTATCCAGTGAGTCCTGCAAGACTTCAGGCTCTTTCTCATCCAGCAGCTCCCTGCTGAGCCTGGAAAAGTAGGAAAAAGTAAAGAATAAGCCAGGGGGAATCAGAAACCACACAGCCCCAGCTAGATTTCATGGCTAACATAAGGAACTGTTTAAAAAGAAAAAGGACAGATCCATTAATGAGGTAATGAATTATTGCCTTTATGTTGGGATAGACCAGGGCCAGGTAGAAAAGAATGAAAGAGAAAGACAGGGAGAGGGAGAGAGAGAGAGAGGAGAAAGTGAGCTCAGCGAATTGGCCGGGTGACACACTGATGAAGGGGTCAAAGGACACTCTGAGTTAGTGCCCTCGGGACACACAGCGAACAGTGATCACGAAAAGAGTGGGCTCAATAATTTTCCATAAACTTGCTCAAGATTCCATGCAGTTGCCATACAGCCTTTGAGGTATGGTCAACCTATAGTAAGTGAGTAAATGATAAGGGGAGGAAGAAATGGAAACCTAAACATCTACTGCAATGAAAACCAACAGCAATGTCAGTAGGAGTAATTCAACCTTCGTTGAAAACATGAAATTGAACACACTCTTGTTTTCCCTGGACCTGGCATCTCCAGGTGTCAACACAGAATTAAGCATCCATAATTGCTCAAAGTTACCTGGGGCATGATGGGTCTTGGTCTTCTTCCACTTCTTTGTACTTTTCAATTTCTGCAATAAGTTCAGACATGGACAGACATATTAAGCTGGTTCTCCTAAACACACATAACAATCCACTGTCTAATCCTCACACAGGGACTTCAGGCTCCTCAGCATGAGAATAGGACACTGTGAGAGATAGTCTTCAGGAGGCCTGAAGGCTGATCACCATAGAGATTCCTTGGTTTTTGTCCCAGAAACTGTGGGTAAAATTCCCTATTCTGGTAGATCGTTATCCCAATATCATTTGTCCCAAGTTTGTGCAAATGGTTATGCCATATTTTTCCAATCGATTTAAAGCAATTGCCCCCAAATGGTTGCTAGGAGAAAAACTGCACTATTCACCCTGTCTCATCAAATACTCAGATTGTTCATGGTAGCGAGGATTTCAGACGCTGAAATTAGAGTGAAGGATGAAATCTACAAGATCTACAAAATTGAGACAAAATCAGAGTTGTGTGAATTTGTCACATCTGCCCAGGTCCAATGTCATGAGAGTAGGATTAGGGCGCCACAGGCATGGCCTGAGACTAGGAAGAGAGCCTTGCTCACTGACCCATCCCTTGTCTGGGCTTCCAAGTGGAACTAGAGTTTCATTCAACCTACATGTGCCTATAGGTCCTCCCTGTGGCAATGACATCTCTCAGCTCAGTAAGGGCCACTTGCAGTAGGAATATGACCCTAACCAGAAGACTCAGTGGATCCTTATCACCTTCATAGAAAGGTACTCACCATCCATGTCAACAGCCAAGCCAACACGCTGCTGCTCCAATATGTAAAAGGCACTTCTATAGGGCTGGCATGAGTCAGTCAGTTCAAGACAACCTGAAGGAGTTGAATAACATCTATCCAGTGAGTCCTGCAAGACTTCAGGCCCTTTCTCATGCAGCAGCTCCCTGCTGAGCCTGGAAAAGTGGAAAAAAGTAAAGAATAAGCCAGGGGGAATCAGAAACCACACAGCCCCAGCTAGATTTCATGGCTAACGTAAGGAAGAGTTTGAAAAGAAAAAGGACAGATCCATTAATGAGGTAACAAATTATTGCCTTTATGTTGGGATAGAACAGGGCCAGGTAGAAAACAATGAAAGAGAAAGACAGAGAGAGAGAGACAGAGACAGAGACAGAGACAGAGACAGAGAGAAAGTGACCTAGTGAATTGGCCAGGTGACATACTGGTAAGGGAGTCAAAGGACACTCTGAGTTAGTGCCCTCATGACACACAGCAAACTGTGATCATGAAAAGAGTGAGCTCAATAGTTTTCCATAAAATATGCTCAAAATTCGATGCAGTGGCCATGAGAGTACAGCTTTTGAAGTATGGTCAACCTATGGTACGTTAGGAAATGATAAGGGGAGGAAGAAATGGAAACCTAAACATCTACTGCAATGAAAACCAACAGCAATGACAGTAGGAGTAATTCAGCCTTCGCTGAAAACATGTCATCAAACACACTCTGGTTTCCCTGAATCTGTTGCCTCCAGGTGTTAACACAGAATTAAGCATCCACAATTGCTGAAAGTCACCTGGGGCATGGTGGGTTTTGATCTTCTTCCCCTTCTTTTCTTCCCCTTCTTCTTTCCTTCTTTGATCTTCTTCCCCTTCTTTTCTTCCCCTTCC
Source organism: Homo sapiens (assembly GCF_000001405.40). Taxonomy (NCBI): domain Eukaryota; kingdom Metazoa; phylum Chordata; class Mammalia; order Primates; family Hominidae; genus Homo; species Homo sapiens. Next base: position 148,560,678 of record NC_000001.11, read on the forward strand.
CCTTCTTTTCAATTTCTGCAATAAATTCAGACATGGACAGACACATTAAGCTGATTCCCCTACACACATAACAATCCACTGTCTAATCCTCACACAGGGACCTCAGGCTCCTCAGCATAAGAATAGGACACTGTGAGAGATATATTTCAGGAGGCCTGAAGGCTGGTCATGATAGAAATTCCTCGGTTTTTCTCCCAGAAACTGTGGGTAAAATGTCCCTATTCTAGTAGATCGTTATCCCAATATCATTTGTCCCAAGTTTCTGCAAACAGTTACGCCATATTTTTCCAATCAACTTAAAGCAAATACCCTCAAATGATTTCTAGGAGAAAAACTGCAATATTTAGCCCTGTCTCATCAAATACTCAGATTGTTCATGGTTGTGAGGACTTTAGACACTGAAATTAGAGTGAAAAAGGAAATCTACAAACCCTTGAGTCAAAATCATAGTTCTCTGAATTTGTCACATCTGCCCAGGTCCAATGTCATGAGAATAGGATCAGGGCGCCACAGGTATGGCCTGAGACTAGGAAGAGAGTCTTGCTCACTGACCCATCCCTTGTCTGGGCTTCCAGGTAGAACTAGAGTTTCATTCAACCTACATGTGCCTATAGGTCCTCCCTGTGGCAATGACATCTCTCAGCTCAGTAATGGCCACTTGGAGCAGGAATATGATCTTTATATGGAAGACTCAGTGGATCCTCATCACCTTCATAGAAAGGTACTCACCTCCCACGTCAAGAGAAAAGCCAACATGTTTTTCCTCCAATGCATAAAAGGAACTTCCATAGGGCTGGCAGGAGTCAGGCTGTTCAAGACAACTGGAAGGAGTTGAATAACATCTATCCAGTGAGTCCTGCAAGACTTCAGGCTCTACTACCTCCAGCAGCTCCCTGCTGAGCCTGGAAAAGGAGGAAAAAGTAAAGAATAAGCCAGGGGAAATCAGACACAACAGAGCCCCAACTAGGTTTCATGGGTAGCATAGGGAAGTGGTTAAAAAACTAAAAGGATAGATCCATTAATGAGGTAACAAATTATTGCCTTCATGTTGGGACAGAACAGGGCCAAATGGAAAAGAATGAAAGAGAAAGACAGATAGACACACACACACACACACACACACAAACACACACACACACACAGAGAGAGAGAGAGAGAGAGAGAGAGAGAACGAGCTCAGTGAATTGTCCAGGTGACACACTGATGAGGGAGTAACAGGACACTCTGAGTTAGTGCCCTCAGGACACACAGCATACAGGGATCATGAAAAGACTGTGCTCAATAATTTTCCATAAAATGTGCTCAAGTTTCCATGCAGTCACCATGAGAATACAGTTTTTGAAGTCTGGTCCACCTACAGTAGGTTAGTAAATGATAAGGGGAGGAAGAAATGGAAACCTAAATATCTACTGCAATGAAAACCAACAGCAATGTTAGTAGGAATAATTCAGGCTTGGTTGAAAAGATGTAATCGATAATGTCAGCCCGCTCTGTTTTCCCTGAACCAGGAGTCTCCAGATGTCAACACAGAAGTAGCTGTTCACAATTGCTCAGTTACCTGGGGCATGGTGGGTCTTGGTCTTCTTCCTCTTCTTCGTCCTTTTTAATTCCTGCAATACATTCAGACAGGGACAGACAAAATAAGCCAATTCACCTACACCCATAACAGTCCACTGTCTAATCCCCACACAGGGATCTCAGGCTCCTCAGCATGAGAACAGGACCATGTGAGAGATATACTTCAGGAGGCCTGAAAGCTGGTCATGATATTCTTTGGTTTGCATCTCAGAACCAAGGGTGAAATATCCCCATTCTGGTAGATCGTTATCCCAAAATCATTTATCCCAAGTTTGTGCAAACAGTTATGCTTTATTGTTCCCATCAGTTCAAAGAAAATGCCCCAGATGATTTCCAGGAGGAAAACTAAAGTATTCAGCCCTGTCTCATCAAATGCCCAGCTCGTTCATGGATGCAAGAATTTTAGACACTGAAATTAGAATGAAGGAGGAAATCTACAAACCCTTGAGTCCAAATCATACTTCTGTGAATTTTTTACATCTGCCTGGGTCCAATGTGCTGAGAGCGGGCTCAGGTTGCCACAGGCATGGCTGGAGACTAGGAATAGAGCCTTGCTCACTGACCCATTTCATGTCTAGGCTTCCAACTGAGACTACAGTTTCATTACAACCTATATGCGCCCATAGGTCCTGCCTGCGGCAATGACGTCTCTCGGGTCAGTAAGGGGCACTTGGAACAGGAATATCACCCCTATCTGGAAGACCAGGTGGAGGCTTATCACCTTCACAGTAAGGTACTCACTGTCCACGTCAAGAGCCAAGCCAAGGTACTGTTCCTCCAATGAGTAAACAGCACTGCTGTAGGGCTGGCCTAAGTCAGGCAGTTCAAGATAACCTGAAGGAGTCGAATAACATCTATCCAGTGAGTCCTGCAAGACTTCAGGCTCTTTCTCATCCAGCAGCTCCCTGCTGAGCCTGGAAAAGTAGGAAAAAGTAAAGAATAAGCCAGGGGGAATCAGAAACCACACAGCCCCAGCTAGATTTCATGGCTAACATAAGGAACTGTTTAAAAAGAAAAAGGACAGATCCATTAATGAGGTAATGAATTATTGCCTTTATGTTGGGATAGACCAGGGCCAGGTAGAAAAGAATGAAAGAGAAAGACAGGGAGAGGGAGAGAGAGAGAGAGGAGAAAGTGAGCTCAGCGAATTGGCCGGGTGACACACTGATGAAGGGGTCAAAGGACACTCTGAGTTAGTGCCCTCGGGACACACAGCGAACAGTGATCACGAAAAGAGTGGGCTCAATAATTTTCCATAAACTTGCTCAAGATTCCATGCAGTTGCCATACAGCCTTTGAGGTATGGTCAACCTATAGTAAGTGAGTAAATGATAAGGGGAGGAAGAAATGGAAACCTAAACATCTACTGCAATGAAAACCAACAGCAATGTCAGTAGGAGTAATTCAACCTTCGTTGAAAACATGAAATTGAACACACTCTTGTTTTCCCTGGACCTGGCATCTCCAGGTGTCAACACAGAATTAAGCATCCATAATTGCTCAAAGTTACCTGGGGCATGATGGGTCTTGGTCTTCTTCCACTTCTTGGTACTTTTCAATTTCTGCAATAAGTTCAGACATGGACAGACATATTAAGCTGGTTCTCCTAAACACACATAACAATCCACTGTCTAATCCTCACACAGGGACTTCAGGCTCCTCAGCATGAGAATAGGACACTGTGAGAGATATTCTTCAGGAGGCCTGAAGGCTGATCACCATAGAGATTCCTTGGTTTTTGTCCCAGAAACTGTGGGTAAAATTCCCTATTCTGGTAGATCGTTATCCCAATATCATTTGTCCCAAGTTTGTGCAAATGGTTATGCCATATTTTTCCAATCGATTTAAAGCAAATGCCCCCAAATGGCTGCTAGGAGAAAAACTGCACTATTCAGCCCTGTCTCATCAAATACTCAGATTGTTCATGGTAGTGAGGATTTTAGACGCTGAAATTAGAGTGAAGGATGAAATCTACGAGATCTACAAAATTGAGACAAAATCAGAGTTGTGTGAATTTGTCACATCTGCCCAGATCCCACATCTTGAGAGTAGGATTAGGGCGCCACAGGCATGGCCTGAGACTACGAAGAGAGCCTTGCTCACTGACCCATCCCTTGTCTGGGCTTCCAAGTGGAACTAGAGTTTCACTCAACCTACATGTGCCTATAGTTCCTCCCTGTGGCAATGACATCTCTCAGCTCAGTAAGGGCCACTTGCAGTAGGAATATGACCCTAACCAGAAGACTCAGTGGATCCTTATCACCTTCATAGAAAGGTACTCACCATCCATGTCAACAGCCAAGCCAACACGCTGTTGCTCCAATACATAAAAGGCACTTCTGTAGGGCTGGCATGAGTCAGTCAGTTCAAGACAACCTGAAGGAGTTGAATAACATCTATCCAGTGAGTCCTGCAAGACTTCAGGCCCTTTCTCATCCAGCAGCTCCCTGCTGAGCCTGGAAAAGTGGGAAAAAGTAAAGAATAAGCCAGGGGGAATCAGAAACCACACAGCCCCAGCTAGATTTCATGGCTAACGTAAGGAAGAGTTTGAAAAGAAAAAGGACAGATCCATTAATGAGGTAACAAATTATTGCCTTTATGTTGGGATAGAACAGGGCCAGGTAGAAAACAATGAAAGAGAAAGACAGACAGAGACAGAGACAGAGACAGAGACAGAGAGAAAGTGACCTAGTGAATTGGCCAGGTGACATACTGGTAAGGGAGTCAAAGGACACTCTGAGTTAGTGCCCTCATGACACACAGCAAACTGTGATCATGAAAAGAGTGAGCTCAATAGTTTTCCATAAAATATGCTCAAAATTCGATGCAGTGGCCATGAGAGTACAGCTTTTGAAGTATGGTCAACCTATGGTACGTTAGGAAATGATAAGGGGAGGAAGAAATGGAAACCTAAACATCTACTGCAATGAAAACCAACAGCAATGACAGTAGGAGTAATTCAGCCTTCGCTGAAAACATGTCATCAAACACACTCTGGTTTCCCTGAATCTGTTGCCTCCAGGTGTTAACACAGAATTAAGCATCCACAATTGCTGAAAGTCACCTGGGGCATGGTGGGTTTTGATCTTCTTCCCCTTCTTTTCTTCCCCTTCTTCTTTCCTTCTTTGATCTTCTTCCCCTTCTTTTCTTCCCCTTCCCCTTCTTTTCAATTTCTGCAATAAATTCAGACATGGACAGACACATTAAGCTGATTCCCCTACACACATAACAATCCACTGTCTAATCCTCACACAGGGACCTCAGGCTCCTCAGCATAAGAATAGGACACTGTGAGAGATATATTTCAGGAGGCCTGAAGGCTGGTCATGATAGAAATTCCTCGGTTTTTCTCCCAGAAACTGTGGGTAAAATGTCCCTATTCTAGTAGATCGTTATCCCAATATCATTTGTCCCAAGTTTCTGCAAACAGTTACGCCATATTTTTCCAATCAACTTAAAGCAAATACCCTCAAATGATTTCTAGGAGAAAAACTGCAATATTTAGCCCTGTCTCATCAAATACTCAGATTGTTCATGGTTGTGAGGACATTAGACACTGAAATTAGAGTGAAAAAGGAAATCTACAAACCCTTGAGTCAAAATCATAGTTCTCTGAATTTGTCACATCTGCCCAGGTCCAATGTCATGAGAATAGGATCAGGGCGCCACAGGTATGGCCTGAGACTAGGAAGAGAGTCTTGCTCACTGACCCATCCCTTGTCTGGGCTTCCAGGTAGAACTAGAGTTTCATTCAACCTACATGTGCCTATAGGTCCTCCCTGTGGCAATGACATCTCTCAGCTCAGTAATGGCCACTTGGAGCAGGAATATGATCTTTATATGGAAGACTCAGTGGATCCTTATCACCTTCATAGAAAGGTACTCACCTCCCACGTCAAGAGAAAAGCCAACATGTTTTTCCTCCAATGCATAAAAGGAACTTCCATAGGGCTGGCAGGAGTCAGGCTGTTCAAGACAACTGGAAGGAGTTGAATAACATCTATCCAGTGAGTCCTGCAAGACTTCAGGCTCTACTACCTCCAGCAGCTCCCTGCTGAGCCTGGAAAAGGAGGAAAAGGTAAAGAATAAGCCAGGGGAAATCAGACACAACAGAGCCTCAACTAGGTTTCATGGGTAGCATAGGGAAGTGGTTAAAAAACTAAAAGGATAGATCCATTAATGAGGTAACAAATTGTTGCCTTCATGTTGGGACAGAACAGGGCCAAATGGAAAAGAATGAAAGAGAAAGACAGACACACACACACACACACACACACACACACACAAACACACACACACACACAGAGAACGAGCTCAGTGAATTGTCCAGGTGACACACTGATGAGGGAGTAACAGGACACTCTGAGTTAGTGCCCTCAGGACACACAGCATACAGGGATCATGAAAAGACTGTGCTCAATAATTTTCCATAAAATGTGCTCAAGTTTCCATGCAGTCACCATGAGAATACAGTGTTTGAAGTCTGGTCCACCTACAGTAGGTTAGTAAATGATAAGGGGAGGAAGAAATGGAAACCTAAATATCTACTGCAATGAAAACCAACAGCAATGTTAGTAGGAATAATTCAGGCTTGGTTGAAAAGATGTAATCGATAATGTCAGCCCGCTCTGTTTTCCCTGAACCAGGAGTCTCCAGATGTCAACACAGAAGTAGCTGTTCACAATTGCTCAGTTACCTGGGGCATGGTGGGTCTTGGTCTTCTTCCTCTTCTTCGTCCTTTTTAATTCCTGCAATACATTCAGACAGGGACAGACAAAATAAGCCAATTCACCTACACCCATAACAGTCCACTGTCTAATCCCCACACAGGGATCTCAGGCTCCTCAGCATGAGAACAGGACCATGTGAGAGATATACTTCAGGAGGCCTGAAAGCTGGTCATGATATTCTTTGGTTTGCATCTCAGAACCAAGGGTGAAATATCCCCATTCTGGTAGATCGTTATCCCAAAATCATTTATCCCAAGTTTGTGCAAACAGTTATGCTTTATTGTTCCCATCAGTTCAAAGAAAATGCCCCAGATGATTTCCAGGAGGAAAACTAAAGTATTCAGCCCTGTCTCATCAAATGCCCAGCTCGTTCATGGATGCAAGAATTTTAGACACTGAAATTAGAATGAAGGAGGAAATCTACAAACCCTTGAGTCCAAATCATACTTCTGTGAATTTTTTACATCTGCCTGGGTCCAATGTGCTGAGAGCGGGCTCAGGTTGCCACAGGCATGGCTGGAGACTAGGAATAGAGCCTTGCTCACTGACCCATTTCATGTCTAGGCTTCCAACTGAGACTACAGTTTCATTACAAACTATATGCGCCCATAGGTCCTGCCTGCGGCAATGACGTCTCTCGGGTCAGTAAGGGGCACTTGGAACAGGAATATCACCCCTATCTGGAAGACCAGGTGGAGGCTTATCACCTTCACAGTAAGGTACTCACTGTCCACGTCAAGAGCCAAGCCAAGGTACTGTTCCTCCAATGAGTAAACAGCACTGCTGTAGGGCTGGCCTAAGTCAGGCAGTTCAAGATAACCTGAAGGAGTCGAATAACATCTATCCAGTGAGTCCTGCAAGACTTCAGGCTCTTTCTCATCCAGCAGCTCCCTGCTGAGCCTGGAAAAGTAGGAAAAAGTAAAGAATAAGCCAGGGGGAATCAGAAACCACACAGCCCCAGCTAGATTTCATGGCTAACATAAGGAACTGTTTAAAAAGAAAAAGGACAGATCCATTAATGAGGTAATGAATTATTGCCTTTATGTTGGGATAGACCAGGGCCAGGTAGAAAAGAATGAAAGAGAAAGACAGGGAGAGGGAGAGAGAGAGAGAGGAGAAAGTGAGCTCAGCGAATTGGCCGGGTGACACACTGATGAAGGGGTCAAAGGACACTCTGAGTTAGTGCCCTCGGGACACACAGCGAACAGTGATCACGAAAAGAGTGGGCTCAATAATTTTCCATAAACTTGCTCAAGATTCCATGCAGTTGCCATACAGCCTTTGAGGTATGGTCAACCTATAGTAAGTGAGTAAATGATAAGGGGAGGAAGAAATGGAAACCTAAACATCTACTGCAATGAAAACCAACAGCAATGTCAGTAGGAGTAATTCAACCTTCGTTGAAAACATGAAATTGAACACACTCTTGTTTTCCCTGGACCTGGCATCTCCAGGTGTCAACACAGAATTAAGCATCCATAATTGCTCAAAGTTACCTGGGGCATGATGGGTCTTGGTCTTCTTCCACTTCTTGGTACTTTTCAATTTCTGCAATAAGTTCAGACATGGACAGACATATTAAGCTGGTTCTCCTAAACACACATAACAATCCACTGTCTAATCCTCACACAGGGACTTCAGGCTCCTCAGCATGAGAATAGGACACTGTGAGAGATATTCTTCAGGAGGCCTGAAGGCTGATCACCATAGAGATTCCTTGGTTTTTGTCCCAGAAACTGTGGGTAAAATTCCCTATTCTGGTAGATCGTTATCCCAATATCATTTGTCCCAAGTTTGTGCAAATGGTTATGCCATATTTTTCCAATCGATTTAAAGCAAATGCCCCCAAATGGCTGCTAGGAGAAAAACTGCACTATTCAGCCCTGTCTCATCAAATACTCAGATTGTTCATGGTAGCGAGGATTTTAGACGCTGAAATTAGAGTGAAGGATGAAATCTACGAGATCTACAAAATTGAGACAAAATCAGAGTTGTGTGAATTTGTCACATCTGCCCAGATCCCACATCTTGAGAGTAGGATTAGGGCGCCACAGGCATGGCCTGAGACTACGAAGAGAGCCTTGCTCACTGACCCATCCCTTGTCTGGGCTTCCAAGTGGAACTAGAGTTTCACTCAACCTACATGTGCCTATAGTTCCTCCCTGTGGCAATGACACCTCTCAGCTCAGTAAGGGCCACTTGCAGTAGGAATATGACCCTAACCAGAAGACTCAGTGGATCCTTATCACCTTCATAGAAAGGTACTCACCATCCATGTCAACAGCCAAGCCAACACGCTGTTGCTCCAATACATAAAAGGCACTTCTGTAGGGCTGGCATGAGTCAGTCAGTTCAAGACAACCTGAAGGAGTTGAATAACATCTATCCAGTGAGTCCTGCAAGACTTCAGGCCCTTTCTCATCCAGCAGCTCCCTGCTGAGCCTGGAAAAGTGGGAAAAAGTAAAGAATAAGCCAGGGGGAATCAGAAACCACACAGCCCCAGCTAGATTTCATGGCTAACGTAAGGAAGAGTTTGAAAAGAAAAAGGACAGATCCATTAATGAGGTAACAAATTATTGCCTTTATGTTGGGATAGAACAGGGCCAGATAGAAAACAATGAAAGAGAGAGACAGACAGAGACAGAGACAGAGACAGAGACAGAGACAGAGAGAAAGTGACCTAGTGAATTGGCCAGGTGACATACTGGTAAGGGAGTCAAAGGACACTCTGAGTTAGTGCCCTCATGACACACAGCAAACTGTGATCATGAAAAGAGTGAGCTCAATAGTTTTCCATAAAATATGCTCAAAATTCGATGCAGTGGCCATGAGAGTACAGCTTTTGAAGTATGGTCAACCTATGGTACGTTAGGAAATGATAAGGGGAGGAAGAAATGGAAACCTAAACATCTACTGCAATGAAAACCAACAGCAATGACAGTAGGAGTAATTCAGCCTTCGCTGAAAACATGTCATCAAACACACTCTGGTTTCCCTGAATCTGTTGCCTCCAGGTGTTAACACAGAATTAAGCATCCACAATTGCTGAAAGTCACCTGGGGCATGGTGGGTTTTGATCTTCTTCCCCTTCTTTTCTTCCCCTTCTTCTTTCCTTCTTTGATCTTCTTCCCCTTCTTTTCTTCCCCTTCCCCTTCTTTTCAATTTCTGCAATAAATTCAGACATGGACAGACACATTAAGCTGATTCCCCTACACACATAACAATCCACTGTCTAATCCTCACACAGGGACCTCAGGCTCCTCAGCATAAGAATAGGACACTGTGAGAGATATATTTCAGGAGGCCTGAAGGCTGGTCATGATAGAAATTCCTCGGTTTTTCTCCCAGAAACTGTGGGTAAAATGTCCCTATTCTAGTAGATCGTTATCCCAATATCATTTGTCCCAAGTTTCTGCAAACAGTTACGCCATATTTTTCCAATCAACTTAAAGCAAATACCCTCAAATGATTTCTAGGAGAAAAACTGCAATATTTAGCCCTGTCTCATCAAATACTCAGATTGTTCATGGTTGTGAGGACTTTAGACACTGAAATTAGAGTGAAAAAGGAAATCTACAAACCCTTGAGTCAAAATCATAGTTCTCTGAATTTGTCACATCTGCCCAGGTCCAATGTCATGAGAATAGGATCAGGGCGCCACAGGTATGGCCTGAGACTAGGAAGAGAGTCTTGCTCACTGACGCATCCCTTGTCTGGGCTTCCAGGTAGAACTAGAGTTTCATTCAACCTACATGTGCCTATAGGTCCTCCCTGTGGCAATGACATCTCTCAGCTCAGTAATGGCCACTTGGAGCAGGAATATGATCTTTATATGGAGGACTCAGTGGATCCTCATCACCTTCATAGAAAGGTACTCACCTCCCACGTCAAGAGAAAAGCCAACATGTTTTTCCTCCAATGCATAAAAGGAACTTCCATAGGGCTGGCAGGAGTCAGGCTGTTCAAGACAACTGGAAGGAGTTGAATAACATCTATCCAGTGAGTCCTGCAAGACTTCAGGCTCTACTACCTCCAGCAGCTCCCTGCTGAGCCTGGAAAAGGAGGAAAAAGTAAAGAATAAGCCAGGGGAAATCAGACACAACAGAGCCCCAACTAGGTTTCATGGGTAGCATAGGGAAGTGGTTAAAAAACTAAAAGGATAGATCCATTAATGAGGTAACAAATTGTTGCCTTCATGTTGGGACAGAACAGGGCCAAATGGAAAAGAATGAAAGAGAAAGACAGATAGACACACACACACACACACACACACACACACACACACACACAGAGAGAGAGAGAGAGAGAACGAGCTCAGTGAATTGTCCAGGTGACACACTGATGAGGGAGTAACAGGACACTCTGAGTTAGTGCCCTCAGGACACACAGCATACAGGGATCATGAAAAGACTGTGCTCAATAATTTTCCATAAAATGTGCTCAAGTTTCCATGCAGTCGCCATGAGAATACAGTTTTTGAAGTCTGGTCCACCTACAGTAGGTTAGTAAATGATAAGGGGAGGAAGAAATGGAAACCTAAATATCTACTGCAATGAAAACCAACAGCAATGTTAGTAGGAATAATTCAGGCTTGGTTGAAAAGATGTAATCGATAATGTCAGCCCGCTCTGTTTTCCCTGAACCAGGAGTCTCCAGATGTCAACACAGAAGTAGCTGTTCACAATTGCTCAGTTACCTGGGGCATGGTGGGTCTTGGTCTTCTTCCTCTTCTTCGTCCTTTTTAATTCCTGCAATACATTCAGACAGGGACAGACAAAATAAGCCAATTCACCTACACCCATAACAGTCCACTGTCTAATCCCCACACAGGGATCTCAGGCTCCTCAGCATGAGAACAGGACAATGTGAGAGATATACTTCAGGAGGCCTGAAAGCTGGTCATGATATTCTTTGGTTTGCATCTCAGAACCAAGGGTGAAATATCCCCATTCTGGTAGATCGTTATCCCAAAATCATTTATCCCAAGTTTGTGCAAACAGTTATGCTTTATTGTTCCCATCAGTTCAAAGAAAATGCCCCAGATGATTTCCAGGAGGAAAACTAAAGTATTCAGCCCTGTCTCATCAAATGCCCAGCTCGTTCATGGATGCAAGAATTTTAGACACTGAAATTAGAATGAAGGAGGAAATCTACAAACCCTTGAGTCCAAATCATACTTCTGTGAATTTTTTACATCTGCCTGGGTCCAATGTGCTGAGAGCGGGCTCAGGTTGCCACAGGCATGGCTGGAGACTAGGAATAGAGCCTTGCTCACTGACCCATTTCATGTCTAGGCTTCCAACTGAGACTACAGTTTCATTACAACCTATATGCGCCCATAGGTCCTGCCTGCGGCAATGACGTCTCTCGGGTCAGTAAGGGGCACTTGGAACAGGAATATCACCCCTATCTGGAAGACCAGGTGGAGGCTTATCACCTTCACAGTAAGGTACTCACTGTCCACGTCAAGAGCCAAGCCAAGGTACTGTTCCTCCAATGAGTAAACAGCACTGCTGTAGGGCTGGCCTAAGTCAGGCAGTTCAAGATAACCTGAAGGAGTCGAATAACATCTATCCAGTGAGTCCTGCAAGACTTCAGGCTCTTTCTCATCCAGCAGCTCCCTGCTGAGCCTGGAAAAGTGGGAAAAAGTAAAGAATAAGCCAGGGGGAATCAGAAACCACACAGCCCCAGCTAGATTTCATGGCTAACGTAAGGAAGAGTTTGAAAAGAAAAAGGACAGATCCATTAATGAGGTAACAAATTATTGCCTTTATGTTGGGATAGAACAGGGCCAGATAGAAAACAATGAAAGAGAGAGACAGACAGAGACAGAGACAGAGACAGAGACAGAGACAGAGAGAAAGTGACCTAGTGAATTGGCCAGGTGACATACTGGTAAGGGAGTCAAAGGACACTCTGAGTTAGTGCCCTCATGACACACAGCAAACTGTGATCATGAAAAGAGTGAGCTCAATAGTTTTCCATAAAATATGCTCAAAATTCGATGCAGTGGCCATGAGAGTACAGCTTTTGAAGTATGGTCAACCTATGGTACGTTAGGAAATGATAAGGGGAGGAAGAAATGGAAACCTAAACATCTACTGCAATGAAAACCAACAGCAATGACAGTAGGAGTAATTCAGCCTTCGCTGAAAACATGTCATCAAACACACTCTGGTTTCCCTGAATCTGTTGCCTCCAGGTGTTAACACAGAATTAAGCATCCACAATTGCTGAAAGTCACCTGGGGCATGGTGGGTTTTGATCTTCTTCCCCTTCTTTTCTTCCCCTTCTTCTTTCCTTCTTTGATCTTCTTCCCCTTCTTTTCTTCCCCTTCCCCTTCTTTTCAATTTCTGCAATAAATTCAGACATGGACAGACACATTAAGCTGATTCCCCTACACACATAACAATCCACTGTCTAATCCTCACACAGGGACCTCAGGCTCCTCAGCATAAGAATAGGACACTGTGAGAGATATATTTCAGGAGGCCTGAAGGCTGGTCATGATAGAAATTCCTCGGTTTTTCTCCCAGAAACTGTGGGTAAAATGTCCCTATTCTAGTAGATCGTTATCCCAATATCATTTGTCCCAAGTTTCTGCAAACAGTTACGCCATATTTTTCCAATCAACTTAAAGCAAATACCCTCAAATGATTTCTAGGAGAAAAACTGCAATATTTAGCCCTGTCTCATCAAATACTCAGATTGTTCATGGTTGTGAGGACTTTAGACACTGAAATTAGAGTGAAAAAGGAAATCTACAAACCCTTGAGTCAAAATCATAGTTCTCTGAATTTGTCACATCTGCCCAGGTCCAATGTCATGAGAATAGGATCAGGGCGCCACAGGTATGGCCTGAGACTAGGAAGAGAGTCTTGCTCACTGACCCATCCCTTGTCTGGGCTTCCAGGTAGAACTAGAGTTTCATTCAACCTACATGTGCCTATAGGTCCTCCCTGTGGCAATGACATCTCTCAGCTCAGTAATGGCCACTTGGAGCAGGAATATGATCTTTATATGGAGGACTCAGTGGATCCTCATCACCTTCATAGAAAGGTACTCACCTCCCACGTCAAGAGAAAAGCCAACATGTTTTTCCTCCAATGCATAAAAGGAACTTCCATAGGGCTGGCAGGAGTCAGGCTGTTCAAGACAACTGGAAGGAGTTGAATAACATCTATCCAGTGAGTCCTGCAAGACTTCAGGCTCTACTACCTCCAGCAGCTCCCTGCTGAGCCTGGAAAAGGAGGAAAAAGTAAAGAATAAGCCAGGGGAAATCAGACACAACAGAGCCCCAACTAGGTTTCATGGGTAGCATAGGGAAGTGGTTAAAAAACTAAAAGGATAGATCCATTAATGAGGTAACAAATTGTTGCCTTCATGTTGGGACAGAACAGGGCCAAATGGAAAAGAATGAAAGAGAAAGACAGATAGACACACACACACACACACACACACACACACACACACACACACACACACACAGAGAGAGAGAGAGAGAACGAGCTCAGTGAATTGTCCAGGTGACACACTGATGAGGGAGTAACAGGACACTCTGAGTTAGTGCCCTCAGGACACACAGCATACAGGGATCATGAAAAGACTGTGCTCAATAATTTTCCATAAAATGTGCTCAAGTTTCCATGCAGTCGCCATGAGAATACAGTTTTTGAAGTCTGGTCCACCTACAGTAGGTTAGTAAATGATAAGGGGAGGAAGAAATGGAAACCTAAATATCTACTGCAATGAAAACCAACAGCAATGTTAGTAGGAATAATTCAGGCTTGGTTGAAAAGATGTAATCGATAATGTCAGCCCGCTCTGTTTTCCCTGAACCAGGAGTCTCCAGATGTCAACACAGAAGTAGCTGTTCACAATTGCTCAGTTACCTGGGGCATGGTGGGTCTTGGTCTTCTTCCTCTTCTTCGTCCTTTTTAATTCCTGCAATACATTCAGACAGGGACAGACAAAATAAGCCAATTCACCTACACCCATAACAGTCCACTGTCTAATCCCCACACAGGGATCTCAGGCTCCTCAGCATGAGAACAGGACAATGTGAGAGATATACTTCAGGAGGCCTGAAAGCTGGTCATGATATTCTTTGGTTTGCATCTCAGAACCAAGGGTGAAATATCCCCATTCTGGTAGATCGTTATCCCAAAATCATTTATCCCAAGTTTGTGCAAACAGTTATGCTTTATTGTTCCCATCAGTTCAAAGAAAATGCCCCAGATGATTTCCAGGAGGAAAACTAAAGTATTCAGCCCTGTCTCATCAAATGCCCAGCTCGTTCATGGATGCAAGAATTTTAGACACTGAAATTAGAATGAAGGAGGAAATCTACAAACCCTTGAGTCCAAATCATACTTCTGTGAATTTTTTACATCTGCCTGGGTCCAATGTGCTGAGAGCGGGCTCAGGTTGCCACAGGCATGGCTGGAGACTAGGAATAGAGCCTTGCTCACTGACCCATTTCATGTCTAGGCTTCCAACTGAGACTACAGTTTCATTACAACCTATATGCGCCCATAGGTCCTGCCTGCGGCAATGACGTCTCTCGGGTCAGTAAGGGGCACTTGGAACAGGAATATCACCCCTATCTGGAAGACCAGGTGGAGGCTTATCACCTTCACAGTAAGGTACTCACTGTCCACGTCAAGAGCCAAGCCAAGGTACTGTTCCTCCAATGAGTAAACAGCACTGCTGTAGGGCTGGCCTAAGTCAGGCAGTTCAAGATAACCTGAAGGAGTCGAATAACATCTATCCAGTGAGTCCTGCAAGACTTCAGGCTCTTTCTCATCCAGCAGCTCCCTGCTGAGCCTGGAAAAGTAGGAAAAAGTAAAGAATAAGCCAGGGGGAATCAGAAACCACACAGCCCCAGCTAGATTTCATGGCTAACATAAGGAACTGTTTAAAAAGAAAAAGGACAGATCCATTAATGAGGTAATGAATTATTGCCTTTATGTTGGGATAGACCAGGGCCAGGTAGAAAAGAATGAAAGAGAAAGACAGGGAGAGGGAGAGAGAGAGAGAGAGGAGAAAGTGAGCTCAGCGAATTGGCCGGGTGACACACTGATGAAGGGGTTAAAGGACACTCTGAGTTAGTGCCCTCGGGACACACAGCGAACAGTGATCATGAAAAGAGTGGGCTCAATAATTTTCCGTAAACTTGCTCAAGATTCCATGCAGTTGCCATACAGCCTTTGAGGTATGGTCAACCTATAGTAAGTGAGTAAATGATAAGGGGAGGAAGAAATGGAAACCTAAGCATCTACTGCAATGAAAACCAACAGCAATGTCAGTAGGAGTAATTCAACCTTCGTTGAAAACATGAAATTGAACACACTCTTGTTTTCCCTGGACCTGGCATCTCCAGGTGTCAACACAGAATTAAGCATCCATAATTGCTCAAAGTTACCTGGGGCATGATGGGTCTTGGTCTTCTTCCACTTCTTGGTACTTTTCAATTTCTGCAATAAGTTCAGACATGGACAGACATATTAAGCTGGTTCTCCTAAACACACATAACAATCCACTGTCTAATCCTCACACAGGGACTTCAGGCTCCTCAGCATGAGAATAGGACACTGTGAGAGATATTCTTCAGGAGGCCTGAAGGCTGATCACCATAGAGATTCCTTGGTTTTTGTCCCAGAAACTGTGGGTAAAATTCCCTATTCTGGTAGATCGTTATCCCAATATCATTTGTCCCAAGTTTGTGCAAATGGTTATGCCATATTTTTCCAATCGATTTAAAGCAATTGCCCCCAAATGGTTGCTAGGAGAAAAACTGCACTATTCAGCCCTGTCTCATCAAATACTCAGATTGTTCATGGTAGCGAGGATTTCAGACGCTGAAATTAGAGTGAAGGATGAAATCTACAAGATCTACAAAATTGAGACAAAATCAGAGTTGTGTGAATTTGTCACATCTGCCCAGGTCCAATGTCATGAGAGTAGGATTAGGGCGCCACAGGCATGGCCTGAGACTAGGAAGAGAGCCTTGCTCACTGACCCATCCCTTGTCTGGGCTTCCAAGTGGAACTAGAGTTTCATTCAACCTACATGTGCCTATAGGTTCTCCCTGTGGCAATGACATCTCTCAGCTCAGTAAGGGCCACTTGCAGTAGGAATATGACCCTAACCAGAAGACTCAGTGGATCCTTATCACCTTCATAGAAAGGTACTCACCATCCATGTCAACAGCCAAGCCAACACGCTGTTGCTCCAATACATAAAAGGCACTTCTGTAGGGCTGGCATGAGTCAGTCAGTTCAAGACAACCTGAAGGAGTTGAATAACATCTATCCAGTGAGTCCTGCAAGACTTCAGGCCCTTTCTCATCCAGCAGCTCCCTGCTGAGCCTGGAAAAGTGGGAAAAAGTAAAGAATAAGCCAGGGGGAATCAGAAACCACACAGCCCCAGCTAGATTTCATGGCTAACGTAAGGAAGAGTTTGAAAAGAAAAAGGACAGATCCATTAATGAGGTAACAAATTATTGCCTTTATGTTGGGATAGACTATGGCCAGGTAGAAAAGGATGAACGAGAAAGACACACACACACACACACACACACACACACACACTCACACACACACAGAGCGAGGTCAGTCAATTGGTCAGGTGACACACTGATGAGGGAGTCAAAGGACACTCTGTATTTGTGCTCTCAGGACACACAGTGAACAGTGATCATGAAAAGCATGTCCTCAATAATTTTGCATAAAATGTGCTCAAGTTTCCCGGCAGTTACCATGAGAATACAGCTTTTGAGGTATGGTCAACTTTCACTAGGTTAGTAAATGATAAGGGTAGGAAGAAATGGAAACCTAAACATTTACTCTAATGAGAACCAAAAAGCAATGTAGTAGGCATAATTCAGACTTGTCTGACAAGACAAAATCATTATTTTCAGGATGTACTGTTTTCCCTGGACTTGGCATCTCCAGGTGTCAACATCAAATTAACTGTCCACAATTTCTCAGACTCACCTGGGACCTGTTGCCTCTTGGTCCTCCTTTTTCACTTGATCCCACCGATGTCCTGCAAATAAATTCAGATGTGCCCTCTTACATTAAGTTCTTCCTTGCACACAGAAACATTCCTCTGTCCAATCCTAACACAGGGACATCAGTCTTGTCAGTGTGAGAACAGGAGACTTTGAGAGAAATATTCCAGTAGGCCTGAGGTCAAGTCTTGAGAAAACTGGCTTGTGTTCTTTCATGAGCCTTGGGCAAAATTCCCCTGTGTTGGAATGTTATCTTCCCTATGTGCTCTGTCCTAGGTTTATGTACACAAATGAGCAATTTTTTCCCCAATAAATTGTAGGCAAATAGTTCTAACACCTCATAGGAGAGATACTTCAATATTAAGCTTTCTCTCATCAAATACCCAGAATTTGATAGTTTATGAGATTGTGGACACAGAGATTTGATGAAGGGGTGCAATGTACCAGCTCTTGAGTCAAAATGAAACTTGGTTCTACACAGAAGCATCAGCTATTATGGCTTTTGTGGGTGAAAAGTCAGCCATTTATCTAGAAAACATACCAGGAACATGACGGACAGATGAGCTAAAACAAGCGAACTTAGAAGACACAGAAAATGGGAATAAATTCAGTGAAACCTGGGTCACATCTTTCACTGAGAGGTAGACAAGGGTGACACTGGCCTTGGGCAGGTAAAGAACCACACAGACATGCTTTGGGAACAAAACTCATAAGGAATTTTGTAGCTGGCAAGAGACATTTAATTCAGATGAGCTGATCTGACAGACAACTCCTGGGCATGTGCTACATAGTTTGGTGTGAGTTTGCCACACCTGCCTTGAGTTCAATGTCGTGACAGTCAGTCCAGGTTGGCATGGGCATGGCCTGAGACTAGGAAGAGAGTAAAGCTCACTGACCCACCCCATGCCTGTGCTTCAGACTTGACTCCAGAGTGACTGAAATCTACATTGATATATAGGTTCAGCCCACGGTGATGGCAAATCTCAGCCCAACAAGGGGCACAAGGCCCAAAGATTATGGGGTCTACCTGGGCCATGAACTGGAGCTTTATCACCTTCACAATGGAGTACTCACTGCCTATGTCAACAGCCATGCAGACTTGCTGTTCCTCTAATGAGTGAAATGTGCTGCTGTAAGACTGGTACGAGGCCAACATTTCAGGAGGAATTGAGAGAGTCGAATAACCTTCATCCCAGGACTCCTGGGGGACTTCCTCCTCTTCAGACTCCTGCAGATTCCTGATGAGCCAGGCAGGACAGGGATGATAGAAGATTTAACCAACAGACATTAGACAACAAAACCTCCCAGATGATCTGATGGGAGACAGAATGGAGTGGTCACAGAAACCAAAGGCATTTTTCCTTCAAGAGAAATAAAACTATCCTTCTAAATACAGGGTGGAGGGTGACTGCTCTGGGGACAGAGCAAAAATGGGCAGCATGTGCTCAGTACATTTGCCACAGATGAGCCAACTCAGGGCACCCGGACTCTCCCTGTAAACTACCATCATGACTTGCAGCACAGAGAACTGACACAGGGCTTCAACTACTTTGCATAAATTGGGTTGAATTTTACATGCAGCATTCAAGTGAAGAGAGTTCTTGACGCAGTGCAGACACAGATCTTGTGTATTAAGGGCCCCATTTTCCCAATATTTTGATATAATATATTTACTTTTTCAATTTCTTTTCTTGCAAAAATACTAGCCAACATACTACCAACAAATAGGAAGAAAGCATATATACACCTCTCCCTGGATTTAGACACATGGGAGAGAATAGGCAACACCAAGAAATCCCTGTTTGAGGGTCTGGAGTGGACTTCCAGCAAACTCCAACAGACCTGAAGCTGAGGGACCTGACTGTTACAAGGAAAACTAACACAGAGAAAGGAATAGCATCAACATCAACAAAAAAGACATCCACCCCAAAACCCCATCTGTAGGTCGCCATCATCAAAGACCAAGGGTAGATAAAACCACAAAGGTGGGGAGAAACCAGAGCACAAAAGCTGAAAATTCCAAAAACCTGACATCCCTTCTCCTCCAAAGGATCGCAGCTCCTCACCAGCAATGGAACAAAGCAGGATGGAGAATGACTTTGATGAGCTGACAGAAGTAGGCTTCAGAAAGTCGGTAATAACAAACTTCTCTGAGCTAAAGGAGGATGTGCGAACTCATCGCAAGGAAGCTAAAAACCTTGAAAAAAGATTAGACGAATGGCTAACCAGAATGAACAGTGTAGAGAAGACCTTAAATGACCTGATGGAGCTGAAAACCATGGCACGAGAACTACGTGATGCATGCACAAGCTTCAGTAGCCAATTCGATCAAGTGCAAGAAACGGTATCAGTGATTCAAGATCAAATTAGTGAAATGAAGCGAGAAGAGAA
This sequence comes from Homo sapiens, assembly GCF_000001405.40. Taxonomy (NCBI): domain Eukaryota; kingdom Metazoa; phylum Chordata; class Mammalia; order Primates; family Hominidae; genus Homo; species Homo sapiens. The sequence continues at coordinate 148,580,391 of NC_000001.11, forward strand.
GTTTAGAGAAAAAAGAGTAAAAAGAAATGAACAAGCCTCCAATAAATATGGGACTATGTGGAAAGACCAAATCTACGTTTGATTGGTGTACTGAAAGTGACGGGGAGAATGGAACCAAGCTGGGAAACATTCTTCAGGATATTATCCAGGAGGACTTCCCCAACCTAGCAAGGAAGGCCAACATTCAAATTCAGGAAACACAGAGAACACCATAAAGATACTCCTCGAGAAGAGCAACCCCAAAACACGTAATTGTCAGATTCACCAAGGTTGAAATGAAGGAAAAAATGCTAAGGGCAGCCAGAGAGAAAGGTCGGATTACCCACAAAGGGAAACCCATCAGACTAGCAGCAGATCTCTTGGCACAAACCCTACAAGCCAGAAGAGAGTGGGAGCAATATTCAACATTCTTTTTTTTTTCCATATGTATAGTTTTCCTTTATTATTTTTTGTGTGTATGTATATATATATATTTTTTTTTTAATACTTTAAGTCTTAGGGTACATGTGCACAACGTGCAGGTTAGTTACATATGTATACATGTCCACATTGGTGTGCTTCACCCATTAACTCATCATTTAACATTAGGTATATCTCCTAATGCTACCCCTCCTCCCTCCCCACACCCTACAACAGGCCCCAGTGTGTGATGTTCCCCTTTCTGTGTCCATGTGTTCTCATTGTTCAATTCCCACCTGTGAGTAAGAACATGCGGTATTTGGTTTTTTGTCCTTGCAATAGTTTGCTGAGAATGATGGTTTCCAGCTTCATCCATGCCCCTACAAAGGACATGAACTCATCATTTTTTATAGCTGCATAGTATTCCATGGTGTATATGTGCCACATTTTCTTAATCCAGTCTATCATTGCTGGATATTTGGCTTGGTTCCAAGTCTTTGCTATTGTGAATAGTGCCACAATAAACATATGTGTGCATGTGTCTTTACAGCAGCATGATTTATAATCCTTTGGGTATACACCCAGTAATGGGATGGCTGGGTCAAATGGTATTTCTAGTTCTAGATCCCTGAGGAATTGCCACACTGCCTTCCACAATCGTTGAACTAGTTTACAGTCCCACCAACAGTGTAAAAGTGTTCCTATTTCTCCACATCCTCTCCAGCACCTTCAACATTCTGAAAGAAAAGAATTTTCAACCAAGAATTTCATATCCAGCCAAACAAAGCTTCATAAGTGAAGGAGAAATAAATCCTTTACAGAGAAGCAAATGCTGAGAGATTTTGTCACCACCAGGCCTGCCTTACAAGAGCTCCTAAAGGAAGCACTAAACATGGAAAGGAACAACCGGTACCAGCCACTGCAAAAACATGCCAAACTGTAAAGACCATTGACGCTAGGAAGAAACTGCATCAACTAACAGGCGAAATAACCAGCTAACATCATAACGACAGGATCAAATTCACACATAACAATATTAACCTTAAATGTAAATGGGCTAAATGCCCCAGTTAAAAAACACAGAATGGCAAATTGGATAAAGAGTCAAGACCCATCAGTGTGCTGTACTCAGGAAACCCATCTCACATGCAGAGACACACATAGGCTCAAAATAAAGGGATGGAGGAAGATCTACCAAGCAAATGGAAAACAAAAAAAGGCAGGTGTTGCAATCCTAGTCTCTGATAAAACAGACTTTAAACCAACAAAGATCAAAAGAGACAAAGAAGGCCACTACATAATGGTAAAGGGATCAATTCAACAAGAAGAGTTAACTATCCTAAATATATATGCACCCTATACAGGAGCACCCAGATTCATAAAGCAAGTCCTGAGAGACCTACAAAGAGATTTAGACTCCACACAATCATCATGGGAGACTTTAACACCCCACTGTCAATATTAGACAGATCAATGAGACAGAAGCTTAACAAGGATATCCAGGACTTGAACTCAGCTCTCCACCAAGCAGACCTAAAAGACATCTACAGAACTCTCCACCCCAAATCAACAGAATATACATTCTTCTCAGCACCACATCACACTTATTCCAAAATTGACCACATAGTTGGAGGTAAAGCACTCGTCAGCAAATGTAAAAGAATGGAAATCACAACAAACTGTCAGACCACAGTGCAATCAAATTAGAACTCAGGATTAAGAAACTCACTCAAAACCACACAACTACATGGAAACTGAACAACCTGCTCCTGAATGACTACTGGGAAAATAACAAAATGAAGGCAGAAATAAAGATGTTCTTTGAAACCAATGAGAACAAAGACACAACATACCAGAATCTCTGGGACACATTTAAAGCAATGTGTAGAGGGAAAATTATAGCACTAAATGCCCACAAGAGAAAGCAGAAAAGATCTAAAATTGACACCCTAACATCACAATTAAAATAACTAGAGAAGCAAAGCAAACAAATTCAAAAGCTAGCAGAAGACAAGAAGTAACTAAGATCAGAGCAGAACTAAAGGAGATAGAGACACAAAAAACCCTTCAAAAAATCAATGAATCCAGGGCTGGTTTTTTGAAAAGATCAACAAGAAAACCCTGTTTGGCTAGTTCACCTGGCTCATCTGATGGCAAGTTCCTATCTTGAGAGGACTATGAAATTAAAACCAATACAAGTGCCACAAATAACATACAACATTGTAAATCAGCACAATTTGTAGCTGGGTGAATGGAAGAAATAGTTCTATTCATCACTTCCTCATTTTCCCTAAATCTACAATCTCCAGATGTCACTACTGAATTAACAGCCAACAATTCCACAACATTACCTGGGAGACACTGGCCCTTTTTCTTCCTCTTCCTCATCATCACTTTCATTTTCTGTAAATAAATTCAGAGAAGCAGGTCACATTAAGCAATTCATACTTCACATATGAACAAATCACTGTCCAGTCATAGCACAAGGACATAACTATTCTCAGTGCAAGAATAAGGATTCTGACAGGAATATTCTAGGGTGTCCTAGATTAACTTTGGTGAGAATTAGATGACCCTGCTTTCCAGACCCACAGGCCAAAATCTCCCTCTACGTGTAGACCATAATGCCATATTCCCTGCCTGAGTCAAAGTTAAACAAAATTTTTTCCCCAAAAAAATCTCCAAAAATTGGTCAAACAATTTTCTAAGAGTGTTGCTGCGATACGGACTTATATCACCAGGTAACATGGACATTAAATGTTTAGAGGCATCTATACATGAAACACGACTGATAGATAAATTTGAACAACTCTTGCTTTAAAAAGAATCTGTGATTTGGGAGGCCAAGACAGGTGAATCATTTGAGGTCATGAGTTCAGGACTACCCTGGCCAATATGGGGAAACCCTGTCTCTACTAAAAATACAAAAATTAGCCAGATGTGATGTTGTGCACCTGTGGTCCCAGCAACTCAGGAGGCTGAGGCAGGAGAATCACTTGAATCTGGGAGGCAGAGGTTGCACCAAGCCAAGATGGTGCCACTGCACTCCAGCCTGGGTGACAGAGCAAGACTCCATTGCAAAAAAAAAAAAATCCACGATGCTACAAAGAAACATTGGATCAGCCATTGCATTGACAGGGTGGAGAACCAGGGTCCAGCCTTGCTTTATGGAAATATATCAGCAAAGTAAAGAAGAAAAGTTTCCGTCCTGATTTCAGGGTGACTGTGCAGCTAAGCAAGCTGACTTAAAGGAGATCCAGATGAAAGCTGAGAGCAGTGAAGCCTGGGGAACGATATTTCCAAATACAAAGGCAAGGCTGCCAGCTTCCTTAAACAGGCATAGAAACTCCATGGACATTGTTCAGGGACAGATGACTTAATCACAGATGACAAGAGATACTGAATCGAAGCTAGGAGGCCTGACAGATACTGCCTGTGCACCTCCTGCACTCAGGTGACTATGAGATTGTCACACTTGCCTGGGGTTGAGTAACTTGATACTGGGGACTGGCAGACAAAGTCATGACATTAGCTGAGAAGGACAAACAAACTCCCTGATATCTGTTTAGAAACCCATCACAGTTTTTTATTCAAATGAATTTGTGTTTATAGAGCCTGTCTTCAGAGTTTATCTTTCTCAGCCTAGAGAGAGGTATGAGACACAAGGAAAACAGAGGCTACCTGGAATAATGTGTACAGCATCCTCCCATTCAACATGAGAGGATGAGCCAATGAGAGTTGAGTCGACTTTGTCTTCCTCAAATGTGATTTTGGTTTTCCTATGTGGCTGGTTGGAGTCATAAGAGCCATGGCTATTTGAATAAGTGATGGCACATTCCTCCAGTGAGTCCTCAGGGACTTCCTTTTCTTCAGCCTTCTGCATCTCCCTGATGAGCCAGGTGGGACAGAGATGACAGAAGATTAAACACAGAGGGATTGGACCCCAGGGAGTCCTAGCTGGTTTTGACAGGCGGCATTAAGAGAGTGGTCCCAGAAAGCAAAATGGAGGTTCCCATTAAGAGGGAACATGCAATCCTGTTCTCTCTGCAACAGAGCATGGCTGCCATGGGAACCAGAGAGGAAGAGAGCAGCTGCTGTTCATTGCACTGGACAGATAGGAGCTGAGGAGGATGAAGACTCAGCTATCCCTGTACGGTGCAGACATGACACTCAGCACACACAGAGAAACATGACAGCTACCGCACCCTGTGTCTAAGCTGGATTATATTTCACATACTGTGGCCAAGCGAATGCGGGTTTTTGGCCCATCATAGATGCCAGAGAGGGTGTGCCTCCTAGATATTCCTCATATGTTACCATCCATTAATTGTTCCTGAGTATTCAGTGTTACCTGGGGGCAGACGATTTCTGCACTTTCTCAGCCACCTCAACTTGAACATCTTCATCGTCATCGTTGTCATTTTCTGTAAATACAGAAGTGTTCGTTCAGGTATTTCCCACTTCACAGTCTGCAAGCACAGTCAGCCCAATGTGCAACAGAGACATGAACATCTAGGCATGGGTCACCGTTCAACTGAAAACTCTCATGTTTTATCTTTAACAGAATGCCCTGCCATGGTTTCCTGATCCATCAGGCAATGCATTTCTGATCTGGAGGGCCACCATCAACATGTGGCCAAATATTGAAAAGACCTTTTGCTTCCCATATCACTGGAGGCTTGTGCAGCCTCTCTCTGGACGTTGGCAGCTGTCTCCCCCATCCTGCCAGATCTGATTCCCAGGCACAGGCTTGGTGTCCTGTCACGGTTTGCATTTCAAACCTCATTCTTTCTCTTAGAAGCAGACAAACTTGTCCCACAGTCCTCTATGCATCAGAAGATTTCAAGCCTCCAAGTGGCTTCTGCTGTATTCTTCAGGGACATTCTATCCATGGGGAGTGCTCCAGTCTGAAGCACTTCCTACCACAAAACGCCCCCACATAAAGTGCCTTCTCCAACATCACACGGCAAGGGCCTTCATCTCATTTTGGAAAGCAGTTGTAAGTGTTCCCACATTTGAATGCTTCAGACCCTTGCAAGAGACAATTTGTCTGCCACGGAGAGAGAGAAACTCAGGAAGGACAAGTCATTCACTCTCTGACAGTTACTAAGAACATTGCCGAAAAGACAGCCTGGGAACCTTCATTCTTAGTCCTGAGCTCTTTTCACTCTAACAAGCCTGCTCCCATCGCAGCCTCCTTCCTGTCCTTTAAAACTAGACAGATGCTGCCTCTTGCTCCAAAGACCACCTTCCATCAAGGGAGGAGGGACACTTGCAATACTGTGACCTCCAACCCCATGGGTTTCCCATCTCCGTTCTTACCCAAGAAGTCCTGGTCATGTCATGGCCACATAAGCTTAGTGGAAAAAAACACCATTGATACAACTGTCATTGTGAAAGTATGGAGGTCTGGAGTCTCTCATAAGCCTGGGATTTTGGGTCATCAGGGCCTATGGCCACCTTACCTGGGCTGAGCTTTTGGACAAGGTGCTGTGCCAGTCTACACCCCTCAGCCAGCTGTTCTTGGAGGTCCTGCCCCTGGGACTTGTCCGGCTCATCCGGAGTGAGGAGGGCCTGGAGATGCTCATTCAATGAGCGGGAGGCATCTCTCCCTTCCCGCAACTTCTCCCTTAACTGGGTCAGCTCTCGTTCCTGAGCGTGAACCAGGACTTTATATTGCCTAAGGTGAGACGGTAGAGAAAATTTAAGAGTGGAAAGGGTTGAGTGATCCGCTCAAATATTGCAACAGAGATTTCTGAGACAATGTCCTCAAGGAGACCTCGAAGCAGAAGGTCAGCACATGTGGAAAGGAATGTCTGTGGCCAAGAGAAAGAATAGAAAATGGTTTACAGGCTTCCTCTGTATCAGAGAGGGCTCTTGCAAGATCCTCGATGATGTTCCATTCATCTTTCTCTTCTGTAAACAAAAGTAGGTGTCTTCCTAATTCCATTTCAAAAAGACATCCTTTCAGTTCCTCACTCTGGCCATGGACATTTCCATGTGAAAATACACATAGTGCATCTTGCGGCCACTAGATACAAAGCCATGTACAGAAATGAGGCCAGGTGCAGATGGGGCGAATTGAAAAGATGAAAGAAGAAAAGAATGACAGGGTCGAGGAGGCAACATTGATTGAGTGAAAGAATGAGAAGCCGCAGTCAGTCAGGAGGTGATTCTCACTAAGGGTAAGTGGGGTGGTGATGGCACACCATTTTGAGTATACTGAATGCTGCTGTGTGGTTCACACTCCTTTGGTTAATTTTGTGTTATGTAAATTTCACATCAAAAATTACTTGTTTGAAAAAGAGAAAACAAGGCTCTGAGAAACAACTGCAACCCATACATTTTTACTATCCTTCTTCTCTGATAAATATTTGTGTGTAGCGAGCCTGCCATGGCAATTCCTGCCCTTCCCCTGGCCCAGCTGAGCTCTTACGTCTCCCCACTGAGCTGCTGTACTTCAGAGATTTACACACCTGCCCCCCTGCCTGCCCCCATGGGGTCCCCTCACCTGAGCTCCTCAGCTTGCTTCAGCTGCTCCGCAAGCTTCTCCTCCTTGAACTGTCGCTCATTCCTCAGCATAAATTTTATGAGGTCTTTGCACTCTTCATATTCTGAGAAAAGACAGACACACCTACCTCAGTGGAAGGCTGGACATGCTGCTGTGGTCATTGCCTACAGGACAGGAGCCAGGTCCATCCCAAGGACAAAACTCTCCCCAGTACCAGGGTCTAGACAGGGATTTCAACATCTTTACTCTTCAGTCTCCTGACTTTCTGGCATCTGATCCTCCAAAATTTAGAGATGAAGAAAGAGAACCTCAAGGGCACATCAAGGAAGTTGACAAGATGATTCAACCACAACTAAGTGGAGTCAGAATTCACAGTCCCTGAGGTCTGACTCTGAATGCGGGGCCACTTTCCCAAGCCTTGCAGCCTCTCCTCTAAAACACTGCACTGGGGCATGAAGTAGTGATTTCTTGTACAGTCGGGAAGGCCCCTAGGACTATGGGACTGATGGTTTCCCTTTTACTGGGAATTTCAAGGACAAGTATGCGAAAGATTTTTAAAATCTTTGATTTTTAAATCATATCTTCAGTTATGATTTTAAGAATCATATCTGAAGCATAAAGTGTGACACATAACACCATAAGGCCATGAAGGAAATATGCCCAAATGCTAATAAATTTTGTGTTAATTTAGAAACAGCAGAATGAAGAACTAATAGATAGTGTTTACTGTGTGCCAATAAATGTTCTAGGAGATTGACAAGAAATAGCTCATGTAATTCACTGCAGCAATTTACAGAGGTAGGTATTATTGTAGTACCCTCTGAACAGGTGAGGAAACTGAGGGACAGACAAGACAAGCAACTTGGATGGAGCCCAGGAGACAGGCCCACGGTCCCTGCTCTGTACACTGCACTGCTATCTCCACACATTCTCGGGTGCGATCTTTCTTCCTCTTTAGCAACAAGACTCTGTGCCCCAGGAAGCAGGACTTCACTCTCACCAAGCTACTCTCTGCTTTTTATTCTTATTTTTATTTATCATTATTATTATTATTATTTTTAACAGTCTTGCCCTGTCGCCCAGGCTGGAGTGCAATGGCAAAATCTTGGCTCACTGCAACCTCAGCCTCCTGGGTTCAAAGGATTCTCCTGCCTCAGCCTCCTGAGCAGGGGTGATTACAGTCACCTGCCACCACGCCCATCTACTTTTTGTATTTTTAGTGGAGATGGGGTTTCTCCATGTTGCCCAGGCTGGTCTCAAACTCCTGACCTCATCATCTGCCCGCCTCAGCCTCCCAAAGTGCTGGGATTACAGGAGTGAGCCACCATGCACGGCCCCTACTCCCTGCTCTTGATGCTGTCACTTATAGACAGCACAGGTTCTATTAGGAGTAGACTCCTCTTGAAGCCCCTCAGAGCAGGTACTGGCTACTATCACCAAGTTTCCCTCAGAGTCACTAGAACAGAGCTTTGCCTGTTGGGCCTCAACAGAAACTTGAACTGAATAAAAGTTCACTAGTCTCAGACATTTAGAACAACAGACTAGATGTTATTTGTCTGCAGGATCTTATATGGTACAGAGAGGATTCTTGAAAACACGATTGAGCCTCTTGGAGAAAACAGGTCATTCTGTGCCTGTGTCAGAAATCAATAAATGGCAGTTTAACTCTAGTCCCACCCCCACCTGATTGCAAACATGGAAAGTTGCTAAATACTTTGGTACCTCTGTCTTCCAACTTTGACAAAATGTTAAAATACCCATTTCTGTTTTCCTAGAAGTACAGGAAGGATGAAATTATTTTTGATGGAGAGAGCATTTAGTGTCTCAGAGAGAAGACAGGATATCATTCATCACTTTCATGATGGTGAGCCTATAGATCTTACTGTATTTCTTCTGTTGGTTGGCCAGGAAGCCGGACAGTTGAGTTAGAAAACATTTCTCTTTGAGGTTTCTGAACTGCTGTTTCTTCTCTGCCAGCTGGGGGCGCAATTTCTCATTGATTTCTAGAATGTTCATCTCTGCCTTCTCGCTGGACAAAGGGCCGGCTGATACCACCATGCTGACGTTTGTGGCAGAAGAGGTGGGGCCAGGGACTGGGGAGAAGAAAGGCAAACACATGATGGGTTAAAAACTGGTGAAATCAAATAGGCTTAATCAGGACTGAGGGATGTCACTGGCAGCCTTGTTTACTTATTTGAAGATGATGTTTCCCTGGTTTCACTCTTGTCATCTCCAGTCTTGATCTCCTTTAAGTCAACTTGTCTTAGCTATGCAGTCACCTTGAAACCAGGACATAAACACTTCTACACTTTTCTTGCTTATACGTTTCTATAAAGCAAGGCTTGGCCCTGAGATTTTTACCCCATGAGTGGCCAATGTTTCTGTGTAGCACAAAAGATTTCATTTTGCTTTTTTAATTTTTTTCTTTTTTGGTTTTTTGTTTTTTGTTTGAGACGGAGTCTCACTCTGTCACGCAGGCTGCAGTGCAGAGGCACAATCTCAGCTCACTGCCACCTCTGCCGTCCGGGTTCAAGCGATTCTCATCCCTCAGCCTGCCAAGCATCTGGGATTACAAGCGCCAAGTAACATGCCAGCTAATTTTTGTATTCTTAGTAGAGATGGGGTTTCGCCATCTTGGACAGGCTGGTTTCGAACTCCTGAGCTCAGGTGTTCCGCCCACCTCAGCCTCCCAAAGTGCTGGGATTAAGATGTGAGCCAGCGCCCCTGGTCAGAGACTTACTTTTTTTTTTTTTTTTTTTTTTTTTTGAGATGGAGTCTCGCTCTGTCTCCCAGGCTGGAGTGCAGTGGCACAATCTCGGCTCACTGCAAGCTCCGGTTCCTGGGTTCATGCCAATTCTCCTGCCTCAGCCTCCTGAGTAGCTGGGACTACAGGCGCCCACCACCACGCCCAGCTATTTTTTTTTTTTTTTGTATTTTTAGTAAAGATGGGGTTTCACCGTGTTAGCCAGGATGGTCTCAATCTCCTGACCTCATGATCCACCCGCCTCGGCCTCCCAAAGTGCTCGGATTACAGGTGTGACCCACTGCTCCCAGCCGAGACTTATTAATAGCTAAGACAAGCCAATGAAAAGGAGAGAGAGTCTAGCCTGACAGAAGTGAATGAGAGTGGGAGGATCATCTCAGCCCATCCTCCCACCTAAGTCTCCTGAGCAGTTGGGACTATAGGCGTGCAGCACCATGCCTGCCTAATTTTTTGTATTCTTTGTAAAGATGGGTTTCACCATATTGTGTAGGCTGGTCTTCAACTCCTGAACTCAAGTCATCGTCCCACTTGGGCCTTCCAAAGTGCTGTGATTATATGTGTGAGTCACAGCACCTAGCTCCATCCTAGTTTCTGACTAAAACAATAACAATATGTGTATATACAGCCTGTCCTCAGAATTGATCTTCCATAGCCTAGACAGAGGTATGAGACACAAGGAAAATAGAGGCTACCTGGGAGAATGTTTAGAGCATCCTGACATTCATCATGAGAGGATTCTCTGTCTACAACCAGAGTTGAGTTGACTTCGTCTTCCTCAAATGTGATTTTGATGTTCTTGTGAGGCTGGTTGGAGTCACAAGGGCCGTGGCTATTTGAACAAGTGATGGCACATTCCTCCAGTGAGTCCTCAGGGACTTTGCTCTCTTCAGCCTTCTGCACCTCCCTGATGAGCCAGGTGGGACAGAGATGACAGAAGATTAAACACAGAGGGATTGGACCCCAGGGAGTCCTAGCTGGTTTTGACAGGTGGCATTAAGAGAGTGGTTCCAGAAAGCAAAACGGAGGTTCCCTTAAAGAGGGAACAGGCAATCCTCTTCTCTCTGCAACAGACCATGGCTGCCATGGGAGCCAGAGAGGAAGAGAGCAGCTGGTGTTCAGTGCACTGAACAGATAGGAGCTGAGGAGGATGAAGACTCAGCTATCCCTGTATGGTACAGACATGACACTTGGCACACATAGAGAAACACGACAGCTGCCGCACCCTGTGTCTAAGCTGGGTTGAATTTCACATACTGTGGCCAAGGGAATGCGGGCATTTGGCCCATCATAGATGCCAGAGAGGGTGTGCCTCCTAGACATTTTCATACGTTACCACCCATTACTTGCTCCTGAGTATTCAGTGTTACCTGGGGGCAGATGATTCCAGTACTTTCTCAGCCTCCTCAACTTGAACATCTTCATCCTCATCTTCGTCATTTTCTAGAAATACAAAATGTTCGTTCAGATATTTCCCACTTCACATTCTGCAAGCACAGTCAGCCCAACGTGCACAGAGACATGAACATCTATGTATGGTTCAGCATTGTACTGAAAACTCTCATGTTTTATCTTTCACAAAATGCCCTGGCATGGTTTCCTGGTCCATCGGGCAATGCATTTCTGATGTGGAGGGCCACCATCAAGATGTGGCCAAATACTGAAAAGACCTTTTGCTTCCCATATCACTGGAGGCTTGTGCAGCCTCTCTCTGGACTTTGGCAGCTGTCTCCCCCATCCTGCCACAGATCTGATTCCCAGGAACAGGCTTGGTGTCCTGTCACAGTTCGCATTTCAAACCTCATTCTTTCTCTTAGGAGAGGACAAACTTGTCCCACAGTCCTCTATGCGTCATGAGATTGCACAGGCCCTCCATGTGGCTTCTGCTGTGTTATTCAGGGACATTCTATCCATGGGGAGTGCTCCAGTCTGAAGCACTTCCTACCACCAAATGCCCCCACATCAAGTGCCTTCTCCAACACCACATGGAGAGGGGCTTCATCTCATTTTGAAAAGCATTCGTAAGTGTTCCCATATTTGGATGCTTCAGACCCTTGCAAGAGACAATTTGTCTGCCTTTGCAGATGGAGAGAGAGAAACTCTGAAAAGATAAATCACTCACTGACACTTACTAAGAACATTGCCAAAAATACAGCCTGGGAACCTTCATTCTTAGCCCAGAGCTCTTTTCACTCCAACAAGCGCCCTTCCATCACAGCCTCCTTCCTGTCCTTTAAAACTAGATAGATGCTGCCTCTTGCTCCAAAGACCACCTTCCATCAAGGAAGGAGGGACACTTGCAATACTGTGACCTCCAAACCCATGGGTTTCCCATCTCTGTTCTTACCCAGGAAGTCCTGATCATGTCATGGCCACATAGGTGTAGTAGAAAAAAACCCCACTGATACAACTGTCATTGTGAAAGTATGGAGGTCTGGAGCCTCTCATAAGCCTGGGGTTTTGGGTCATCAGGGCCTATGGCCACCTTACCTGGGCTGAGCTTTTGGACAAGGTGCTGTGCCAGTCTACACCCCTCAGCCAGCTGTTCTTGGAGGTCCTGCCCCTGGGACTTGTCCGGCTCATACGGAGTGAGGAGGGCCTGGAGATGCTCATACAATGAGCGGGAGGCATCTCTCCCTTCCCGTAACTTCTCCCTTAGCTGGGTCAGCTCTCGTTCCTGAGAGTGAACCAGGACTTTATATTGCCTAAGGTGAGACGGTAGAGAAAATTTAAGAGTAGAAAGGGTTGAGTGATCCGTTCAAATATTGCAACAGAGACTTCTGAGACAATGTCATCAAGGAGACCTCCAAGCAGAAGGTCAGCACATGTTGAAAGGAATGACTGTGGCCAAGAGAAAGAATAGAAAATGGTCTACAGGCTTTCCCTCTATCAGAGAGGGCTCCTGCAAGATCCTCGATGATGTTCCATTCATCTTTCTCTTCTGTAAACAAAAGTAGGTGTCTTCCTAATTCCGTTTCAAAAAGACATCCTTTCAGTTCCTCACTCTGGCCATGGACATTTCCATGTGAAAATACACATAGTGCATCTTGCGGCCACTACATACAAAGCCACGTACAGAAATGAGGCCAGGTGCAGATGGGGCGAATTGAAAAGATGAAAGAAGAAAAGAAGGACAGGGTCGAGGAGGCAACATTGATTGAGTGAAAGAATGAGAAGCCGCAGTCAGTCAGGAGGTGATTCTCACTAAGGGTAAGTGGGGTGGCGATAGCACACCATTTTGATTATACTGAATGCTGCTGGGTGGTTCCCACTCCTTTGGTGAATTTTGTGTTATGTAAATTTCACCTCAACAATTACTTGTTTGAAAAAGAGAAAACAAGGCTCTAAGAAACAACTGCAACAGAGAACTTATTATTATCCTTGTTCTCTGATAAATATTTTTGTGTCATGAGCCTGCCATGGCAATTTCTGCCCTTCCCCTGGCCCAGCTTCGTTCTTACTTCTCCCCGCCGAGCTGCTGTACTTCAGAGATCTACACACCTACCCGCCTGCCTCCCCCTACGGGGTCCCCTCACCTGAGCTCCTCAGCTTGCTTCAGCTGCTCTGCAAGCTTCTCCTCCTTGAACTGTCGCTCATTCCTCAGCATAAATTTTATGAGGTCTTTACACTCTTCATACTCTGAGAAAAGACAGACACGCCTGCCTCAGTGGAAGGCTGGACATGCTGCTGTGGTCACTGCCTACAGGGCAGGAGCCAGGTCCATCCCAAGGACAAAACTCTCCCCAGTACCACGGTCTAGACAGGGATTTCCACATCTTTACTCTTCAGTCTCCTGACTTTCTGGCATCTGATCCTCCAAAATTTAAAGACGAAGAAAGAGAAACTCAAGGGCACATCAAGGAAGTTGACAAGATGATTCAACCACAACGAAGTGGAGTCAGAACTCACAGCCCCTGAGGTCTGACTCTGAATGTGGGGCCACTTTCCCAAGCCTTGCAGCCTCTCCTCTAAAACACTGCACTGGGGCATGAAGTAGTGATTTCTTGTACAGTCGGGAAGGCCCCTAGGACTATGGGACTGATGGCTTCCCTTTTACTGGGTATTTCAAGGACAAATATGTCAAGGACTTTAAAAATATTTCACTTTTAAATCAATATTCAGATATGGTTTTAAGAATCATATCTGAAGCATAAAGTGTGAGACATAAGACAATAAGGCCATGAAGGAAATATGCCCAAATACTTTATTAGTATGAGAGGCAGCATTAAGATTTAGATTAGTTGTGTTAATTTAGAAACAGAATAAGATTAGTTTGTGTTAATTTAGAAACATCAGAATGAAGAACTAATAGATAGTGTTTACACTGTGCCAATTAATGTTCAAGGAGATTGACAGGAAATACCTCAGGTAATTCATTGCAGCAATTTACAGAGGTAGGTATTATTGTAGTACCCTCTGAACAGATGAGGAAACTGAGGGACAGACAAGACAAGCAACTTGGATGGAGCCCAGGAGACAGGCTGAGGGTCCCTGCTTTGCACACTGCACTGCTGCTTCCACACATTCTCCGGTGTGATCTTTCCTCTTTAGGAACAAGAGCCTGTGCACCAGGAAGCAGGACTTCACTCTCACCAAGGTACTCTCTGCTTTTTATTTTTATTTTTGATTTATTTATCGTTTTGTTTGTTTGTTTTTTGACGAGTCTTGCCCCGTCACCCATGCTGGAGTGCAATAGTGCAATCTTGGCTCACTGCAACATCTGCCTGCTGGGTTCAAAGGATTCTTCTGCCTCAGCCTCCCGATTAGTGGTGATTACAGTTGCCCGCCAGGATGCCCATCCACTTTTTGTATTTTTAGTGGAGATGGGGTTTCTCCATGTTGCCCAGGCTAGTCTCAAACTGCTGACCTCGTGCTCTGCCCGCCTCAGCCTCCCAAAGTGCTGAGATTATAGGAGTGAGCCACGTTGCACGGCCCCTACTCCCTGCTCTTGATGCTGTCACTTATAGATAGCACAGGTTCTATTAGGAGCAGACTCCCCTTGAAGCCCCTCAGAGCAGGTACTGGCTACTATCACCAAGTTCCCCTCAGAGTCACTAGAACAGAGCTTTGCCTCTTGGGCCTCAACAGAAACTTGAACTGAATAAAAGTTCACTAGTCCTAGACATTTAGAACAACAGACTAGATGTTATTTGTCTGCAGGATCTTATATGGTACAGAGAGGATTCTTGAAAACACGATTGAGCCCCTTGGAGAAAACAGGTCATTCTGTGCCTGCGTTAGAAATCAATAACTGTGAGTTTAACTCTAGTTCCACCCCCATCTGATTGCAAACATGGAAAGTTGCTAAATACTTTGGCACCTCTGTCTTCCAACTTTAACAAAATGTTAAAATACCCATTTCTGTTTTCTTAGAAGTACAGGAAGGATGAAATTATTTTTGATGGAGAGAGCATTTAGTGTCTCAGAGAGAAGACAGGATATCATTCATCACTTTCATGATGGTGAGCCTATAGATCTTACTGTATTTCTTCTGTTGGTTGGCCAGGAAGCCGGCCAGTTGAGTTAGAAAACATTTCTCTTTGAGGTTTCTGAACTGCTGTTTCTTCTCTGCCAGCTGGGGGCGCAATGTCTCGTTGATTTCTAGAATGTTCATCTCTGCCTTCTCACTGGACCAAGGGCCGGCTGATACCACCATGCTGACGTTTGTGGCAGAAGAGGTGGAGTCAGGGACTGGGGAGAAGAAACCCAAACATATGATGGGTTAAAAACTGGTGAAATCAAATCGGTTTAATCAGGACTGAGGGATGTCAGTAACTGAAATTCTTAACTTACTGTTGTGAAAAATGTGATCACTCCCCACAGCACTTTAGGATCCTTCACCACAAAAACAAGGTTCGAGGTGCCTCAACTCAGAGCTGAAAGCACTGCCAGTAGCTCAGACTCTGATAAGAGTGAGGCAGAATGTGGCCAGCGTGCCAGGTAACCGTCTGCAGTTGCAATAACAGAATTAGAAGGTGGGGGTGTCATGGAATCTTAGGAGCTCTGCATTCCAATTGCCCAGGCTTTGCTGAAACACAGGCACCCTACTCTCACCTGAGGGTCACCACCAATGGGGATCATTCCTTCAGCATTCACTCTCAGTATTCGTGTACCCTTGTGACAATGCCACAGACCCGTGTCTTTCCCAATACATCTAAGCATATTCCTCACTGTTTATCTCTTGTCTGTACAACATCATCAAGGCAGAAACAGTTTCCCAACAGGTTATATTTTCTTAATGGTAGTCATGAAGTCACCCCACCTGCTCTCAGTTAAAACAGAGCTTAAGGCTTTTCCACAGGTGTAAGATATCAAACTTTTAGCCTGCCCTGATATCCTCCGGGTCTTCTGCAGTTTTTTCTGTATCCACTAGAAAGTGAATGAATAATTCATTTTTTTAAAATATTTTCTTTCCTGTCTCAGTATTCTTGCTGCTGCATCCCATTGTTAGATTGATTTCTTCTTTCTTACTGGGGCACCTTCTTGGGTTTTCATTACATTCTAGACCAGTTTGACATCCCTACGTCCAAAGCTCTTCCTCTATGTGGGTTGATTTGTTTTTTAATGTCACTGAGCACTACATTTTATACTTGTCACTTATAGATGTCATTCTAGTGCCCCAAGACCTCTTTTCAAGGTATCAAGTGATCAAAGTCATTTATATAGAGGTCTCCTGAAAACATGTGTGACCATCTATCTTGGGAAGTTTTGTAAACCTGATGCTATTTTGTTGTTTCCATTTTGTTTTCCCATATACTGAAAAGAACAGGGCCACGAGCAGTTCTTATGGAATATGGTTTGATATATATTTTGTTGAGATGACCTAACACCATTGATTTTGGGTTGCATTCCACTAACAGAACATGGCAAGATCAAGGTTATGGTCAGGGTTGGTTGGCGATCCTCAGTGTTGCTGTGCAGTAGAAGGTGAGTTTGAGGTGAGAGGAACAAGTAGGAAAGAGTGATCCCCTGAACCACCTCTTCGCTTTCTCAGCTTTCATCCCCACCTAGGTTTTGTGAGCCTGGAACTTGAGAGACTGTTCTGTAGCCCAGGTCTCCTAAGATTGGCTGCTGGACTTGCCTGAGTTGAGGGTGCAGTGGGTTGACCCTGGGCTGCCCAGCATTCATGTGGAAGTGAAGGAAGGAGGACTGGTTAATCCCATTTGAAAGCATCCCTCTCTGCAGCCCGCACCATCTTCCAGTGACACTGTAAGGATACTGCTTTGAGATGTATCAAAGGCTTTAAGTCAATGTATTTTCTAGGGTCTGGGAGACCTGACATTCTGTGTCAGAATGAAAATCTGTCAAGTTTCTAAATGAAAAAACTGCAGGTTCACAAAGTGTCATGGGTTACTTGAGGTCACAAAGGGATGAGTTTTCAGCACTGCCAATAAAAGCAATCACAATAATTATTCAGTAATTATTCATAGGATCCATACAATCCAGTAAATATTCACATATTTAGTAATTATTCATTGACCAATTCATACAAGGCATTTTGCTCAAAACTGTGTTTATATTTGGACATTGTATCTTCATCATAATCCTTAAGGTAATGCTATTATCTATAAGTAACAGATAAGAAACCTGAAGATGAGGGACAGCTAATCACGTATTTGGCCATATTTCCATTTTTTGGTTTTTGTGATGCTGGAAGAATGACCAGAATGGGTCACGGGAAGAGTATTCATTCCTGTATTATTTTCCAGGACAGAGGTGTGCCCTTCTAGAGTACTGGGACCAAAATTCAGAAGTGTCTGAAACCTTGCTTTAACAGTATGGGAAATAACCTCTATCACCTGGAATTTCCCTGGAACTTTGGAATATACAAGAGAAGTATGAGACGTGGGTCTTCCCTTGGCTGTGTTTAATTCACTCTTCTATGGAATACCAATGATTCTCACTAAGACTTTTGCCTTTTTATAACCACAATGTATGTCTTATGGAGAAGATTGTACACTTTGCTCTATTTAGAAAGAATAAATATGAGCAATAGTTTTAGGTTTTATGCCCTGGACTTCATATTTTTCTGATTTCTGTTTTGAGATTAAATTCTCATGTAAATAGAAAAATACTTATTATTTCTCATCAGGCCAAGTTTGTTATCAGCTTGAGTTTTTGAAGATGAAGCACAAACTTTTGATTTTATCTTTGTCCTCATCAGCGCCACTCATTGTCTCTCAGTATGGCCTGGACTTGCCCCTGCATTTACCCTCATCCTGCTGAGCCATCTCCATGCACTGCGCAATTCCATCAGTGATTCGGGGTCCTCCCAAGGCTCCCTGAAATGTGCACAGGGATCAGGACGTCAGACACATTCCAGACACAAAGGCAACCCACACTGTAGAGTGAGCAGCTGTGTTCCCACTTCCCTAATGTTCCAGTGATGTCCTCAAACTGAAGGGAACACTTTCCCTTTTTAAGGGTCTGTTCTTCATGTCTCAATGCCTCTGATCTAGTGAACACAACTGTCCTGAAACTGAAAGAACCTGCTAAATTTCGAGTTTCTGGTTAGGTGGCTAGAATAGGTTTATAAGACTTCCTTACTTACCTATGACTGCTGAAGTTTGAATTCTTAGCAGTATGATTCCTTTTCTTGTAAGCTGAGCAGCTTAGGAAAGATTGGCCATGTTGCTGTGCAAAAAGAGGTAAACTTAATTTATACTCAAAGCATGCTTGAATTTGAAACTAGGGCTTCCACTCTTCCAAAGTTGGATTGTCACTACCTCAGGCATGTGTCCCGAAGGGCTCATGTCTCTGTTGTACTCAAAGTTCAAATGGAGCCCAGCAAGCCAGATCTCCTTTACTTCTAAGTTCCCTCAACAGTTTCTCCTCTGCTTTAGAGACTGCCTTGAAAATATTCTTGTCCTGCTGTTGTGTTTTGGCTTTGGAATGATGTGATGCAGCTCAATGGGTCCTACCCCCAAGTTGATCAGAGTAAGAAACAGCTGGGAAAGTCAGTGCAAATTCAAGTTCATCATCCTCCTTACAGGGATTCTGATTCAGAGGGCTCAGGTGGGGCCTGGAATGTGTTTGTTAACATGACTCAGATGTGCAGTCAGTTTGGGGACCCGCTGATACCATCGACCTTATAGTTTATGGGATGATTCTGTTTTGCTGATAAAGAAACTGAGGCATAGACAGTCTGTAACTTGCCCAAGTTCCCCTTGCTGTAAGTCCTGGAGCCAGATCTCAGGTGGAGCAGCCTCTTCCCCATCCCCTTCCCACATTTTCCAATTCAGCTGGGTCAATTCTTTCAAAGTACGTGTTTCTCTCCCCTATACCTCATTTCTGAAAAAAGGAGAACTGAAATTTAACTTCTTTCATCTAATACATTTCCTCACAACATGCTGCCAGCATCATATTCTGGCCTCTTACTATTAAAGTGAGATGCCTTTTTTTTTTTTTTTTTTTGAGACAGGGTCTTGTTCTGTCACCCAGGCTGGAGTGCAGTGGTGATTATAGATCACTGCAACCTTGAACTCCTAGGCTCAAGCGATCCTCTTGCCTCAGCTTTCCAAGTAGTTGGAACTCTAGGCACACATCACCATTTCTGGCTAATTTTTTATTTTTCATGGAGACAAGGTCTTGCTATGTTGCTCAGGCTGGTTTTGAACTTCTGGCCTCAAGTGATCCTCCCACCTAGGCCTCCAAAAGTGCTGGGATTACAAGAGTAAACCACTGAGCCTGGCCCTGAAATGCTTTTTTTTTTTTTTTTTTTTAATGAAAATACAAGGCATGGAGATGTGGAAAGACACCTTGCTTTATTACTGTTATTATTAGTTCTATAGTATAATTCATATATCACAAAAATCACCATTTTTAAGCATATATTTCAGTGTCTTTTACCATATTCCAAAAGTTCTGCAACCATCACCACTACCTAATTCCAGAATATTTTCATAATGCCAAAAAGCATGCCTGTACCTATGGGCAGTCACTCTCCAATTCCCCACTTCTTACAGTCTCTGACAACCACTAATCTACTTTCTCTATATATAGATGTACTTGTTCTGGGCACTTAATTCAACAAATGGTCCTGGGACAACTAAATATCCACATGTAAAAGAATCAAGTTAGACTCCCTCCTCGCACATAAAAATTAACTCAAAATGGATCAGAGACCTAAAGGTAGGTGGTAAAATTATAAATCACTTAGAAATAGTAAATCTTTGTAATGTGGGATAAGCAAAGTTTTCACAAATATGACTGAAAGCACAAGCAACAAAAGAAAAAATAAATTGTATTCCATCAAGTTAAAAACATTTGGGCTGAAAAGTCTATCATCAAGAATGTGAAAAGACAGTACATAGAATGACAGAAAATATCTGCAAATCATATTATCTGATAAGAGACTTGTATTTAGGATATATTTTTTAAAAACTATTACAGTTCAATATTAAAAAGATAAACCAATTATAAAGTAGGTAAAGGATCTGAACAGACATTCTCCAAAGAAGATACATAATGACTAATAAGTATATGAAAAGATGTTGAAAATCATCAACCATCAGGGAAATGTAAATCAAAACCACAATGAGATAAACACTTCACATTACAGATGAATATAATAAAAAAGACAGACAATAACAACTGTTGATGAGGATGTGGAGAAACTGGAATTCTCATACACTGCTGGTTGGAATGTAAAATAATGTACCCACTTCAGAACAGTCTGACAGTTCCTGAAAAGGTTAAACAGCATTACCATCTGACGCAGCAATTCTGCTCCTAGGTATATATCCAAGAAATATGAAGATAAATGTCTACCAAAAAATTGTACAAGAATGTTCATAACAGAATTATTGATAATACTCAAAAAGTAGAAGCAACTCAAATGTCAATCAACTGATGATGGATAAATAAAATGATAAAATGTGGTAAATCCATATGATAAAATATTATTCAGCCATAAAAAGGCACAGAGTACTGACAAATGCTACCACATCAATGAACTTTGAAAACCTCATGCTAAGTGAAAGAAGCTGTCATAAATTACTACATGCTGCATGTTTCCATTTGTATGAAATGTCCAGAAGAGGCATTTCTGGAACAGAAGCTTTACCCAATTGCAGTCCATATGTTTTCTGGGATCCCGGAGTTCCCTTTCAACAATGTAAAATACAAACTTAGGTCAAAAGTTCCCATGTCTGAGAAAACTCAAGCCAAATCAGTTCTCCTCCAAAGTTGACAGGATTTATGCTTTAAAAATACAGATACAGAATTCTCTTTGGAAAGATCTACCAAATTCCTGTAAGAAACAGTCTACCCAAAGTAGGGGAAAGGCTATATGAAAAGTTACAAGGCACTTCTTAAAAATATATCTTAGGTTTTTAGGGAAAGGTAAACAGACAAGTTTCCAGACCCGTGGGTGGAATGGATGTAGCAGATTCACTGAGAGGCTCACAGCGCCGTACTAAAGGGAGTCTACTGCTTAAAGCCAATTCACATCCTTAAAAGGTCAAATGGAGAGAAATTAAACTTGGGAGAAGCATTTTAAGACTGTGCTGTTATAAAACCTCGGGCCACTTAACTGATTAATCATGGCAATGAGGGCAGGGACCAGAAAAGAGTCTTTAGAACCTGTCATCCCCACACAGAAGAGCAACTTTCAGGGAAACACCCTTATCTTTCCATTTTCAGACCCCGGGAGGTGTGAGGGTGGAAAGGCTAGGTAGAGAAGAGAGCAGAAAGGAGATGAGATGACACAACCAGGATTCTCCGAAGCTGGGCTTGAAGTCCTCAAGAAAAACTCCCATGAACAAGGAAGGAAGAGTGAAGAAAAAAACAGGGATACCTGGAACTGGACAAAAGTAAAAAGATAGAAGGATACTTTTTTTCCCCCAGAAGAAGTCTGTCACAAAAGCAAACCTGCAAATATACGATCAGTATAACACCCAAGAAAATGACACATGCGGCCAGGCATGGTGGCTCATGCCTGGAATCCCAGCACTTTGAGAAGCCGAGGCAGGTGGATCACCTGAGATCAGGAGTTCGAGGCCAACCTGACCAACATGGTGAAACCCCATCTCTACTAAAAATACAAAAATTAGCTGAGCATGGTGGCAGGCACCTGTAGTCCCAGCTACTTGGAAGGCTGAGACATGAGAATAGCTTGAACCCGGGAGGTGGAGGTTGCAGTGAGCCAAGATAGCACCATTG
This sequence comes from Homo sapiens, assembly GCF_000001405.40. Taxonomy (NCBI): domain Eukaryota; kingdom Metazoa; phylum Chordata; class Mammalia; order Primates; family Hominidae; genus Homo; species Homo sapiens. Next base: position 148,602,224 of record NC_000001.11, read on the forward strand.
CACTCCAGCCTGGGAGAAAGAGCGATGCTCCGTCTCAAAAAAAAAAAAAAAAAAAAAGAAAAGAAAAGAAAATGACACATGCCCCCAAGTGTGAGAATGCAAGAGGGAATCCCTGACCTATCCCTATCCAACCAGTTTTCTTGGCACACACCTTCCATTCTCTGAATGAGCCCAGATTAACTCACTGACCCCTGTGCCACGTATCTCCCACTCCATCACCCGCCCAGGCTCACTGCTTCCACCTGCGTCCCTTCATATCTCCCTACTGACCTCCACTTTTTTCTAACTTTGTCACCAAAGAAGTCACAGAAATAAATAGGAGGATTCAAAAAGAATAATTTCAGTACATTTAAAAAATTGTAGAATATAGGATTCTCATCTATGTTTATCACGTTCATTCATTTTTCAAATTTTCATTGTGGCACCATTTTATGACAGGCACTATGCTGGGGATGCTGGCGACTAGGGTAGGGAGTTAAAATGAGAGTGTCTACTTGGAAAGATGAACAGATAAATAATCACCGTGATAAGTGCTGTGCTAGAGATATGCAGATGTCAAAAGACCTTAGAAGGTCTACAATCCACTTGGAGGGTAGGGAATATAGAAGGCATTTCAGTGAAATAGGGTGCCTTTGACAAATCATTAAGAATGAGTTCTACATTAAAAAGGGGAAGAGAGGGTGATAGCTGAGGAGGCAGCATAGGCAAGAACATCCAGCATGAAAGAACAGTGAAGGACATCAGGAACATCTTTCAGGAACATCAGGTAAAACAGACTTAGGGCCCAAGTCAAAGGAGCTAAAATAATACACCCTGGAAAGTGGTATGATCATTTCTGCATCTGCTCCAGAGAAACCTGCCAAAATATGATTAGCATAATACCCAAGAGAACATCACATTCCCCATGTGTGAAAATGCAAGAGGGAGTTATTTCTAATAGTTCATAAGCTCAGCAACAACAGAGTAGACACAAAAGCCATAGAATGTGCTTAGGCTTTACTTTAATGATATAGGGATATCACATATCATCAGCCTGTGGAGTACAGAGGTAGTTTACAAAGGATAAACCTTCATTGTTTGGAAAGGAAAGATCAGAGAGCTCTTTATGAAGTTTAAACAAAATCAGAGAAATAAAGAGATGTGGGAAAGAAAGAAAAAAAAGAAAGTACATTGAGGACAGTCCAATCTAACTGTGAACTCATAAGGGACAGCCAGTAAATTCAAAACAGCCTACTGTTTTTTGATTACTTGTGCTACTCTATTAAAATAGCCACAAACACAAAACTAGTCTACCTCTTTCTCTCCCCATTATTGGCCCTAACCCAAAAATAGTGGGAGTAAATGATTTAATAATTTATTTTCATGCTCCATTTTGTTCTTAAGTTAAAATTACTGTGGTTGGTGCCCCTCCTTTAGCTTCTGCTAAAGACTTTACATAATGAAAGCTCATGAAGTGTCTGGATTACTAACAGTTACTTATCCAAAAAGATGAGACATGGTTCATTGATTTGATTCTATTAGTTCTCTCTTGAAGATATTTTTCTCCTCCCTCTGTGAAGAAACATTTCTTTCTGTGTCATACAAGATGAGTCATTTTTGTAGTTTTAATTCCCTCTTGAGTCCTACAATAATACTAAAATACTCACAGTGACTACAGTATCCTTTGCAGGGAAAAAATTGTAAATTAACCATTTAAATATAGTCACTAAGTTATGTGGCATTCACTGACTCAGAGTTGAAAAAGACTCCAAAATTCTTATCCAGTATTAGAGTATACAAGGACAAAAGGAGAGGCCAAACTAAGTCTAGGACGCACAATACAAAGAAGAAAATGAGAAGACCAAAGTTACAGTCTCAATACTATGACATGATACTAAACCATACAGTCAGTCAGCCAATATATATTTGTGGGCCTAGTATATACTGGGCACTGTTTGTAGGTGTTTGGGTTACATCAGTAAACAAAAACAAAGATACTAGTTTTCATTCTGGAGAGGGTAAGAGGCAGTAGAATTTGGAAAAGACAGACAATGAACAATAGACATAATGAAGTAAATTATATAGTATAAATTATATAGTAAGAAGATAAGAGTTACAGAAAAAGAAAACAAAAAGTAGACCAGGGTTAGTAATTAAGGGGGTGGGGGACAGTTACAATTTTAAATAGGGTGGTTAGAGTAACCCTCAATTAGAAGTGCCAAGACGTGAAATGCAGTGGAAGCAACCATTTGAAAGTTGCAGAATACTTTAACAAGCTACTTTGCCTCCTGCTGACTTTGTTTCCCCATTTTTAGAACTGAAATAATAATTCTCATCAAATAAGGGTGCTATTTACATTGAGATAGTGACTATTACTATAAGTAACATTTTAGTCTCTTGACAAGCATGGGAAGCAATGGAATGAAGGGCAATGGAAGGAAGGGCACTGCATTATGAAAAGGACTTTTTAAAAGAAAACCATCTCTAGGCACTATTCCCCTTTGTGGAAATGAAGAGAATATTTTCTGAACTCCACCTGGGACATATGAACAATGAGCATGAAATCTTACAAACTGTATAAATAACATTTATTCACAGTGTCACTGCATCATCTATTGTTTTGAATTCTCTTTAAATTTCCTTCTATATATTTATCCAAAGCTGAAGTCATCTGGTTTAGATTATGGGACCCTGAAAAGCAAGAACTAGTCTATGTAACTACTTTTAAACATCTGCACAACGCCATATACACACACACACACACACACACACACACACACACACACACATTGATATGTAACAAGTACTATTTGATTATAATTAGGAGTGTCTTGGTTTTCTTATAACATGAACATATATTTTTAACCCAAACAGCTTAAAGCATTTAACGAAAAGTTTTACACACCTACAAAGTGCTTTCAGGAAGCAGATGTGCAGTGCAATGTGGCGCAGTAAGATGCACAAAGCAAAGGCTTTGAAAATAAACTGCCTCGGTTTCAGGACCCAGCCTAACCACATATTAGCTGTACAACTTTGGGTGAATCACTTAACATCTCCAAACTTCAGTTACTTCATGTGGGAAGACTTGAAAAATAATACCTGGTCCCAAGATTTTTGTGTAATTGAGCTAATAAGCATGGAAGTACCTGGCACAGTTCCTGAGTCACCAAAAAAATGTCAGTTTTCTCTTCATTGAATCTCCCCATTCCCACTCCTCATGCTAATCTCCCCTCCCACACACACACACACCATCAGTGAGTAAATAAGTGTCTTGCGTTAAACTACAACCAGAGAATAAGAGACAGCCAAGATTTCCTTACTCTATTTCACTAGCCCTGGCAGCCTCTCAGCTGCAGAATCCTTGGTTATTTCCTTTCTCAAGGAGGAGATACTATTCTAGTTTGACAGATCCTTTCCTGGACACACTCTCAGAATTCCCTAAGGTTCTTATCGTGGCTAATGGATAACAATGCAGAGGCTATGGGAGTGAATAATCACTCTCTCTCAGCTAAAAACTTCCTTTATTGACTTCTCTAACTTCCCGTCAACATCTTGCTGCCAAATCAACCTCTTGTTCTAGGCAATTATTAAAAGCAATTTTCTTGAAACTGAAAAACACATTTAGCCTTCAACAATAAATCACACTAACATCAATTACTAGCCAATTAGATTACTAGAATATCAGACCCAGAGATATTTGCAGTGTTGAAATATTTTCAAAATAAAGTTGTTTACATTTCTATTTCTGTCTTTAATCCTTAAAATGCAAACAAATACAGGAGTGAAGACAGATGTATTTTAGTTATTTCTTCTACAAGATAAAGTGGATAGTAATATTATGTTAAGAAAATACTTATTTAGTATCTAGAATGATAGCATTATCTATTCTTTATTAAAAGAGAAACTAAAAGTAATATAATTAAATAGCTTGTTCTTGTGACTTAAATAATATAAAATTTTCATTTCAATTATGTGACAATGCTTTGTATAGCTGTATTCCAAATACATAGCATGGTGCCTAGAACATAGCAGGCAGTCAATACATTTTTACCAAATGAAATGAATAAATTACCAGTTGATTTTATACTGAGGACCAAACTATGACCTTTAATCCCTCCAAAATAAAACACACAATCCCATTATATGTGAACCATATCCACAATACCAGAATCTAAGATTCCCACTCTGAAAGAGTAACTAGAACAACTTCTTTTTGAGGCAATTCTGCTTACTTAGCACATTACTCCCCCCTACAGTTTTCCTTCTTTTGTTTTTGTACTAAGGATATTTGTATAAAAACAGGATCTTTGTGGCTTAGTAATTCATCTGATTCAGCTGCTTGTATTCTGTTCCCAATCAAAATTCTTGGTTTTCAGCCTCCTCATCATTTTTATAAGGAGTTGAATGAATTGGTCAAGCTTGTTCCTTTCTCCCTCTCCATGGAACACCAGGCCCCAAGCTCCCCGACACTGCTCCTCTTTTTATTTCTATCTTTGGGTTGTGTGTACACTCTAGAACACTTGTATCAGTGAAGAGTGTAACAAAGTATTGTGCCACGCATAGTCTCTCATATATCATCTATCAGCTCATCAAAAAGTGCTCACTGATTAACAGAGGATCCCCTCCTCAGTTTCAGAATTCTCTAGCTTTAAGTTAGGGGAGGGTTACCCCAAAGTCAGAGAGGGTACATGGGAGAGGGTTGTGAAGGCCAGTAGCCCAGAGAAAATCAAGGGCAGCTGGGTGCATTTAGGTGGATAAGAAAACAATGAATTACTCCATCAAAAGCAAAAGCACAAGCACATAGTAAAGTTGATCACCCACTGTTAATGTCAATTCAGTTTAAAGCACTTTATTAACCACACATACATATTTTCCAGTGTCTAATTCTCATCGTGTTCTTTTCCATTCCAGACTTCCCTGTCTCTTTCCCAGAGCTCTGTTCCTCTTCTCACTGTTTCTACAAAAGGGACAATAAACAATTTTCTAGCCACTCATCATCATAAACCCTGACATGCTAAATTATCCCCTGCTCAGTTTATGGACCACAGTGGGCCCATAAAACTCCTCCCTCACTAGCAACCCACCCCACACAAAATTCTCACTTCCCTTTTTCCTTGCGCTTCCTAAAAAAAGCAATTGAGCCACACCCACTACCTCCTGTGCTAGGGGTTTGTCCCCTAATCCTGGGACACTAGGGAGCTCCTTACCTGGAAGGCAGTTGCACTCAAAAGTGAAGTCACCAGTCTGCCGACAGGTGCCTCCATTGACACAAGGCGAGGGTGCACAGGGCACATACAGGCTGTCACAGTACTGGCCTGTGAAGCCCTGAAGGCACTGGCACTGGTAGGAACCAGGCAGGTTGAGGCAGATGCCACCATGCTGGCAGTGTCCTGGAATGTCACACTCATTGACATCAGTCTCACACTTCTGCCCTGTGAAGCCTGTGAGGCATTTGCAGGAGAACTGGTTGGCCACAGTGGTACAGGTACTTCCATTTGCACAGGGATGAGACAGGCAGGCATCGGTCCATTGGCACTCCTTACCTAAAGGAAGGATAACAAAACTCAGTACTGGCCACAGAAATAGGAGATGGCCCCATCCTCAATACCTCATTGACATCAGCGAGCTCTTGCGTGGAGAAGACCTCAACTCTTTGCATTTTACAAAAGGCTAAATCAGAGCCTCCTCAAGGTCATCTGACACAGAGCTCTCTCCAGTAACTCTCCAAGGACCTCAGCAGAGACACAAGGACTCAGTGGGTGGAGCACCTGGAGGCAATTGTAGGTTAGTCACATTGAAGCCCAATCCTGCAGGACGCTATCAGCAATAGGAGTCTGGATCCATCTACTCTCTCAGAGCTCACTGTCTTTGCATATGCTGCTCCTGTTTGAATATCAACTTCCGGGCCAGGAGCAGTGGCTCACACCTGTAATTCCAGCACTTTGGAAGGCCGAGGCAGGCAGATCATGAGGTAAGGAGTTCAAGACCAGCCCAGCCAATATGGTGAAACCCTGTCTCTACTAAAAATACAAAAATTAGCTGGGCATGGTGGCGCGCACCTGTAATCCCAGCTACTTGGAAGGCTGAGGCAGAAGAATCACTTGAACCCAGGAGGCGGAGGTTGCAGTGAGCCGAGATTGTACCACTGCACTCCAGCCTGGGCAACACAGCAAGACTCCATTTCAAAAAAAAAAAAAAATCAACTTCCCTTCTGTTTTCCTAGTGAACTCTCCCTATCTTGGCAACTCTACTCAAAAGTTCCAACCTCTGTAAAGTCATCCTTAGTGCCCCTCACATACATACATGTGCGCAAACACAGATACACCAAGTTTGCTATTTTCTTCTATTATACCACCTGCCACACTGGCAGGGTTGGGTCTCCGTGGTATGCTCTCAAATCATGTCTGTTGAATGGATAAAATATATCGATATTTTCCACAAAATATAGTTACTAAATAGACCTCTGGTGATAGAAACAAGTCAATACTACTTCTGTTTCCTCTAAATGTAACACACACATATATTCTGGGAAACATTTTATTAATTGTGGCCTTGCTATAAATATCTGTTGATGTGTTTGAAAATGATGAAGGACCTCTGGGTCCCTATATAACAAATGAAATAGAAGCCATCAGGAGGACAGAGGTCTTGAAGGTATTCCGTGGACTTTCTCAAGTAGGAAAGTACCAGCACTAGCAGGAAGACTCTGACGGGTTGAAAACTAAATCATGATGCCAGGGGAAGCAAAGCAGATTCTTTGAGGCAGAAAGAGAAAGAGAAAAAAATATCCTCACAGAACTAGTAAATTTGGTATTCACATGGCTGGCTTTTTGTTGTCATTAGTCTAAGTAGCTTATTATTTAAACTACAGAGATAAGAACTCCTTGAATTATTATTATTATTATTATTATACTTTAAGTTCTAGGGTACATGTGCACAACATGCAGGTTTGTTACATATGTATATATGTGCCATGTTGGTGTGCTGCACCCATTAACTCGTCATTTACATTAGGTACATCTCCTAATGCTATCCCTCCCCCGTCCCACCACCCCACGACAGGCCCCGGTTTGTGATGTTCCCCTTCCTGTGTCCAAGTGTTCTCATTGTTCAATTCCCACCTATGAGTGAGAACATGCGGTGTTTGGTTTTTTGTCCTTGCAATAGTTTGCTGAGAATGATGGTTTCCAGCTTCATCCATGTCCCTACAAAGGACATGAACTCATCCTTTTTTATGGCTGAATAGTATTCCATGGTGTATATGTGCCACATTTTCTTAATCCAGTCTATCATTGATGGACATTTGGGTTGGTTCCAAGTCTTTGCTATTGTGAATAGTGCCGCAATAAACATACGTGTGCATGTGTCTTTATAGCAGCACGATTTATAATTCTTTGGGTATATACCCAGTACTGGGATGGCGAGAACTCCTTGAATTTGTTAATACTCCAGTTGATTGTCTAGGAAAGTATCTAAATCTCTGACCTCATAGAAAGGTAAATGGGAGACACAAGAGTTTTTCTATAAGGGAAAAAGATGCGAGATGTGACATATGAGCACAGAAAAGTGCTCTCTGCCTATCAAGGAATGTCAAATCAAAGGAGAAAACTATAACACAAATTTAGGCACAGCATATACATCTCAGGGAGCTAAGACAGAAAATGAAGGAACTGCAATTCTTCTTGTCTTTCCACTCATGTCACTAAGAGGCACTTATTTACAGTGGAGAAGAGATATAAATGCTCACTTCTAGCAAGTGTGATTTTCAGAGTGATGCCCACAACTGAAACAGAAAGATCCCCGGACCGGAAGTGGTGGCTGATGCCTGTAATCCCAGCACTTTGGGAGGCTGAGGTGGGCAGATCACTTGTGGTTAGGAGTTTGAGACCAGCCTGGCCAACATGGTGAAACGCCATCTTTTCTAAAAATACAAAAATTAGCCGGGCTTCATAGCGCATGCCTGTAATCCCAGCTACCTGGGAGGCTGAGGCACAAGAATCACTCGAACCCAAGAGGTGGAGGTTGCAGTGAGCCGAGACTGCGCCACTGTACTAAGCAACAGAGTGAGAAGAAAGAAAGACAGAAAGAGAGAGGGAAAGAGAGAGAAAGAGAGAAAGAGAGAGAAAGAAAGAAAGAAAGAAAGAAAGAAAGAAAGAAAGAAAGAAAGAAAGAGAAAGAAAGAAAGAAAGAAAGGGAGAAAGAAAGAAAGAATCAACCCTGAATTTGGTTTCCATATATATTATGTATAGGCACTAACTTGCTGCCTATGCTTCTTCATCTCTGAGTGGAGATGAGCTAGTAAGCTGACTGAGGTATAGCGCTATCACAAAAACCAAAAGGATGACCTTGATCTGTGATGATTCCTAAAGTGATAGACAAAAATAGCATATGTATAAAAGATGATCAGAATCGGCCGGGTGTGGTGGCTCACACCTGTAATCCCAGCACTTTGGGAGGCCGAGGCGGGTGGATCATGAGGTCAGGCGATCCAGACCATTCTGGCTAACAAGGTGAAAGCCCATCTCTACTAAAAATACAAAAATTAGCCGGGCATGGCGGTAGGTGCCTGTAGTCCCAGCTACTCAGGAGGCTGAGGCAGAAGAATGGCGTGAACCCGGGAGGTGGAGCTTGCAGTGAACCGAGATTGCACCCTGCACTCCAGCCTGGATGACAAAGCAATACTCCATCTCAAAAAAAAAAAAAAAAAAAAAGGTGATCAGAATCTTGCAGAACACACCAAGAAGAGATCCTTCTTAACAACAAAGGAAGAAGTTTTAATTTGGGACCATTTCAGAGTGACATTTTAATTATGAAGAAGGCATTACTGTCATTTCCACTAGCCAGAATTAAAATATTTTAAGTGGGTATATGCCCCCCTACTTTGCCTCCTAATAGCAAAACAACTCAAAACTGACAATCAGGAAGAAATTATTCTTATAACACCAAATATTTTCAGTGACTTACATCATCAATACCATCATCATCATGATGGAGATCATGGATCATCCTAACTACCCTCTACCCCACCAACACCTTTTGATGAATGATATGGTTTGGTAGTGTCCCCACCCAAATCTCAACTTGAATTGTATCTCCCAGAATTCCCATGTGTTGTGGGAGGGACCCAGTGGGGTAACTGTATCATGGGGGCCAGTCTTTCCTGTGCTATTCTCATGAGAGTGAATAAGTCTCATGAGATCTGATGGGTTTCTCAGGGGTTCTGCTTTTGCTTCTTCCTAATTTTCTCTTGCCACCACCATGAAAGAAGTGCCTTTTGCCTCCCACCATAATTCTGAGGCCTCCCCAGCCATATGGAACTGTAAGTCCAATTAAACCTCTTTTCTTCCCGGTCTCGGGGATATCTTTATCAGCAGCGTGAAAATGGACTAATACAGTAAATTGGTACCAAGAGTGGGGTTTTTGCGAGAGTGCCAGCTATCCCGAGGGAAACTTTGGAGGGAACCAGCTACTAGATGGTTCAATTAGTCTTTCGCCCCTACACCCAGGTTGGATGACCGATTTGCACATCAGGACTGCTACGGACCTCCACCAGAGTTTCCTCTGGCTTTGCCCTGCCCAGGCAGAGTTCACCACCTTTCAGGTCCTAACATTTGTGCTCATGCCCCACCTTCCCAGTGCAGAAAACAAGATGGGCCGGTGGAAAGCTGACCTGGCTACTGCCACCGCAGAGTGCCCAATTTGCCAGCAGCAGAAACCAACACTGCGCCTTTGATATGGCACTATTCCTCAGGGTGATCAGCCAGCCACTTGGTGGCAGGTTGATTATGTTGGACTTCTTCCATTGTGAAAAGGGCAGATGTTTGTCCTTACTGGAATAAACACTTACTCTGGATATGGGTTTGCCTATCCTGCATGCAATGGTTCTGCCAAGACTACCATCCGCGGACTCATGGAATGCCTTATCCACTGTCATGGTATTCCACACAGCATTGCCTCTGACCAAGGCATTCACTTTATGGCTAAAGAAGTGCAGCAGTGGGCTCATGCTCATGGAATTCACTGGTCTTACCATGTTCCCCAACATCCTGAAGCAGAACGGTGGAATGGCCTTTTGCAGTCACAATTACAATGCCAACTAGGTGAGAATACTTTGCAGGGTTGGGGCAAAGTTCTCAAGAAGGCTGTGTATGCTCTGAATCAGCGTCCAATATGTGGTACTGTTTCTCCCATAGCCAGGATTCACAGGTCCAGGAATCAAGGGGTGGAAATGGAAGTGGTACCACTCACCATCACCCCTAGTGATCCACTAGCAAAATGTTTGCTTCCTGTTCCCGCAACATTAAGTTCTGCTGGCCTAGAGGTCTTAGTTCCAGAGGGAGGAACGCTGCCACCAGAAGACACAACAACAATTCCATTAAACTGGTAGTTAAGATTGCCACCAGGACACTTTGGGTTCCTACCTTTAAGTAAACAGGCTAAGAAAGGCGTTACAGTGTTGGCTGGGACATCAAGGCTATCAAGACCCAGGCTATCAAGATGAAATCAGTCTACTACTCCAGAACGGAGGTAAGAAAGAGTATTCATGGAATACAGGAGATCCATTAGGGCGTCTCTTAGTATTACCATGCCCTGTGATTAAGGTCAATGGGCAACTACAACAGCCCAATCCAGGCGGGACTACAAATGGTCCCGCCTGGATGAATGAAGGTTTGGGCCTCTCCATCAGGAAAAAAAAAAACACAACCTGCTGAGGTGTTTGCTGAAGGCAAAAGGAATACAAAATGGGTAGAAGAAGGTAGTCATCAATACCAGCTACTACCATGTGACCAGCTGCAGAAATGAGGACTGTAATTGTCCTCAGTATTTCCTCCTTCTTTTATTAAAAACATGTCTGTGCTTGCACACACTTGTACTAAGAAAATATCTTCATTTTATTTTCTTTCTCCTTTATCATGTGACATAAGATTTATTGACTTCACATCAGCATTTAAGTATCGTTAACTTTATGTAAGAGTGTTTCAGTTGGGGACTAGTGTGTTTCCGGATGTATGAAGAATAGTTGTACTACATCAGGTGTAATTATGACCTAATTATTGTCTTTATTTGAAGATTATGTGTGATCTCAGGAGATGTGTATGGGTTCAAGTTGACAAGGGGTAGATTTGTGGTGGTTAAAACTGAGTGTGTCAACTTGATTGAATTGAAGGATACAAAATATTGATCTTGGGTGTGTCTGTGAAGGTGTTGCCAAAGGAGATTAACATTTGAGTCAGTGGGCTGGGGAAGGCAGACCCACCCTTAATCTGGATGGACACCATTTGATCATCTGTCAGCAAATATAAAGCAGGCAGAAAAACATGAAAAAGCGAGACTGGCCTAGCCTCCCAGCCTACATCTTTTTCCCGTGCTGGATGTTTCCTGCCCTCAAATATCGAACCCCAAGTTCTTCGGTTTTGGAACTCAGACTGGCTCTCCTTGCTCCTCAGCCTGCAGACAGCCTATTGTGGGACCTTGTGATCATGTGAATTAATACTTAACAAACTCTCCTTTATATATATATAAAGATTGCCAATATATATATATTAAGATTGCCACCAAGACACTTTGGGTTGGAATATATATACATACATATATATTCCATTAGTTCCATCCCTCTAGAGAACCCTAATACAATGAAAAATTAATATAACAGTATTCTACACTAACTGATCCAGTATAGTCTTCTGAGTACATTTTTCACTTTTTTGCTTATTGCATTTATAGAACTCTTGGTTTAGTGCTTAAAGCAGGAGAAAAAATGAAGAATGTTCCTCCTTTTCTCATCTAATTTAATAAACACTTTTGAATAAAGCTCAGACCCACCTAGAAAAACCCACAATCTATTCAGGTGAGATATGTGTAAAAAAAATTACAATAAAATGTGATACATAAAACTAATAAAACTTAGAGACCATTTGCCTAAAGGAATCATGAAAGGGTCACTGAGACACAGTTTTAAATAACATTGGACAATCACCAGTTGTAGAAAAGGGCATTCCAGGCAAAAGGGTGTGTAACTGTATGGAAGCAATAATAAGTACAACATTTTCAGGAAATAAGGAGAATTTGGTGTGACTAGGCCTAGATGCTTGTGGGGAGGCCAGGCTATAAAAAGATGTAAAGTCTAGGCTGTAGAGAGCTATGGAAGTCATGTAAAAGAGTTTGCAGTTTATTCTGCGGATGATGAAAAAATATTAGACATTGTAAGCAGGTGAGATTGTTAGAATATTTGCATTTATAATCAAAGATGTAGTAATATCATGGGTGAATGAGATGGGGAGAGAATAAAGGCAAGAAAACGTATTCAGAAACTACTTCAGAAGCCCAGGTGAGAGATAACATGGCCTTCAACTACAGGGTAGCAGAGGAAATGGGAGGAATAGACAGGTGAAAGGCAACTCAGAGGTTGGCTTGGGTGACTGAGTTGAAATGAGGTCAGAACAAGGGACAGGGAGTTTCTAGCGTGGGTATTTGGGATGTACATGGTTGCTACGTATTTCTGTCAACAAGGTGAGCTGAAAGTACCTGTAGAATATCTCCAAGGAGAACATACAAAGGATAACTAGAAACATGAGCCTGAATGTCAGGGTTGGGTGGAGCTAAGGGAATGATGGTGAGATTCATCAGCAAGCTAATGAAGACAGTGGCAGTGGAGGCGAATACAGACAGTGAAATTCCCTAGGGAGAGCTGTGATGTGGCTCAAAAGAGGGCGCAAAACAGTGCTCCAGGGAGCACAAACATTTAATGGATAAGAACAAGGTAATGAAGAAGCAAAAGGAACAGGGTTCAGAAAACCAGAAAAGCCAGTGCCCTGAATGTCTAGGGAGGGAGATTTCTAAAAGCAAATAGTCAATAACATCAGCAACTTTTCCTCTGGTGACAGTGTACTTATTTCTTTTAGTGAAGTAAACTCTGATTCCCCATCCTGGTGTACATATTTTTTTTTTTTGAGACAGGGTCTCACTCTGTCACCCAGGCTAGAGTGCAGTGGTGCGATCATAGCTCACTGCAGCCTCAAACTCCTGGGCTCAAGCAATTCTTCCACTTCAGCCTCCCAAGTAGTTAGGACTACAGGTGCACACCACCACACATGACTAATTTTGTTTTATTTTTATTCTTGTTTTTTTGTAGAGATGGGGTCTTGCTATGTTTCCCAGGCTGGTCTCAAACCTCTAGCCTCAAGTGATCCTCCTGCCTTGGCCTGCCAAAATGCTGGGATTGCAAGCGTGCGCCACCGCACCTGGCCCTGACATATATACTTTAAGCAGTCAAAGTATTTGGTCCTTTTTCTTTCTCTTTCTCTGCCCCCTGAAACTCTTAAAAGGAAGTTAGGGATAGTTGTCTGGAACATCCCAGTTCCTTATCATAATGTTAAATGTGCACCAGAGCTGGGGGACATTTAAGAGCCAGACACCATGATCTAAAAGATGCTAAATAAAGGTATCTGCTGAAGGTAGGAAAGCACTGGCTTTGGTCTCATTAGTTACCTGTAAACCCGACTTGACAGGTGCACTCATAGGTATCCCGGCTGAGCATATGGCATGTGCCGCCATTCAGGCAAGGTCGAGACACAAAGCATGGATGAGATGTCGAGTATTGGCAGTCCTCTCCTGTAAACCCTGAGGCACATCGGCACGTGGCTTTCCCCAGCATGGCCTGGGCCACACAAGTCCCACCATTCTGGCAGCGGTTCTTCTCACAGGGGTCTCGATGTTGACAATATTCCCCCAAGAAGCCTTCTGGACATCTGTATGGAAAAGAGAAGAGTCCATGAAAACACCTGACTTCTTGTAAGTCCAAAAAATTACAGTAAAACAATACAGTCCAATCAAGAAAGCACGAGATTGTGAATCAACAGACCTACAAGGACCACCTATAAAACTGCTTCCCTTTAGAAGAAAGAGTCCTTAGAGAACTTAACCACATACTCCCATGTCCTTTTGAGTCCTGGCAGGTGACAGAGTATCAGCTGTATGGTCTAGCAGGGTCTGCCATGGCCAGTCAACATGACCCTTATTCAAACGCAAAATGCACCCCAGCTTTTTTTCATGTGTGTACAGGTTGGGATGGTGTAACAGCACCTTTTTTAGAGCACTGTTCGTACTTGTCTGCTTAAATTCATTAACTTTCTCATTTTGACTAAGCCATTTGATAGGATTAAGATGTCCACAATATAATGCATGAACTTGACCCTATTATCCCCTCCAATTTAAAATATGTAAGATATCATGTGCTTTTCCTCAATTAAGCATTGAGAAATAGTAAGTGCTTCTTTCTCTTATTTCCACTGAAACATCAATTGGCTGATACCTAGTTTTCTGGGTTATGTTCAGGTGGCTGACATTACAACGGAAAAAGGGAAAGGAGGTACAGGAATGGGGAAGAGTTCAAAGGGATATTTAAAAATCTGTTAATATTTAAGTAGGCATTTTTAACCAAATAAAAAGACACAAAATATAATTAAAATAACATAAAATATCTAAGATACCATATAAACACCAAAGTCAAGGAAGGAATCAATTGAAGAATAACATTCTATGATATTTTCCACATTGAGGCACTGAGGAACCTTTTTACATGCCACCCCTTGATTCATAAGATGTACAACCATTTCAAACTGTGTGTATTATTTATGACAATTTTCTCTGAACAATATCAAAAAGGCATGGTAAGTCTCCATTTTCATAATGAAGTTGTTTAAATGGAATCTCTGAGAAGCATTTAAATTAAGAAACACAAACACTTTGATTCTAACTATAAATGCTGCTATATATTTGGCTGGTGCCCCAAATATGTGATTCAACTTATTCCTCGTTTTAGTTTTCAGGGACTAGAAAACTGAATCTAGTAGGCTGTTCCACCATTACCTCAAAGATTACACATTTAAACCAAACTCTAAATCCCCCTCTCAAAAACCAGCTTTTCTGTGCCCAAGCCTTGTTGTCCTGATTTTCCTAATCATTGTGACCTGAAACATTGGGGTCATGAGTGCTTTTGTCTTTGACAGTCATATCCAAGACCTTTCATTAACCATTGGTTGGCAAGGCTAGCTAGCAGGGGTCACAGTTACTGAGAAAAGAAGGAAGGCCAGATACTAGGGAACTAAGACAGAAAATGCCCAGAAGAATTGTGTAGTAGCTAAAATGGCTAAAGGAGAAAACAGGGTGGTGAATAGCTATAGTGGTAGTGAGGTAACTGGCCACAGCCTCTTCACCCCTCCCAGAGCTGCATAAGATAAGCATGGCAGAGCAAGGAGCGGCTAAGGCTCTGGGCATCTTCATGAGTAGGTGTAGCTACAGACCAACAGGCAGTGAAGAAAGTTCATAGCACTGAAACCAAAGATGGCATGCAGGTGACTGTGAGGAGTCTGTATCAAGAAGGTCAGAAGGTCTGGTTTGGAGTTCTGGTGCTGTGACCTTGGACAAGTTACTTATCTTCATTGACTATCCATTTTCTCACATTGTAAATAGTTAATAAGGTCACCTACATCATGAGATTATTCTAAGAACTGAACAAAATCAAGTATGTAAAAAACCTTATAAATGTTAAAAAGTTTTGCAAGTGGGCTGGGCACAGTGGCTCACACCTGTAATTCCAGCACTTTGGGAGGCTGAGGTGTGAGGACCATCTGAGGTCAGGAGTTTGAGAATAGCCCGGCCAACAAGGTGAAACCCTGGCTCTACTAAAAATACAAAAATTAGCCAGGGTGGTGGTGCACGCTTGTAATCCCAGCTACTCGGGAGGCTGAGGCATGAGAATTGCTTGAACCCGGGAGGCGGAGGTTGCAGTGAGCCGACGAGATTGTGCCACTACATTCCAGCCTGGGCAACAGAGTGAGATTCCATCTCAAAAAAAAAAGTTTTGCCAAGTGAAAACATCTTTTCTCTCTTCTTTGTGCTTATTGAGGAAAATACAATGCCCCATCCAAATCACAGCTTGATTTGAGAATAGTTTCTTGTGTTGGTTTTTTGAAGTGGAGGAGCAAAAAGTGCCAATGTAGCATAGCTAAAATTAACTCTGAGATATATTATTAAAAGCATTTGCAGCTTATTCAAGAAATGTGTTATGAATGTTAAAAACTGCAACACAATTCTCACTCACAGTGCAGCCCTCTGGGCATTATTAGATGACTCTTCATTCTCCCATATGGGAATTATGCACCTTCTAAATAATGGCAAATTTTTAAACGTGGGTGGGCTTTGCTCAGCTTTGCTCCTGAACTATTACACCACCCTAACACTATCATGTGGCATATGCTAAGAGAATGCAAAGTCATTTAAATGGTAGCATCATAAACATATAATGGAAATATAAGGTTCCCAGGAAAACAAAAATGAAGCAAAATGGAAGTTTCTAAAGCTAAACAGATGTATTTCTGAATTATTTGTTTCTACAGTTTAATTCACATTGTTGCTCCCTATCAAGTATGGAAAAATAAGTTTTAACCTAAGATATATTTAAGAAATCAGTAAAACCAGAGATTGACAAAGTACAGTTTGCAAGTCTAATTTGGACCACTGCCTGTTTTTGTCTGGCCTGTGAATAGTTTTTTACATTTTTAAATGATTAGAAAAAAAGAACAAAAGAAGGATATTTTCTGACATTTCAAAATTATATACAATTCAAATTTCAGTGTCCATAAATAGTCTTACTGGAACACAGCCATGCTCATTCATTTATAGATTGTCTATGGCTGATTTTCCACTACAACAACAGAGTCAAGTAGCTGTAATGAGACCACAAAGCCTGCAAAAATAATTACTCTCTGGCACTTTACAGAAAAAGTTTGCCAACTTCTGAGTAGAGAACATATGAAGGCTAATTCTATAAATACCATCCAATATGCTTATTAATAATGATCGGTTTCTGATAGGAAATCAACCTTATTAGTTTCCACAAAGAATATTAAACTTATAATCGTTCATTCACACAACAATTAGTAAATGCCTATTATGTGCCAGGCATTTTTCCAGTGCTAGAAAAATTCTTACACTCTTGGAGTTTACATTCTAATAGCGGAAGACGAAAACAAAATTACTAAGTAAAAGATGCACAATAGATGGAGTTAAGTGCTGTGAAAAAAAATTAAACAGGAAGGAATGGAGCTGGGGATGAGGGTGTGGGGTGAGCAAAGAGAAGTATCTCAGTTTAGAATAGGAAAATCAGAGAAGACCTTCACTGACAATACTTGAGTTGAGACCTAAATAAGGTGAGAGTAATCATGCAGGTATCTTAGGAAAACACATTCATGAGAAAGGGAACAGCAAATGCAAAGGCCATAACACAGAGAGCAGCCCTAGCGTGTTTGAGAAACAGCAAGAATATCTGGAGCAGCAGAAAATAGATGAGAGCTGTAACTGGGATGTGGATCAATTGGGGCCTTTAAGCCACTGTAAAGAAAGACTTAGGGTTTTCCTCTAAATGGGATAATACTTACATATGAGGTACAACAGACTTACTCTCCTAAAGCCCGTGTACAGAACCATATATTTGCTTTACGTGAAACTAGACCTACTGTATTAATAAAGTTTGATTTCTATTTAAAATGTTTTAGAGGGCTGGACATCAGCTTAGTTCTTTACTTTTACCTTAGAAGATATACAAGTCTCTTTTAACCCACACTTTCATGAGGTCCCATTTCCCTTTCCAAATTATTGTTTCACAGCTAACCTTCTATGACTGTAGCCTAATTTCAGATATTCCTCTTTCTTTTCCATCTACTTCTTACTTATCCCTCTGCAACAAAACTTTAATTCTAATTATTGTTTAGAAACTGTTTTCTAAAAACAATGACTTTCCTCTAGTCAAGTTCAGTGGTCTCATCTGAAACTTCATAAGGAAATTCTCTCTCCTATAGGGAGAATTGCTAACCACTCCATGTACCGTTTTAATCATTTTACCTTGGCTTCTATGCCTCCCTCTGTCTAACTCAAAACCCAGTGAAGTCTTAGTCTGGATTGCTGATTTCTCCTTCTTCCCCATCTATTATGGCCACCCTAATGTTTAAGTCTGGACTGCACTGCTCTTTCTCTCAAATGCATTTGTTACTGTTGTTGTTCACTTGGTTTTAAACAACTTCCTTCCTGTAACTGACTCCAAAATACACTGTTCCAGTCCCATATGTTCAGTTTTCTAGAAGTCATCTCTCTATCCTAATATGTGCTGCCACTATTTGAAACTAAACATTTGTAAAAGGAGATCATCTTCCCAAGAAACTTTAATTATTCAATTTTTCTAAGGCTTCCACACACAATTTAAAGTAACTTCATCTCTTTAAGTTGTATATAATTTATTACCACATTCTGACAAGACTTGTTAACTGAATTCCTATAATACTTATCATTCGTGTTCACAGTTTCCTTTTTGATACAAATTCTGATCATCTTAAAAGCCTCAGGCCAGACATCATCTTGTTGCTGGCTTTTCCCCCATTTCCAGCCATCCTTGGAATAACAGAACCTTCAGATTCAAGAAATTTAATTTCTATCCAATTAAGTAATCATTTCTAAAATATTTCTAAAAGATGATCACCAGCCTCTGCTTGAATACAAGCATGTAGCATGGTGCCGGATAAATCTTGAGAATTTAATAAATGCTTGGAGTTATTATTGTTCTGCTCTTAAGAGTACAGACTCTGGAACCAGACCACCTGGATTTCAATCCCAACTCCACCATTTACTCAATGTGTAATCTTGGGCAAGGTACTAAACTTCCCTGTCGTAAAAGAGATGTAATAACAGTGCCTACTTCATAGGATTTTTAAATAAGGGTAAAGCACTTAGAACACTATCCAGCACATAGTAAACACTATGCATTTGTTAAGTGAAATTACTGGCTGACTACTTCAACAAAAGAACAGTCTTCAATGTGGGTGGATTCCACTGTGAGAAAGCTCTTTCTTAATTCTTCAAATTCTGCCTCCCTTCCTAGGTATATACCCGAGATAACTGAAAACATATGCCCAGATAATAAAAATGTTCATAGCAGCATTATTCATAATAGCTAAAAAGTAGAAACAACCCAAATGCCTATAAGCGGATGAACAGATAAATAAAATGTGGTATATCCATAAATGAAATATGTGGCCATGAAAAGGAATGACATTCTGATACATGCTACAACATGGATGAACCTTGAAAACATGCTAAGTGAAAGAAGCCACACACAAAAGGCCACATATTATATAATTCCATTTATATGAAATGTCCAGAATATGCAAATCCGTAGAGATAGAAAGTAGATTAGTGTTGCCAGGAGCTGTAAAGAAGGGAAATAGACAGTGACTACTAAGCAGTAGAGAATTTCTTTCAGGGTGATAAAAATGTTTCGAAATTAGATAATGGTGGTGGTCTCATAACTCTGGAAATACTAAAGTCTACTAAATTAAACACTTTAAAAGGGTAAATTTTATGATACATAAATTATGTCTTAACTTTGAAAAGAACAAACTTTGTCTCTCTACAATTTCCAGGTTATCTCTACCCTCTAGAACAAAAAAGAACAAGCCTTCTGCTTCTCTTACACGTAGCCCTTCAAGAATCTGAAGATAGTTATGTGGGCCTTTTGTTTTCTTTTTTCCAGGATTCAATGGTTTGGCATATTCCTCAGTATAGGGTTATTTCCAGGCTTCTTCACCTTTTTAGTGGTGCTTCTATGCTTAACAGTAGTAATAATAATCAGAATGACCAAAATTTTCTGCCTCCCTTCCCAGGTATATACCTGAAGTAACTGAAAACATATTTTCTAAGTACTTAACTATGTATTGTATATTTGCTAAGCATTTGATAGCTATTGTCTCTTGTATTACTCGCTCCAGTGCTATATTATAATCTCCATTTTATATATGAGGAACTCGAAGCTTAGAAAGATTAAGATTTTACAGCTAGGCCAGGCGCGGTGGCTCACACCAGTAATCTCAGCACTTTGGGAGGCCGAGGCAGGCAGATCACCAGGTCAGGAGATCGAGACCATCCTGGCTAACACAGTGAAACCCTGTCTCTACTAAAAATATAAAAAATTAGCCAGGCGTGGTGGCGGGCGCCTGTAGTCCCAGCTACTCAGGAGGCTGAGGCAGGAGAATGGCATGAACCCAGAAGTTGGAGGTTGCAGTGAGCCAAGATCGCGTCACTGCACTCCAGCCTGGGCAACAGAGCGAGACTCCCTCTCAAAAAAAAAAAAAAAATTCACAGCTAGTAGATGGAAGAGGCAGGATTCAAACCCAAGTAGACTCTAGAGTGCGTGTGCTTCAACACTAGGCTATCCTGCCTCCCCATCACTGGATGACTCCAGTTCATCAAAAACCTCTTTAAAAAGTGAGGCTCAAAATGGAAAAAGGCTTAACACATGTTCTTACCAGTGCAGCACAGAGCTGAACCATGACCTCCTGATCTGGACACTATGCTTTTACTATTTCAGAGTAAGTTCTTAAACTGAGGAGGCATCGTGAGAGCGCAGTTCAAGAAAGAATAACGCTCCGACTCATACCCAATGGATATGTGTACTTTTTTAGAAGCCACAAAATACTACTATGTGCTATGGAATACACACTCAGCTAAAATATTCAGAGCCTTATTTCACATGAACTACTAGTGTACCCTATTTTTCTCATCTTATACTTGTAGCACGTTTTTTGAACCCAATAATTGGAACTATCATTCATTCCTTTTAAATCCATCATATTGAGTCTTTACTCCAAGTTTCCTTGATTGAGACAACTTTTACATTATACTCATACAATCACAGAATTTCAGCAGTGATCTCAGAAACCAAATGGTCTGAACCCCTATAGCACTGAGAAGGACACCAAAGCTAACTGATCTACCCAAAGTTGGTTATCTGTGAATCTAGCAATTTCCCCAGTTTTACAAATATATCCCTATCTTCACCTAGACCTTGCAATGAAACAGTACTTAACTGAAAGTGTATGACTAAGTCTTGCCCCAAGACTAGCACCTATTCAATCAGCTCTAACATCCTAAATGGACCAGCATCCTATCCATACCTCTCCTCTCCCTAAGGACAGTCTGGAAATTCCTTGCTGAACCTAAGCATATGACTAAAAGAATAATCTTTCCTAAGCATAATTTTCATGTCATTCTTCTGCTCAGAAACTAGCAACAGTATTAATACCAAGCCTTTCAAATCCAAGTTCTTTACAATCTCTGATCTGCTTGTCTGTCCCATTCCAATCATCTAACCATCTTACTCTTTAGTAATCCATAACTCGAACACTCCATATTATTTCCACAATCTTGTTTACTGTCCCCTATATTAAAATCTTTTTAATTTCCAGTGAGAAACATCATGCTTCCCTTCTGGTATATCTCCAACTTAGGTTCCTTTCTTCCACCCTTTTTTCAAAAATCTGCTGTAAACCTGTCCTATAGTAAGCCTTCTACAAATCATCCCACCTGTCTCTGATCCTTCCAACAGCAGATGTAGTGCCATGTCATGCACTACATTGTCTCCACTGGTATGGTTCTTCTTTATTTAAGCCACTGTTATGTCTTTGCTGTACCTTTCTCAAACTCCCATCTAGATAGTTTTTGTGGGGAAGAGCCTGTCTTGAACCCTTGGTGTAGGTTCCCTGAATACCTGAGTACCTAAACCCCACTAAGCAGCTGGTTCCAAAGCAGGCTAAATTTCATGTGATGGATAAAGTCAGTCTCTCAATCCAAATGTTCCACAAAATCCATCTCTACTCTGTGATCTGTCTGGTAGAATAACAGGCCAAATCAACCTAATAGTCACCCTGAGGTATAGAATTATCCTTCATACCCCAGGAAGCTAAGCAGCATTATGGACATGGGAAGAAAGGGGAGTAATAGCTAAGACAGTCAGAAATAACAGACCCTTGTTTCCTAAGGCAGGAGATCTTTCAACTTGCAAATCCCTGTTCAACTGTGGTATAAGGAGAAAATATACTCTGTTAGTCTTGGTGGAAAGTAAGGTTCTCTGCTTGAAAACAAGGGCTTAAATAGCTGTCTTCTTGAGATGGCTAAAGTTGAATTTGGTTAGAGAGTGAAAACATGGCTAAACACCCAACATCCCTTACGTATCTATAATTCCATTAAGCTACCCAGCACACATTTTGGAAAATAGTCTACCACTTGAACTAAAGGTGTATATTCTAAAAAATAACCACAAAAATCTAACAGATGCCTTTCATCCGCAAAACTATATGAATGTTTCCCTCCTGTAGGGAGTTTATTAATTATTTTCATAACTGTCTCTTCAATGTCTCTCAGTGACTTCTACTTACTCTCTCTTCTCTAGCATTGGAACTCTGAAAGAACATACTTCGCAGATGAGGTTGTGAATACAGAGAAAGGTTTGGGGAGCATTTTTCCATTTTAAACTCTATAAACTAATCTGAATACTTACCAGGTCCATAAAGATATATTTATGACTTTTTCTTTAAAAGTCTCAGCTGGGCACAGTGGCTCACACCTGTAATCCCAGCACTGTGGGAGGCCAAGGCGAGCAGATTGCTAGAGCAGAAGTTCGAGACCTGCCTAGGCAATACGGGCAACATGGTGAGAACCCCATCTCAAAAAAAAAAAAGTGTCATTTCTGACATTGAGAGGTCCACATTTCCATTGTTACTGTTCAAACATACGCATGGGGTTGGATGTAGAAAAGCAAAGGAAGGAAGAAAACAGAGAAAAACAAGGGATTCCTCCTAATGGAACTAGAAAACATTCCATTTGAAGGATACCCCTACAGTTTCCTCTCACTTAAGCAGATGAAAACCAGACCCCAACCCTCACATCTCACTAGCAGCCTGGATTAGTTTACATGTAGCCACTTTACAGATTTCAACGAAGCTGGGATCTGAATAGCAATTCCAATCTATCTGGCAATGGCTGCAGTTCAGGATCAGTCTCCCTAGTAATACAGGACAGAAAAATTTGTTCTTTCACGTTTCCTAAGTGAATAGCCACTCGTCTACAGAAAAGCTTAAAACAGTGTAGCAGCTTGTGTCAGCTCCAAGATGACTGAAGTCTGAGCAGGAAATAAGCCCCTTTTCCAAATAAAAGCCAGTGTTCTCTCCCCTTGTTTTCTCCACCGAATGTTCTGTATCAGCAGGGTGAGGCCAAATTGCATCCAGGGCTTTGCTGCAGCTCTGTCTTTAGCTTTTTTTTTTTTTTTTTTTTAAAACGAGGATTTGGCCATTCAAGAAACAACAACAATAACAACAAAGCAAAATCCCACCACATACAAGAAGAAAAAGAGAGGCATGCTTTACAAAACAGCTATTTCAAAGTCATGATTTTTAAAAAAACTATACAGAATGTGGAACGAAGGGGAAAAAAAAGTCTCATGTGGGTTGCGTCGGCACTGCAGCTGCTCCTCATTAAAGCTCCTCTTTACTCCCTCTGGGCTAGTTTCCAGCAGAAAATTCTTTAAACAGAACTTTGCTTTCAACCCACTTTCTTCTTGCACTGGGCCTCTTGGCCCCCCAATCCGCAGTGGCAGCCTGCCCTAGCTGAGCTCTAGAGGGGGGAGCTGTCGTTAAGGTAAATGAGGTAAGGGCAGGGGAAAAAACTAACAAAACCCAGAAACCAAATTAAGCATCGGTCAGTAACAAAGGTCTGCAGTTTGAAAGGCTCCAAATCAGTCTGTTCTTTCCTGTGACCATAATGCCAGCTTAGTTTCCTGCCCCCCTACTCTGTCCCCCCTGTTAAAGTAGATAAAAATAATTGCTAACAGCCAAGGCTAGCTGGAACCAGTGAAAGTTCCTATGTAACATTCAATTCCCAAGGCTGCGACTACAAACTTGTAGGTACCCTAGAGCCTATAGAATCAAGTCTAAACTTCTAGGCTGGCATTCAGGAGGCCTAACCCACCTATTGGTCTAGACTCACTGGTCTCCCTCCTTTCAGTACCTCCTGGCTGAGGTCTGATGGGCTTGTCAACTTTTTAATTCTGTCACTCTGTGTAAAGGTAACTAACTAGGTTATGCTAATTACCAACTTTGTTTTAAAAACATGCATGAGGACTTCTAGTTAACTTCCTGGTAAAGAGGGGAAAAAAAGAGAAGAAGCTCTGTCATACTACTTCTTGCCATTCCCACTCTACTCTCAACCCCCCCTTCTCTCAAATAAAAAGAAAGAAAAAAAAGGAAATACTATAGCTTACTCAGCAAGAAGGAAAAACAAAAAGAACTTTAAAAAAAAGTATTTGTGTATAGATTGGTGTCCAGAACTGGGACGCTTGTGGTAAAACACACTTTCTAGTGTAGTTTTTCTAGGGCCTTACTAGTTGTATGTGAAGGAAACAAAGACAAGTATACAATCTCTCACTCTCACACACGTACACACACACATACACACTTTTATCACAACTAATACACAAAGACTACCAAATACTGCAGGGCAGCTCATTTTTCTACTATGTAAATTCAGCTTCCTGGACAGACCATTTCTGCTTTTCTTGTAGAAGTATTTCAGAAAATGTTAATCTTGGTTCCCACATTAGGTTGCATGCTTCCAAATTAAAAGTTTCCCACAGGAAAAGAACTTCATGAGGAATTGTGAGGCTGGGAATTATCTCTGAAACCCCACCTCACTTAGTTTACATGTGTTAGGTTTTTCACCCCCTCATCTGAATAAAGCATTAAATACACACTGATTTTAAGAAACCTAAACCAAAAAGAAGCTGAAGTGGTACGGACTTTAAAGCTGTTGATTCACAGCATCATTCATCTTCACTCAGACTATGAAATCAGTAACCACTGCAATGAGAAACCATGCTTTATTTATACAAGAACTTTACAAACATCCTTATCTTCCAGTTTACAGTCTGGGCTCATTTATCAGAACTCAAAGGCTGAGCTGAGCACCTAGTCTCTTCAATCATCACTTGAAAGATTGGGAAGGGGCACACAGTGTTAAAAGACTTGTGTTGTTGCTATAACAGAAGGTGGTCTTTCCTCTGTGTTCCAGAACACAATCAGGATCTTACCATACTTCACTGCACTGGACTCTGAGAAAATATCTACTTGTGATTAAAACATGGCAAACACATTCTAGACATATGAGTTTACAAAAAACACCCTTCGATGTAATGGACAAAACTGAATGAGTTAGCTCAGTTGTTCCCAAGGTATGGGCTGTGGAGTTATTGCAAGGGATTGCAATCCTCATAAATCACTTTCTAAACTACTAAACAGTATCTTGTCCATATTTAAATATATGTATATGCTTTTATGACTAGTAAAACATAAAGATATATTAAATGATTCTTGAATTCTTAGATTTTGACAGTATACATTGTATTCAAACAACACACTGAGAAATTGTTTCATCTCAAGCTCTCTCCTTTATGCGCTATACTCTTGCTAAACGCCTTTCAGCTCCTAGAAAATGCTATAGTACACTACTTCTCACTTCCAGACCTCTGTACACGCTGTTCAGTCAGCCCAAAATGCTTTTCCCCACCTTCTCATGGCTAAGCCCTAAAATTTCATTGTCTCAACTTAAATGTTATTTCCTGTGAAAAACAGCCTTGACACCCCCTCTGTTCTTATAACCCTGAGCCTGTGTTACTCATTAGCCCTTATTATGATTATCTGTCAACAGACTAAAATTATTAATTCTCATACTCCCAGTGCCTAACACAATGACTGGCATATAGAAGGCATTCGACTATTCAGTGCAGAAGCAAAAGGTCAAAATGAAGGGCTCTGTGGAATCTTTACCCCTTAAAAAGACCCTATAAATACACTTGAAGTTTGGGAACAACTGGGTTGAGCTATTTACCTAAAGGATTTTCAAAACTAATTAAGATTCCTGATATATAGACTACTTCTTAACCCCCACTCACCCCTATATCAGTCAAATTGGGCCAACTCCATGCAAAGTAGATTATTTTTTAATCACCTTCCCTCCCACCTACCAAATATGAAGTTAACCAACACACACAAAGAGGCATGTGTGCATGTGCAGACATACACACACACAGTCCTCATTCCCTCTTGCACTTTTATTGGTCTTTCATCGGTTGTTGATAAGACTGACTACATAAACCACCAGGGACCTGGAGCCCTGACTAAAAAAAAAAAAAAAATCCTACAAAGTGGCCTCAATAGCATGAACTGCTAGATTCTGTAGTGACTGCCATTGAAAATTAAAGAAGATCTCTAGAAAGAAAAGTGTTGGAGCCTTCTTTCCATTCCCCAATGTTGGTGGATGACCACCTTCAAAGTTCTGAAGTCCAAAAAATATCTAAAAGCAGAGTAATTTAAAAAGCTTACTGTTTAGTCTAAAAGGATTTTCCTAGATCAAAAACAACTGTACCTATTTGGATACCAAAAATGAAAAAGAAATAGTGCAGAATCTTTAGATTGCCTAATGGGATCTGGAGAAACAGCTCTTAGTCCCAGTCTACATCCTAATGAGTTATGTAATAAAGGCTAATTCGCTTAGCTGTATTACACCTCAGCCTCCTCACTTATAAAACAAAATGAGTGACAAAGGTGCTTTCCAAAGTCCCTTTGACCTCCTAAGTGTGATGACTCTATAATCTTGGCCTTTGAAGTCCCTTGGCAATACCACCCAAGGATGTAATGATGCTTGCTGATGTTAATGTTTGGGTGTTTGTGGTTGTATATGTCTTGACCACTGTCCCACTCCAAGCAGGGGATCCTAGGGTAAGAACTGTACTGTGTCTCTTTTTTAATATCCCTCACAGTGCCCATCACCCTCTAGGTGCACAGATAATTCAATATACACTTATGTAAATGAATTGTTCCACAACTCACACTTTCAGCTAGCCCCTCACAGATGCATAAGAAAGCAAAGAACAACCAAAGAGAAGGAACAATATATTTAAACAAGATAAGGGGAATGAAAAAGAATCTTGTGTTTAAAAGGGATAGAAAGGTCTAACCATCTTCTATCCCAAACAACTGGCCAACATGAGAGCCTGTTTTCTTGAGCATAGAATGGTGGTAGGTATTTCAGCCTCGATGGAATCTGACCTGCTGATTAGTTATACAAGGCTAAAACTGACTGAAGTGTGTATGTAAGACAACGGTCTGGGAAGAGAAGCACTAAATTTAAGCTCACAGGGAATCAACCACTTAAAAAGGTAAATTCAGATAGAACTTTATCCAGATTTCATTTTTATGCATCCTCTCTACAAGCATAAACGCTTATCTTACTCACTTCCCATCTCATGATGCTATCATCAATTCTTATAAAATTTAGAAAAGAATAGGTGATGTCTCCTAATTAGAGAGTCTGCTTCTGTCACAAACTGTGACAGTCAGTGTCAGCCTTTGCCTGGAAGAAAATGAGTCACTTTTTCATTAGTAATCAAGTTATGTCTATTTTTTAAGAGTGACCCAGAAATTCAAGGCCATGAGTTTCAGCAATACGAGACAGAGAATCAGACAACACAAACATTGTATACAAATAGAATTAAGACAGAAAAATTAAAGTCAAGGAGGTACAGAGTTACTTTTCAGGATGACTGAGGTTTCAGAAAGGGCAAGTTGCCCCGTAAAATATTCTCAAGATGTGTCTGGCTTACACAACGAGAACCAGTATTTCAAAATCTTAAAGTGACAGGCAGTTAAACGACTAAGGCACTACCATCGTCTAGGCAAGAGAATCTTAACCACCATCAAATGTTTTCCACACAGAATAGGCAGACCTAGTTTATTCTGGAAAATTGAGGGTTTGGATATGTACTATATAATCAGAGGAAACAAGCAGTAAAGGACCTGAGCTAATTTGGGGTAACCAAAGACTTGGCTAACAGATGCTTCCTTACTCTGGATCCCTCATATGAATCAGATCTGGCCAGTGATATGCTGGACAGAAGATATCTGAGGTTGAGATACCTGATTTCTCAACTAAGGGAATGAACTATGCAGTACATGAAAACCAACCCTCTTCTTAGTGCCTCTGTTTTCCTATCACTTCCCCTATCCCAATCCATTCTTGCTCTTGCCTTAGAGATTCTTAGATTCTGATTTGCCTCGCAAAACATGGCCACAAGCCTACCGCCTCTCTGTCTGGTAGAAGTACAAGAATCAAGAGTCAAGGCCAAAAAGGTCTGAGGGAAGGAGCATAATTGCTCCCAGCTGCCCTCTCTTCCTGTCCCCAGGTCCTCTCCTTCACCCTCACTCTAGGCATTCTACCTCCAAACGTTCAAGTTAACATGTGCTAAAGGAATGATTTTCTAAATCACTTACCTGTCACTGTGAAACTAGATTAATCCACATACTGGTTTAGTAAAACCTCACACAAACCAGCATATACACAGAAGACAGCAATCAAGATGAAGAAAACGTTTGAAACTGTGTCATTAAGAAAACGTGATGAAGAAATTGGTAATGATTATTCCAGGAAATAACAGTCCCTTCTAGTCTCCTCAGCTCCCTTCCTCTCACCCTTCTCCTACCTATCCATCTTCTAAGGCACCACTAATATTCAAAGATTTAGGATCTAAGCAGTGCACCAAAAGTCCTCTGATTTTACTCTTTTGTCCCACAGTACTTGTTCCTTTGTCTGAGTGTCCATAGTTATTATCTGTGCCCCTACACTGGGATATTACAAACTGTTTTATTTTACACATCTCTGTATGCTTCATCTCCCCAGCAAGACTTCAGAAGACTGCCACCATGTCTTATGCAGGAGAAACTGCATTCACTGTCAGACAGTCTCTGGGTACGTATACTTGTGAATAAAGAAGTCAGGTAATACAGGCCTCTTGGGCTTTTCTGTCTATTCACAATACCCAGTACAGTGATCAGTTATAGTAGCCTGCTCAATAAATACTAGTGTGATAAAAATTAAACTTTTGTTTGAAAAGTGAGGATTCTATAGTGCTTCAGAGTCCATCTAACTTTCAGTGTTCAGCACACAGGATTATAGACAGTGACTGCAGGAAAATGACCTGAATCTATACAGATTTAATACCCTAAATGCTACCATTCTACATAAATCCTAATCAGATTATTTTCTTATTAACACCTACCTTTCTCCTCATATTTACGTGAAGGCAAAAAACTGGATAGAATGCTCTAGTTGAATGTGTTCGCTGAATAATATCACCCATCACTTAAATAATGCCTTTCTTAGTCTTTATTTTCACTTTTCTTTCATAAAACTCTTTTCATAAAGATCAAGTAGAAGACTGTTTAGGAGAAGAGCATTTCGAGCAGAAATTAACTGCATTACTTTTTCATAGGAGAAGGCTGATGGAGTCTAAGAATTGGCAATACATTTTTGGACACAGAGGACTAAGTGCTAGTGAAGGTCACTGACAGTGAATAAATAGGATCTAGAAAATGTGCGGAAATCCAATAGAAATTTTAATTTACCTTACGTTGGGTTGTAAGGTAAAACTCAACTAAAAGAAATATGAAAACAAAATGCATAACACAGTCGCATGTGCACACATGTGTGCATACACACATATGACAGGAGGACGGAGAGACACTAAACTTCATTCCTAACTACTGTATGTTGAGAGGAGGCCTAATGAAAACCTCTATCACACCCACATATTTATGCTAGCTTAATAAATTTTAAAGTGCTTGGAAATTTTTAGATGATTACTTTTTCTCATATTCTGATATCCCCCATTCCTTTGCTATCATTCATAAGGGCAGATGTAGACAAAATTAAAGAATTTAATTAAGCCTCTCCATATCCTGAAAGAGAAATATTTCTCATTTTGCTTAGTCACAAAAAAAGGGAGAAAAAAAGAATTCCTGTGTGAAATTAATGGTGCTAACGAGACATGCCTGAATAAGAAACTTCACATAAGATTACGATTGACCTGGAGACTGTGTTGAAAGAAACCTAGCTAAATTCACATCTATTAATGCCAGACTGCAGGCCAAAATTTGTTGATTTAATTTCTTGGCAGTTACCCAAGACAGGTAAAAGGATATAGGCAGAGCCTAAGAACCAGATTCTCCTACTTCTTCACTGAACACTGAAATATATAAAGGTCCCAACTGAAAGAATAAAAATTAGTTGAAAATAGTATGGAAATTATGTTGCTATGTGTTAAGAAGCTACTAACTGGCCAGGCACAGTGGTTCAGGCCTGTAATTCCAGCCCTTTGGGAGGCAGAAGTGGGAGGGTCACTTGAGCCCAGGAATTCGAGACCAGCCTGAGCAACATGTGAGACCGTGTCTCTATAAAAAGTTTTAAAAATGGGAGACTGAGGCAGGAGGATGGATGGCTTGAGCCTAGGAGGTGGAGGCTGCAGTGATCCATGATTGCTCTACTGCACTCAAGCCTGGGCCACAGATGGAGATGCTAGTAACCAAGACTTCCTTTACAAAAGACCCCTTAGGGAAACATCATATTTGATAAAGGATTTTAATAGGACATAAGTATTAATAAGAATCACTTAGGAATGGTACTGTTAAAGGGTCCAGATCTCAAGTCCTAATACAAGGAAAAGCCTCACAGGACATACTCCTATGCATCTGTAACTCACTATGCAAATGTAAGGTGCCATATTCAACAACTTGTGACTTTTGTGCTGGCAACAACATTTATCAAAAATCACTGAATTTAACCTGTCTCAATTTCACAACTGCATAAATCTGTCTGGACTTGCTCCTGTTCCATTAGTAAAAAGAAAGGAGAAGTTTCAAATTAGTTCTCTCTACTGAAGCACACTTTAATAGACAATATCCTCTATCCCCACCTTCACTGCCCTCTTCTTCTATTTCATCCACAGTTATTACACTGAGCTTTCATGTTAAAGGCCATTTCTCAGAAATGCAGTATTCACCAAACCTGGCCCATGTACACTCATGTAACTATATGCAGATTTAGTGTTCTAGAATGATATGAGGTACTCAGGCCTACCTAATGCTACTGTCTTTAAATTTAGAAATTACATAAAGCAGTGTTTTAATCATATTCCTGATCTGAAAAGTCCCCTTTTTGTATACTTTCAAATTGAGAACAGACCCTAATACGCAATAATGTTAGCTAGCATTATAGACTTTAACTTGCCAAAGATCCAATTGTTAATAGGAATCAGGACTCAAACTTAAGTCTATCTGGCATAAAAAAAACCTATGTCCTCAGCTGGGCGTGGTGGCTCACGCCTGTAATCCCAGCACTTTGGGAGGCCGAGGCGGGCAGATCATGAGGTCAGGAGATAGAGACCATCCTGGCTAACACAGTGAAACCCCGTCTCTACTAAAAATACAAAAAATTAGCCGGGCGTGGTGGCGGGCGCTTGTAGTCCCGGCTACTTGAGAGGCTGAGGCAGGAGAATGGCATGAACCCGGGAGGCGGAGCTTGCAGTGAGCCAAGAAAGCGCCACTGCACTCCAGCCTGGGCCACAGAGCGAGACTCTGTCTCAAAAAAAAACAACAACAAAAAACTATGTCCTCTTCATGTCACCAGTCAAGGATCTTCCAGGACCCTTACTCCACTCACCAGTGCAGGCTGAACCATACTAGGTCATAAGGCAAAAGAAAAAATCAGTACTACTGATCTCCTTATTTAAAATTTTGATAATTTTCAACTTATTTTGCATTAATTTTGATTTTTTGAACAACTACATACAAACATTATTTTGATTAGTGAGTTTTTTGGCACTCTCTTAAATTTCACAAGAGAGGCCTGTGCCTTACTTGCCTCACCATGGTCCCAGCCCTGCCATTCACTGGTGGCCCCTGTACAGAAGGCCACATTATAGTCAGTTTTTTTCATACTTGGCTTTACTCTGAACCTCTCTAAGAAGCCCAAGTTAATGAACTGGTAATTATTTTATGACTTCCCAAAGAAGTGTGAAATAATATGATAACAATATTGATTAACTGCAACTACTACCACAGACTTGAGTTATCTGTTATATGTGGTACGCATAAATAGCATGCAATAAATAACTCTTGAATTAATAAAACCTGAACATATTACATTTTAAGAAAAGATTACTCTATGAGAGGTATTTAATGAGCCAAAAAAACAGCATTCTTTGTTTTATGTTAAAAAGATAAATGAACTATGGAAAACTGGCCAAGCTTCTGCTATCATTTTCCAGAAAAACTATATACACAATGTTCAGCTAAATAGGCACCGTACTTGAAGGAACTAGGCTGGCAGAACCAGTTTCAGCTGAGACGAAAGAGAAAGTAATTTAACAGTTGATATTTTTCCCTGTCTATTTCTTTGATCTGACAATGCCCCTGTGCCTCCCTGAATGCACTCACAAGAAGGTGAAGGAAAGGGGGAAATGCTGAGTCAGCCATGACTTCTGAAAACGCCTTTTTGGGGGAGAAGCACCACAACAGAAACATTGCGAATGCATCCTCCATAAAAAGCTAAGTTCTAAGGGATTATGAGTGTCTCTACTCTCTACTTACTATACAGACATTTACCAAGAAGACAAAGAAGGCAATGGCTCTAGTTTTTCTTGGATGGATTCAGGAAATCTGGACCACCAACATGACTGCCTAATCCTGGCAAGGAGAATTGTTAGCTGTTAATGTTTAATGTTTATTACAGCTAGCAGACAAGTTTTAGACAAAATGTGACACAAAGTTATATTTTATAACACTTTATATTTATAATAATTTACCTTAAAGTGTAGTTTTTAGATCAGCACTTTAGCAAAAAGTGGACATTCTCAAATGCAAGCACCCATCTACAGGAACGTATACAACTCACGGTGACTTTCTGCTGTTTTACAAACACTATGTTAGATATTTACCAAGTGGTATGTATGAAATTCTGAAAGGCCCCTTTATATTTCCAATTTTCATCATTAAAAATAATTGCAGAGTAACTTATATCAGACTAGCCCTCTTGCTCTGGACAAAATATCAAAGGCACTGGAGAATCACTGAAAGCAGGCATAAACTAGAAGGGATATAAGCCTCAGAAAAAGCGAAGCAAACTATATGAAACCCACATTTACAGTTTTGTTTTTGTTTTTTTTTTATCGTGAAGGTACACCCCAGTTCATGCAGCAGAAGAGGAAGAGTGTGCAAGCAGAAAACGGAAGTCCTGCGATACTGAGGAGTCAGAGGTATCTGGAGCTGTCACAGCAGCTAGAATATGAGGAGAAAAATTCCTGGAAAAGACAGAACCACAGAGTGGGTAGCTTCAAAGTATGCATACAACTCTGCTCAAATCCTTAAATAATTCCTGACTATGCATGAGCAAGATAAGATTCAGAAACCCAAGAGAAAGTAAGAGCTGGACGGCTGAAAAGACTGAGCAGAAGGCTCCTGGGGCTGGGAGGACAAGTTCTGCCTTAGAGGGGCTTAATGAACACCTCAGGGCTTGGTAGGCCCCTCACACTTTCCACTGAACCCCTAGAAGGGTCACATCTTGGGAATAAGAGCCCTATCCCATGACTAAGATTTGTGTCATCGGACTAAGGGCAGAACAGAAGTAGGCCCACCCTAACGTGTCCTAAAACCTAGCATCCATAGGATCAAGATGATCTGCCAATCTTGACAAAATTCAACATTCTTTAGTGGGAGATAAACTTTAAAATCTATCACCCACAATGTCCAGTAAGTAATGTAAAACTACCATACATGTGTAAAGTAAAGGGAAGTCATACCCATGGTCCAAAGAAGGAGCAGTTGATAGAAACAGAAACACATCCATAGACAACCCAGATGTTAAGAACCAGCAGACAAAGATTTTAAATAACTACAATAAATGTCCTTAAAATACATATTTTGTCAATTATACAAATCATAACCTAACCTACCCCCAGAATCCTAGTGAACTTGAGTTGTCCATGATCTTTAATCAAATTGGGATTTAGAATGGTTTATATTTGAAAGTCTGAAGCAAACAACTTGAAAGTGATTAATGACATCAAATTTAATTACATATTTACACCTCCCAGTAGGACAAGGGAAAGAATAAAATATCTTATCTCCCTGTAGTGAGAGGGCTTTATTAAGATTTGACAGTAGTTATTTAACAGCAATAATTGAGTTTTATGCAAGATTATACACGTTCTCCTAATCTGGCATCAAAATCTAATCACAGACTGATAGGGTACTTAGGCTCCTAACAGTGAGAAAAAACAGTGGAGCTGAGTACAAAACTAATCTTCAAAAGTAGTTATCTTCATCTGTCAATGTGATCTTATCAAGGATTTTTATAATTTCTATAAACAATCATTATATTTTAGCTGAATCAGTAGCATTATGCTGTCTAAACAGATAGTCAGATTCCTTCTATTTTAAAACACTTTCTACCAGTTCCCATCCCACCACTCACCACTCACCCCCACGCTGGCCCTGTAAAAGGAATTTGGCTTCAACTTTCTTTTCTTAATCCACTAAGCAATCGCATGAATAAAAAGATAATCACATGCCCTGCATGCCTGATAGAATTTTTATAAATCTTCTAAGTGTTTTAATATTTATTTTCTATTTTGTGAAAATAATATTTACTGAACAAGCTAGATCATCTTCTTTCTCCACAGAAAAAAAGGTAAGGTTGGTGAAAATACACTGAAAGCTCTGCTAGGTACACATTACTTTTGCATAAAATTTTGCTTAAAATTCTGTGGAGGCTGGCAAAGCACTGTAGAATGATTGACATGGCTGCCTTGATATTGTTCTTGCTTTTTCTTTGTCCACTTATGTTGACCCTGCCACTCCTAAATATGCTAATATTACTTTTGCTGAGGTAGGGAATCACTCTCTTTATACAAGTTTTGTTGTTCATCTTGATCTCCCAAAAGGATGGCCTCACCAAATTTTTTCTTTCTCTCAAGGAGTTTGTTTCCCTCAAAACAGGAAAGACATCTGAGGGACATACCCAGAACTGTATCCATAAGCATTCCATCCTATCAACAATTAACAAGTAGCCAGGGACAGAATTTAGGCAGCTCCATTTTCTTTTTTTTTTTTTTTTTTGGAGACACAGTCTCGCTCTGTCGCTCAGGCTGGAGTGCAGTGGTGCAATCTTGGCTCACTGCAAGCTCTGCCTCCTGGTTTCAGGCCATTCTCCTGCCTCAGCCTCCTGAGTAACTGGGATTAC
This sequence comes from Homo sapiens, assembly GCF_000001405.40. Lineage (NCBI taxonomy): Eukaryota > Metazoa > Chordata > Mammalia > Primates > Hominidae > Homo > Homo sapiens. Next base: position 148,637,210 of record NC_000001.11, read on the forward strand.
AGGTGCGTGCCACCACGCCCAGCTAATTTTTTGCATTTTTAGTAGAGATGGGATTTCACCGTGTTAGCCAGGATGGTCTCCAACCTTGGTTGGAGAGTATGAGACTAGCAGCCCAACAGTCCAACAAAGAACTATTGGACTTCTTCCCAACAGTGACCCTTAGGTGTCCTCTCCTGGTAAGTGCTCAGAGATTAGTCTCCCCTAGAAACCTTCTCTCCCCATGTCAGACCAAAAATATATAGGCGAACACTTAGAACATATTTGAAATTCTCCATATATAAGTCACCAAGTTGAATGATCTTCAAATAGAACCAATTTGCCTCTCTGTATGGTATTACCACCCTGAATGCTATGTGAAATACATAAATTTTTTTTAAATTTTGCTTTTAAGTTTTGGGATACATGTGCAGAATGTGCAGGTTTGTTTCATAGGTATACATGTGCCATGGTGGTTTGCTGCACCTATCAACCCGTCATCCAGGTTTTAAGCCCCACGTGCATTAGGTATTCATCCTAATGCTCTCCCTCCCCTTTCCCCCCACCCCCTGACAGGCCCCAGTGTGTGATGTTCCCCTCCCTGTGTCCATGTGTTCTCATTGTTCAACTCCCACTTATGAGTGAGAACATGCCGTGTTTGGTTTTCTGTTCCTGTGTTAGTTTGCTGAGAATGATGGCTTCCAGTTTCATCCATGTCCCTGCAAAGGACATTAACTCATTCTTTTTTATGGCTGCATACTATTCCATCGTGTATACATGCCACATTTTCTTTATCCAGTCTATCACCGTTGGGCATTTGGGTTGGTTCCAAGTCTTTCCTACTGTAAATAGTGCTGAAGTAAACACACATGTGCATGTGTCCTTATAGCAGAATGATTTATAATCCTTTGGGTATATACTCAGTAATGGGATTGCTGGGCCAAATGGTATTTCTGGTTCTAGATCCTTGAGGAATCGCCACACTGAAATTTTTAAAGGAGAGAACCAGTGTCTTCTTATTTAACATAAATAGATAAGAAACATGTGCATGACGGTATCTACTTAGCACCTTTTAGTTTAAGAAACACATTGCTGAACAATAACTACACCAGGCACTGTAATAGGCATTAACTATGCAAAAAATGCATAAGACTAAGACCTCACATTCTAGCAAAAGAAACACATCAACAAATGACCATAATGCAATGGGGTTAACTACCACAAGAGTTGCATAACAGAATAAAGCAAGCAACTAAGGCACCAAATGCCACAAAAAGACTAAACAAGATTTCAGTGGCCTACTCTAAGGTATTAAGTTCCCTCCCTTATTATCTCCAGTTGTATCTCCATTCTTAGAGGAGAATGCACCACATGTTTTTTTTCCCCCAGCTAGAAAAACTAAATGAGCAGCCCATAATAAGCTACATAAAACCTTTATTTCCAATGTTATCTTTACTCCAATCCAAACAACCTATTGTTAAGCTTTACTGTCATCACAGCTTAATTTTCACTTTAGTGAAGAAAATTATTTCTGACTTGAAAAAAAAATCTTGTTTATAACATTAAAAAACTAAATCCTAGTGTCAGAACAGATCTCACTGGAAAAAAGTTGTAATTACATTCCTGGTAAGAAATAAAAATGTGTTGGATAAACTCACTTAAAATGCTTACTAAGCAAGTACCTCCACCAAAGCAAAGAAGAACTACTCCTCACAAAAATGAAGGAAAAGAAGAGAAATTTCATATTACCAAATTTTATTTCTCCAGCATCTTCCCTGAAATAAACAGAATGGATACATATTCCTCTTAAAAATTTTCAATTGAGGCAGAAGAAAAAAAATTATTTGCAGGAAACCTAGAAAAGCTATTATGAAATTATCTCACAGCCTTCCTCAAACAAACAAAACGTCTTGGCTAGAGTAGATGGTTGGAGAAAAAGGAAAAAAAAAATGCTCTTAAGCCAAGAACTAGCCTACATTTTCCTTCATCCTTACTCTTTTATCCCCATATAATAATACACACCCAAAGCCCCTGCTCCCCCTCAATCTACACATATGCACACATCTTCCTCTCTCACTGTCTCACTTTCAGAATTAGATTTTTTACACTAGAAAAAAATATGAATATAATATTCACATATACTGGGCCGAATATTAAAGTTGATATCTATTTGGTTTTACTTAAAAACAAGATAATAGGTAACATGTTAAGGGGAGACTCTAAGAGTATTCCTTAATCTGAAAAACACAAGGGAATCTAATATACATTTTTTTATTTTTTTTTATTTCTTTTTGAGACGGAGTCTTGCTCTGTCACCCAGGCTAGAGTGCAATGATGTGGTCTCAGCTCACTGCAACCTCCGCCTCCTGGGTTCAAGTCATTCTCCTGCCTCAGCCTCCTGAGTAGCTGGGACTCCAGGCATGCGCCACCACACCCGGCTAATTTTTGTATTTTTAGTAGAGATAGGGTTTCACTATGTTGGCCAGGCTGGTCTTGAACTCCTGACCTCGTGATTCGCCCAACTCAGCCTCCTGAAGTGCTGGGATTACCAGCATGAGCCACCATGCCTGGTCTACCCCATATACATTAACTAGCCACTCACTGAAAAGTCTTTTTCATAGTGAGAAAGATAACAGTAAGATAGTAAGAAGTTCTTATTAGCCAATTATCTGGCATCCACATCCTTCCATCCTCACCCCCAACCAAAATCTGTACCAGGAAAGCTCAAGAACCAGTAACATTCCACAGAAGCATTAAAAATAGAGGAGTAGAATCAAATCTTGTCCAGTGTTCTATCGCAAAAAGAAAATATATGAAGAGAAAAACTTACTTGCAGTATCCTGTGCCATTGTGGTAGGTAACACACATTCCTTCATTTACACAGGGTTCATAGCCATCTCGACACTGCAATGCCAAAAATAAAAACAAATGCACATTAGAAGTAAGTCACTAATCATAACCCTCAGACACCAAAGAAGTGTAATCCAATCCAGATCAGCATTCATTCCCACCTAATCTGGGTTTCTTTTTAGAGTTTTAATCAGTTTTTTATGTTTTGGCTTCTAGCACAGAAGCCCATCCCAAAACTATCTTCCAACAATAACCACGTTTGTGGTCTTGAATCATGCTCTTATTTCTCTGTGTTTCAGTATCTCCAGCTGTTACATCTCCATCTCCCAATTAAAAATTAAAGCCATACCATCTATGACATGACACATCATCTTGGGATTTAGATACTTCAGATGAGTATTATAAGGATTCATCAATGAGTGTTTAGGAAAATGCTAGATAAATAATAGATCACCATTATACTGATGAATTACTTAGCCTTCAGGTGAAGTTTTAAAACAGACCGCTTCAAGAAGTAATCAGAAACAGCAATAACAGTAATTCGACAAACTAAAATTGAGAGCCTAGTATGCACCAGGCACAAAATTAGGATCCAGAAAAAAGGAGAAATGGAATACATAAATAAACGAATAAACATAATCTCTAGCTTTAAGGGGCCCATAAAAAGATGGGGAGTAGATCATGAATAGAGACTGCAGAGAGAGTATCAAAAGAAATAAAAGGAGAAGGCAATTTTATACATACAGATAAAACAAAAATTCTCAAACTGTTGATTCCCCCATTCCCTTTAAGAGACAATAAAAAGGCACTTTACCATCTCAGGCCCTCCCAAAAACAGACTTTTCAGAGAAAAGAACAAAAACAACAGCAATAGTAGACATTTTCATTGATTTCAGCCAAGAATGGAAGAAGTCTACTCGAAATCTGCTAATCACTTGCTGGATAATTACAATATCTTGATTGTTTAGCTTTTAGAGTTGAAATTTTCATCACCAAAATACATATCAAGAACCCTAACAACTGGAAAGGTAAGACAGAAAGAAACCTAGTCAAACAATAAATATCAAATTGAAGCTCATGAACTCTTTCTTGGAAGTTATTAAGATGTCCATCTCTTATGATAGTTAATGTATAAATACCTGAAAGCAAAACTGAGAAGTTCCCCCCTCCAAGTTTCCTCTAACCACACCACTCTATGCATAAATTGTGCAAGATCAGAGACGCTAGGCCTGGCCATCCCTGGCCACGAAACCAGTAGCCCAGGTGCAAGCTGGATGTCAGAACAACTCCTCCAACAACAATTACTGCATAAAAGCCCAGTATTGTATCCAGTAGTAGAATCATTTGAGAACATGTTTACAGAAAATGCATCCCATCCTTGAAATAGTATTTTTAAATGGTAATAGTAATAATAATAGGCTAACACATAGAACTTACTAAATACCAGGCACTATCCTAAGTACTTTACATAAATTAGCTAACTAATTCAATCTTCACAACAACCCTTAGAAGTAAATTTCATTATACCCATTCTCAGGTGAGAAAACAGGGAGGATAAGTGGCCTGCCTACTGCCATGCCAGTGAGTTAGAAAGCTAGAATTTGAATCCAGAGACTCTGCCCTTAACCACCAAGATACACTGCTTCCCACTACCTGAAATTTCTCAGGATTGGCAGGGTGGATATTATTATACCCATTTACCAATAGTAGAGGCCAGAGAGAATAAGTGGCCTCTTTACGGGGCATCGCGCCACTAGCTGGTGGCAGTGCTGGGCCTAGGACCCAGGTCTCAGTAAAAGTCCAACCCATCTCTATGACAGCTGTTGGGATCACACAAAGAGTCACCAGGCTGCAGGCCCAAACAGGCAAATTCAGGAAGAGGGTCATCTTGTTGTCCATATCCCACTTCCCTGTAAGGCTCAAATGCTCCCTCTTCCCACACTGATAAGCCCAATGCAACAACTATAATTAAAACAGTTAATGTCAGGTTATTTCCTCCATACCAAAGTTCTCAAACTGATTTTTTCATTCTCTTTAGACACTTTTATTAGTTTCAGTGAGAACTTCCGGGGTTTTTTCTATTTACTTTTTTTCTTTAAATAAAATAATAAATAAATAAAACCCTCACAGTAGGAAAGGAATGTCCTGTAGGCACAGAAAAAGCTGTAGCTCTGTCCCCCTGCAGGAATCCTGGTGCAGTGGAGGGACTCAGGAGACCTGAAATCCTGTCTGTACCCCTAACTGCAAGCAAAGCACAACTTCATGGGGGCTCAATTTCCCTACCTGTACCAAGCTGAGAGCGAACTAAATGTCCCTAAAGGTTCCCTGTGATCCACCAGCGACAGCTCCCTCCTTATAAGTACATGAATGGCATGCCCAGTGCCTGAAGAAACCTGGAGTACATAATGACCCAGCCACCCATGACTCAGAATGCCATGGGTGCAAAAATCACGGCCTGTTCCTATTAAGTGTCCTGACAAATCATTACAGTGACAGGTTCAGAGAAATACAAACAACCCAAAGTCAATATGTAGCAATCAATCTAGCAAATAACTTTACAGCCTAGCCCTAGTGAACCAATCAAACTCAGTGACTGAAAAGAAGGTGGGCTTACCAGGCTAATAATTAATGCCACTTGGCTGATGTGTGGGATCATGCTACCTTGAACCTTTAGCATTTACTGAGCCACGGTTCTCAAACTTTAGTAAGCATTGGAATCACTTGGAGGGCTTTTTAAAAAAGAGTGTTAGACTCGACCCCCACAATTTCTGACTAAGTCTGCAGGGAGCCTGGGAATCTGCATTCCTAACAAATTCCCAGGTGATGTTGATACCACAGGTCTGAGGAACCACACACTGACTATGACTATATGAACGCTTGAGTGTCCACTTTTAAAAATACTCAAAAGCTATATAATATAGAGGTCTTAGATGATTTAGATGATAACATATCGTCTGAATAAACAGGATGTGGAGAAATGGAACCCTTCTACTCTGTTAATGGGAATGTAAATTAGTACAACCATTGTGAAAAACAGTGCAGACGTTCCTCAAAAAACTGAAAATAGAATCACCACATGATCTGGTAATCCCACTGCTGCGTATTTACCCCAGATATTTTAAATCAGTTTATTGAAAAGATGTCTGTACACCCATACCAAGTTATGGAAGTGTCCATCAACAGATGAATGGATAAATAAAAGGTGGTAGATAGGCCGGGCACAGTGGCTCACGCCTATAATCCCAGCACTTTGGGCGGCTGAGGCGGGTGGATCACGAGGTCAGGAGTTCAAGACCAGCCTGGCCAAGATGATGAAACCCCATCTCTACTAAAAGTACAAAAATTACAGCACGCCAGTAATTGCAGCTACTCAGGAGGCTGAGGCAGGAGAATCACTTGAACCTGGGGGGCGGAGGTTGCAGTGAGCCGAGATTGCTCCACTGCACTCCAGCCTGAGTGACAGAGAGAGACTCCATCTCAAAAAAAAAAAAAAAAAAAAAAAAAAAAAAAAAAAAAGCTGTGGTAGATACATAAAATGGAATACTATTCCACCTTTAGATATAAATTCTGTCATTTGACACAACATGGATAGAATTGGAGAACATTATGCTAAGTGAAATAAGGCACAGGAAGACAAATACAGCATGTTCTCACTTATATGTAGAATTGAAAACCATCAAAATCATAGAAGCAGAGAGGAAAATGGTGGTTACGGAAGCTGTGGGCCTGATGATCAATGGGTACAAAAAGCTACAGTTACACAAGAAGAATTTTTTTGTATATGTTTGAGATATATTGCATAGTGTGGTGAATATAGTTAATAATAGGGTATTATACATTTCAAAATTGCTAAGAGAGTAAATTTCAAAAAATGTTAAATATTTGAGATGAAGGATATACTACCTACCTTTTAATTGTTCTACATTGTATTAGCAAATTATAACATCACTTTGTACCCTATAAATGTATACAACTATAAACTGACAATTCTAATTTTTAAAAAAGAAAAATAATCTTGAGACTCGTGGCTTTACTCAGGAGCAAAAATGAATACTATAATTATCTTCCATACAAAGAGAAATTAAAACTTTGATAACCTGAAGCCATGAAAGTGAGACCGGGACAGACCTCATTTCAAAATTCAATTTACTTTTTTCCAATGTAAAACACTTAAATTTAACAATAAAATTGAAGGCAGCTTCATGCTTATAAAGTAAAAAAAGAAACATTAATCATACCATAGAGAATTGATGTTTAAACTGATGCTTTAATAGACTCCAAGAAACTAGTCACTCACAAAGAGTCACATTTAACCCCAATTTTCATGTCAATAAATACTTGCTGGCTGAAATAAATCTTATTTACTGTGTGTGTATCTGCTGTTTGTGCAGGCCCTCCTCTACTCCACCAAAAAAAAAAAGGCAAAAAGAAGTAGTAGATTTCAATCTCATCACTCCATCATTTGGCAATATAATACAAAAATCTAGAAGCCAATTTCCAATTTTCATACACTTTCAGTGCAGTGCATTTGGGAACTAGCTATCTAATATTCAGAACATATTTAGAAAGCATCTACTATCGGCAGGCACAAGCCCTGATGTCAGGGATACCGTAGTATACAGAATAAACTCCCTGTCCTCAGGAACCTTATTTCTATAAGAGAAAGGTGGCTAAAAAATTAATAAATAAAATAATTTAGGACAGTAATAAGCGATAAGTTCCATTGGAAACAAAACCCAGTAATGTATAAAAAGCAATCATGAAGGCTGGGGGTGCAGGAGTGTACCTCAGATAGTGTCTAGGAAAGGCCTCCCTGAGGAGGTATGCTTTGAGCTACAATGTAAATGAACAAGTGTCATGAAGATATGAGGGAATAGCACCCCAGGCAGAGGAAACAACAAGTGTAAAAGCCTTGAAGTGGGAATTAGACTGGTATTCCAGGTTCATATGGCTAGAGGTTATTAAGCAAGGACAGAGGCCAGGGAGGCAGGCTGGGGTTAGATCACAAGAGCCCATGATAAGGATCACAGCTCTAAGTAGGAGAGTAAACTGCTCAGCTGTTTTAAATAAGAAAAATGACACAGATTTATGTTTGAAAAAAGTCAAGATTATGAAATGGTCCAGTGAGTAAAAAGGTTTTTCTTTTCTTTCTTATATAAGCTTATTCAAGTCATCCCTTTTTAGACTAGACTGAAGACATCCATTTTCCCAGCTCCCCAAAATGGCAATGATTTTATTCTAACCGCATCTAACCTTCCAGAAGCACTACTTGTAACATGTTGCCCCACTACTTTCTAACCTACAATGGCTGTCAGTTCTTACTTAGTTCTCAGAACTTAGCCTCAGTTTGGCTCTCCTAAGAACCAGTTGGGAGGTCTGTGCAGTACCTTCACACAGTACCAAGTTTGACACTTTTTCTTCCAAGGACAAGCCATTTCTTACTTTAACCAGTCTAGGCTCCCATGCTGGCCTTCCAGATCAGAGCTTACCTTACGTGCCCAGTATTACTCCCCACCACTTCCACTGCATTCTCTGCCCAGTTTATGCCCTCTTTCCTGAACAGATCGTCATTGAACTCAGTTCCATTCCTCCATGCATGTCTGTGTTTCCACTGATTTCTGCCTTCCTCATTACTATCTAAATTCTACCCATTCCTTCAAGGCCCAGTTCACCTCTTGCCTCACCCAGAAAGCTTCCCCTGGAGGGTTCTGGTCCTCACAGGGCCACCCCCCCACCCATCCTTGTAACACTCATGACTCTCAATTCAGCACTACAGGGTCTTCTAGCTCTCTGCTTTTTCACTTTTAAGTTCCTGGGATATGGAAAACATTTCGTCTTTTCTGAGTATTTGAAGCAATGCAGTTAAGCAGTTGAAAGCATGGATGCAGAAATCAGACAAATCTGGGTTTGAATACTAGCTCCACCATTGACTATCTCTGTATCTTCTTTGTGCTTGATACAGTTTGGCTATTTTGTCCCTTCCAAATCTCACGTTGAAACATAATCCCCAATGTTGAAGGTGGGGCCTACTGGGAGGTGTTCAGGTTATGGGGGCAGATCTCTCATGAATAGCTTGGTGCCCACCCACAGTAATGAGTGAGTTCTCGCTACCATGTGAGCTGGTTGTTTGAAAGAGACTGACATCTCTCTTGCTCCCTCCTCTCTTGCCATGTTACATACCTGCTCCCTCTTCACCTTCAGCCACGAAAGTTTTTTGGGCCCTCACCAGAAGCAGATGTTGGCTCTAAACTTCTTGTACAATCTGCAAAGCTATTAGCCAAATAAACCTTTTTTCTTTATAAATTATTCAGCCTCAGGTATTCCTTTAGAGCAATGCAAAACAGACTAACATACTTCTTTTAAAAAACTATAGCACTGAAGGCATAAGGAGAAGTGATCCACTAAAGGTAAAATAAACAATATATGTGAGCAAAAACTCAATTTTAATACAGTTCCACTAATATTTGTCGAGAAACTACTGTCAGCATTGTCCCCTACTAGGCACTGCATGAAAACTAAGCACAAATAAAACAAACAATCTCTGTCCTCATGGTCCTTACAATCTAATGAGAAGTTGGGAGTAGGGGCAGAGAGAATGTGACCTACCCAAATGACTCTAAGATAAATACAAACAAAATAAAAATTGCCAATATATACCCTTGGCATACCCTCTTAATACCAATCTTGGAATCACTCCAAAAAGAACTTTTAAGAAATACAATAGGAACCCTTGATGTTTAGCACTAACTGTAACTCAATCCAGACAAGGCTCTTTTATTTATTCAGGTTTATCAGCCCCAATTATACATCAAAACTGCCAACAACAGAACAAGCTGCCATTGATTTTAACCAGTTCCAGCGCCTCAGAAATTTATTCATTTAAGGATAAGGCTAAGGTATCCAGACTTGATGGACTCTTCCTTAAAATTTCCTCTAGGCATTTACCTAGGTTTTCCAATGCTTTTCAATATCATACCAGCTACATATCACTGGCTTAAAAGCCTCCCTTTGTTTTAGGAATCTCTAACATGAGTAATTAAGTCTGTACTTCAGCCAGTGTAATCTGAGCAGCCTTCAATGTGTTTTACTTGTTGCATTAACATGTAATCGTTTTAAACTGGCATTACTTGTTGCTTTGTAGCTTCTTCAAATAAGCCTCTGTCGTCTATCTCACATGATTTTTTTCATATCCTTCTCCCTATCTGCAGTGTGGTATCTGTGCTTAGACCCACTGCTCAATCGGAAGGTATTTTAATGTCTTGACTGTCTGAGGCTCCTAAAATACATGAAGAGGAGTTATACAGGCTCTTTTAACTTTTTCTTCAATGTTTATGCAAATTTCAAGTAGCAATATTTGAGAGATGAAGTCTGAGTTTACGCCCTAGGATCTTGGCTGTGGTTGGCTGCTGTTGATTCTGGCACATGGCCTCTGGAAGAGGCTCAGTAAAATGAACAAAGCAAAGTTTTCTAAAATGACTGCCTGCATTATTACCAAAAATAGGAGAATTGAGGGCAGACAAAGAGACATCAGGGATTTGCAATAATTCTCATAGCGCCCTGCAATTTCAAACAAAACTTTCTCTAAATTTTGTATTCCATTTTTTGGGATCAAGCCATGAAAAAAAAATCCAAACAAACAGAAGAAGTGCGGAAGCTTCAAATCCCAAGTGGTACATTTAAATAAAAACGAAGCGGAGAAACATGTCTTCCTCCTTGAAATTTGTCTTGATTAAAAGGAAAAAAAAAAACCAAAAAAAAGCAATAAGAGATAAATCGATTTTGTTTTCCTAATAGTGTTCCAAGGATTTATGTGCTCTTTACAGATATTATCATATAGAAAGTGTGTTTTCTACCTAAGAGATGCTAGTATCAGATCCAGATATTAAGAACTGGGCTATAGGGTCATAGCAAATTATTACTGCTTTTCAAAAACTGAAAATATACCTTAAGAAAATATAATCAACGATAACAACTTATAAATGAATATTTTTTGTATTACTAACAGACTTTTCATACTATAAAAAAATCATTCCAGTTAGCTGATAAATCTAGAATAATTTTTGGTTTTAAAAATTCCAATTTTGTTCTATTTTATAATATTGAACTCATTGCAAAAAAAATTCATCAGTGTTTGCTGTGCTATATTGAAATCTACTATACACTGTGTAGTTTTTCCTTTTATTTTTCTCTTATTAAAGACTTCAGAAAAAAATTCAATTTATGCATGGGTTAAATTTCAATACCTGGATCTTGGAGATGAGACTAATGCATTCAGCTCTTCTACATGAAATATAAGGTTTGAAAAATCCACAAATACTTACAAATTAGGATGTAGCCAATTTGCTAATAATGATCACCTCTATACCCATGTACATTCTTTTACCTGAAAAATATTTTACCTCCTTTTCCTTTTTCTCTATCTTGCTAAATTCCTACTATATTTCAAATCACAGATAAAGCATTATTTTCCTGAAGAAGCTCTCAGAGACCCACTGATACAGATGTTCCTCTTCTGTGCTCCCATTTTATCCTAGGTAGATGTATTATAAGTGCTGGCTCACTCATCTCTCTCTCTCCCACTTCTAGGCAAATTCCATAGAGGCAGTAACCACAATTGGCTCCTCTTTGTACACCTGGGACCTCAGAAGATGCCTGGACCACAGCAGGTACTCAATACTCAATAAGATATTCAATAAACTAAATATCTATAATTAAGACAAAACCTATGAATAAACCCAACCTTCAGCTTGCATGTTTATGTGTGGAATTTCACTTTGTGTAACAAATTAGAAAAGTAAAATAAGAAAGAAAAAAATGCTGCAAATTTCCAGGCCTTTAACAAGGATGAAAAGTTGAGAAAGTAGAATTGTACTTTTCTAATCTTTGCAAAACTAAAACAGTTTTGAAAGTTCCTTTCTTACCATTTGTTTGAATGAAGATACACTCTCCACTCTTAGCCTCCTATAAATCTTAAGCCATGTGTATTATGGTAAAAACTAGCTGAAATAGGTTGAATGGAAGCCAAAATAATTTACATCTAAATGAAAAACATAGAAAACAGAGTAATAAAAAAATTCCAACTGAATGGGAAAATTCATTGTATAGTATTATCTTCCCCATGAGTAGGTTCACTAATACACATCGGCAGAACAATAAGCACCAACGAGATCCAAATGACACTGACCAACATGATCACAGTTTACATGTCCAAAAGGTTCAGGATCTCAGTGTAATAAAACCCAACAGAGAGGAAGAAGCTGTATCATATCTAGAAATTTAATTATTCTCTACAAAAAGTGCTATATATTTGTGTGCTGCTTAGTGGTCAAAGAAAGTGAATATGAAGTGTTATTCCATGTCTTGTCTTATATCTTGTATTATCTGTTCTGTTCCACTATCTGTATTTGTACTATTATCAAGACAAATTTTGCCTGTCACCAATTTCCTGTGCTTTTAGTAAACTCCCTTTTTAAAGCTTTTTTTTTTTTTTTTTGAGATGGAGTCTCGCTCTGTCACCCAGGCTGGAGTGCAGTGGCGCAATCTCAGCTCACTGCAAGCTCCTCCTCCTGGGTTCACGCCATTCTCCTGCCTCAGCCTCCCGAGTAGCTGGGACTATAGGTGCCCGCCACCACAACCGGCTAATTTTTTTTGTATTTTTAGTAGAGACAGGGTTTCACCGTGTTAGCCAGGATGGTCTGGATCTCCTGACCTCATGATGCTGGGATTACAGGCGTGAGCCACCGCGCCCGGCCTTAAAGCTTTCTAAAGATTATTTTGTTAAGTACAGCTTAGTTTTTTTAAGTCCTTAATTTTAAGTACATGCTTTTAAGTACACTTGCTGGAAAAAAATTTATAAATATATATAATCTTCTTGCTATACACACAAAAGAAACAACATATTCTTTTAGCTTAAATTGCTCAGGACACTTTTTAAATGGAGTACACAATTTCTCATGTTTGTTAATTTAGAGGTAGACACCCAAACAGAATGAATAACAAAATTATGTTAAAAATGAAAATGGAAAAACCTAAGATTGCTACATATTATTATATAAAATCATGGATACTTCCTAAAACAAAACAGGGAAAATCCAAAGAACAACCTCAGATTTCCCTACATGCATCCTTCCTCATAGCCTTTTTAAAACATCCTTGGGTGGTAGCAATGAAGGCTACTCACAAGGATGGGGACAGAGGTCATCAGGGATACCATAATCAATGTACTGTGCAAAAATAGTGCAGAGGAGATTGGTTAGTCCTACATAAAGTCCAACTACATGTATGGCTAACTATTCTCAAGTCAGGGTTCGCAGAAGCTAAGGTCCTAACATTTGGATTATTTTTATATTATTATCTGGATCAAATAATATGCCTTCAGCCAAAATCAAACTCTGTTCACCTGTGAATAGTATTCCTGTACCCAAATTCCTGTACACATCACTGAGAATTGTCTAAACCCAAGTGCCTCAAAAGGTCCTAAACCCTTGACTCATAGCCAGGATATTTCTTTTTTTTTATTATTATACTTTAAGTTTTAGGGTACATGTGCACAACGTGCAGGTTTGTTACATATGTATACATGTGCCATGTTGGTGTGCTGCACCCATTAACTCGTCATTTAACATTAGGTTCTAATAAGCTCAGAAACTAGCACTGTGAGGGAAATATCTAAATATGGAGATTATAAATGCCTATCATTGCCATTTCCAGAGAACACACCTGAGGCCAAAAACCTTGGAACAGAGGAAAGCAGATAATAGAAAAATATCAAATCTTTATTAAATACCAAAGGGAGAAGAAAACATAAAATATAGCCCTAAACGGCCAGGCGCGGTGGCTCATGTCTTTAATCCCAGCACTTTGGGAGGCCGAGGTGGGCGGATCACGAGGTCAGGAGATCGAGACCATCCTGGCTAACACGGTGAAACCCCATCTCTACTAAAAGTACAAAAAAAAAATTAGCTGGGCATGGTGGCGGGTGCCTGTAGTCCCAGCTACTAGGGAGTCTGAGGCAGGAGAATGGCATGAACCCGGGAGGCGGAGCTTGCAATGAGCCGAGATTGTGCCACTGCACTCCAGCCTGGGCGACACAGCAAGACTCTGCCTGAGAAAAAAAAAAAAAAAAAAATATATATATATATATATATATATATATATATTCCTGAACTTCAATTTTTATTTATTTTATTCTCCCTTGCTTTGTTTCTTCAGACATACAACTATGTCCCACATCAACACAACTTGGGTCTCCTGGTCAACAGAAAAAAATAATAATGTGTACTTAATGATATTTGATGAGGAGCTGATAATCTCAATGTCCAAATCAGTTCCTCTTAAAAACGCCAGTCCTCCAACTCCATCAGCCTTTTGATTACTCATATTCTTTCTTTATTGTAAATGCAAGCAAGAATTTATCTTCAAGACTACTCAGATTTCTGCAGAGTTGTAGCAGTCATTTTAATAAAAAAGCAGCTCAACACACTAACAGTCACAATTTGGTTTGCAAGTGCTCACAATCATTCTATTTGCTCATCCAGTTGTTGCTGGAATGACAAAGACAGCAAAGACAGAAAATTTTGTATATATTAAGTGACCATATTGGAACTTAAAACTTTCCATGTTTGTGTCTTTAAGCACAGAAGAGAACTCTAGGTTTCTCCATTTGCAGCAACACCTAATTTGGCAAACTCAAAAAGTTACATTGTCTTTGATAAAGGCTTTCTTTGTTCTAGAGAGGTCAAAAGATTTCTCTCCAGCTTCAGCCTGAAGATCTCGGATCAAAAGAAACAATATAAATTCCAATATATTAAATTTTAAAATGGGGGGTAAGCCCTAGAAGGGGTATTGGCTTTCTTGAGCCCAGTGCTTCCCTGATTCTCACAAATGAGTAATAAACTGCTAAAGAAAGAGAGAGAGAGAAAAGAAAGAAAAGAAAAGAAAAAAAAGAAAGAAAAAAAGAAAAGAGAGAGAGGAAGGGAAAGGGAAAGAGAGAGGAAGGAAGCAAAAGAAAGAAAGGAGAGAGAGAAAGGAAAGGAAAGGAAAGAAAAGGGAAAGAGAGAAAGAGCAAGCGAGCGAGCGAACGAGCAGATGCCCTGGCCTACCTTCCATTTCATCTGCTTTGTTGCCACTCCTGTCTGGAAGCCTAAGGGAATTCCACCAGAAGACAGATTCTGGAGCTAGGCAACACCTAAGTGAGGTCTGCTCCACCTAGCTTCAGCCCAGCTATAATACCATGGTAAGTGCTTGAAAAATGTCAGCCAAGCTAAACTGTTAATGAGCAGGCCCAGTAGTTTTCTATCTTCCTCCGAGAGAGGATAACCAAGTCTTTAATTTCCCATAAGACAAAAAGAAAATCTGCAAAATTACAGTTTATTCTAGTCTTTAATGGTAACAATGACCTGGCACAGGAGATATTTCCATCTCTTTTGTTTATCACTCTTAAAATTCTCTCTTCAATAAAACTCCGTTCTACTTTAGGGACATGGGAGTGACACTCATGTTGAACAAGAGGGACTTACAAAGGGAGTTTTACCAGTTTCACCACTTCGGGCCCAGTGGGAATGTCCTTCCCATCATCACCTCATCACATTAACAAGATTAAGTCCTTTGGAAAACCAGTATAAAAGCAAGGAACCCTCAGTTCAAGCAAAGGGACAAAGGATTTAGTAAATGTGGTTATTAGTGTAGTGCTGGTGATTAAATAATATTTCTCCTCCTCCCCACTAAAGCACACATTACCTCACTGAAAATATTAAAACCAATGCATTGTAATCACTTTGGCTATGAGCCTAAATATATGTTACCACATAAAGTTTCAAATACAAAGTTTTATATTAAAAAACACTAAATCTAGTATCCTCCCCTCCCCCAATCCAATGTAATCTGGCTTTAAAATTGTTAAGAAGAACAAGTTTATAAATTTGAGCACAGTGAGTTTTTGTGTGTGCCCACCCACCTCCACGGAAAATACCCCAAAAGCAGCAACCTTCAGAAAATACAAGACTTTACTCTCAAGGAGTAACTCTAATGTGAGTTCCAGAAGATAGCCAGCCATATCCTAAATCAGTTGGCTGGTCAGTTTCTTCAAGTAAAATGAGAGTAACAGGCACCTATGCTACCTGAAGATGAAGCTAATAGGGCATCATGAAGAAAAGCAAGGCATCTGATAGTACTCCATAGAATATATTTAGGATTAACATCTCAGCTTCTAATAGGCAGGGATTTTCAGCTGATTTCCATCTACATTCCTCCACCCAAGCCTACAAAGCATTCTATGGCTTGTGTGAACACCTCAGCCAAACAAATCAGAAAGTCAGCTCACAACCCTCTATTTCTCACTCCTGAGAAGGCTGCTCATAAACAGTGATCTCATTTGATCCCCACAACAACACTATGAGGCATGTAAATTGGTATTAGCACCATTTTACACAAGAAACTGCAACTCAAAGAAATAAGGGGCTTGCCCAAAGTCACACAAATCAAGATGTCTGAACCAGGACCAGAGCACAAGTCTTTTACCTACTGACCCAACATTCCTTTCACTCACTACATCTGTAAATACGCAGTTAGAAAAACCTGATATCCACCATAATCTGCAAACTTCCATAATATACATTTGTGACTACAACATTCTCAGGTAGGTAACCACCCACATACCAGCTATGCACATCAAAAACATTTACACGAAAGATCAGCTAATGACCTGCTTATTAAAACAAAACCAGGACTTGCTTATCAAAAACAAAACCAGGGACAAGAGGGGCTGCCAATGCTGTATCTCAGAACTACCACTCATACACATGCCCTAATGACTAACACCCATTGACTAGCATCACCCCTACCTACACAACAAAAGAACTCCACTTTTGAAAACCTGCCAACTCTAGGATTCAACATACTACACTATGCATTATTTCTCCAGGAAAAAAAAAAAACTACCCTATGACTGAAATTGTTTAGAATTTTTTCTTTGTAAAATTGACACTGACAAGATACCATCTCTTCTCAATAATAGAGTAGCAACACAGGAGCAAAAGGAAATTATGGAGTTAGAGATGGAACCAGATCATAAGTATGATATACCCTATCTTGACAAGATTTTACTCTTAAAAATGACGGCCCTATTAAAAGTAGGTAACCCATCATCATTTTATCCAAGTACCCATAATTCAATTGATTAGAAATAAATCCCTCCAAGAACACATCTGCAGTTAAGTTAGTGAAAACTGAACTACTGAACAGAGAAGCATGGCCTGCTGCTCAGAGAAGACGGGTCATCACTAATGTGGTAAACCAAAAATGCCATAAGAGATAAAGTATTTTCTTCATCTGGTCTGCTTCTCTCCAACTAAAGAAATCAACTCAGAGGGGGAAAAAAGACAAAAACTCACCTTCCCAAACCAACAAATAAACTATCCAGACACATACCCTTCATGATGTTGAATCCCAATTTAGGAAACCTCAGACAGCTCAGAGCACTGTCTTATCCACAAGGCTGAGAATACAAGACTTTTGTCCTCCAAAATTAAAAGTATAAATTTTATCACTAAGTTTGGTATACTGTCCCACAAAATGCCACCTTATTCCATGTCCATACCACTAAAGAACTATAGAAAATAATGACATATTAAAAAAGATCACTCCTCTGTTTTCCTTATGGCATTTTTATTATCTGACACAACATATAGCAAACGTGGATCTTGAAATGGGAGATAAATTAAAATAAAGTTTTAAGCTATAATAAGTCTATAATAAATAATATACTCTATAAATAAATTATCAAAATTCAGGGTATTTGGTGATAGAAATCTAAGGAGGAAATGAATTTTTGAAATGTCTCAGGCCAAAAGAAAACTAAAAGGCTATAATCAAGAAAGAAAGGAGATGGGCAACTTCTTTTTAGAGCCCCACTTCCGAAAGAACAGCTGTCTTTGCTCAGCTGTAGGAAAACCACAGGACTTGGAATAACTCACTTCATGTACTGTCCTTCTTATGTTAAAATGACACTGTTGACTCACCCTCAGTAGGATATGTGCTTGGTTAAACTTGTTTTTCCAGTAACAGTAATGAACTGAGTTACTCTACTATTGAAATGATTTGCACCCCCACAACTGAAAAAAATATTTGGAAACACCTACATATCTAGTATGCATGTCCTTGAGTAGTAGGTCTGGTTTGACTATGCAGCCAGAGCTTTATCCTTCTTCAGAGTCTCTCCACAAATGATGATCAGTGTAACAAAAGAATCTTTCACTGCATTTGCTCAGTGAATCATTGTCTTAGCTAATAGCTAATCCCCACAGTCCTGGGCTTCCAAAGTCTGAAATGAAATAAACTGTCTAATTTATTTTTCTTACTTTTAGTTACATGTACTGCTCAAATTTGGGTGATACTGCAGAAGGCCCACACCAAATCCACAACCCTTGCATGCAGCAGTAGCATTCAACAAGGTCCTGTAGGACACTCTGGTAGATTCCCCCTTCTACTGCTCTGTCATTTCTAGCTTACTTGCTAGTTAAGGTGGAAAGACTTTAAAAAAAAAAAAAAAAAAAAAGGAGCCTTTACCAAGCCCTAACTCTAGCTTATGAACCAAACTAATCATCATATGGGTGGGAAGGCTTAATAACTTCAAACAAGGATTTTTACTTATACCAACCCAGACAATGAAAGGGAGGGTTGTTAGTTCTCCTTAGATAAAAAACAGTATTCCCTCTTAAGGAGAGATACAACCTAATTCACATATATCTTCTATCTTTATCTTTTCTACCTCAAGGATACAGTTTTTTAATTGAAAATTTTAACTCAAAAATTATTTTGCAAACGGATATTTGAAACGTGGGGAGTAAAAGATAAGCTACAAACAAAAGAACAAATATCTTAGACATTAAACTCTTCAATTTACATTCTGGACCAGTGGTCTGCAAAATTAGGTGTGTGTATCCCAGAAGCACGGGAGGTGTAAGATCATCCACTGGGGCACTGGAAGAAATTTTAAAACATCTCCATATTTATGGGCTAAAAAACATATAATAAGCTTTACTTAGAGTTAACATATGCATACATGGTTTAATAGCCAGACATTTATATAATGTATAAATATGTATTTACTTGAGGAAGCGTTCATGCTTTAAAAATGTTTTTCTTGGGGTATACATTTTTTAAGGGTTTGAAGGGTCCTGCTTTACCCCCAGATTTCACAAAGTAGGATACATATGCGCTCAAGAGTATACAGTATGCCAGAAAAATGCAAAGAAACTGGATAAACCTGGTATATCTTCCTGGCATCTCTATTTCACTCACTCTAGGGTAAGTGACATTCATTCTTCCCTATAATCAGGTGCTTTGGAAGACACCTCTGGCTAACATGTCATTAGGATAAAAGAGGCCACAAAATGATGGCCTGGATTCTGGGTTCTATGCCTGGCTCTCTATCTTCTAGCCATCTGACCAAGGGCCAATCACTTCGCACTTCCAGGCCTTTCCAGCTCCTTCCTACTCAAATTTTGCGATTCACAAGTTAAGTTTTTCATCCCATCTTTAGTTGCTTCATGGCCCTGCACATGTCATTCTTCTAATTAGAATGTAACAGCCACTCCTCTCCACCAATCTCAGCCTCCTTTCCGCTCTCCAATGAGGCCTTGACTTTGCATTCCCTCAGCTTCCCATGATCTGTTTATATGATGTGAAAGGGCACTTTCTGGAAGGCTCTGTAAGTGTTCTCAGGTTATTACCAGTGTCCCCCAGTACTTCTGGACAGACTGTAGAGCTCCTTTGGCTAAAGTGCTAGAGGCAGCATTCTGCATGGGGGACCAACATGTATTATCACCTCACCATGCTGAAAATCTACAGCCTGGCCCCTGATCCAAATCAGCAATATACTAATATTAAGGAAAAAGTAACAGAAACCAAAATCACCCACCTAATGAAGATATATGATCTAGCAAAAGAAAATGAGGCTGAGAACATCCACAGGTAAGCCAGGCTATGAGGAACATAGCTCTGAACTCAGCAGGAACAAAATGAGGAACCGGGGAGAGTACAGAGAAGTGTTAACTCACACTGGTAGGATGCCCCTTCTCACTCAAAACAGCTGAGTTCATATCCCAGGCATGGCCGCTGTATCAAAATAATTAGTAATTAAACAAGTTAATATATGCAACATGCTTACAGCTTGGCACTGTTAAGATTATTACCCTCTTTCCTTCAAGCACAGCAGAACACGAGAAATGTCACATCTTTATCTGCAGACTTTGGGGGATCCAAGGCAGAATTTTCACCTACGCAGAGCAGGCTGAGATTCAACTTCCCTTTTCAGGTTTCACCGACATCCCTGAAGGTTCCATAGCATATCTGCCATCATGTGGAAAGATAAAATTCAATTCCCAGGCATTCCCAGGTGCACTTCTAAGGAAGTGGTATGGTGTGAAGAATAAAGCAATGGACCAAGGGCTAAAAAGTCAGACATCTGGCCTGGCACAGTGGCTAACACCTGTAATCCCAGCACTCTGGGAGGCTGAGGCAGGTGGATCATTTGAGGTCAGCAGTTCAAAACCAGCCTGGCCAACATGGTGAAACCACGTCTCTACTAAAAATACAAAAAAATTAGCCGGGTGGTAGTGGCACACCCCAGTAATCCCGGCTACTCGGGAGGCTAAGGCAGGAGAATCGCTTGAGCCTGGGAGGTGGAGGTTGTGGTAAGCCAACATCGCACCACTGCCCTCCAGTCTGGGTGACAGAGTGAGGCCCTGTCTCAAAAAAAAAAAAAAAAGTCAGTCATCTTGTCTTTGTACTGCCACTGACTATTTTTGTGCTCTTGAAAAATTACTTTACCTTGGTGTTTTTTTTTTTTTTTTTGAGATGCAGTCTCTCTCTATTGCCCAGGTTGGAGTGCAATGGCGTGATCTCAGCTCATGGCAGCCTCCTCCTCCCAGGTTCAAGCGATTCTCCTGCCTCAGCCTCCTGAGTAGCTGGGATTACAGGTGCACGCCACCATGTCCAGCTAATTTTTGCATTTTTTTCAGTAGAGACGGGGTTTTGCCACATTGGCCAGGATGGTCTTGAACTCCTGATCTCGTGATCCGCCTGCCTTGGCCTCCCAAAGTTCTGGGATTACAGGCATGAGCCACCATGCCCAGCTGAAAAATTACTTACCTTTCTAAGGCCTACAGTTTGTAATCTGTTTTTAAAAAGTGATTAGATGACATATAGTCCCATAGCCAAGAAAATAGTAGCTTACCAACATGTTTTACTGTGACCTACAGTGAGAAATATATCTTGTACCAGACCTCAATATTCACATATATACGTGCATAGCAAAAACAAAAATTTCAAGAAACAATGCTTGTCCATACTATGTGATACTCTCTATTCTACCCCTTTTTCCCCCAAAGTGCTGTTGGAGACCTACCAAATTGGTTTCATGACCCATTCGTGGTCATGATCTGCAGTTTAAAAAACAATGGACTAAAGCATGCAGTAAAGAATGTGGCTTTGCAATTAGACAGGCCCAATACCACTTTTTTTTTTTTTTTTTTTTTTTTTTTTTGGAGACAGGATCTTGCTCTGTCACCCAGACAGATGTGCAGTGGCATAATCATGGCTCACTGCAGCCTCAACCTCTGGGGCTCAAGCAATCCTCCTGCCTCAGCCTCCCAAGTAGCTGGGACCACAGGTGTGCACCCCCACTCCTGGCTAATTTTTTTATTTTTTGTAAAGATGGGGTCTTGCTATGTTTCCCAGGTTAGTCTCAAACTCCTGGTGTCAAGCGATCCTCCTGCCTCAGACTCCCAAAGCACTGCGATTACAGGTGTGAGCCACCAAGCCCAGCCCCAGCACCACTTTTAACTAGCTGCATAATCTTGGGTAAACTACTAACCTTTCCAAAGTACATCTTTTAAATTAAGACTAATACACCAGGGTTTTTTCTAAGGATTAGATGAGATAATGTATGTAAAGCACTTAGCCACACTGTGTCTGACATAAAATACATACTCAATAAAAAGTTATAGTGATGACTAATAACATCAATATTATTATTATTAAATTCAAGAATTCCAAAAGAAAGTAAATTAAGTGGAAGAAAGCTAGAAAGAGAAATAGGCTCACCTATAAGCATCAATAAACAGTAGGACTGTTGTCAGGTTAACCCAGGACTATGCTCACTGAAATTCTACAAACAAAGGGGTTTTGCTTACTTTCTTCACAATATCCCCTCGCAACTTAAGCAGTGCCCAGCACACAATAGGTACATATATTTGTTGAATGAATGAAAACATCTGGAGGCTCACCTCTATGCAGTGGAGGTGCTGTGAAGAGATCCCAGCAACGCCTGCACAGCACCCCTGCCCAAAAATCCAAACACCTTGAGATTGCTGTAAGCCAGTGACTCTCAAAGTGTACTTTCCCAAACAGCAGCAGTATTACCTGGACGCTTTTTAGAAATGCAATCTACCAGGTCCCGCTCCAGACCTACCAGATCAGAAACTCTGGGGGTGAGCCCAGCAATCTGTATTCTAACAAGTCCTCCAAAACTTGATGTGCACTCAAGTTTGAAAACCAGCATTACAAACTGATGATTTAGGGACCAATAGCAATTCCAGGGAGCTACATGTACAATCAAACGGACTCCTGCAAAGTTTATTGATTCTAGGAATTAGTTACTTACCTAGTTCAACCCAGACTTTTCAGAGTTAGCTGCAACTTCCAAGGAAGTTACCAAGAATTGCTTCTCCTCTCTGCTTCTCCTTAGTGCACCAATAAAGCCTAATTGCTGCAAACTCTCTGAAACAACCACTCTAATATTCAGCACAAAGCCTGATTGCTAAAAAAATGCAAAACCTATTTGTTAAGTGATCTTTTATCTAAGCACATTCCCTGGGCTCACACTATCCATACCAGAACTTCTGGAATGCAGGCTTACGGTGTTTTTTCAAACTCTACATTAGTTCTCAAAAAATGAACAAGGTCCCACAGCCAATCTGCATGCAGCAACTTTGCACCAAAGTTATAACAGTACTGATCTACCAATACCTTGCATTTCACTATTTGCCAAAACAACAAGACCTTATTTAGCATCAATTTTGTGTACATACACTTCAGAAAGAAGATAACCAGATATTAAAGATAACCAGATATTAAAACTCCAAAGTTAAGGTTTGTAATGTGTTGATAAATCAAACAACACATATTTGTATCACTAGATTGAGCCCAGTAATTTCTATAGAACCTTAATTTCCCAAAAGGTACCTTAATCAGACTCTAGTCAAACACAACAAGATTTAGAAAAAACACACTGTTTTTTATCAAAAGGCAGGAAAATATAACTGTCTTCTTTCTAGTCTGGTAAAGGATTTCTAAATATACCTTCCAAGGGCAAAAGGGTGCCTTTGAAAAATAAGAAGATTCCTTAATTCTGTCAATAGAATAATGATCCAGTTATATACCAAAGAGCAGATAGAAGACCTGGCTATGGAGTCATGTGACTCTGCATTAGATCTCATGGGGTCTCTGTCTCAGTCTCCACAAATAAAAACATGGCCTTGTCTCTATAAAAGATACAATGTACATAGAAGTGTTTTGCAAACTATTATATATTATCTTCTCAACATGCAAATTTATCCCTGTGAACTGATTCTTTCCCTCCCACTCACAGTGGCCAAAATAATTTATATTAGAATGTGTCCATAGGTGGCTTAATAGCAGTTGTGACAAAAGTGTAAACTAGAAAAGATACTGAATATTTACACACACATAAAGCAGCATGAAGCCACAGAAGGCTTCAAATGACAAAGAAATGAATTAGAAAAATCACCCACAGTACACTGGCCCTTCCTGGTTTTGGCAAGGATTTCAGCCAGAAAGACATGGTATTTAAGAAGAAAAATTAATAAAAAGAAAACATAAAATGAATTCTTTCAGAACTTCACAAAAGGTTATGTTTAAAAAGAAGTTTGGGAACAAGGGGATGCAGAGGGCTATGTTTTTTTCAGGTCTGACTTATCTTTTGCTATGGGTACACTGTCTTTTCATGTGGCCTCAAAGAAATAGTTGAGCCATTATTGTTGTTGATAATGACGAGCAGATGCTGATGGGATGATTGCACATCAACAGTTCTCAGACTCAGGTCTTGTGTAATTGGGTGTGTCAATCTATGTCACTCCACAGATGGTTATTAAACTAGTTACAACTTCCCTAAATCTTTTCACTAGATCTATGCAGCATTCTGGACAGCTATTCCTTGCCAACTGAGATTAGGCACTATTATAAAAAAAGTTTTGAAAAAACAATTCCAAGGTCTATTCCTCCTCCCAACACACACACACACACACACGCACACACACACAGAGTTAAATCAGAGATACTTAATTCAGATATTCAAATTTTTTAATTTGAAATTTAAAATATTACCAAAGCCATAAATATTCCTTTAATGCAGTGAATGTAAGAAATCTATTAATTTCAACCTGTCGTGAATAAAAATTATAATACATATATAATTTTCTATGAAAAAATTGTATGTATTTTAGATAATCTATGTACCTCACGAGTAGCCCTTCTATCAAAGCTCTTCTCAGGATGGTGGAGAATGGTGAATCTCAGCTCTCACAACATAAAAGTGCCAAATTCTTCTTAGTGAAAGAGATGTATAGCCTTGATGTGCTAGATAAAAGTGGCCTTCAGAGAAGAAGCTCTCCACTGACCACGGGGCATGGTCAAATGTCCAGTTGGATTGCTGTGAGAGTCAAAATGATCCACTTGGCATTTTGTTGATATTGAGGTGTCAAACCTTTAACTAGTTGGCCACTCCTTCCAGTAAGCTTCTGTACACTGGACAACTGAAAGAAAGTTTGTTAAGAAGGCTCCCTTAAACAAAAGGTACAACTTATAAAATACACTGTTGTGGAAAGACAAGTATAGCTTCATTATCATATAGATGTAAACAAGGCAGAGACTAGGCTAAAATAAAGTGTAAAATGTGAGTTTGTTAATTTTTCTTTCCCCGTGAACATTTGGCAGAGTTAAAATTTTAGCCATCATACATTTTATTCCCTGAAATGTATCAGTCACAGTTCCCACAGACTCTAGATACACATTTCCTTGTGGGTGTATGTGTAAAACTACCATAACAAAACATTTTCTATTTCCTCATTTTGATTAAAAGGAAAGAAGAAATGCTAAACTGCACTTACATAAGTGACAGTGCAATAGTGACACACCATCTGTGTACACAATTTGTATTCTGTTTAAATTTAAAGTTATAATGATAAGGTGAGAAATGCTAAGAGCTAGGAAATAAAAATACACTTAGAAGCAGCCTATGTTGTACGCTCTTGAAAAACCTTAAGGAAGCTTTAAAGAGCAGCAAAATCACTTCAGGCCACTCAGGAAGAACTACGGCTTGAGACATTAAAAATGGCTGAGGAAAAATACTAAGAAATAGACATCAGAAAATTAAAAACGCCTGTAAACGAGGGTGACGTTATAGACCCACTAGCAGGACATATGAAAGTTGTGATGAGTTAAGCTGAGTCAGACACATATTCCTGCCTATTTCACATGTATCAACATCCTGTCTAGGAACCAGGGACAACTGATTAACAATGTAAGCACAGAATAGCTTTAAGAAAAGCTAACTGACCCATCTGGGGAAAGAATACTCAAATTCTGCTCCATTTCTGTCATGCTCTGATGCAGCTAACCAAACAGAAATAAAGAGAATCCTTTCACATCATGAGAAATGAAATTCGGATTTAGGGACATTATAAAATTATGCGGTATCATGAAATAAGAACTGCTCTGGAAATCAGAACCTGGGTTCTAGCTCTGGCTTTTCCATATACTAACCATATGGTCTAAAGGAATTCCCTTAAGCTATTTGAGACTGATTATTTTCATCTGTAAAACTAAAATAATGTAACCAGCCCTCCATTCTTACCAGAGTTCATTTGTGGCCCAAATAAATCATGTCTATTAAGGTGATTACAACCTAGATAGCATTATTTAATGTAAAATATTATTTTATAATAGCACAATTCCCAGTCTAAAAATCTGTGAAACAGAAAATCCTTACCATCTAACCCAGAAATGATAAATGATTACATGATTCAAATTAGATCACAAACACCTATATTATTATTAGATCCATTCCTCCAGCCCAAATGGGGGTGGTAAGTATACGTTGTTAGACCAGTGTAACTAACTTCAACAACTTTTTGTTTTGTTCTGTTTTGCAAATCCACCCAAGAATGCATTAACTTCAACAATTTTTTAAAAACAATTTCCACAATCCTCTCCTTGTGTCTCAACCATGCTCAGGAATTACAAGTACAATAATCTCCTCAACCTCCCCTAGCCTTTCCTAGCTCAGAAATCCGACATAGGCCACTTCGCATGCCTGATCAGATAAGCTTTCCCAATGCTGAAAACCAACTGCTTCTAACCTTTTAAACCTGATTTCCATGAAAACTCAGGGGTGAAAGAAACAAATAATCCAACCAAATCAGTTCCTTCTTATTGAAAGAGTTCTTCATCTTTAATCTGAAATCCTAAATAATTTTTTCTATGAATCAATTGCTTCTGAGATGAGAGGTACAAGACACTACAAACTATGACCACACAAAAGATTTTTAAAAGCTTTTGATTCACAGTGAGTTAACCTACAAACTTGAAGTTACTAGACAATAGTACTTTTAGTCTACTCTTTAGGTGATCCATAATCTTGCATTGGCCATGAAGCAGAGCCTAAAGGGAGTCATTAAAAGAAACTGAAACAAGGTCTAGAGACAAATGTTCCCAGGCTATATATTCCAAAGGAGGAATTACCATGAAAGTAATGAACTTTAAAGTTCAGGGGCCCCTACACTCGGGTGCCTATTCTGTGCCCAGAACCACGCAAGCACAATTAAATATGTTGCTTTCAATCTTTACAAACAATCCTGCAAGTTAGATATTACTATTATTCCCATTATATAAATACGGGTACTGAGACTTAAAGAAGTTAAGTGGCTTGTCTAATATTCTTAGCTAGTACAAATCAGAGCCCAGTCTCTCTGATTCCAAAACTCACCAGCTATGCTAAAGCAAAAATCAAAAGGTAGTAGGGAAGGGTATCTAAAAGTCATTCTGAGAGATAATTAAAAATAAATAATGTTTGCTGTCACTTATCTCTTTTACCTTCTTTAATATCCCTTGGCATCCTCTCCTTCAACATTCAACTATTGACTAACACAACTAAAACCTAAGGAGGAAGTCCAGTATGTTTGAAAGAACCCACATGTCTGAGCATGCAGGCGAAGGACTGTGTTTTAAAATAGCAGGGATAATCTAAGATTAGGTATTGGTGTCAAACACACTTCTCTTATCTATTAGTACAGATGACCACCAGTTTTCAGTAACAAAAGATATGGTAATAAGAAAAAACAAATCCACAGAAAAGGAAAAAAACAAGCTTGTCTTTATGCTTGTTCTGTAATGATATGTGTAGAAATGCTACCCACAGTTAATTTCATAGTTCCTAAGCCAAGACAGGTTAGTACTGGGTAATTTTAATAATTGGCTATGTGCATTGTTCAGATGCTGAGGCATTCCAATCATTTTACATGGTCTCTTACATCACTTTCAGAATGGTACCATAAGAACACAACTGTACAGTCAAGAAAAAGCTATTTGTAACTAAAACGGCTGGCATCAAACATTTCTGAACATAAATCTGGCTCTGAATTGCTAGTTGCAATCTCTCTCAATTTTTTATTTAAAAAAATCCACACATTCATTCCTGGTCTTAATCTACTAAAGAATTTCTTTTGGGATCAAAAAGTAACAGGAAAGAATGCTAACCAACTTTCCTTGGATTACAACAAACATAATTCCATTCTTCTTCCCAGTTACAAAAAGATTTAAAAGAACTACAACTCTTCAAAATGGAAGTTTGCAATTTAGATCATTCTCCTATTATGCAAATGTTCATTCAGAATTAAAATATTGTTTTAAAAAGTAAAATGTAAGTCAGTTTAGTGCACAAAATGTTTACATTAAATACAAAATTACACTATCTAAGGGACTACAGGATTCCACCAGACAATGGCATTATTTATTATGGTTAAGTATGTTGGCTTTGGATCAGGAAAGAGGGGTTCCAGTGACTGTTCTTTACCACTGACTGGCTAGGTGATCTGGATGAACATTCCTTAACTTTTCTGTAAACAAGAATCCTAACATCTATTTTAAGGACTAAAGGAAACAAGTAAAGTATTTTGTCCCCAAGCATCTGTCACATAATAAACCCTCAGAATATGGAAGCTACTGATAGTCACATAAACTTCATGAAAACAGAAACATTCATCTGTTTTGTTCACTCTATTAACAAGGAGGCATGACTTGATCAGTATTCATGCAAATACTTCCAGTTCCTCCAAAGTGACATTCATATTTATCTATATTAACTACATCCAAATTCTGCTATCCTTCGTGTATACTTCTCTTTTATTATAAGCAGCTTCAGCTACTTTTATGGAAAGATTTAAATTATTGGAAAATATTTTAAGGGTATTTAAGTTAACATATGGACCATTTACATATTCTATAAACTGTGTGCTTACACATAATTATAAATATCTCAGACTGTAAAAGAAAACCTTCCATAATGTTCCCACAATGGAAAAATAAAGTCTTAGAAATAATTATAGAGGGAGCAGAAGGGAGTGGCAGGTAGAGGATAACTTACTAAATCGGCAAAATAAAATTTGGAATTTTTTCTTAAAACAAAACAAAATAAAAACCTGACAACCACTTGTTCAAGGCTGCCAAAACTTGAGAAGAAGCAAACTGTCAAGGGAAACAAATGTTAAAATATAAAGCCCTTTTCTGAGAAAGTAACTCCACCAGTCCAGGTTAATCCAATTCTGAATCACTAATGACACCAGACCTGCCGGGCTGTCTCAACTACTACAAAGAAGTCCAAAGGGACAGGCAGAGGTTCACAGGCAAATTATTTTCACTGCTGTCATTGAAATTTTAAATATAGCCACACCTCTCCCATCCCAACACCCTTTCTACTCCTCTACTGTTGTTGACTGGCACTAACCCTTTTCAGACCTCAAAAAACAAGGGCCGACATATTGATACATAATTTGAGTACTGAGCATAGTGGAAAAATCACTTGACTAAAAGTCAAGAGATTGGATTCTGGCCCCAACCCTGACCCAGCTCTAGGTACTTGGGCCAGTCACTTTGCTTCTTTGGTTTTCTCTCTTTAAAACAAGGATGGATTAGATGGGTGGTTCCCCACACAAGATCCCAAAATCTCCAGGAGCCCCTGAGGTTGTAATAAAAGACAATGGGATATTTTTATTATTTCAAAATGTCTAACAGAGATAGTTCATTAACTGCTTTAAGGCTAATTAAAACACCAAGTATTTTGGCTTCACATTAGTACTCTGCATGGTGACACTGGATGGCATGTGATTATGTTTGTCATATCATAGGAAATTTGGAAACAAGAGTGTTAGACCTGATACTGTTCTCAAAGCTGTACCTCAGAAAATCACAATATCTTTACTAAACATAACATCCAATCACAAATGTGTGGTTAATAAAAATTGGGAAAATGATTTAACACCTATCAATGCAACTTGCATAATACAAGCATACCTTTGTGATATTGTGGCTTCAGCTCCAGCTCACCTCAATAAAGCAAACAGTACAATGAAGCAAGTCAGAAATTTTTTGGTTCCCCAGTGCATACAAAAGTTATGTTTACAGTATACTCTAGTCCATTAAGCATGCAACAGCATTATGTCTAAAGCATAATGCATATACCTGAGTTTAAAAATACTTTATTGCTAAAAAATACTGACACAGGGACATATAGTGAGTATATGCTATTGGAAAAAATGGTGCTGATACATTTGCTCGACATAGGGTTGCCACAAACTTTCAATTTGTAAAAAATAAAACAAAATCTGTGAAGCACAATAAAAGGGAACACAAAATAAAATAAGGTATGCCTATAGATAAAATCTCCCCAAACTGAAAGTGTACCTCATTAAGGGAAAAGACTCAAATATGAAACCCTTAAATAATTATTAGATCACAGGAAACCAGTGAACAATCCACAGGCTGCAAAGATGATGTTCCTATTTCCTCATGAAGGTTCCCAATCACTCATCCACTTTTGATTAAAGAAAAGTGAATGCACCAAGAAGCCAGTCTGTACTGCAACATAAAATAACACCAATACCAACAATAACTACTATTTACTGCACTTTAACTATGTGCCTGGTACTGTCCAATGAATCTAACATTTATTAACTGATATTATCTTCATAACAACTCCAAAATATACTGCTACTATCTTTATTTTTAAAATAATAAAATTGAGGCACACCATGCTTCAGAAACTAGCCCAAAGACACGGGGCTAGTAAATTTAGAGCAAGGCTTGTATGTTTTCCAACCTTCTCCCCACCAAAGCTGGCATCTGCCTTTCAAAAAGATGTCTCCATAAATACAAACAGGAATGCCCCAAGCAGAGCCCAGAGGAGAAGGGCCATTGCTCCTGAGAGCAGTCCTCTGAAGAGTTCATCACTGTGGCCCTTTTCGGCTTAAAGATTCATCCTTAATGGAAACTCCCCTCTTTTCCCTCCAAATTATATTTGCTTGTCCTGGTAATGGAAATCAACTGATAGAAGGTTAAAAGCCATCAATGTATCGGTCAGCTAATGTCCATCCACTTCTTACTTATTCAGAAGATACAAAAGAGTTCTAACTGGCTGACCCTTCAAAGAAGGTAGTTTTTTAAATTAATTTTTACTTATACATATCATAAAAATAGGCATCTGCAGTATCCTGGAATGAGTGAGGGTTATGGAGACAGATCTAGCTCTGAATCTCGACTAAGCCACTTACTAATTGCATTATCCTGTGCAAGTTAGAAGCCCCAGTTTCCCTAAATACCTACCCCTGTCTCTTAGGGTTGTTGCAAAGTGTTAAGTGTATGAATGTACATAAAACACCATGATTTATTGCAGCGGCCCTAGAGCCAGACAGGGGTTTGAATCCTGGCTACACCCCTCACTAACCATAGGCCAACATCCAAAGCTGTGAACCTAAGTTCCAAATTCCTTACCTATAATGTAGAAAAATATTGTCTACTCCAAAGGATAGCCATATGAATTAAATAAAGCAATATTTGCAAAGCCCCTAGCAGAATGACAGACACATAATAATAAAAATCAAAAAAGAAAAAAAAATCTGATGTTTAAAAAATCAAGCTGCAAGGACCAGGCACGGTGGCTCACCTGTAATCCCAGCACTTTGGGAGGCTGAGGCGGGCGGATCACCTGAGGTCAGGAGTACGAGACCAGCCTGCCCAACATAGAGAAACCCCGTCTCTACTAAAACTACAAAAAATTAGCCAGGCGTTGTGGTGCATGCCTGTAATTCCAGCTACTCGGGAGGCTGAGGCAGGAGAATCACTTGAACCCGGGAGGTGGAGGTTGCGGTGAGCCGAGATTGCGCCATTGCACTCCAGCCTGGGCAACAAGAGCAAAACTCCAACTCAAAAAAAAAAAGAAAAATCAAGCCACAAGTTTAAGTACCAGCTCTGTCACTTATTATGTAGGGGTAAACAATGTATACAAGTCACCTAGCCCCTGTGAGGCTCCATTTCCACCAAGTTTGTGAGGATTAAAGGAGATCATTGTGTAAGAATACTCTATAAACTATAAATTTCCAACAGAAATGTTGGAGGTTGTTTGATTCTACAGAAGCAATTTTTATATTAATTGTATTTACTGGTCCTTCCAAACAATATCTTCATCTTTAAAATGGAAAAAACTGAGGCAGAGAAATGTTGAGCCATAGAGGGAAGGCTACTGGTTTGAAATGTAGGGTGGAGACAAGGGCTGGGCCAAAATAAATTTAGACCAGGACAAAGCAGAAAATTTCTGAAAGCTTCAAAGGAGAAAAATGAGAATACTCATCAACCTATGTTTTTAATCAACAGCTTCACCTGCTGGTTAAGCCTCTCAGTGCACAGTGTGGGCATAATAATTCTCTTACTTCCTCCCAGAAACAGTATTAGACTTCAGAGTGAGAAAGAACTTCACTATCAAATCTCTTTTCCTATTCATAAATTAATTTTGGGATGGGGCACAGAAACAAAGACCAGTGGACATAAATCTGAGTCTCAGTCTAACTGGCGTTTTCTGAACTACACCATTAAAAAAAAAAAAAGAAAATATTGTAATCCTTCAAATAGGTTTCCTTCCTTGGTTGATCAGAAATGTCCTCATTCCCCAGGTCTCTTCATGCTAAATATGGTAATAGCTGGCAGACAGCCAGCCCAGTAAATTCCAATGATACTTAAGAAAGCATTCATATGGCCTGAAATTACTCTGAACCAAACACTTGAGACCTGCAGGGCTTCAGCATAGAGCAGTTCAGCTGGAGCAACGAATGTCAAAACCAGCGGGGTGCCTTAAAAACACAAAAGCTTGGAAAAAAAGCAATCTACTCTTCTTTATTGCTACTTTCTTTAGCAACAACATTGATCTCCTACCCACTATGCACACAGCACTGCACTAGGGCAGTGAGAGGCTGGACGGAGGAATGGAAGAAACAGGTGGTGTCCATGGGTTGCCAAAACAACAGGTTGCTTCAGTCAGTTCTGTCCTACAACTAATCAATTTGGTGAGGAAAGGGGGAGAGAATCTTAGTCATCTTGTTCTCTGACCAAGCTAACTGGCTAGACCCACTGTACTGGCATTTATCCATTAGGTCAAAGTGTCAGAATTAGCAGTGCATGGTAGACATAGCATTAGTCCTGCCTTTCAGGGATGTTAAATGCTTCAAAAATCTTGGCTATCTAGAAAAGGAGGACAGTAGCCGATTACGTCACCCACCCAAAATCATGTATTTGACTCCAGAATACACTGCTTTTCTCCAACATATTTTTTTATTAAGTATTAAAGTAAATGTCAATTTCCTAGACATATACAGCTGAAAGCATGCTGATTTACGATACAGTCAGATAAGAACTTTCAAGTAGCTACAGAAAATAGCAGTTAACAAATGAATTAACCAATATCATTAGAAACCAAAGGATTAAAAAAAATTAACCTATGAAATGAACAATTTTTATATCAACATTGGTAGCAATTTGATGTTGTTATATACTGCTAATTATTTCCATACATATTGTGACATATTTAAGACAAAAGACTAACACCCTTAATATTTAAAGAGCTTTTTCAAACCAGTAAGAAAATAATTAAATGAGTAAAAGACACAATTTACCAAAAGAAGTAGAAAAAAAGGCAATACAAACGCCACTGATGATATGAAAAAACATTCAATATCACTGTAATGAGGCATATTAAGATTAAGTAATATTTACCACTTATCAAATGGTAAAGATTTTTAAAAATAAAACCTAGTGTTGACAATAGTATATTATGTGTGTGTGCATATATATATATGTAGATCTGTTCATAAACTAAAAAAAAAAATATATATATATACATATATATATATATATATATATATAAATAAATCAACAGCTTTTCTAAATCTAAGGGTAAAAAAACCAAAGACGTATACCAAAAAATTAATGGCAGCATGATTGTGGACATTTTATTTATGCTTTTCTAGATTCTTCAAACATCCTTAACTACTTTTTCAAACATAATTACTTTTTATATTACAAAAATAAAAAAATCTTGTAAAGGTGCCAGAGAAAATCAGCAAAGTATAAATATGAGTTAATTATCTGTAAACATAACGAATAATTCTGTTGCTACGTAAACCTACCTTAAACTGTTTCAATGTTTGCTTTTAGTTACAACTATTTTCCTTAACTCTCTTAGAAAGAATATGTCAGAGAAGCCACTACATATTACTTACTTTAAATAGTAACATAATGCCAAAGACTTGCATGAATCTCAGGATACGGTCTTTTACCTAAAATTCCTCATGAAGATTAGAATGCACTTTAAATGTTGTAATAAAGTAAATGCCCTTAATGTTTCTAACTAAAGAAGATCTAGCAAATAAATAAACCCATATTCACAGCAAATAAAAATATAATAAAATAATCGAAATACACATGTCCTCAAACTTCAATGTGTCTTGACAGCGTCTGAACCAAAGCATGTGTAAGGAGAGAATTAAACAAAAATGTCTTTGCTACTTACCACATTTACCATTTAGAGAAGTTAATATATCAGCACTATCTAGTTTTGTGATTATTCATACTTAGAAACTCAACAGAATAGATTAGTGAGTAAACAGTATTCAATTATTCTTATTTGAATGTTGGTTAGGTATACCAATAGAACAACCTCTCCCTGCTAGGTACCCGTTAAAATAGATTATTGAAAATATTTGAGGCTTAAAAACTTCCAGAATCTTCTCACACAAAAAAAGATGAAAATAAAAAGAGATGAAAAAGAAGCAAACAACAATTTTAAAACGTGCCTGCCTCAGAACAAGGCAGTTTATTTTAGAATGTAACCACAGCTTCTTGTACAACACCTTATTCATCAAGCACAACTGTATTTTAAAGGAATGCTATTTGTTAAAAAGACAACATATTTAGGATAAGGTATCTAACTCCAACCACAATATTATCATCATGTTTTCCTTACTTCACAAAATACACACATACATTCATCATATGAATAAACATATATAATAAAGGTGAGAGAGTTACTCTTAACCCAGAAACAGGTTCTGCAACACCCATAGATCCAACCTGTCGTTATGCAACAATGAGTCCATCTTGGCAAGATGTTTGGCTGATGTATTCAAATAACCCAGAGTTCTGCCAGCTGCCAGTATCCTGCAGAAGGAACTGACTCAGAGACCAGAAACTGCCCTAGGCAAGCCTCCAGGGAAAGGTGCTTCAGTCCAATGGGAAGAAAAACCCAGCCCCTCACTGCCTGGCCAGAGGACCCGGGGTACCATGGCTGGAGCGACGTAGCTGGCTGGAAATGCGAGAGGGGCAAGGGACACTAAGGTGAACCCCCAAGAGCTTGTTCAATCATACCTAGTAAAGGCCAAACTATTGGGGAGCTAGTAGAACAGGGTTTTGCCAAGACAAGTACAAAAGGGTGAGGGAGATATTAGTATGATTAATCAATGCCACCTGAGGCAGCAACTCTGGGTGTGTCCACACCACACTTCAGTCACTGCCTGGCTGTGACGAGAAGTTCCTTCAGCCACTGCCACTGAGAACTGCATCTTCCAAGGAAGATATTTCCACCATAACTTGTCCTAGTTCAGGCTTGGCATTCGGGACTAAGAACACAGCACTCTCTCTTGCCGCAAACCCACTAACAGACATAATAGACACCACAACATGTGCCAAATTTATATTTACACCCTCACCAGACAAAGGGGTTTTTGTCTTTTCCCCAAGCCAAGTTCTAATACTTCTAAATTACAACACAGAAAGAGGAAAATGGCAGACAGCTCACGACAGCAGACAAGCCCAGCAAGGGTGAGCTGGAGGTCGCCTTTCCCTGGTGGTATTAAGACCTGAAGTTTACTCCCAAGACCCTATAGCTCTGAGTCACCCTGACTGCAGGAAACTGCTTTCAGAGAGCATAGATAAATGATAAAATAACTGTATTTCATATTCCTAATTGTGTGCTTATCTGTCTTGTCTCCATGATGATGTCAGCTCCTTGGGAGCAGGACCATATTTTCTACTTGGTCAATGATTCCCACACATCTAGAAGAGTAGAATACCCTGTACTTGCTACCACATGATGCCAAGGGAAGCACACAAATTAAGTGTGACAACACACCACAATGCTCCCCCAATACACCACTAAGACAGTAGAGCTACAAAGATAGCAAATGTTAGTGCCAAGGGCTAGTGATCCTACCAGTGAATTACATGGAAACCTATGTATTTACATACACAAATTAATACAATAATTCCTTTGCTTTTCTTATTCCAAGCTATGGCTTTATCATCCCCCTTTCTTGGCTTTACTCTCCTTTTTAAGACCACAATGTATGTTCTGCCATACAGATAATATTCTCCTCAAAAAAGAGAGACAGGAGAAAAAACAGATCTACGGCAAACCTCCTACCACTACCAGTGATGCAGTTTGTCCCGTCTCAAGCCTATGAGCATATCCTTTCAGATCTGAAGCCACTTCCTTCTTCCTATCAAGGACAGTATTATCAAGTGTCTTTGTGAGAGGAGCAATCCTGTGCCCCTTCTTGCAGATTGTTTTGTTCTGCTCAAGAAGCCCTAGATTCCTCCTTTATTTTCCTTTCCTTATTTCATTTGCTGCAGCAGCCCAGAAACCCCAAAAGCAGGACCACCAGAAATGAGTGACCTTTATATCTCTCCACACTAACACATCTGAGGGAAACTGCCGACACCAAATATGTGTTCATGAGCTAATGAAGCAGAAATCCTCAAAGGAAGCACCATTTGCAACGGCTGAGGACAGAATTCTTTAGTGGACACCAAAAAGGCTGTGGAACTCCTATGCATTCTAACATCTCAGGTAACATTCTAATGGAGGAATAAGGAGGCTTACAACAAAGTCATACAACACAAACAGAAGTCCGAAAATGCTGGATTTCGCAAATTTCTTTTAAGACAAAACAAACAACTTTACTAACCTTATACCATAGCAGCTTTCTTCTCTGTACTAAGTGGCCAGCAAGTAGGAGGCATTTCCAAGGGGGAAAAATGACCACAGGATCTAGCCAAAGCAACCTGTCTCTAATACTCTCAAAAAACAAACAAACAAAAACAAACACTTTGATTTCCCAGATTCACTCTGCAGTGATTCTAAAACTTTCCTAATGTAAGAATCACCTGGCTATTTCTTGAACACACAAATTCCCAGATGACATTCCAGATGCACTGAATCAGAATCTCCATGAGAACACCTGAGCTATTCTTATCATAAGAGAGGTTAGGGAAACACTGCTTGATAAATGTTATTCTCCCACCAGTGCCCACCTGTGCAGGGAGGTATGAAACAAGTAGGGCTAAGATGCTTTACCTGAGCAATCACCCCAGACATGCTCCTCACTGGGTTTGACTCCTTTTATGGAGAGCTGGGTGTCAGCTCAGTAAAGTCTACAGACAAGCATCTCTTTGGGTCCCTATCACCTGCACAGGTCTCAGGACTCTGAGACAAATTTCTGAGTAGATGTCAATGAGGACAAGTCATGAGGAGATGGATTACAGCTGAATATAAGAAGATCTTTCTAAGAATTAGAGCTGGCCAAAGATGGAATAAACTGCTGTGGAGAGCTGTCTACCACAAGAGATGTTCAAGAAGAGAGAAAATATGGTACCTCTTGACTAGAATGTTGTAAACATCAGATCCAGCATGGGATGGACAGAAAGACTAGATGAATTTTAAAGTTCCCGCCAATGCATAAGTCAACAAAGAGGAAAATTTCAGCCACTCCTTAATTAATTAAAAGAGATAGCAAAAAAAGTCTGTGGGTGGGGTCAGCTTTCAACTGATCCTATCTCTTCAAAGGAAAAAAGAACATAGAAACACACTCCAACTCACCATCAGCCTCTCCTATAGAATGTTCTAAAGGTGGGAAAGCAGGAGTCACAGATGCTGTGACTAAGACCTGCCGCTCAGTTGACTCTGAATTTGGGGCACATGCCAGACAAGTTCTGTAGTACAAAGAAATGTGTGTAGCACAGACCTGGCCCTCAAGGATCAAAATCATGTGGCAGAGACAACTCAACACCATGTGATTCTCTCAAATATTTATTCATCATATTTCACCTTTAGTTTTTGTCAGTAGGGTGTTCAGGGGACTCTCTTGGTTCAAAAAAAAAAAAAGCAAATATACTTTACTAAATGTACATATTCTCTCAATCCAGTACAAGTTTGCAATATCCAACTCAATGAAAAAAATCTCAAAAAAAAATTATCAAAATAAATATAAACTTAGTTAACTCTAATTTTAAAAATAGTATTCCAAAAATGACTAGTCCCCAAAATGATGAAATTACAATAAGGTGTGGCTATTCTGGACAAAATAACAGAAATTGCTGGCCTAGTAATACAGTAATACAGGAAGCAGTGGAAGCAAACTTGAATGAGAGGCAGGGGGTGGATGGCAGTGCCTTTGAAGTGAGATTCCAAAGTCAAAGTGACCTTTATAAATTGCAGAAGTGATCAGAAAAAGAAAGAAAGAAACCCCACACACAAAGAAATTCAAAATTACAAGTTTAAATGAAACATCTGGGGAAGGGAAAAATTTGGTTTTTCCCCAAATGTAAGGTAAGCATGACTCCTGCAAATACTATTTTTAAAATGTCTAGGAGTACCACAGTTGTCCAAAATAAGAAAGTGGCTAAAAATAATTGTTCGACTGAACAAGTATTTATTGTGTGCCTATTAGATACCAAGGCATCATGCCAGGTACAGGGGTAGGGTATGGGCATTAGAATAAACACATAAATGAAAATACACGATTCCTTCCTCATGTACGCATTAACAATAAGCACTTGAGGATGTTATAAGAGTTTTTGTGCACATAAGCGCATTTGTACACGAGATGGAAGCAATGTGGACAGTGAATGAGGCACTGGACACCAGAAGAAAGGAATTCTAGTCTCAACTCTAATTGGCTCTGTGACCATGAACAATGAACATCAGAAAATGGAGGACCAAAACAGTGGCTCTCCTACAAGGTCACCAAACCAATTAATAACAGACCTGGAGAAGAATTCTGGTCTTCTGGCTCCTAGTTCAGTGATCTGTCCAAAATACTACACATATGGTAGACTGACAAAGAAAGAAAAGAAGACCTTTTGGTTTCAAGTCATTTGCAGAGAAAGGGGGGGAAACAAAAACAGGAAAATCAGGAAAGGGTGGAAGGAAAATTAATAGTTCAAATTTAGGCATTCGAACTGAGACATCAAGAAAGGAAGCATGTAACTATGGACTGTGAACACAATATAAAGAAAATGATGTAAAATTTCTTATATCCTTATTCAAATCACGCCTTGCAGTTTTTTACTCTAAAATCATTGCAGACGTATATAGATAAAGGGTCAAAAAACAACATGTATGAATGACATTTAAGGAAAAAGAGATAACAGAAGAAAAGGGAAAAGGAGAGGTGGAGAATTTATTATATCATCTAAATATATGAAGCCCTTCTAAAGGGTCAATGCAGACATACTGCACCCAGATAAACAGAAGAAATGACATTATATTCTATATCTCTTACGTTAGCAATTTTAAAATTCTTGAGTCAGAAGTGTTAAACACTGGAATGACTAAGGTTACATTTGTTATGGAAATTTCTTAAATTTAGAAAGACCTCATACACACACCTGAAGGTAAAAAAAAAATGTACTTAATCAGTGGGTTGCAACCAAGTTACTTGTCAGAATCACCTGTAAACCTTGAAAAAATATGGATTCTCAAACTTACCTTATCAGAATCCCTGGGTGCTGAGTCCAAGATCCACCCCAACAGATTTTGATGTAGCCAGGACACAGAGTTTTTTTCTACCATAATGGGAGAGGTAGGGAGGAGGATCACTAGGAATGGCAACACAGAGTGGGAACTAGATCAATGCAAATTTTGTGGGCAAAATAGAATTTCTGTGGGTGTGATATTTTTAAAATGTATTGTAAGGCTGCTCTGAACCATCCAAGCATATCCCACTGAATTTAAACATTCTCTAAAGGTCCTGAAGTCAGCAACTACAATCCAGGTGAACCAAAAGTTGCTTCTCTATGTCATAGAAGCCTACAGGAGAGGCAGTAGGGTGGGAATGGAGCAGAGAGATCCCAAGAAGTTATGGGTAAATATTTTTTAAATCTAAACATTCAGAAAAATAAGAGAGACTAGGAATCACTCTCCTCCTCCTCTCCACCACACCAAAAAAAAAAGGAATAATAAGAAAGTGAAAGGAAAAATAGTTTTAGGTTAAATTTCATCACCATCTGAAAGAAAATTACTCCGATTTTGTTTAAGCAAGAGAAGAATTCAGCTGAGAAATTATCTAGCAGGCAGCAAAATCAGGGAGTCACTTCCCATTGCAAAGCAAAAGAAAACAAGGAGCAAGAGTATGGTCCTGGATAGCTGTTTAGACAATCAGACATACTGCTAACATCTCCTTGCCTTAGAAACTCCGTGATGTTTAAATTAACAATTGGCCACAAGCCAAACACAGGAACACTCAAAAGTTTAGAAGGGTGTGCTGTAATTGGTACCTTAGCAAAACACAATAATAAATTAGGAGGATTCAAGAAGCCTTCACTGTAGACTCTAAGAAGATTTAAGATTTGTACCAAGAAACAGGCTTCTAAATCTCTTCTACTGCATTAGTTTAGCATCTAAAGAACACCTGTCTAAAAATCAAAATATCTAAATCCTATCCTTTGAGTCAACTTGACTAACACTCAACTTGACTACCTAAAAGCTAGCTAATAATCGCAGCACCTCAGCAGAGCAGAGGTGGAGGGCATAGTTTTACGCACTGAGATCCTATAATAAAAGAAGCCCTATGTGTCAGAGTAATCCCATTTCTGACATATTATTTAATACTTAATTTTTCAAATCACTTTACAATCATATTTATTATTCCCTACAATTCTCTAAAGCAGGTTATTCCTTTAGTCCTGCTTCATAGGTGAGGAGACTACATATCATGAAGATTAAGTTATTTACCAAAACAAGTTAATGATAGACCAAGGATTATTACCCTCAGACTGTCTCATTGATTATACTCCTCTCTATCCTAAAGCTACACTTAAAGCTTTCACTCAAAGAAAAAGGAAAAGCAAAAACACCATCATATATGCTCTTTATTAAATGCTTCAGAAACAACAGCTCTGCTTCATCACTACAAAGCCTCCTGGTCCACTTCTGAAATTCTTAGTGACCTAGACGTGTACGAAATTTGAACTTTCCAAGAAGTATCTAGTTGGTGCTGAACAACCCAGTACTATTTTCGGGTGATAAATAACCTTGTTCTCTTTTTAAACATCTGCGATTGACATGTCGACTGACTGTTAACAATGAACAAAGACCATATTTTTCTGAAGCTCATCATCTTCCTAACCTTTTCTTTGAAAACAGATGTAGTTCATGTACTAGTTTTTTGGTGAAGGTAAAAATCTTTATTCAGATTAGGCTCAGAAAAAGAAGGGGCTGCTTTCCGTTCAACAAATATGCACAAGACACCATCCCACTGGGAGCATCAATCTCAGAAGCAGTAAAACACAGCCTCGGCCCTCAAAGGACTTTCTGAACACCTTTGGAGTGTCATCCGTTTAATATACATTATTTTAATTAATCCTATTAGCTGGATAATTTCATTCCCATTTTATTGGTGAGTTCATATAGCAGAGCTGGATTTGAATCCAGGATTACAGAGCAGGGCTCCAAAGCCCAAGTTATTTCCACTAAAGGGTCTGAAGAAATGTAGAATCTAAAAGTGTGGGTGGGATGGGGAAGATATGATTTGATTCCCTTTCCTTGGTCCAACCGTGTTAGAAACATCCAACCACAAAGAAGCTTTCTAAGGAAGCCCTTTGAATTGACGTATCCACTTTTTCTCACCCGCCCGTGCCCCACCCCCAGCCATGCCAAAGGAGCAGCAAATGCTGCTGCCAGGTTGGAGGAATTGGTGATCGTCACACCACATTCCTGGGTCTGGACACAGCCTGAAACAGCAGCAGAGCTCCGCGCCTCAGAAAGAATAACAGCAGTTGAGATTTTTAAATCATGTGCCTCAGCATGCAGCCACACCAGTTGCCCTACTTCTCCTGCCTCCACCTTTCAAAGACGCGAGCAGCACACCCGGCTCCTCCGGACTTTCGGTGGGGTTGGAGTGTCAAAACTCAGGCGCGCCGCAAAACCCCGTCCCCATCCAAACCAAGCCCACACACCCGGCCCAT
Source organism: Homo sapiens (assembly GCF_000001405.40). Taxonomy (NCBI): domain Eukaryota; kingdom Metazoa; phylum Chordata; class Mammalia; order Primates; family Hominidae; genus Homo; species Homo sapiens. The sequence continues at coordinate 148,678,955 of NC_000001.11, forward strand.
GTGCCGCCCCCTGGCAAAGGCGAGGCTGGCTGCGAAGGTGCAGGCCGTTTGGCTTGGCGGCCCTGCCCCCGCTCTCCACGCCAGAATCTGGCACGCCTTCGCTCAGCCCCTCCGAGGCCCGCCGTCGGCTCTCGCTCGACCCCAAGAAACGCGGAACCTGAAGGGCAAAACTGCCCACCTCCCTGCACCCTGGCACTACGAAAAAGGAGTTTCTGAGACTTGCTGCCGGCCTCCCTCCTGCCGAGGAGGCGTGTGAGGGGTCCCGGGCCGCGGGGAGCAGAGGCGGCGGGGAACCCCGGCGGTTGGCGGGGAACCCCGGCGGTTGGCGGGGCACCACGGGAGGGGCCCCCGGCGATGTCCAAACTCTCGGGAACCCAGCGAGTGGCCTCGCTCCGCGCCGGCGGCCGAGCCTGGCCTTCCCACACAGAGAAGGACCGAGGGGGAGAAGGGTCGCCCCAGGTGGCAGCCCCGGGCGCCGCGGACAGCGCCCCTCAGCCCGATACTCACCATGCGCGGGGGTCGCGCAGCACAGCCAGAGCGCCAGCAGCGCCCACAGCAGAGCGGGGCGCAGGGCGGGCATCTTCTCGGTCGCCTCCTCCGCCGCCGCCGCCTGGGCAGATCCACATGGGGAGGGGGTCCCGATAGAGGAGCCCCACTCTCTCCTCCCCTCCTCCTGCTTCAAAGGCTCAGGCCCTGGCGCTACGCTCCGAAGCCCAGGCGCAAATGCCTCGACTCCCCGCGCCCGGAGTCCGCCGCTCCTCGGCCGCCGCCTCAGCCGCCCGAAGTTTGGCTGAAACTTTCTCGGGTGTGCAGCGAAGCAGCCTCGTGTGTCCTTCCGCCTCAGCCGCCTCCTCCCACCGCAAGCCCCGCCCCACTGTCGCCGCGGCCTCGGCCCCGCCGCCTTGGGCACCCAGGGGTTTCCCGCAGGAAGAAGCGCCGGCCCGAGCTCCGCGCGGAGGGATCTACTACGAGTCACTGGCCCCGTCCGCATCCTTCTCCAGCGGCCCCGGGGGCCGCCGCGCCTTAACTCGATCAGGGCTGCAGCGGCTCGCTGGCTTGACCAGTGCAGAAGGGGCGTGGGGGTGAGGGGGGTGGGGTAGGACTCTGAACTTCAAGCACTGGAGTTTGCCGGGATCGTGAACTTGCAGGGAGAGGCGGTCCTCATCCAGTGAGGTCTGTATCGCCACCTACACCCACACATCCACACACTGCTTTGCTAGCTAGAGGAATGCTCTGGAGTAGGACCAGTGCTGTCAAAGAAGGAAAGTGGGCCAAGGCGCCAAAGTCCATTAAAAAGGAATAGAGCCATCACGGAGTGGTGCTGCCCCATTCATTCATTCATTTGTTCATCCGTGTAGCGAATATTTCTTAAGTGCCTTACTTTGCGTAGCTGTGTGCTTGGCAGTGGGATGATACCAAAGATGCACAAGCAACTTTGAGTACCAAGACTTTGCCGCTGTGGGCTGGGGGATTCAGGGAAGGCTTTCCCAGAGGAGCTGGGATGAAAGCAGGATCTTGAAAGGTCAGTAAAATTTGTATAAGACAAGGAGACCAGCTAAGCTAAGGATATTCGTTGTAACACTGTAATAGCAAAACCTTGAAAACAACATAAATGCCCACCCTTAGAGGAATGGATGAATAATGTATGGTATATTTATAAAATGAAATGCAACACAGTAATTGAAAAGACTATAGCTATTTATGTCAATAGGGATAAATCTTAAAAACTAAATGATAGTGAAAATAATCGCAGAGGGAGACAAAGTATACCATTTATGTATATTTTTTTCAAGACAATACTACACATTATCTGTGGATGCATATATATAGATATAGATATTAAGAGACTATAACCAGAATAGTAGTTACTTCCAGGGCAGGAGAGTAGGGGGTGTGATCAAACCTGGGTACAAGTGGGCTTCTAAGAAAAGAGCTAAAAGTAAGAACAACAACAATAGTTGTATGGACATATCATTCCAGGAAAGAGCCCTCGTGAAAGCAAAGGTACAGTCAGAAGAGTAAGTAAATGAGTTCTGTCTCTGTTAGCAGTGAGAGGAGTCAAGGACGGAAAGGGGGTTGGGACCAAATTATGCAGCCTTGAATGGCAAGCTGAAAGGGTGGGGAGGCAGCTACCTCTTAGGTCACATAAAACTATTGAAAGTTTTTGAACAGAGTTGAGATTGATGGAAAGGAAGATTGCTCTGATAATTCTGTAGAAAATTGATTGTTGGGAGCAAGAGGTGAACTGGAGCCCCAGGACCAGTCAAGAGTTGGTGAACAGTCCAGGCACAAATTTAAGAAGACCTGAACTAATAAGGTAGATTTCAGAAGGAATGAATCTGAGACAATGTTAAAGAAACAGAAAAAAAAAATGGAGGTGTGACTAATTGGATGTGGGAGTTTACAATCCTGTTGGGATGAGAAATCCTACCCATAGAACCTCTCCCTGACTCCTATAGGATAAAATTCAAACTTCTAAACATGGTACATACAAGGCCTTTTCGTCATTGGGCCCCATCTCCTGTCCTCCCTGCCCCTGTTGTGAACTTCACACAATAACAGTATTACTTGAGATTCCCCCAAACATATCTTGCTGTTTCTGTCCCTGTATCTTTTGTTCCTTTGGCTTGGAATGACTCCTGTAGTCCCCTTCCCTCCTCCTCTTAATGAACTTCTAATCATAATTCATCCTTCAGTCCAAAGAAGGCTTTGCCGACACCACAATAAATTCCTCCCTCTAACAGACAGTCCCTCCACTGTCTTCCACTGCCGCTTCTTTATCTTAACACCGATACTTATTTTTCACACAGGACTCTTTGTATTTCTGTGTTCTCAACTAAGTTTTGAGGTCCTCATGGGCAAAGACCACAGCCTATTAATCCCCAGTGTCTATCACATAATAGATGTTGAACTAGAATGTAAAACAACACTAAGCAAGTACAAGTCAGTATGGGCATAGACCTATGAAGTTCCAAAACTGCATGTTAACAAGCACTTTAGGTAAGCAAGTATCATTAGTGAAAGTAGTCACATTGAAATACTGGAAACCCTTTTCAAAAATAACGTAGTCAAAATATTTTTGGAATTTGTCTTGTGCAAGTATGTTCAGAGAAAGATAACATTATTTTTCAGTTGTTTACCCACAGTGTTACCAGTTCGATCTTCCTCTTTACTCACTAAAGATAATTCATAGTGACTTGGCTGCATACAAATTTTAAAAATCACCTGCAAAGATAAGTTTTGTCACTATTAAAATATATTCAGAAGAATATAAGATAGTTATCCCCAAAGAGCAACTCTAGAAGCGACTGTAGCTATGACAACATTATTAAAATAAATGTGCAGGCCAGGCGTGGCGGCTTATGTCATAATCCCAGCACTTTGGGAAGCTGAGGTGGGCAGATCACCTGAGGTCAGGAGTTCGAGACCAGCCTGGCCAACATGTTGAAAACCCGTCTCTACTAAAAATACCAAAAATTAGCCGGGCATGGTGGCGAGCACCTGTAATCCCAGCTACTCAGGAGACTGAGGCAGTAGAATCACTTGAACCCAGGAGGCAGAGATTGCAGTGAGCCAAGATCGTGCCACTGTACTCCAGCCTGGACAACAAGAGTGAAACTCCGTCTCAAAAAAAAAAAAAAAAAATAGGTATGCAGTTTCTCAAAGTAACCGTTTTAAAGAAAGCAGCTATTATGTTCACATATAACTTTTGTTGAATGTGTTACAATATGAAAACTTACTGCATACATTCTGGTAAGGACAAGAGAAGTAAAGAGTAAATATGAATGGAAGTAAGGGAAAAATATGACTGAAGACATTTTTTAAAGATAAGTTTTAATGATAGAAAAATATGAGTAAGGGCTACCAATTGTTTTAGTTTTAATCAAAACTAAAAATATACATCTATGTCTTTACTGATTTAAACTCACATAAAACTGCCTTCCAAAATAAATGCAGAATTGGGCACTTATTTGTTCTCATGTCTGTCCTCTCAGAGCCGACAAGCTGTAAAAAACTCTCAAAATAAAACTCTGTTTTATTTTCTGTTTTGCCCCGGTTTCTATCACATAAGTGCTCAATAATATATGTTTTACATAAATGCTGAATGAGGAACATATATATCTATATAAACTGGGGAGCAGTGCAAGACTGGAAGAATGTCTTGGTGTGTTGGAGAAGTTGAAGAAGAGATTGTGGGATAGCTATGACACATAGATTGAGCTACACCACGAATCTCTCCATGTAACCCAGGAACCCAAGGATATGTGATGAGATGTTTGTGGAAGCAGGAATTAAAAGGAAGATTTCTTTTAATAATGCCTTGCAGTTGCACAGTGATTTAGACCTTCCAAAAACACTTTTAATTATATTATCTCATTTGATCCTCAAAACAGTCGTGGGAAATAGGCACCCCAGTCATTATTATCCCCATTTTGCAGATGAAGAAACTGAGATAGAGCTTTAAGTATCTTGCCCAAGGTTAAATAAGTAATTAGTGAGCTGAGACAAACCCCCCACTATTTCTGTCCTCTTACTCAGTCTCACTCCACTGTACCTTTGTGCAACAATGTGAAGCACATCCAAGATGATATTTAGTGTGGGGACCTCTGCGTAGAGGGACACCAGTTTCTTGTCACTTCCATATTAGCACAGAACAAGCTGGCCCACTGTAACTAGGAAACATAAACAAGTGAATACATTCTTTTAATTTAAAATTTTTTTGAGAGCCTGTTCTCTATAAAGCACATACTAGGCTCTGCGGCAATGCAGAAATAAATAAAACCTAGTCCCTGTTCTTTGGAGATCACAGAGCAGTGAGGCAGGCCAACATACAAATAACATAACTACAACAGAGATAAAGCACAGGGATATGGGAAAGTAGAGAGCACTGGGATTAATTTTGAGTCCACTTTCCTCTCATCCAGTCCCCAGCCTGAAAGATATGAACTGTGGTGGCCCACACAGCTGGACTGTAAACCATGTGACAAGAGTCATTTCTTACCCCTTATTCATGTTTGTAAACTCCACAGTAGTTGGTTCTTTGCCTTGCATAGAGTATGTGCTCAATAAAGACCTACTTTCTGAAAGGTTCACAGAGTTCAGCCAAACACAGGACAAGTTCTAGAAGGCAAGACGTTAACCTCAAGATTCAAACTAGCTCTGAGAATTAAGAACCAGCCAGACCCTTCCACTGAGCCTAGACCCAATTAATTACCTCTGCTCTAATTAAGGGAATCAGTAATGTAAGTAATTGTAATATGGGCGATATAGTTTGCCTGTGTCCCCACCCAATATCTTATTTTGAATTGTAATCCCCATGTGTCAAGGGAGAGACCAGGTGGAGGTAATTGAATCATGGGGGCGGTTTCTCCCATGCTGTTCTCCTGATAATGAGCGAGTTCACGAGATCTGATGGTTTTATGTGTTTGGTAGTTCCTCCTGCATTAATTTTCCTTCATGCTGCCTTATGAAGAAGGTACCTTGCTTCCCCTTTGCCTTCTGCCATGATTGTTAAGTTTCCTGAGGCCTTCCCAGCCATGCTAAACTGTGAGTCAGTTAACCTGTTTCCTTTATAAATTACCCAGTCTTGGGCAGTTCTTTACAGCACTGTGAAGACAGACTAATACAGTGGGCTTGTTGACATAGTTTTGCCCTTTTATGAATGTGATTATCTCAATTTTATTATGTTAAGGAAGGACACAGTGGCCCACACCTGTAATCCCAACACTTTGGGAGTCCAAGGCAGAAGGATGGCTTGAGCCCAGGAGTTCAAGACCAGGCTGGGCCACAAAGTGAGACCCTGTCTCTACAAAAAATTAAAAAACTAACTGGGCATGGTGATGCATGTCTCTAGTCCCAGCTACTCGGGAGGCTGAGGTGGGAGGACCACTTGATCCCAGGAGGTTGAGGCTGCAGTGAACCATGTTACCACTGCTGCATTTCAGCTCGGGTGACAGAGCAAGACCCTGTCAAAAAAAAAAAAAAAACTTACCTAGAAATTTCACATCTTCTGCTATGCTTGAGATAAGCAGGAAAATTCATATAGGAATGCTCACTGTATCACTCCCTTAAAATCTTCTTTTAAGCATTTTATGCTAGGAGGTATTACACTTCAATTCCTAAGTAGGTGTGTACTTTTTGTATATAATGATGTATGAAAAGGTTGACCTGTATGCACCAAGATGTCTCCCCAATTTAACAGTATCATAAATTCACAACTGTGTAATTATCAAACCACAGTATTATTGGATGAGTCTCAGTGCTTTAGTCACTAAAATGGTTATGCAATTTTGAATATTTATTGACGTTGTTCTCAGGGACTGTTGAATTGTTTTTACTCACATTCTTATATTCTTCCTTCATAATTAGCCAAGACATTCTTGACAGCAAGATTCAGGCATACAGAAAGTTTCTACTTCAAAATATGGAAAATCTTCTTACCATCTAGGTGCAGATCATATCTAAGTCCCCCGAAGAAAAAGAAAATGGAAACTTTTCTTACTAAGTGGAATTCAAAATGGTTAACTAAGTATGAGAGAGGGGACATCAAAAGTAAGGAAGAGAAATCCCATTATAAAAAGTGTGCACAGGCCAGGCACAATGACTCACACCTGTAATCCCAGCACTTTGGGAGGCCAAGACGGGAGGATCACTTGAGGCTAGGAGTTCAAGACCAGCCTGGGCAACATGTTGAAACCCTAACTCTACAAAAAATACAAAAATTAGCTGGGCATGGTGGTGCACGCCTATGGTCCCAGCCACTCAGGAGTCTGAGGTGGAAGAATCACCTGTGCCTGAGAAGTCAAGACTGCAGTAAGCCGTGATCACACCACTCCACCACTCCAGTCTGGGTGACAAAGTGAGACCCTGTCTCCAAAAAAAAAAAAAAAAAAAATGCATTAAAAATCTCCTTCTAAGTAAGTAATTCATTGGGAGATAATTAATGGCTGGAAACAGGTATTTATAATGGAAGCATACATGGCCTTAACGATAGGGTTTGCTTCTGAAAACACTCTAATTAAAAAGGGGAAGAGTAATTTTATAGGAAAGTACAAATCAGTGGTGTGTATGTCTACCAGTGTGTGCAAAGAGACAGAGGTGGTAATTGCTGGACTCAGACCAGGTATCAGCAACAACTAAACATAATGACCTTATAAATATGCAGATAGGATTTCTGACAAAGCTAAAAGTACATCATTATTATTATTCATCAATGTGGAATGGAATGTGAAATTGGAATCAGCAGGTAAGGGGTGGTTGTACCTGAATATCCTGGATACCAACTTGTTTTTGTTTTTAATCATTCTAATCTCTGTTAAGAATAATGTCACATGACTACTTTATCCTCTTTCTCAGACCACTGATCCAACCATTTTTCTTTCACACTTTTGCCTCCTTTCCTCTTATAACAGGTACTAACAGTCTAAGCAGAAAAAGAAGAACAGATGGTGGTAAGACCTAGAATGTTTACCCCATTAAGATCTATATCTGAATCCAGAAGGAACACCTCATTGCCGAGAAGAGCCCTGCAGACAGTTCACACCTCTGTTTCTTTTGCAAGATATAGCTACCTCAAAAAATCCTTTCTTGATCAAACTCTTATGGCCTGGAATCCTTGCGTTTCTGCTGATGACTGTCATTTTAGAGTACTTACTAAAGACAATGGTTGGGGAAATAGATATTTTAAAAATAAGGGAAAAAGTGGGTAGGGTAAACCCAGGCTTACTTATGTAAACTCTGAGTGCTGAAGTTAGAAGACAACCTTTAAGATTAAAAAAAAAAAAAAAAAAAAGATTTCTGGTAGCCGCCAGAAGCTAAGAACAGATTCTCCCTCTGAGCCTCCAGAACCCAGATGACACCTTGATTTCAGACTTCTGGCCTCCAAAACTGTGAGAGAAGAAATGTGTTGTTTTAAGGCACCCAGCTGGTGACAGTTCATCACAGTAGCCACAGGAAACTAATACCCAGCCCCATGGCAGGCATAGGTCAAGCCTGGCACAGTCTGGATCTCAGTCCCTGACTCAGACCCTAGATGCTCGCTGCCTTGTACAGAAACAACCTGCTCAACCAAACAGGGTGACCCTGCTGAAGCCGCAAATGTCCAACAGTCCTGCCAACCGTGGATGCTTCTGTAGCTTCCCTTTAGCTCTCCCTCCTGGCATGAAACCAGACACAGACTACCCAGAAGATGAACTGAGCACTCTGCAATGGGCCCAGCACGCTGCTGCATCTGAGACCATCTTCTCGGCCCTAACAACCCTGGCAGGCTCTTCTCTCTGGTGGGGAAATTGGGCTTAGGGAAAGGACATCTTTAGGACAGTCATCCCACCAAGTAGAATGACTCTATGCAGCCTGAATACTGTTTCCCTGGGAGGAAAAAAATCCAAAGCATAAACTTTTATAAGCTGTTTTAATTAAAACACTCTTTGTAAAGTGATGTATTTGAAGCAAGGGAGGAGAAAGGTTTTCTGGCAAAAGTGTCTTTTGTGGTGTTTCTTTGGTGAGCAAAAGGAACTCAACTGATGAAAACACCAAAGCACAAACATTCTGTGGCCAGTAAAGTGGGTGGAGGGGGCAATGGAGACAACCTCAGGTGGGGCCCAGCTTGTAACGCTGGCAGGGCTCTGTTAATGTGCTCCATAAAGGGCTTTGGAGGGCAGGAGGAGCACCACCAACATTTTAAATGTGAGGCCAACCATAAAACGATTCATGATTAGTCCACTAAAATGTGTTTATTGGCAAATAGGAAAGAGATCCCTGAAAATAAGCAGGAACAGGTGATTTTCAAGGCTGACTTAGGTCTCCTATTCAGCTACTCAACAATTATATCCGAGCTACGTGCAGTGGCTCACCCTGTAATCCCAGCACTTTGGAGGCTGAGACAAGAGGCGAAAAGTTCGAGACCAGCCTGGGCAACCTAGCGAGACACCATCTCTATGAAAAATTTAAAAATTAGCCTAGCATGTGTCTTGTGCCTGTGGTCCCAGCTACTCAGGAGGCTGAGGTGAGAGGATCACTTGAGCCCCAGAGGTTGAGGTTACAGTGAGCTGTGATCACACCACTGCACTCCAGTCTGGGTGACAGAGTGAGACACTGTCTCAAGAAAAAACAAAAATTAAAACAAACAATAACAACAACAACAACAAAAAAAAAAAACGGCAAAGTTAGAACACACAAAAGATAGTATAGTTCCTTACCCATCCACCACTTGGTTTTGAGGAGAAAAGGGAAGTAAGAAGAGTTGAAGAGAAGAAAAACAGAACAGAAGAGTGGGAAAGGAAGATGAAAGGGTGCTATGGAGTACTATGCACCTGTTTAGAAGTGGGGAAGTAGCACAAACACTAGCAAAAGAAGAACCACCATGGAGTTCCTCCTTGCACATCTCTCTCCCCTCCTGAAGGCCTAGGGTGAGCCCACAGCATTGTTCCAGCAGTGAGGGAGTCTTCACTGCCTCCTGAGACTCTCTCACGGCTCTTAAGATACCTCCCTGAAGTCCCTCCAAAGAATTCAATGTGCCCCTAGTCTAAATCAGTTTCCTCCATCATAAATACTCATAGATGACGCAACAATAAAGCGTTAATAACGATAATGGCAATTTTGTGTGTCAAACATTGTATTAAGAATTTTACCTGCTTTATTGTTTGTAATGCTTCAACAGCTTATGAGAAGGTATTATTATTTCTACTTCACAGTGCAGAAAATGAAACCTGAGTAAGTTGTCTTAGATCACACAGCTGCTAAGCAGTGGCACAGGGATTTAAGCCCAGGTCCATCTGATCAACTCCGATGGCACATAATTGACCTCTGCATTGTCCCGCCTGCCCACAGGTCACTGCCTCAGTGATCCAGTCCCATCCGTTGTTTAGATAACTGAATAAGTTATCCTCGAATCATTTATTGTAAGCCTAGTCTCTCAAGTTTACTGTGAGTCAAGGGCTAGGTCATATACCTCTTTTGTGCTCTTCTATATCGTGGCATCCAACCTCTTGCTTGTCAGCTTCCAACTCTGGCTCAACTTAAGGACTTCTTTTCCTGGCATCTGTCCCTTATATGGGAGGTGTTCATACAATTCTACTGATTGTTTTCACCTTACAACTTTTTATTTTGAAATACTCTCTTCTAAGTGTTCCTAGTAAATTTTTTAAAGCCAGCAAGGAAAAAAAATTCTATTTATTGCCAACTAATTATAAACATTAAAACATCAATTTAAAATTTAAAGGAAAAATGACCTATAATACCACCACTAATAGCATTTTCATGTGTTTTATTCATTTGTTCTTCATATGTATGTTCTTACAGAGTTGTAATCAAGACATACATATAGTTTTGTTTTGTTTTGTTTTTTTTAAGATGGAGTCTTGCTCTGTCGCCCAGGCTGGAGTGCAGTGGTGCGATCTCGGCTCACTGCAACCCCCACCTCCCAGGTTCAAGTGACTCTCCTGCCTCAGCCTCCCTAGTAGCTGGGATTACAGGCGCACGTGACTATGCCTGGCTAATTTTTGTATTTTTAGTAGAGACAGGGTTTCACCATGTTGACCAGGCTGGTCTCGAACTCCTGACCTTAGGTGATCCACCTGCCTTGGCCTCCCAAAGTGCTGGGATTACAGGCGTGAGCCACCATACCTGGCCGACATACATATAGTTTTTATCCAGATTTCTTAGGCAATTCATATACCATAAATATTTTCCTTTGTTGTACATAGTTGCCATACATAGCATTGTTATTGTCTGCAAAATATTCCAGCCTTAATTAATATATAGAGCTAGAATACTTTCTATATTAGTATTGGGATCTGTATCCAGAAGTTGTCCATCTTATTTCAAAGACAGCCTTTGGGGACAATCCCTCCATACTTCTTTTATTGCCAATCACAATTGGATGAATAAGTGGACTCTTTCTTTGTCTTGAATCAGGGAGATGGATCAGCCCTAAAGAATCCCCTGCTGTTGTTCTCCAATCCCCTCCCTAGCATTTACAAGTCTTCACCTCTCTGCTGTAGCCTCTTTCCTTCTTTCTGTTCCCCATTTTCTTCCCAGCAAAAGGCTTCACTTCCTACTTCACTAAAGACATCTCCTAGTTCAAATATCACCTCCCCTGCAAAACCTTCCCTAGCCCTCACCATTTCTACACTGACAGGCCATCTAAGGACTCCCTACCATCTCCCATCTCAACCTCACAACTCATCACTTATGTACCCACCTTTACTTCCTTGTGTTGTATCTCAGAAAAAAAGAGTCTTTCCTTCTTTCAATGCTAATTCTTCAGCATTGGCCATTGATTTAATTCCCTTCTGCCTTCTCCAGGACCATTTTGCATTCAATACCCACTGATTCCCACTGTCTCATCATTCATCTTTCCCTCTCTACTGGCTTAATCCCTCAGCCAACAGTTTTCTTCCAGACACACACACACACACACACACACACACACACACACACACACACACACACATTTTCTATTGTATTTCTATTTCAAATTCATCTTTCACTTCCAAACCTCTTAAAACAGTGGTTTGTCCCTTTCTGTTTTTATTTCTGCAATTTATTACAGCTTCCTCTTCTTACATTTATTGAGCACTTAAGATGTAAAAACAATATGGAAATAGAGATCGATAAAGCAGTCCCTACTCCCGAAGAGCTTCTAGTTAGTAGGGAAGATAGTAAACCAAATCAACACAACAAATAATATACATTTTATGACATAAATATGTGCACAAGTATCCATGGGGGGCTGCCTGGAGGAAATTGGAGAGACTTCCTAGGGAGGTGACATTTGAGTTAGGCCTTGAACAATGAGTTCAATATTATCAGGCAGAGACTGTACATATATTGCACATGACTGACAGGAACAATTTATGCAGATAACTGAGAAACCATATTAATGATTACTTAGGAAATATCAAATAATTCAGGTGTCATCAGAGTAAGGAACGTCTGGGGAAGAGATGAAGAGTCATTTAGGCTAGTTGTTCTCAAACTTTAGCATTTATCAGAATCATCCAGAAGACTTGTAAAAATGCCAATTGCTAGGCTTCATTCCCAAAGTTTTGAAAGGGGTGTGGGTTGAGCCAGATAATTTACATTTATAACATTCTCAAGTGATGCCAGTGCTGCTGATCTAGGGACCACACTTTGAGAACTACTGGCTTAGTAATCCAGCTTCTGCTTCAGTCGTTATAGTGAAATTACTTTTAGATGTCACCAAAGATCTCCAACTGTCAAATGCAATGAACTCATTCTCAGTCTTCATTTTCCTTGATGAGTTTGCAGCATTTGACATCATTGGCAATTTCAGTGAGCTCTTAACTGTCTCCCAGCTTTTAGCCTCTCTTTTAGTCCATTCAGTACTCTGAAGCCCACAGGATTGTCCAAAATACAAGTATAAACCCATCACTTCATACTTAAAACTCACCAATGGCTCCCCATTCTCTACAGTTAAAGCCCAAACTGGACAGACTGGCATGGAAAATCGTTGGCATTCCGACCACATTTACCTCTCCCCCTGCTGCTGCCCAGGATTGCATAGCCTTTGTTCCAGGCACATCAAGCTACCAGCCAGTCCCCAGACATGCTGTGGGCTCATGTCCTCTTCACCTTCATATGTGCACTTCCCTTTGCCTATAATGCCCTTGCTGCCTCCCCTCCCCTATCCCATCCTCCCCTGGATCCATAGTGATATAGTTGACCCATAGTGATATATGGTTTGGATGTGTGTCCCCTCCAAATCTCATGTTGAAATGTGATCCCCAATGTTGGAGGTGGGGCCCAATGGGAGGTGTTGGATCTTGAGGGCAGATCCCTCATGGATGGCTTAGCGCCATCCCCTTGGTGATAAGCAAGTTCTCACTCTTTTAGTTCACAGTAGACCTGGTTGTTTACAAGGAGCCTGACACCCCCCCCGCTCTTGCTCCCTCTCTTGCCATATGACACACTGGCTCCCCTTTGCCTTCCAGCATGAATGTAAGCTTCCCAAGGCCCTCACCAGAAGCAGATGCCAGCACTCTGCTTCACCTACAGCCTGCAGAACTGTGAGCCAAACATACCTCTTTTTTTCTTTTTTTCTTTTTTTTCGTGACAAATTCTTGCTCTGTTTCCCAGTCTGGAGTGCCCTGGTGCAAGCTCCGCTCACTGCAACCTCTGCCTCCCAGGTTCAAACAATTCTCATCCCTCAGCCTCCTGGGTAAGTGGGATTACAGGCTTGTGCCACCACACCCAGCTAATTTTTCTATGTTTAGTAGAGACAGGCTCTTGCCATGTTGGGGAGGCTGGTCTCAAACTCCTGACCTCAAGTGATCCACCCGCTTCAGCCTCCCAAAGTTCTGGGATAATAGATGTGAGCCACCAGTCCTGGCCAAAATAAACCCCTTTTCCCCTTAAATTACCCAGTCTCAGGTATTCCTTTATAGCAATGCAAAATGGACCAACACCTATGGAATTTTGGGTGAAGGCCTAGCTCCAATGTCATCTTCTCTCCAAAGCCTTCCTCAGCTTCCTGGCTCCTTTCCCTGAGGTCCTCCACGGTTGGTTTCTATGTATTATATATACCACTTAACAACTAGTTGAACATGTGATTACTATATGCGGACTTGCTTCAGTCTCTGAATCTTACTCTGAATCTATCTTGTTATTTTTGTTATTCTCATAAAAGGCTTTCAATATAGGTGTATTGAATGAATGTTGGGAACATAGTACACATTTGATAAATAATGATTTGAGTAGGCACTTGCTGCTTACCCAGTGGAACAGGCAAGCAGGCAAAGAGGAGGAGGAGGACACAAAGAGAAACTATGTTAATGAGCAAGAATCAAATGTGCCACCTCACAGCCTCCTGACTCCCTGCCTTAGAGGGTGAACCACAGGCTATTTCCCATGATTCCCTCTTCTTTGATGACACAGTGATTTGTCAGCTCTGTGGACTGGAGAGTTATGCAGCTGCCTTTCTCGCTTTCAACAAAGTACTTGCTGGAGGACTTATCCAAAGCTGAGAAGCAACACCTGTGGGGACTGGGCAGGAAACACTTTAGTAGTTTGTCTTGGTGCATGCACCACAAGCAGACAGCCATTTGCCTTCCATTTAGTTTCTGCAACTGAAGGAATACTGCGGGATTCTCTGCCGCTAGGAAGAAGAGAGCCGCCCCCCCCCCCCCACCATCCATTCTTCCTCTCTCTCTCTTCCTTAGTCTTACCCCTGCACATTCTGATTGTTGTGGTGACCAGATCCTGCAGAAATAAAAGAGGCCTGAGTTCCTATGTGGCTGGGCTGTATCCTCCTCCTTCTCTAATAAAGCTATGGCGTTAAGGAAGCCCTATCAACTGATGAGCTCAGAATGCCCATGCCTTTTGTCACCTAGCCTTTCCCCATCTCTGTGCAAATGGCTACTAGAACAGCCATTTATAAAGTGACAACTATGTGTTGGGTGTTTTGCATACATGATCTCATTAGATCCATACAACATTCCTGCAAGAAAGATATCTTTATCTCCATTTAACAAATAAAGATACTGATGCTCAAAGAAGTCAAATAACTTATCCAATGTTGACAAGCTAACAAGTGGTAGGGGTCAGATTTGAACCTATGTTGCAACCATTTTAGAGTCCTATATGTTTTCCATTATTTATATCATCTTGGAGAACTAAAAAAGGTGAAAGTTACAGAGTCAGCCAGTGTCATAGCAGGAATTAAATTCAAGGTGTTCTGATTTCCAGGGCAGCCTACAAATATCCACCATATTGAAAGAACTGTTTGAATGGATATGTTTAATGTTCCAAGAATTTATGAAACTTAAAAATATATGTTGATACTACAGTTTGAAAAGGACCCAGAATTGGAAAAGCTGCTTGTTCATGAGTGTCCCTTGTCTCTACTGTCCTGTAGTCAGTGCCCCCTCAAAGTTGGATGCATCTGAGTGGAGATGCTTTTCTGTCACCTAAAGTCACACATTTACCTTTGATCCAGACCCTCCCCAGAAGCAGTGCTTTTGAAATCTCTTCTCCTCTTCTTTTTGTTTGACAAAATATAAATGATAGTTTATTTCTAGAACGATGCCAAATTCAATAAAGCAATGATGGAGTTGTGTTTCGTTTTCTGGTCAAGTTGACACCATAAAGTGGGTTTTCCTGAATATTTCCCTGTTCCACTGGTGTTCTTGGCATTGTGAATAAACAGAGCTGGTGATAACATCCATCATAGAATTAAGCACATTGAGTGGGTGATAAAGTCAACAAGAAGCTGAAACAAGAATTACCACGGATAAGCTGCCAAGAGTTGGCTGTAGATTCTAAGTGGACACTGTGGCTCATTCATCTTCGCCCTTCAGCTTTCCACCCCAACATCATCCCTGCCTCAGCACTCATGACAAGAGTAGGAAAGTAGGAGAGAAGGAAAGCACAGGGATCAAGTACAGGGGACAAATACATAGCATTGATCTGCCTGAGATAAAATCTAAAGACGCAGTAGTAAATTCTTAATGAGTACTGAGAGAGAACAAAGAAAAATGTTGTGGGTTTTGTTGTTGTTGTTGTTGTTGTTGTTTGAGACAGAGTCTCCCCCTGTCGCCCAGGTTGGAGTGCAGTGGAGCGATCTCGGCTCACTGCAAGCTCCGCCTCCCAGGTTCATGCCATTCTCCTGCCTCAGCCTCCCGAGTAGCTGGGACTACAGGCGCCCGTCAACACACCTGGCTAATTTTTTGTATTTTTAATAGAGGCGGGGTTTCACCATGTTAGCCAGGATGGTCTCGATCTCCTGACCTTGTGATCTGCCCACCTCGGCCTCCCAAAGTGCTGGTATTACAGGTGTGAGCCACCGCACCTGGCCGAAAAACACTTTTTAAGTCAAAATGAACCAACTAACAAACAAAAGTCATATTCCAGAAGTGCAAGTAGACACAAATGATCACTGGGCTTCTTTTAAGCAACATTCTGTTTTCTTGTCCTAACCTATCTCAAGCTAAGGAAATTCTAGGGTCTATTGTTCAAAGACTTGAAATGTTTTCCTTGGATTATTCCCACTCTTATATTTTTCTTGCCTCTTTCCAAAAGTGCGTTAAAAATGTCCAGGTTTTTTAACTCATTAAGATGCTCATCAAGCATCTTAATGAGTTAGTCACGATTACAACTGCATCTTTTAAATTACCCAAACTGTTGAAAGGCTGCCATGAAAGGAGCTTCTACAAACAAAATCTGGGCTGTATTTCTCATTATCTTATGTTGCAAAAAGTGAATGAGGAGTTACTTCCAAAACAGTAATTAGCATAAAGGCTGCTGAAGCAGAGGAGAGATAGGTGCGCTACTGTCTCAATGGAAAATGTCACTGTTTTTTCTGCAAGGAATATGTACATTACTACTAAAGGAGAAGCTCTTTGCTAACAAATGTGAAAGGGTTTCACACAGTTCATGGCACATAATAAGTGCTCATAATTTGTTTGCTTCATCGGAATTCTCTCTGTAGTCTACTTCTCAGTCAAATAACTGTGACTACCTCCATTTCCTCACAATCCAGTCTCCTTATGTTCCTTCTGTTACAGGAATTGCAGCCTCATCACCTATCACAATATTTCTCAACCCTTTTCTTTTCATTATTGCCTTCCTAAGGAGGCTTTTCCGATGTTTTTAAAAATTGCTCTCCTCTATCAAATTTTGGTACCATAGTGTGATGGTTAATTTTGTGTGTCAACTTTAGTGGGCTACGGATTGCTGAGATCACTGGTAAAACATTATTTGTGGGTGTGTCTGGGAGGGTGTTCTTGGAAAAGGTTAGCATTTGAATTGGTAGAGTGAGTAAAAGATCACCCTTGGCAGTGTGAGTGGGCATCAAGCAATCCCTTGAAGGCCTGAATAAAACAGAGAGGTGGAGGAAGCACAAGTTCACTCTCTCTTCTGGAGCTGGGACATCCATCTCCTCCTGCCCTTGGATATCAGTAGTGTTTCTGGTTTTGGGGCCTTTGGACTTGGACTGGGACTTACAGGATTGGCTCTCCTGGTTCTCAGGCCTTCTGGCTTGGACTGGAGTTATAATACACCAGTAACTTTCCTGGGCTTCCAATTTGCAGACAGCTGATCATGGGACTTCACAGGTTCCATAATTGCATGAGCCAATCTCTCGTAATAAATCTATTTCTGTGTATCTATATATAATATATGCTATCAGTTCTGTTTCTCTGGAGAGCCCTAATACACGCAGATATATTGTGATATCGGTTTATGCATTGTATGTATATCTGCACTTTGTACATTTAAAAAATTAAGTTGTTTTTTATCCCCCAAGATCAATTCTCACTCCCATTGAGAATGTGCAACCTATCAGACCACAGCAGACTGATTCAGGACACAGCAGAAGCAGATCACAGAAATAGATGCTAGACAATTGATTTGGGCGAAAATCAGTGCAGATGTCCAGCATAGAAGTTTGTCTAGATCAGGCTTTGTAAAGGTAAAGACAGACAGTTGGCCATACAGGTTAGCCAAACAAGACACAGGTTGGAGAATACAGCTGACAGCAGTGTTGATGGAAGATAGGAGGGCAAGGTTCAAGGCAGGCAGAGATGTGAGAAATATTTGTCCACTGGGTCAGAGAATGCTTTATATAGAGAAATATCATCATCCAGAAAAGTTCCGTGAAAGAGAAATTATTCTCAGTTCTGAAGCCAGATTTAGACATTTTGCCTTTGTTCCTCAGGAGCCTGGACCACCCAGCCAACTGTGCCCTATTGATGAAAATCTCTGATTATTATAGGGGAATACATTATGTTGGCTTCTGTATTCCCTGAGAACCATCTACATCTCCTAGTACTTTGAAGTCGTGGTATCAGATGAAAGAACCAAGCCTTCCAAACTGACTTGGAGCTGTGCTGAGGTGTTCATGGCCTCAAGCATTCAAGCAGGTTGATTGGATATGAGGTGTGATATTCCTTTTCCTCAAGTCATTTATCCTCTGGAGATCCTAACCTAACCTAATCTCTCCTAACCTAAAAACAGGAGCAGACCCAGGGTCCTGACTGGGCATTCTCATTATGCTTCCTAAAACCATTAGGATCTCTTCGTGGTCACATCCAACAGCCTTTCTCTTTCTCAGGCCTGCAGCTCACTGCATGTGGTGCTGCCTCTCACATTCTCCTCTTTAATTAGAGGTCAGCCACTCTAACTCCAGCCTTCATCACACTCTGCCTCTAGGGTCTTCTGAATGCTGTCTTTGAGGGTCTTCTCAGTCTCTTCCTTCCTCTTTATCTTTTATCAAAGGCACTCTTTTAATCTTTTGGTTCCTTTCTGTTGCCCCTCCATTCTCATCTGTTTATATGTTCGCTTTAAGGTCATAAACATTATTGAGTGCTTGCTATATGCCTAGTACTGATATAAACAAGATATGGCTTTTGTGCATTCTTGTGATGGAACAGATACATATATAAAACCAAGCAAAACACAATGTGAAATATGTAATACAGATCTGTACAAAATGTCTTAGCAACTCAAAAGAGGAAGTGATGAATTCTGTCTTGAGACAAATAAAAGGCATTGCAGAAGGAAAAAGTTTTGATTTGTGCTTTGAGAATGAATTAGGGATTTATGAAAAGAAAAGTTGGAGGAAGGGCATTACAGACAGAGAGATGAGGATGGGATAGGAACAGCATGACCAAGGAAGGTTAGAAAGGCCATGTGACTGGAGGGGAAGCAGACAAGCGTGGGCAGGGAGAGTGGTAGGCAACGACCCTGCAAAGTTAGGAATGCACCACAACTGTAGTCACCATTTAAACCTACATGTCTAGTTAACATTCAAATGGATCATTGCACTGCCTGGGACATTCATTTTTAAAAAGTATAATTTAGCTCCTACTACTTGCTATATACCATGTAACATGCTTACCGCTGGTAATACAAAGATAAATAAGCTGTCCCCTCAAGAAATCAAAATATAATAGAGAGGTAGATGTGTTTTAAAAGTTATTATGTGCAATACAAGCCAACCCATGCAGTGAAGGTAGTATGTATATGACACAAAATAGAGAGTGATTAGCTCTGAGCAGAACATGTTTCAGAGAAAAAGTGATAGCAGAGCTTTAAGAGACTAATTGGGGTTGGGTGGTGCAGTAAGCAGAATAATGGCTTCTCAGAGATATCCACATCCCAAACTTGTAAATGTTACCGTACATGTCAATGAGGACTTTGCAGATATGACTACGTTTAAGGAAGATGGGAAGATTAGATTATTCAGACGAACCTGATGTAATCACAGGGGTCCTTATAGAAAAAGGAGGCAGGAGTGTCAGAGAAAGAGATGTGACAATGAGGGACCATCAGCCAAAACCAAAAACAAACAAACAAAAACAAAAACTGTGGTTAGAAGCTGGAAGAGGCAAAGAACAGTGTCTCTCCTCCAGCTCCAGGAGGTATGAAGGTCTGCCAATGCTTTAATTTTAGCCTCATGAAATAGCCTCATTTCAGACTTCTGACCTCAAAAAGAGTAAGTTTGTGATAATTTGTTACAGCAGCAACAGGAAATGAATACAGATGGAAAAGCAGCCAGGGTGCTGGGAGTGAGAGCATTTCAGGCAGAAGGAATAGCATAAGCAAAGGCACAGAGGCATGAAATAGCATGGCAAACCCTTGGGGCAGGGGTTACCAGTTGTTTAGTGTTGGTCTGGTTTAAGAACCACCAAGTAAGGAGCAGAAGAATGCACTGGCATGCAAAGCAAGTGCCAGATGACACAAGGCCTGGTAAGGAGCAGCCCTACCATGGAGCTTAGGTATGCTGAAGCTTAGAAGGTAAATCAGGAGCCATTTCATGGTTTCACACAAAAAAGGAAAAACACTGAATTTTCAATTTTGGAAGAAAAGCTTAATGGGGAAGAACCCAGGGCAGGGAGACCATTTAAGGAAGCTATAACAAAGTCCTGGAGGGACGTGGTGGGGCTTGAACTAAAGCAGTGTGAATAGCAGGAGAAGGCAGGGTAGCGATATTTAGGATTCAGAGAGTGACCAAATATGAGGAGCAAGGAGAAAGAGAAGAGTCAAGGATGACCCCACATTTCTGATTTGGACTTTGATGAATGTCCATGTGCTTACTGACATGGGAAAAACTGGAAGTTCCTCCCAATATTTCTTAGATTCATATTTTCTGAATCTCTGTATCCACTAGGCTAATCCACCCATCAACCTATGTCTAGACAGTCTTTAAAGTCTTCCTAGCCACTTTTTCTGATTCTAGCCTTTACCCTTCTCAAGCTATTCTCCACGATGTTGTTAGAACAACTAATTCAATATTCATAAAATATTTATTTAGTGCCTGCCATGTTCCAGGTTCTGATATAGACTCTGTTCATATCATAATGAACAAAACAATTTTAAGAATAAGTTAGCTTGCATTTAATCTAGAAGATCCTTATAGAAGGTAATTTTGGGTAGTTCCATCTCCAATTCGTATCTTCTACAATGGCTTCAAATTTCCCGTCACTTTATATCTAAATTTTTTGGTGTATGCTCAAGCTCTCTGTCAACTTCCTTGCACCAAACGAGCTGTAGGGCCTCTTAACTTACAAATGGGTTGTGATCTAAAGCAGTGATTTTCAAACTATCTGTGTGGTTAATTTTTTTTTAATTTCCAAGCTTGTGGTCTAAGTGTCTTCCTGCGTATGACTAGGGCACAGGTCATGCCACCTGTGACTCACTATGAGAATTCCACAACACCCAGACCAGTCCATACCCTGCTCATTGACATGAGTCCACTGACAATGTGCTTGTATGTTACAGCATTCTCGATTTGCTCTAAAAATTTCTAAATGCTTACTCTCAATTTTAGCACCATCCACATACCACATTTGAAATCTCCATACTTAGTAAGCCCCTTACTAAAACACTTTTGAGGGATTTGGAACACATTTTTTATAAGTGCCTAATTGTATCATGATGGCATTTTTTTACTTTTTTTTTTTCCTTCAACTTTTAAGTTCAGGGGTATATGTGCAGGATGTGGGGGTTTCTTACATAGGTAAATGTGTGCCATGGTGATTTGCTGTACAATTCATCCCGTCACCTGCTTATTAAGCCCAGTATCCATTAGCTATTCTTCCCGACACTCTCCCTCCCCTCACACCCTGCTCTGACTGACCCCATCATGTGTTGTTCCCCCTATGTGTCCATGTGTTCTCATCATTCATCTCCCACTTATAAGTGAGAACATGCAGTGTTTGGTTCTCTGTCCCTGCGTTAGTTTGCTGAGGATAATGGCCTCCAGCTCCATCCATGTCCCTGCAAAAGATATGATCTTATTCCTTTTTACGGCTGCGTAGTATTCCATGGTATGTATGTACATTTTCTTTATCCAGTCTGTCATTGATGGAAATTTAGGTTGATTCCATGTCTTTGCTATCGTGAATGTGCTGCAATGAACATAAACATGCATGTATCTTTATAATATAATGATTTATATTCCTTTGGGTATATACTCAATAGTTGGATTACTAGGTCAAATGTTATTTCAGCCTCTAGCTCTTTGAGGAATTGCCACACTGTCTTCCACAATGGTTGAACTAATTTACACTCCAACCAACAGCATAAAAGCATTCCTTTTTCTCCACAACCTCGCCAGCATCTGTTGTTTTTTGACTTTTTAGTAATAGCCATTCTGACTGGCATGAGATGGTATCTCATTGTGGTTTTGATTTGCATTTCTCTAATGATCAGTGATTTTGAGCTTTTTATCATATGTTTTTGGCCACATGTATGACTTCTTTTGAGAAGTGTCTGTTCATGTCCTTTGCCCATCTTTTAATGGGGTTTTTTTTTTCTTGTAAATTTGTTTAAGTTCCTTGTAAACTCTGGATATTAGACCTTTGTCAGATGAATAGATTGCAAAAATATTCTTCCATTCTGTAAATTGTCTGTTCACTCTGATGATAGTTTCATTTGCTGTGCAGAAGCTCATTAGTTTAATTAGATCCCATTTGTCAATTTTTGCTTTTATTGAAATTGCTTTTGGTATTTTTGCCATGAAAGCATTTTTTTTTTTTTGGCTCACCCATTAAAACCTATATTGGCCATGCTAGCTTAGGTTTTTCCTGTAAACAGACCTTAGACTATGTGGAGGCAGGAGAAGGAAGAGCTCTGGGACGACTCTTTGGTACACCATTTTCCTTTAAAGAATGAATGCTTCTTATTGTGCCTTCCTTTTCATGTTTTTCTTTTACTTCTCCTTAACCATCCCATTTCATGCAAACGAAGATTAAAATTAACGTGAAAGACTCTCAAATTTTTATCAAGTTCTTGCCAGAGGTATTCCAACCACTTCAATTTTACCAGCCCTAATTAGATAAAGCTATTTAGCATAAATCATAGTTGCAATTCAACCTCAGGCTTATGAACTGGCTGGGACTAAAAAAGAGAAGGAGCCTTTTGTCTCCGATTCACTGGCTCAACGCTGGGGCTGGCTTATGTTGGACTTCCTCCAGCCCCCAATGAGTATGTTTGTAGCCTTATATTACAGTTCTTTCAGGACCTTTTTTTCAATCTATATCCTTTCTTTGATTTTTAACACTACAAACTCTTTCTTCCCTGTGAATAAACTCTTTTTCTATGGCTCTCATGACTCCACATTGGATTTCTTTGTTGTCTCATTCTCCTCTCTCTCCTCCTTAACCGAGGGCCTCATTCTAGACCTTCTCTCGCCCTCACATGCTCTCAGATGCTCTCATCCTGTCCTATGGAATCAGTTATTACCTAGAGAGACTCATGCCCTCAACTCTTTCCTGAATATGAGACATGTAATTTCAACTGCTTTCTCAACATTTTCATTTAAGTATCTCGAAAGCATCACAAACTCAACTCGATGTTATTTTTCTGCATTCCATATCAGGACAACGCCATCTGCTTAAACGTTCAAGATAAACACTTGGGATCATTTTTGACTCCTCATTTCCCTTTATTCCCCATCTTCAGCTGATTGCCACTCACCATTCCACCACTGCTGTGTTTATTTCTCCAATCATTCTCATTTTCTCCATCTCCACTGCCTTGCCTCAGGCCCTCATCAGTTTTCACCTGGACCATTCTCAGTTCTCTGAACCCTCAGATCACCAATGCCCCACCCAGACTCTAAGATGCAGTCCCACTCCTCCCTGGAGCAACCTCTCCTGGTCACTGCATTGTCCTTTCTCTCTGACAGGCATATCCAATCATCCCTACTCTTGAATACTGACCTTCAAAACTCTTCTTTCTTTAGCTCTTTGTAATATAATCAAAACTCCTTTCTCAGCATGAATTGCCAGGCCTTTTAACACACAGCCCCTGACTAACTCATAGCCTCTTCTTCTGGTTTAACAATAACAATAATAACAGCAAACCACCACATCCCACAGTCCATCCTCTCAGGTATCCTCAAATTTCCCAAACCTGCCAACCTTTCCACCACTTCTCAGGCCCCTGTACCTTTGAGCATTCTATTCTGGCGACCAGCTATGAACCAACCCTTGCCCTGCCCTGATGTTCCTCTATTTGGTATACATGCTTCAGCTTCCAAGGCAACTCCTCTAAGCACAGTTCACTGCTCCTTCTGTTGCATTCCCATAGCATGATGTAAGGGCCTCTATGGATGGTTCATTCAATGGAGTTGTTCTGAGCCAGGCACTGAGCTAGATTCTAGGGGTACAAAGATAAAGATGGCCCTTACAAAGATGGCTCTTAAGGAGCTTATCTTCAATTAGTAGAGAAAGACATAAGTGTAAATGGCAAGTACATTTATGTATTTTAAAACAATCGGCCGGGCGCGGTGGCTCATGCCTGTAATCCCAGCACTTTGGGAGGCTGAGGCAGGCGGATCACGAGGTCAGGAGATCGAGACCATCCTGGCTAACACGGTGAAACCCCGTCTCCACTAAAATTACAAAAAATTGGCCGGGCGCGGTGGCTCACGCCTGTAATCCCAGCACTTTGGGAGGCCGAGGCGGGCGGATCACGAGGTCAGGAGATCGAGACCATCCTGGCTAACACGGTGAAACCCTGTCTCTACTAAAAATACAAAAAATTAGCCGGGCGAGGTGGCGGGCGCCTGTAGTCCCAGCTACTCCGGAGGCTGAGGCAGGAGAATGGCGTGAACCCCAGGGGGTGGAGCCTGCAGTGAGCCGAGATTGCGCCACTGCACTCCAGCCTGGGCGACAGCGAGACTCCGTCTCAAAAAAAAAAAAAAAAAAAAAATACAAAAAATTAGCCGGGCATGGTGGCGGGCGCCTGTAGTCCCAGCTACTCGGGAGGCTGAGGCAGGAGAATGGCGTGAACCCAGGAGGCGGAGCTTGCAGTGAGCCAAGATCACGCCACTGCACTCCAGCCTGGGCAACAGAGCAAGACTCTGTCTCAAAAAAAAAAAAAATCAATGTTACAAAGCACTATAGGTGCTGTAGGAGAAATATGGGCAGGACAAATAAACAAAGGAAGGAATGGTTAATTCTGTCTGTGGGGTTGGAGGTGGAAGGAGAGAAACCTAAGGAAATCTATTACAAGAGAGATAACCCTCCTGGAGGGTAATGAGAGGAGGTCATTCCAGGCAGAGAACAGCATAACAAAGGCCTGGCAGGATGAAAGGGCCTGCTATATTTAGGGAAAAGCCTGCTATATTTAGGGAAAAGCAATTGGTTCTCTATGGCTGGATCCTGAGCATCAGCATAGACCCAGTTAGACAGAAGGCTGGAGAACAAGGGGAAAGCTTTACCTTACAGGCAACAAGGAGCCACTGCACGGTTTTACACAGGGTTAGATACATTACAATTTGTATTTTCAGAAAGATCATTCTAGCAACAGTGTACAGAGTACAGTAAAATATTGGAGGGTGGTCTACATGTGTACTTTTCTTATTGGGTTGTGAGCTCCTAGATGTCAAGTATTGGGGCTCTTTAATTTCTATCCTCCCAGTGCCTAATACATTTTTTCATCAAGCAATAAGAGAGAGGATCTTCAGCCTGGCCAACATGGTGAAATCCCGTCTCTACTAAAAATACAAAAAAATTAGCCGGCTATGGTGGCAGTATGCCTGTAGTCCCAGCTACTGAAGAAGCTGAGGCGGGAGAATCTCTTGAACCCGGGAGGCAGAGACTGCAGTAAGCCAAGATTGCACCACTACACTCCAGCCTGGGCAACAGAGTGAGACTCTGTCTCAAAAGAGAGAGAGAGAGAGGATCCATGATGTTGGTGCTGGCATGTGGGTCTGGGACACAGGGGAATGTAGCTCTAGGCCAGGCTGTGCCAGCTTGGTGAAGCATTAGCAAGTCACTCTGTGCTTTTGTTTCTTCATCTATAAAATGGTGGCCTGCACAAGATCATCTTTCAGTTCTCTTTTGCTCTAACGTTCTGTAATTGTATAAGGGAGGTTCCTTTTTCTTCCTTTTTTTTTTTTTGTTTGCAGTCAATATTTGGTAATACAAATAAAAGTTTACAGAGGTGGATGTCAAGAGGTAAGTGCACTGTGAAGCACAGGTCGGCCAAAAGTTTACATGAGCTATTTCCTGAAGAGTGGGCAATGACTCTGGTTCAATTATTCACACGGTAAAAGGATGCATTTTTCCTGTTGTGGGAGTACAGAATTGTCTCCTCAAGTGTTGACTCCTTTTAAAAGGAAATAAACAGAACTTGGACTACTCTTCTTCTTATTATTATAAGGCTTTAAGTCTTCAAATACATTTTGAAAACATTAGAAGCCTGAGAGACACCCAGCAGTTTTGTCCACCTTAAGTTAGTTCTCTATTTATTAATTCAGCATAGTACACAGAGCTCTACCAGGTTCTCCATGTCCCTCTCATAACTGTTGCCTGTCTTTGACTTGGTAAAATATGCTGTGACATTTCTGCTTCATCAGCATATTACTGGCCTGATCACCAGAATTTAAAATTCAGGATCTCCAGCAACAGAGCCAATTTCTATTGACCACCCGCTCAAAAAAGCACAGGTTTATTTTAGCCTCCATGCTATTTGATCTTTACCTTGATGATGCTATAGCCTTCAACCCTCTTGATAAAAATCTTTTTTTGCTGATATATTACTATCTTTTACCCAGAAGTTTGTTTTCTTAAAGAACAAGTTTTCTCAATGTACTTCACTACCATGAACTGTCTGCAATGATATTGAAATGGAAATATTTAAATTTAATTTGTTAGAGATTTTGTGTTCAACTTTTAAAATTTAATGATGTATTAACCTTTTCCTAAGAAATAATATTTACTGTCTAGTATCAAGCTCAACGATATAAATCTAATTTTGTAATATAATATCTATATTTATTCATAAAACCAAAGAAAATTCTCACTTTGACCACATTTTCTTAATAAGCTATGTCCCTGGGTTTCTTTTTACAGTAAAACATAGCTGCTAAATTTATGCCAGAGCATAACTTTCCAGAGTGGCTTGTAAACCAGCCACAGTAATTTCAAGATATTTCAACTGAGTTCAACCTCCTTTATAAAAAATGTTTAGAGGAGGAAAAGAGACTGTTATTATTATAATTTGGAGAACAGAAAGAGAAAGATAGTGGTGACACCACCCATCTCTTATTCTCTCACAGACATTGTCATGCTCCAGGTGGGGTGGGTGGTGATGCCAGTAATCCCCTGGGCTTTGACTTAGCTGAGCGTGGACTCAGTTTTCAGTTGCTTGGCTTGTTCTTGAAGAGTAAGCTGACAGGGTAGATTTGGTTCTCAGCGTATCATCTAAACAAACAAAACATGTAGGGTAGTAGTTCCACCTCCAGTGAGGGGCTCAGCCTTCTTACAGAGCACTTTTCTCTACTCTCAGCCTCCTGTGCTTGAGAAACAGCAGCAACTGGGCCTGGCTGGGCTAGCTCTCCGAGGCTGCTATACAAAAAGCCTGTATTCTAATAGACTCATTAACCCCAAAACCTATTCAGAGCACCTAACTTTCATTTGTTGAACTGCACATGAAATATATTTGGGGATATAAGGTTAATATTTCTTAGGAATCAAGAGTCTCCTCGCTAGTTAACTTTAACACAACAGAAAGTTCTTTTTTTTTTTTTTTTTTTTTGAGACGGAGTCTCACTCTGTCACCAGGCTGGAGTGCAATGGCCCGATCTCGGCTCACTGCAACCTCCGCCTCCTGGGTTCAAGCGATTCTCCTGCCTCAGCCTCCCAAGTAGCTGGGACTACCGGCGCCCGCCACCACGCCCAGCTCATTTTTTTGTACTTTTAGTAGAGACGGGATTTCACCGTGTTAGCCAGGATGGGCTCGATCTCCTGACCTCGTGATCTGCCCACCTCAGCCTCCCAAAGTGCTGGGATAGCAAATTTTAAGCCAAAACCACTATCTGAGATTTACACAAAGCATAATTTTAGCTCCTCTTTTGTTTCATGAAGTCTAAATAATATTCTCTAGAAGAATTCCCAATATGCAGGCTGATATTTACTATTGCTTTCTTTATCTTCGAAGTGAGATGATGCCAAAACAATTGTTTTTGAATATCTTATGCAAGAAATAATAATGGAAAATAGAAATGTTGTCACTCCGGATAAGTTTTTTCCCCATCCCACAGAAGTTGGAAAAAATAGCATGAAAAGAGTCACTGAAAGGCTAGAATATCACAAATTAATAAATAATAAGTCTGAGTGCTTTCCCATTCACTTATTTTGCCTGTTTTTTGCCCCCCCAGAAGTACCAATTGTGAAAAGCTAACCTCATATCAAGCCTGGGAGAAAGAAGAGGGAATTGTCTACTGACTTAAGAAAAGTGGCAGATAAAAATAAAACATGCATTTTGTTACACAGGAAGATTTTAATGTATAGAAATAAATTTTATGATGTTTATTGAACATGAATTACATTGGCATACCTCGCTGCTTTTGCATACTGACAACTGGTACCTGGTAAAAACAAGTTCTTGAATGAATGACCCTCCACCTTTCATTCTCACAAAAGTAGCTCTCCTTCACTTCTTTTGGTTCTCAAAAGGTTACTATCCAAACAACTACCTCTTGTGAAAAAAAGAGCGGAAGAAGATGAATTGTTTTTAAAACAAAGCTTGTCAGTTTTAGAAACAAACTTAACCAATTTCAGTGTGTAGTAGGTAATCATTCAATAAATAAGCGCCAAACATGTAAACAGGTCTAATTGCTGTTGTGATAAGCCATCTACTTGAAAGATGCATATGGAGATAACTAAGTCTGTAGTTAGCATGAAGCATGTTAAGTAAGATTAACATGAATGACAAGTGTGGCCTCCAGAGTCAGATGGTCTGAGTGTGAATCTTACTGTCAATCACTAACTGTGAGATCTTGGGCAATATTTGTGCCTCAATTTCCTCATCTGTAAAATGGAAACAATAACTCATAGACTTTTGTAAGATTTGAATGAATTAATAACTGTACAATGATTAGAAAAGTAAAAGTACCTGATATACAATAAGCACTTAATAAATGTTAAGATTTAATTACATGGATTGATTCTGCTTTAAAATTCTTTGTAGCAATGAAATGCCCTAAATTTTTCATGGTGTATGGGACTGAGACTGAAATAATAGACTACAGTTCCGGAAACTTTTTAAAGTGGCTCCTAAAATTATCTTGTCACCCAGGTGCAGTGGGTCACACCTATAATCCCAGCACTTTGGGAGGCTGAGGCAGGTGAATCACCTTAGGTCAGGAGTTTGAGACCAGCCTGACCAGTATGATGAAATCCCATCTCTAGTAAAAATACAAAAGTTAGGCGGGCGTGGTGGCGGGTGCCTGTAGTCCCAGCTACCCGGGAGGCTGAGACAGGAGAATTGCTTGAACCTGGGAGGCAGAGATTGCAGTGAGCCGAGATCGCACCACTGCACTCCAACCTGGGGGCCAGAGCAAGACCCCCTCTCAAAAAAAAAAAAAGTAAAATAAAATTATCTGTCTTCTGGAATACTTATAATTTACATTAAAGCAGACATTGAAATCTTTTCAGCCAGAACCTATACCTGTAACCATATAGCCAAAGTTACATTTGTTTAAAAGTGAATTTTCATTTTTGCTCCTCCCCTTTTTCATTCTCCTATTCCCCCCCCCCCACCTTTTCTACTGGTGTAGCATTTTTTTCTATTGATGTAATTTTGATTTCCAGTTACAGTAAAGACACTTGACTGGATACCATACAAGAGATACAAGAGGCAACTATATATATATATATATCTGTGTGTATGTGTTTGCATGTGCGTGTATGTATATATTCTATATTAAATAGGCTGTAGAAATCTTAGTATTACATACAGCATTGATACTAGGGAAAACACATTCCACAATGGCAAATAATTGCGTATTCATTTTTATTCTTCTCAGTGAGACAAGGGCCTGCGGTTATTGATTAGACCAGCTTTGTCTTTAATTCCCTTCCAGTAATGAAGAGGAATACTCTTGCCTGAGAGAACAGGGTGGTCTTTCAGGCCTACTTAAGCTGGGTGAGATGGAGCACACACCCCAACCAGGAGGTGTGGAGGTTCACTGCCAGGACACCCTTATGAGTTAGGTAGTTTACCAAGTGTCATGTCTTAAAGGGTTATGAGTGGGATCATCTCTCCAGATTATCTGCTGCACTGACTGACCTTAAATCACTCTTGCCATGATTTAAGTTCCTTATACTCCACTGTGGCTTCCCCACTGTGATTTATGGTTTGCCAGTAAAAAGTAGTAATCCAAAGTAGTAATAGATCATGTTCTTTCCCCTATTTGCAGCCACTCCTATTGAGTGATTTGAAATACACTTATTTTATGTGATTGTCAAGCCCGGCAATACAGACAAACTAATGCTTTTAGGATTAAAAATCAAAAGCCCTCCCCTGCAAAATGTCCTAACTGTATGTCTAGGAATTACTTAAAACATAAAATTTGCTTATCAAATATAAACAATACCAGGTTCAAGATAGAAAATAAACACAGATTTCAGGTAAAATATAAGTATTGTATCAGCCAGGGCCTGCCATCCCCAACTTGACCCCATTGCCCAAGCTGATGTCTGCCTCTTGCAGACGGCCTTGCCCAATCCCTGTGCCAGTGAGAACCATACCTTGTTCTAATCCAATTCTTTCTCCAGAAGAGAGAAGAGAAATCAGGAAATAGTTTATTATTTCAATTCCCAGCACCTAGCCCAATGTCTGGCACAGTGCCTAGAATATAAAGAGCATTCAGTAAATATTGATTGAATGAACAAATATGCTGTCACCAGGCTGACCCCCCACCACCTGCCTCAACAGAGCCAGTATCCAGTGTGATCTGGGATGGATTTAGCTTCCTGGGGCTTCCCATATGCATTAATCTTCTGTTTCCCTATCTGCCCCTCACATGTGTGGCTGACCATCCTACCTGGCCCTTCTGATTTGGATGGTCATCTGCCCTGGTTCTTTCTCTAAAACCCCTTGGAGTACCACAGTGGAGTCTGCAACACCAGCTAATGGGCCAGGGGGTGAGAAATGCCAAGGGAGCCAGACCTTCTTACTTGGGTCCTATAATTCTTTTTTTTTTTTGAGACGAAGTCTCACTCTGTTGCCCCAGGCTGCAGTGCAGTGGCGCCCAATCTCAGCTCACTGCAACCTCTGCCTCCCGGGTTCAAGTCATTCAGCCTCCGGAGTAGCTGGGACTACAGGCACACACCACCATGCCTAGCTAATTTTTGTATTTTTTAGTAGAGACGGGGTTTCACCATATTGGTCAGGCTGGTCCTGGACTCCTGACCTTAGGTGATCCACCCACCTCGGCCTCCTAAAGTGCTGGGATTACAGGTGTGAGCCTCCGCGTCTGGCCCCTATAATTCTTTTTCCCTAAGCCAAAGCCTTTTTCAAGGGTCTCTTATGTTGCCTGGGAACCTCATCACTAACAACTCTGAGTCCTAATGTTGACAACCCCTGCTTCCCAAAGCTGTGCACTGCTCCCTGGTCCATTCTTTGAATACTATTGCCAGAATAGTATCGTCTCCATATTATGACTCAATTTTTACTCTTTTTGTCTTAAGGCATTTTACTCTCATGTGTTGTGCAGTTATAATCCAAGTATGAAATCCAATTAACAGAATTTTATCATAGATGTGCTAGAAGCTACAAGGATTTGGTCTGTTTCTTTCTTAGTTTTCAGTTAGCCAATCTTTTCTGAAAGAAATTGAAGCCACCCTCCTCTTAGAAAAACAATCCTTCTTTCTTCATTTTATTTTCATGGGCTGCTTCTAGGAGTATATTGAATTCTGCCTTCCATATTTCTAATCAGGCTTCACAGTTTCTTCCTTTTCTGTCCCTTTCTCTCTGTTCCTATTTCTGCCATATCAACTAAGGCTTTCCTTAGCTCTTGCTTTACCTATAGCAATACTACCTACTTTGTCTTCTTACTTACTACACCAGTTTATATTGGCTCTGATCGTTATTATCTATGGGGGCTGAGGCAGGTTGCTTTCACTCTGATCCTCAGTTTCCTCACCTGTAAAGTGGCCATATTAGAGTATGGACCTTGTAAGGGTGGTATAAATGTAAGCAAATATCCTTGGTTCTCCTGAGCCATAAATCCAAATGTGATCATGTTAATTAAAAATCTTCATAGTTCTTATCCTTCCCCAAATATTTATGAGAAATTCATGAAATGGATTAACTCAATAAATATTGAGCACTCTGTGTGAGTCACTGATGTGGGCTCTGGGGACACAACAATAAACAGACAGACCTGGACACTGCTTTCTTGGCATTTGCTTTTTGGGACAGGAAAAACGATGATTAAAAAAGAAGAAAAAGAAACAAAAATGACAAAACATGAGATGATGATAAGTGCTATGGAAAGAAAGTCGGGGTAGGCAGAGGGTAGGAAGGCAGAGGGGTTGCTCGGTTTTACATAAGGTGGTCAGGGAGGGCCTCATCGAGTAGGTGTTTTTGTACAAAGACATTTGGGTGTCATTGGTGGACAGATCTTACCTGTGTTCTTAAGCCAGTGTTGTCATCATGTGTATTGTTATAGTTAGCCAGACACCAAGATGCTGGCACTGACAGCACCACTGTGAGCTAAAAGTCCACAAACGGTGTCAGCGTGGAGCCCTGCACAGTTACCCTAGCCAATAATGCTTTTGAAAAACAGGAAGTAAGAGAGTTGACTTTTTCAGCATTAATGCTCAAGGTAAAGTGTTATGACTGAATTAACTGAAATCAACTACTATTTCCTTAACACAACTTGGATAAAAACCTTTTTCTGCAATCACAGCTGGCACTGTGGTGCCGGTTTTATGGGAAATTGAGGGCTATGATAGCCCCTGTGATGTCTGTCAGCATCCTCTTTCAAAGTGGGAAAAGAAAAGCTCTCTTCCTTAATATAACACTGAGTTACCAGTTACTGGGCGATAGGCCCTAGAGCATTAAAGAGTTTCATGGCTCTTTCCATGACTCAGAGGCCCTTCTTTGTTTTCTTCTGGGAAGACACATGCAAGGAAGCTGGGTTAGGCCCTTCCCTGTGACAGTCAGACTTACCACGACCTTCCAGGTCTAAAGCCCAGTCTTACCGTTACAAACTCCTTCCTCAACCAACGGTGCTCTCTCCAGGGGCCCCACCATTCCTGCCAGCACTCTGCCTACCTCTGGAACTGTCTCCAGACATGCCCATGAATGCTGAAGACCCTACTGAGGCAAATATTTCCATTTTGCCCCCAGCAAACTTCTCAGCCCCCTTATAAATCAATGGATGCCAATCATTGCTTAAAGGGAAGAGACATTGTCTAATTCTGCATCACAGCCATATCTGTCTGAATTCTGACCCATCTGGGACATTGTATTGCACAAGAAATAGAAAAATAATTCATGAAGTTCCTAGCATAATTCTTCTGTTTAGTAGGTATTCAAAAATTGGTAACTATTGTAATTACTTAGGTAGTAGTTTAATGGGCAATTGTAAACATATTGTTTATAATTTTTGTTTTTTTCAAAATGTTTTACAAAATCATGTGTTATATAATAAGAAGCAAATTCTTTCAAAAAAAATAAAACACACACACACACACCAAACTCTTGACACATAGCTGTTTTCTTCCCCTCCTTTTCATCTAAACTTCTCAGAAAAGTGTCTTGCACTCACTATTTCCACTTCCTCAACTTGCTTCTATCTAGCTTCTGCCCCGATCATTCCTCTAAAAATTGATCTCACTGAAGCCACCAGCTGCTTTTGAATGTTCTTCCCTCAGGAGTATGTTGGTGGGTCTGGGAAGGGAAGGCACCCTCAGGTAAATAATAACCCAGAGCAGAGTGGATTGAGTAGAAGGGAGAGGACAAGGATACAAGAGGTGAGGCAATGTCATCCAAGTTGAAAGAATGGTGCAGAACCAAAGTTGGATCCAAACACTCACCTTGTCCAAGAGCCAGGCGTTCCAGTTAGAAGTCTGCTCACCTGAGCAGAAGAGAGAGTCCAGAAACAAGCCAACTCCAAACAGGTAATAAACTGAAAAACCAAAGTAGTCCCAGAAGGAAGAGTGCAAGGAGTTGGAAGGCCAAGAGGAATTCCACATTCAGCAACTTACCAGCTGCATTTGGCTGGGCTTTCCTGGGAATATGTGATGAAACGTCCAGATCTACAATGCTATCTCTTTCAGAAATGAGAGATGGGCTCCCAGGGCACTCCTATACTGGATATGTCAACACAGTGCCTGCCACACCCAACTTCCTCTTTGAGATGAAAGTGCCCCACCCACAGCCCCCTGCTTTGAGAAGCAGAGGTAGGTTGTTCTTTGCCCAGGGATGGCTCCTGATTGGACCAGTGATTGGCCCTTGACATTAGGGGCTGCCTTCCCAAAAACCAGGGCTTGAGTGGAAAAGGTAAGTTTGATCAATCAGATTCTCTCCTTCTGGGATTTGAATTGGGAAACATGGATAGAAAGAAGCAGTTAGCCATGGGAGCTGAAGCTGAAAGGATGGCATACAATGGAGTGGAGCCATGGAGGATTATAGCAAACCAAAACTATGAGGAAGCAGAACCATGTGATAAGAAGGCAGAATTTATGAATAAGCAACAATTCTGAGGTAGAGAAAATACATGAAAAGTAAACAGAATTTTTTAGTTGGAATAAGACAGCAAGAAGCAAACCTGCAAAGAGTCGCAAGAAATGAGAAGTGGTGCACAATTGTCATTAAGATCCTATCATCTGGCTCAACTAAGAGCCAGTTTCAGATCACCCGGATTTACTAAGGCTCCTGTGCTCTTCATCAGATTTACCCCAGCTTTCCAGGTTTCCATGCTGGTATTTCTTGGGCTCCTACTATGAGCTAGGCACAGTTCTAGGTGTTTGGGATCTAAGGGCAAATGAAACAGGAAAATACTTAAACCCCTCATAACTTGCGGCAGGGTCTCTGTTTCAAAGGGCCAAGTTGAAATAACTACTCTTGACTTCACCATTTCCCATGGTCCAGTTGGTGTCATTATGTTGTCATTATGAGTCTACACCCACTTTGGCATGCAGTTCATATATATCACCTCCACTGCTAGGGTGGGTAACTGGAGAATCAGGAAAAGAGAAAATAAAAAACAGAAGTTGGGAGATGGGACATGAAGGAAGTCAGATGATGTATGATAATGGCAGCAGAGTGGCTGAATGCCCAGGCTTTAAATTAACTTGCGTTCAAAATTTTGCTCTATCACTTATTCATTATGCGGCTTTTTTGGCAGGTCAGTTTTCTCAGCTGTGAGCTAGAGATAAAATAGCATTCTCCTCATTGCATTTTTTGAGAATTAAGTGAGAAAATATATGCAGAGCATTTAGCGTAGTACTTGGCCCATAGTAAATGCTTGATAAATGGTAACTATTTTTGCTGATGCTATTATTATCAGCAATCCTCTAGTTTTCCCATTAGTTGGATAGAATGAATGGGCTGGCGGGGAATTAGATGGCATCCTATGCTCAAACCTCTCTGAAGGCTGATGCCAGCCATAACACAGTAGGCTCATTAAAGCTCCTTCTAGTTGGTGCATTCCTTCCCGGGTACTGTCTAGCTGCAGGAATATCAATAATACCAAGAAGAGGGCCAGGCACGGTGGCTCACGCCTGTAATCCCAGCACTTTGGGAGGCCGAGGCGGGCGGATCATGAGGTCAGGAGATCGAGACCATCCTGGCGAACACAGTGAAACCCCGTCTCTACTAAAAATACAAAAAATTAGCCAGCCATGGTGGCGGGCGCCTGTAGTCCCAGCTACTCGGGAGGCTGAGGCAGGAGAATGGCGTGAACCCGGGAGGCGGAGCTTGCAGTGAGTCAAGAGATCGCGCCACTGCACTCCAGCCTGGGCCAAAGTGCGAGACTCCGTCTCGAAAAATAAAAAAATAAAAAACAATAATAATAATACCAAGAAGAGGTGTAAAAAAAACACTAAGGACAAAAACCTTTGTATGCAAAAAAGCAGTTCTGGAGGGCAGGCAATAATAATTAGTGAAAGCAAAGTGTGTAGCAGTGATATTAGCCAGAGCAGTCAGTTGTGTGGGGGAGGCAAAAAAGCACATTTGTTTCTTAAGCACTACTTTTGTCACCTGTCTAGGGGTGGTGGGTATGTGGATGTAGACCTGATAGGCCCAAACTGAGGCACAGCTGAGGGCTGTGGTTGGAAAGCAGTGCTTTGAGAGACCATGAAAGTAGAAGCCCTCTTTTACCTATCAGGGTATAAATGACTGGAATGGGTGGAGGAGCAATGCAGGGAGGGAAGAGGGCAGAGTCAGGGAAGAGGTCAAGAGGGGCAGACCTCCCAATGACTTGGGAGGCTGAGGTGGGAGGATAACCCGAGCCCATGAGTTTGAGTTCAGCCTGGGCAACATAGCAAGACCCTGTCTCTATAACAATCAATCAATCAATCAATCCAGGAAGCGGGCAGACAACAAATAGAAGTCCCAAAACTGGAGTTTCAGATGCGAGTGTGGATCAGAAGGAGTCACCGCGGCTCTAGAGGAACCCTGAGGTATCTTTGCTTTGGGTCCAGGTGCTTTTGTGGTAGTGTACCAGACCATATCACCTCAGGGAGGGCCAGTGGCTGTGCTGAGGCTGCATTCTGGCCTTCCTAGCAGGGATGAGCACTGCCTTGCTCCTATGAAGAGCTTCGTGGCATTTAACATCAATCCAAATTGCCCCAAGAGGCCCTGTATCAGGATTAAGACCATGCATAAATGTCTAAAATACATCATTTGAGCAGAATGATTGTGAAATACTCAAGCCATAGTCTTCCAGAGCGAGTCTCTCTGTTACCTCTTGTACTCAGGCTTTCAGGATAGAGAATCTGGTCTGTGATTCTGAGTGCTGGGCACACAGCTGATGGAGCACCCAAGCACAGATAAGGTGAGCTGCCTTGCATAGCATGAGCTGAGCTTTCAGGCTATGGCAGACTGAAGTCCCTATCACACATTGGACCCTCTAGGGCTTGAAAACATGCTTGACCACAGGCCCTTCCCCTTTCCACGCAGGGATAATGAAGTGTGGCATAAAGCTTCTCCTGGGTCAGGGTGGCCCACTCCACAGTGTTGGCAGCACCAGTCTCAACAGTGTGATGCTGAATGAAGCTAGGTTCCAGCTGTGTAGAGCTGGCATGCAGGTGCAGAGGACACACTGTGGAGCTGAGTTGCTTGCATTCATTTCTATTCTTAGTAAATTTTTTACCTGTATGGCTTTATAGGAGTTACTTTATCACTCCATGTTTCAGTTTCCTCATCCGCAAAACAGCAATAATAATAGCATATAGCTCATAGGGTTATCATGAGTATTAAATTAGTTAATATAGGCAAGCCCTTTCAGCAGTGCCTGGCACATCGTCAGTGCTTGCTTGTGCTGTACTGGAGCAGAGGTGCAGCGAGTCTTGACTTGCCAAACATAGTGTCAACCTCAGCACATCAGGAAACTTCCTTCTCTATTTTAGGAGGTCATTACTAGGGCAGTTGCACAGAAAAAGACAAAATGGTGTTAGATATCTCTTGAAAATGTCTAGGTAACCTCAGTGACCAGGGTGTCTCTCACTCCAGAATCACAGATAACTGGCTACACTGAACTTGGTTCAGAAATGTCACACATTTCTGTGCTGTTTTGAAGGTGCTGATGTTTCAGGTAACTCAGAACTGTTGGGGCTAGAGTATTGTATGAAGCATAGCTAGTCAGGTTGCATGTGGATGTTTCAGGATATATTAGGACATTTTCCAAGAAGAGCAAAAAGCATCCCCTTGAAAGTCCTGCAGGATACTGATCATGCTGCTGCCATAGGTCAAGAGGCATTGTGTTCTCTGCAAACTCTCTGTCATCCAAATGCAACGATGGAAGGCAGACAAGGTGCTAGGCACTCAGAAGATCTAATTTTATGGTCCTTCTGAGCTGGCCCAGGAGAGGGAACCAGACAGTATTAGGATCCCAGTAATCCTAGCAGAGGCCCAGTCATCTGCTTTTCTTCCTCACAAAGTTCTCCACTGCCTTCTTGGGAGAGATAGGGCCCCAGTGGATTTCAAGGCCTATGAATTCCTACCAAGTCTCAAGTTATGGGTGTTGTGGTGGCCACAGGGAGGCCAGATAAAATTCAGAACACCAATTAAATTTGAATTTCAAATAAATGTTGAATAATGTCTTAATATAAATCTATCCCAAATATTGTGTGGCATATACTTATACCAAATATGTATTTGTTATCTGAAGTTCAAATTTAACTGGGCATCCTGTATTTTCATCTTCTAAGTCTGGTAACCCTCACTGAGGGATATGGTCAGGGAAGGCTGATGGGTGGGTGCAGCCTCCAACTAAACAAAAATAATAGAGATGCTACAGGTTTCTGGTGCCCTCACATCAGAGGGGACTCTTCTTGCAGGACTTTCGAGGAGATGCTTTTTGCTTTTCTTCATAATACTGGCTCATTCGGTTCAAATCTCTGAGAGTGAGGCAGGTCTGGATACTTACCCACTCTGATGCTGTAGTTGCCTACTCTACAGATTTCAAGGACTCTTGCCAATCAATCAGGGCTATGAGAAAGTCCCAGTGGTGTCCACACAGTGTGGGCTTCCAGACTATAGCCAGGCCACTATCCAGAAGACATGAGAAGTCCCATTTACATAAGTATCCTCTTCCCCAAATATAAGCCTTCTATCTCCATAAGCTACTGGAGCTGTGACAAAAAATAACATGGCAACTGGGAAGGCCCACCTGAAGACAGACAGCTTGCTCTGGCAACAGGCAGTGCAAGACTTGGCAAATCTGACCAGCAACCTGTGATCTCAAAGGCAGCAGCCCTGTTGTCAGACATTTGCTACATCTACAGAACAGATACAGCAACCACCAGCTGAGACCACAACTCATTTCCCGTATGGAGGCTGAGTTTCAGAGAATCAGCTGGAGATACAGCCCTGTGGATTGAGGGTCAGTGCCCAACCTCACTGACTGTAGGTGGGAGTGGGTAGTAACCAAAAATAAGGATGTGGTGTAAGGCTGGGTTTCCTAAGCTGAGAGAACAGTCCAGAACCTCAGAGAAGTGTACATAGGTAGAGACTGAAAGCCAGGTCACTAAGACCCAGAAACAAAGATCTATCCAGACAGGTAAAAAATTCAAGGCAGTCTTGAGAAACAAAGTTCAGAGAGTGAACCAGCAACAGGTTGATGTTTCCAAAGTCAGTGTGTGACTAGCCACCTGTGTTTTTTTATTATTATTATTCCTGAGTTGTGGGTGGGGAATAGGCTGGTTACAGATGCTTCCCTGAGATTAGAGATGCTGTCAGGGAGCAGACCTAACTCTCAACACCAAGGAACATTTCCAAGGTCTGCTCTTCAGCTACTCTGTTATCCCTGACTTTGTTAGACCCTCCCTTTCGTTGTCACTCTCTGCACACTTGGCTTCTGAGACTGTGCTCTTCAAGTCTCCCTCTAGCTGCTCCTTCTCTGTCTTCTCCAAGGGCTCTTTTTCTTCCTGCTCCTTAAGTGTTCATATTCCTTAGGGTCCTGCCCTTGGCCCACTGCTCTTCTCTTTTCTTTCTATCTTTGGTTTCTGGATGTTCTCATTTGCCGTCATGGTTCCAACTGAGACTGTACCTGGCTAAAATGTCAGTTACACAGATTAAACACTTGCATCTTTTTTGCAACTTCCTAGCTGTGAGACCTAGGCTAAATTATATCAACTTTTAGGCTTCCCTCTTTTTTTTTTTTTTTTTTCGAGATGGAGTCTCGCTCTGTCACCCAGGCTGGAGTGCAGTGGCGCAATCTTGGCTCACTGCAACATCCGCCTCCCAAGTTCATGCCATTCTCCTGACTCAGCCTCCCGAGTAGC
Source organism: Homo sapiens (assembly GCF_000001405.40). Taxonomy (NCBI): domain Eukaryota; kingdom Metazoa; phylum Chordata; class Mammalia; order Primates; family Hominidae; genus Homo; species Homo sapiens. Next base: position 148,718,170 of record NC_000001.11, read on the forward strand.
TGGGACTACAGGTGCCCGCCACCACGCCCGGCTACTTTTTGTATTTTTAGTAGAGACAGGGTTTCACCGTGTTAGCCAGGTTGGTCTCAATCTCCTGACCTCATGATCCGCCGGACTCGGCCTCCCAGAGTGCTGGGATTACAGATGTGGGCCACCGCGCCCGGCCCTAAGCTTCCCTCTTTTAAACTCATCAGCTAAATGAGTATAAATAACATCGACTATATATATATATACCCAGCTTAGATGGTTACATGAAAATTAAATAATACAACATACGCAAATTGTATGAAAATTCTTAGCATAGTGCCTGACACATAGCAAATAGTCAATAAATGCAACCCTAATAGTGATTATTATTATTTACATGGTCTTGCATCTCAGAGCTTTGTTTCCAGCTTAGTACTCTCTCAGGAGCCACACTCGTATATCCAGCTGTCCACTGCATATTTCTACACGGATGTTCCAAAGACACCTTATATTCATTGCATCAAAAATGAAACTTGTTTTGTCTCCTTCTAAACCTCTTTTTCTTCTCTCTTCTCTACCTCACTTGTTGACACTATCATTTATCAGTCACCCAAGCTGGAATCTTAGAAATTATTTTTCATTTCTGTCTTTTCCTTGGCATTGCCACCCAACTCTGCTCCTTGTCAAATTAACCATTAGAATCTGATAATTTTACTTCTTCAACTTTTTCATTTTACATTCTCTCCCCATTTCTTGATAAAAACATCTTTAGAAAGCAATGATTCAAGGCTGAGTCCCTGGCTCTTTAGAAGTTTGTGACTTTGGTGGCAAAAACAGACTCTTATAGCAGATTATCTTATTGTTTAAAATATTTGCTGCCCCTGCCTATGGGGCCTATGGAAGGAATTTGGCCATGGACTTGCATTGACCAATAGAAGGCAAACATATGTCATATATGCTGAGCAGAAACTATTAAGACCCATCATGTGGTTTCATCTTTCTCATTTCCCTTGCTATGATGCTACCATATCCCAAATAGGGCCAGCTCCTTCAGTCTAGATTAAGAATGCAAAAGACATGAAGTAATCAGTGGCCAATTTACGGTGTACATGTAACATGAACAAATACAAATCTATTTTGTTATTAGGATATGGGGATTATCCATTACTGTATCACAACCTGGCTAAAACTGACTGATACAACTCCTTTGAGGATTATAAACACAGTCTTTGAAGCTAATGCATGATGATATGAAAATCAGTGTTGATGATGTGACACGCAGTGTTTTCCAACAAAGTAAGAAAGTTCAGTATGCTGCCAGGCATCACAGATGCGCCACACGTGCATCGGGTACCAAGGGTGTTCTGTTGGTCAAAGTTCTGTTTGACAAAATAAAACTTTTATCATTTTGAAAATGTCATTAGCTACAGGAGTTTTCAAAAGGGGCCAACAAAATTAAACTTTAAAAATCTGTTTGGTGTGTACATAACACACAAAACAAGAGCTGACTGCACTGAAAGATACCAGGGATTCATAGAGTTGTATGCTGAAAGGAAATGGCATTGCTGTGAGTTTATTTATGACCTACTTCAATATATTGGAAGAAATGCCAGCAATTTGGAGGTTGGTAACGTAATTTAACAGAAAAACAGCTTCAATTTTCTAACTCTACCACAAACCCCAAATCAGCCTGGCCATTTCTAGGGCACACATCTGCTTTGCTTGGTAACAATAGCAGCAGCAACAATAAGTAATGACAAATGATCACATATAAGGAACCATGTTAATGTATCACTAGATATTAAACAGGGCATTACTTTACTGGTATATGTGTCCAATTTGAATAAACAAATTAGTATATGTGTCAAATTTGGATCCAGCAGGGCACTTCAAAACTTAAGTAATCATGACTCAACTCTAAATACTCAATTTTAAAGTAGTTTCTAAACTTCAGCATATTGACATTTCGGGCCAGATAATTCTTTTTTGAGGAACTCTTCTGTGTAGGATGTTTAGCAGTATCCCTGGCCTAACCCATTAGATGCCAGTAGCACCCCACATTTGTGACAACCAAAAATGTCTCTAGACATTGCCAAAAGTCCCTTGGGTGACTTCGTGCTCTAAAGCTATGAATCTAGTGGGAAGAAATTAGAAACCAGAATACTACATAGAAAATATTTTTGAGTAGACAGGACTATTGATTCATCTAATTAGTTCAGGTAGTTAGCTGATCATTTTTCTTGTAATTCAAACAAACCCTTCCCCAATTCTTAGTAATAGCTGTTGATTGAGTGCCGATTGTGGACAGTAAACATAATTTGCATAGTCAATATAGCTTGGAGATTAAGCACTCGGCTCTGTAGTCTGGGTTGCAATCCTGGCTCTGCCATCTGCTCTCTGTGTAACCTGGGGTATGTTTCTTTACCTCTCTGCCATTGTTCCTCAACTGTACAATGAAATAATGATAGCATGCATGAAATCACACAGGCATGTTGTGAGAATTTAATAAGTCAATGAACATAAGGTGCTTAGAACCAAGCTTAGGGTATGGAAAACAGAGAATAGATGTTTCTTGTTATTCTTAAACCTTACAACAACCGTTCAAGTTAGGCAGCATTATCTGCATTTTATACATGTGGAAGCAAATATTCAGGGAAATCAAGTCCCAAATACACAACTGCTAAATCATTTGGTTAACAAGAAGAGGAATCAGATTCAAACTCCAAAACTGCTATGTTTCTCACTACACGGCAGGCTTGGGTGGAAAACAGGTTAAACCTGGGAGAAAGAGTCCTCTTTTAGGGATAAAAATTGGGATTGTTCAGCTGGTGTGGTGTGTTTGCATGGGGTAGCACAAAGCCCCCGTGAACATGACTTTTACCACTAACTATCTGTGTGAATTTGGCAAGCGTCTCGAACATCCTGGGGCTGTTTACTCATCTGCAAAATGGACACAAAAACACCTGCTCTGCGATCTTCACGGGTGGTGGTCAGAGTCATGTGAAAAGATGCAGGCAGTAGAGCGCTGTGAAACTCTAAAGTGCTCAGCAAATGTAAGGTAGGCTGGGTGCCCTGGTTCACACCTTTAATCCCAGCACTTTGGGAAGCCGAGGCGGGCGAATCACTTGAGGTCAGGAGTTCCAGATCAGCCAGGCCAACATGGTAAAACCCAATTTCCACTAAAAATACAAAAATTAGCCGGGCGTGGGGGTGCGTGCCTGTAATCCCTACTCGGGAGGCTGAGTCAGGAGAATTGCTTGAACCCGGGAGGCGGAGGTTGCAGTGAGCAGAGTTCGCACCACTGCACTCCAGCCTGGGCGACAGAGAGAAACTCCATCTAAAAAAAAAAAAAAGGTAAGGTGGAAATATAAGCCTGGGCTCTCGGGTAGTCATGTCTAAGACCTTTCAATCCCTTAGTCATGTCTTGCTTCTCCCGCAAAAGCAAGTTTTTCTGTGGCCCCATGTCGCCATCCTGGCCTCAGGAGCAGCTGACCTTGCTGGGGAGGCATCATGTGCAAGTGGGCGGGGATGGGGGCTTCTCCCCTGGTTCCAGGGTGGGCAGACTGGGAGGTGACCCCAACATGGATGTGGCAGCTGCTGCTTATCTGTAGTTAGTCAACGGCCCAGACAGATGAGGTGTCCGTGGTGACCTTCCTGCCTCAGTGAGTGTGGGAACTCGGGGCTTCCCAGGGCGAAGGAGTGGGAACATAAACAAAATGGGCCCTGCCGGAGCTCGGGCATCGCATCCTCCCTCAGCCCTGCCTGAACCTCGGAGGAGGCGCCCAGGAGATCATCCAGGCACCGCTGCCTAGGGCCGCGCAGGGAAGACGGCCAGGGCTCCAGGGTCCGCCTCAGTCACTGTCACCCCGCAACATGATTCTGACTCCCCCAAAGGTGGGTGCTTCCTGCCAAAAGTCCCACCACCGGCACCCTTTGTTGTCAGAGGGCAGAGTCAGAAATATGTCATCCTGGTGGAAACTCTTCCCTCCCTCCCTCTCCCCTCAGCAGACTTAGCCCTGGATTCCATGGACTGCTGCAGGGGTTAGTCTTCTGGAGAGAGCAGGGCCCCTGCATCTCTTTCTGACAAAAGACGGCAGACATAAACAAGGGGAAGTTTGAAAGAAAGAGAAACGGCTAATTCTCAGCAACCTTTCATATGTCTGCGGAAGGCTTGGCATCCATGGCCCAGCCTTCTTCAGGATGAGCACCTATGTCTGCTACTCTTTGCATCAAGTGACTTCTCCATGCCTTTCTTGTGTCTTTTTTCTCGCTCCTTTCCGTTGCCTCCTTTATGTTTTCTCACTGCCTAGCTCTTCCCAATAGCACCACCCCGAGTGGTTCTAGGGCAAAATAGTAAAGCATTTTAAATTTGTTTTCATGACTTCCCACCCTTTTTTCAGTCTCGTTCCTTTCCATCTTTAAGGTGGCCAGCAGCTGCTCCGCACTTGACAAACGTGCTGGACACTGCTGCTGGGGAGACATCAGCCGGCAAGCAAGGGAAAGTTGCAGACTTCTCAGTGCTTACCTCCTAGCTGGGAAGACAAATATTGGACAACTGTTCTCTAAAGGAGGCATGCAGAGTACTGTGAGTGCCTGTCAGTAGGTGCAGACAGGGGCTCAGGGAGAGCATCCTGGAAGAAGAGATGTTTGGGTTGAGCCTGGAAGCGTGAATGTTGGGTGAAGTGTTGGGAAGAGAGGTGAAGACAGAGAATAAGACAGGGGAGAAGGAACACATTCTATGTGAAGGTGCTGAGGGAAGATAGAACATTTGAGGAACCAAAAATGAATTGTACAGCTGCCTGTGGTACATAGCCTGGGCCTCACCCTCTCCCCTGAGCACTTGACAATGCACATAAGGTCCCTAAACACTTCTGCCTACTCACCCACCATAAAACCTGTCATGTTTGCTCTCCCTTTAAGGCTCTGTTTTTTTGCCTTCCATAATTGCGATCTCAACTGATAGTTTCCTAAGACAGATTTGGGGTCTGGAAACAGATTCTTAGCTGAATTCTACTACTTCACTGTGCAAACTTGAGGAAGTGAGGTATATCATCAGTAATATGGGCTAATAACTGTGCTAGTAGTAACATTTCATGATTGTTTACGCTGCATCAGCTTCCAGTGCTAAGCACTTTTGTCTTTTATTGTATGATTCTCACAAATCCTCATAAGGTAGGTAATGCTTTTATCCCTTTCTCCCTTCTCAAAGGATTCTTAGGAAGCCTAGGTGTGACACTAATTATAGATGCACTTTGTAACCATTAAGGGTTAATGCAAAAAATGAAATATTATTGTGATGTTCAATAATAGTACCATGATGTTCAACAAGTACATATTTAACGAATAACTGCACTTGTTGAATGCCATGACAGTTGTGGGCTATAATTAAATGAGTCTCAAAATATTTTGTGTCTGTCTCCTGAACAAACCAAATAAAAAGCAATAGAAGGAATGAAAAACGTTGTCATCACCAATTTGCTAATTGTATGCCATGCCGGACCACAGAAGAGAGAATTCCACAGATGTGACCCTGAGCCTCCAAAGTTTACAGTCTGATGACCACCACTACCTGGAATGCAGATACAGATAACAGAGTGAAAGCTCAGTATCAGTTGATACAACACTGGGTTGTATCAAGCTCATTTCCTACCAAGGGTAAGGATCTTTCAGGAGACCGAATGAGCAGGAAAAAATTCATGAACTTCTTTTAAAATTCAAGGTGGGGGCTGAAGCCAGAAGGTTCTAAGTCTCTTAGTATTCTCCTTAGTACATGTCTCTTCACTTTCTATCACCTTATCACAGCGTTTTTTTCACCCAACCCCAATTCTGGGGAATTATTTATACATGATATATGCACTGTCATAATAATGACATATTCTTAAATTGTCAATTTCTGAAACCACGTATGTGTATCACAAACTAATATGAATGTGTGTGTGTGTGTGTGCGTGCACGCGCATATTTATGTGTGTGTGTATGAGTGGCTTCCTACACTTACACTCCCCTACTTGAAGAGAAGTGGTGCCGGCTCCCCCTGAAATCAGCCAATGTGGGAGGAGTACTGACACCAAAAACAAAGGAAATGAAATAGGATAACTGTGGTTTGAGGCTCACAGGTCAGATGAGAGGCAATGAATGAGAAAGTCAATGAGCTGAAAATGACTTAAGTACAGGCACCTCCTAGGAATTATACCCCTAATAAATGATTGTATTGAACATTTGTTTAAACTGATGTAAAGTACTTTGAAGGTTAACATCCTTTCCCTCCCTCACAATATTAAGTAGTGTAGCTTGGAGGTTGAAAGCAGATTCTGGGTTCAAATCCAGGTTCTGTCAGATTCTACCACTTACCAGCTAAATGACGTTGGACAAGTCACAATATCTCTAAGCCCTTATTTCTTTACTTGTAATGTGGGAGTACAATCTGCCCCATGAAGCTCTTAAAAGGATACAGAAAAATAAAATGTGACAAACGTCTTGCATTCAATGTATAGCAAATGACTACTTGATGGTATTTTATAGGTGACAAAATAGATGCCCAGAGAAGTTAATCTCCTTTCTTGGGTCCCCCCGAGTGTTAACAGCAGTGCAGGGAAGCAGTCAAGCATCCTGTCTCTGGCCCATGGCTTTTTTATCCATGTGGAGCACCAGTCCCACACAGAAATCATGTTTAGGCTACAAGTGATTTTTCATATATATCTTCTTTAATTTGCATTTGTCTGCCAAATCCACACATTAGCAAGCTCAAAACTCCAATGGAAAGGCGTATATAGGATCTTCTGGAAAATTAGATCTGGAATGACCCTAGCAGACCCAAAGAACTATGTGTGAGAAAAAACACAATACCCTGTTACACCCTCTTCAACTGTGGGCAGGTAGATTATTTACTTTGTGGGTTGATGTAACACAATTTTTAATCCCATGTTGGCTACGCTCTGCCACTTCCCCCCACCGTTAGTGGGTGTGTGCTCAGGCAGTGTAAACTCAGGAAGGTAATGCAAAACCAGGAAAGTAAATCTGCTTCTTATACCTCTCACCCCACATCAGCCTCCTCCTCTCTTTTTACTTCATTCTCTTCAGCTTTAAAAAAACAGAGGTAAATGTATTTTCAGTTGTCTTTGGCACAGCCCTGTTTTGGAAATCATAGACAGCCAGCTGGACCAGGAGTCAGGAAGCCAGGGGCTTTCATCTGGATCTGACATTGGTTAACTGTGGGCCTTCAGGAAAGTTAGATCAGTCCTCCAGGCTTTTGTTCCTTTTCTGTACAATGAAAAGAAGACTAGAGTATTTATGAAGTGCTCACTGTGCACCATGTGACTTCAATTGTATTACTTTATTTAATCCATAAGAGAAAGAACTCTACTAGCTAGGAATATAGATCTGTAGTATTCAAATTTAAAAATACTCAAGTTGCCCAAGGCCACAGAGGTGGCAAAGAGGAAGCTGAGTTGGAATTTGAACCTAGGACCATCAGATTCCAAATTTTATGCTTGAATGAGTTATCCAGTACAATCTATAATTTTCTTTTCTGTTCTAATATTATGCTGTTATGTGAGCACTATTCATCAATATTTAGTTGGCTTAGTTTATTACAGTGAGTCATTCTTCCATGCCTTGGGGTCTTACTCTATATAGGCAGAAGCCCTGACTAAATTTACTACATCCCTTATTTAGTCAGCTAATACATTAGTTGTACACTCTGATATTGTAAGTAGTGGTTTTATTGCCATTAGTGAAAATTAGTGAGCCACCAGGTGTGGTGGCTCACATCTGTAATCCCAGAACTATGTGAGGCCGAGGCAGGAGGATCAGTTGAGCCAAGAGTTCGAGACCATCCTGGGCAACATGGTAAGACCCCCATCTCTACAAAAAAATACAGAAATTAGCTGGATGTGGTGGTGCATGCTTGTAGTCCCAGCTACTTGGGAGGCTGAGGTGGGAGCATCACTTGAGCCCAGCAGACTGAGGTTGCAGTGAGCCAAGATCCATGCCACTGCACTCTGGCCTGAGTGACAGTGCCAGACCCTGCCTTAAAATACATACAAACATACATATATACATAAAGTAATGCTTGCCTTCATCTGATATGCTTCTTCCAATAAGAAAAAACTTTTCTTGGAAACTCTTCCCCTATCCTTCTTTGGAAACTTTATATAATTGACTTTACCTTCTATTATTTAGATTGTTTATTGACAAACCAAAATTATTTGATGTATATGTCTAACCCATATAGAATCAGGGCATAATATGAAGGGTACTTGGTTCCTGCAAGGGTGTTTGCACAGGAATACTGGACATGAGACTACCAGCTATTCAGCATTACAGTGGAGATTTGTCCTCTTATTGTCAGGTGCCTCTCAAGTTGGACTCACATAAGAACTAAATATGTCTCAGCTATAACTTCACTACGTAATGGTTGGAAGAGGAGTGCACTGGAGTGCACCCCACTCTGTGGAGGAGAGTCAGGAATACTTAATATTTCTTCTGTAGTCAACCAGGTATATCATTGAGCCTAATTCTTCACATTGCAGTTATATTCTCTAAAAGTAAATATGATGCTTATTTTAGTTGCTATTGCATCCTTAGGCTAGCCCAGTGCCTAGCACATAGTAGGTGCTCAATAAATATGTGTTAAGGCCGGGCGCAGTGGCTCACGCCTATAGTCCCAGCACTTTCACACGAGGTCAGGAGATTGAGACCATCTTGGCTAACGCGGTGAAACCCCATCTCTACTAAAAATACAAAAAAATTAGTTGGGCATGGTGGCGGGTGCCTGTAGTCCCAGCTACTGGGGAGGCTGAGGCAGGAGAATGGCGTGAACCCAGGGGAGGCGAAGCTTGCAGTGAGCCGAGATCGCGCCACTGCACTCCAGCCTGGGCGACAGAGCGAGACTCCGTCTCAAATAAAGAAATAAATAAATATGTGTTAAATAAATGAACAGGACAAGACAAACCAATAGGGAAGATAACTAGGAGCACCTGGACCTGGGTTAAATGTTGGTTAGCAATTTCAATCTGCCTAAATCTTGTGATATGAGCTCCTTAAGAGCAATGACTCTTTTACTCATCTTTGTATTCCCTAGGATTTAGCCTTCATAATAGGGGCTCAAAAATTTCCATGGGATTAAATCATCTTATAGTAAAATTATTTTAGAAGATAACATAGTGGAGGGATGCAAGAAATTCAAGTGATTTGAGAGTGATAATGATAAGGACGATAACAATCACATAATCATACAAGGTAACAGTGGAAGACAAGAGTGCTCTTCGAAAGGAGTGACGCTGTTGTTGGTGAAACTGGATCAGAAGTTGTCCAGGTAGGGGTTGTGATGTCCTCTTTCTGCTGTTTCCGTGAGTGCCAAAAGTAGAGTCAATTTATATTGATACTTTAGAGAAAGTGATTCCCTAACATTCCTCTCAGTTTTGCCCTCATCATCCCCTAATAGCCCTAAGGCCAAAATACCATAGTTATCACTGATCAGTTGTTGATTTTCCCCTCTGTTCTCATACAGAGTCACTTCCTTGGTACATGAGACCTAGGATGAATTCCAACATCTTCCCTTCCTGGACCCAGTACTGCATCCCTCTTTCTCTCCAATGTCAACATCTCTCCAAAGGGTAGAAGGCATTTTCACTGCACCCAGGACTCCTTTCACTGCCCCATCCTCTTAAAGACAGCCATGCTCAGTGATCCCAAGCTGATTTTCTGTTATATACTGTGATGCCATAACTGATTACTTCTTCTATTAAAGAAAATAAAGATATACATTTTAATTTTAGTGAAACATCCCCTGTGGTTAAGAGGACATCCTGTTATATAAGAAGCCCAGGAGTGGGAGAACAGAGGATTGAGTGACGCTTCATAGATTTCTGGTTGTAGGGTCAACTTAGAGACTGACTCAAAATTGACGTAAATAGGAAAACAGTAATGGCTTTGAGGGGGAATGAGTAAGCTGGTTTAAAGTCTACAGGGAGCAATATCCTACATAGATGAATAAGACAAACAAGAAATATTCTTGAATGGAGCAAGAATGTGGGAAACATTTAAATGAGAAAACAGAGATGAAATAAAGAAATGCAGAGAGCTTTGAAGTCCACATAGAAGACTTTAGAAGATAGTAATAACTAACATTATCCACCCAGCACTCATCTAAGCTCTTTAGATATATCACTTTATGTAATCTTCACAAGTCTATGAGGTAGATACTAGTATTTTTCCCATTTAACAGATTAGGAAACCAAGGCACAAAATGATGGAGTGCCTTACCCAAAGCCACATAGCAACTAAGTGGTGAAGACAGTTGAAATTTGAAGCATAATCTCTATTCTATACTAGCATTCATTTGTCACTAACTGTGCTAGACAGTATGCTGAATCTGGCCCTAGGAATCTTAAAGAGCTATGTGTAAGAGAAAAAATATTTTTTCTACCCCTTCAATTGTCAACACATAGATTATTTACTCTGTGAATTGATGGAACACAATCTTTAATCCATGGGGTTTTTTTGTTTTGTTTTTTCGAGATGGAGTTTTGCTCTGTTGCCCAGGCTGGAGTGCAGTGGTGCAATCTCAGCTCACTGCAACCTCCGCCTCCTGGGTTCAAGTGATTCTTGTGCCTCAGTTTCCCAAGTAGCTGGAATTACAGGTGGATGCCCCAGTAATTTTTGTGTTTTCAGGAGAGACGGGGTTTCACCATGTTGGCCAGGCTCATCTGGAACTCCTAACCTCAAGATATCCACCTGCCTCGGCCTCCCAAAGTGCTGGGATTACAGGCATGAGCCATCGCGCCCGGCCAATTCTATGTTTTTTATACACATTCTTCTCATAAAGTGTGCGCATCTATACACTGTAAGTGTGTGTATGTTGTGGTATTTATATAATCAAATACAATTTACCACCATTGTTCAAGATCGCAAGATCGTGCTTCATTCTTATCTCTACTTTTTAGCATGGTTTCCATTAGCTATTCCTGAGAGGAAATTCACAGTCCTTGCATTTTACAGATGGTGAAAGTGGTTTAGAGGAGGTCAATGGCTTAAGCAAGGTCACAGATCAAGTTTTAGCAACATTTGGCTTAAATCGGGATCAATAACCTCTGACTGTCCAGCCTGATCCTTACAGGGTCTGCCTGTCCTGGGGCCTGGGCCACGTTCCAAATTGGGTCATCTGGTGCATGCTGCCTGTCTGAAATTCCCCTTGTGGTTTTGCTCACATCTGGTGTTTTTCACTTCTCTTTCTAAACACGTGCTTTGATCCTATTGCTGCTACAGCAGAAAGATGTCCATGGTTCCAAGGAGCATAGCTAATTTAGTGAGAGGTGAAAGATACTCCTCTCAACAGGACTTCTAAAAATAAACAGTATCATAGCCTCACAATGTCATGCTTGAAGCACTTCCCATAAAACCCCCAATTTAGTAACTTCTACAGTATCTCTCTACAGCCCCCAAACCTCTAACATGCCTGGACTTCTAGCCCCTCTTCTCAAATCCTCAACACATTTGAAGTCTTCCTCATGTTGTTCTTCCTTTTAGTCACTCTTGAAGTAGACTGCAAGGGTGACAAATGGTTAAATGCTTTCCATAAGAGCTCTGTAGTCGTGTTTCTCCATCAGCTCACACACACTAAGCTGGGAGCTACGTATATTTACTTCCATAAAACCTTATCTACAAGCTTTCCTGTTTTATTTATTTTAGCAAACTTTGTTCCTCATTTCTGCCCCTACTTTATTTTAGTAAGTCTGTTTCTTAATTATAAAAGTATTTTCTTATTACCTTAAAATTTTTAGGTAAATAGAGAAGAATTTAAAAAATCCACAATTCCAGCACTTTACCATAGTCATTATTCATTTTTTGCTCTGTTTTCTTCCAGTTTTATTTTTCTCGTATGTGTGTATGTCTTTTTGATTGTCTATTTGCTCAGTCTTTTTTTCAAATAGAATCATAATTTACATGCAATTTTTGTGTCCCCTTCTTTCACTATTTAATATTATAAATGTTTCCCATGTTGCTACATAATCTTGCAGATAAAAAATTAGGAATGAAAATAGATATAGATTTTAACAAAGTAAATGGGAAAGGCCTTCACTGACCTCCCATAAAGCAATAGATTGTGAATATCATTTGCAGGACCCATTTCTTCTCTGAGTTGCTGGGATTTGGAATTAAGATAAAGAAGACATAAGTGAGTAGAAAGAGGCAAAACAGCCCAATGTTTTTGGAGACCAAAGATTAATATGAAGTCACAGATGGCTAAATTTAAGATTCAAGAGAATTAACCTGCCCTACTGAGTATGTCAGAGTCAAGGATACCCAAACAGTCCCCAGAAAAGAACAACTTATCACAGATAAGGCCAGAAGGAGGGCTGTTTGGGAAACATTCCTCCTGGGGAAAGAACACCTTCCCATGGGCTGTGGAAAATGATAAGTAAGTTACATTGTCCACTCCCATTTCCAGAGGGGTTTCAGAGAAGAAATGAGGAGGCAAGGCATTCTTCCTGTAGGAGGGGATTGTTGGGCTTCTTGGCTATGCTTTCTATTCTCTTGGTTCCTTTTTCCTTTTCAGTTGCCCCATTGGACCCCAACCCAAACTAAGAAATGTTACCCCAATGGGTTAAGTTGTCCTTACATAGCCAACATTCTTCAATCAAACTTTCACCCTCTCTTACCTTTCTTTGCTGACCTTCCCAAACCCAAGACATCCAGCTAGCTCCCCTGTGCCATCTCATCTCTGCACACCCACCCTTACCACACAGGGAGGCCAGTGCTGAGCAGCATCCGCATGCCTGCTTAGCAGCAACACTGAAGCCTGATGATGAATAGAGGTACAGAGGTCTGTCCAGGTTTACTTCTTTGGAGCTGCTCTCCCTATTCTAGGAAGACCCACTGACCTATTATTTGTGTCAGGCACTTTATTCCTCACAACAATGCTGGAAGATTGGTATAACTATTCTCAAATTACAGATGAGGAAACTGAGGTCTGGGGATCTGTCTGTGTCGGAGATCCCCAACCCCCGGGGCATGGACAGGTACTAGTCCATGGCCTGTTAAGAACCAGGCCATATACCCCCTGAACTCCACCTCCTGGTCAGATCTGTGGAAGCATTAGATTCTCATAGGAGCACAAACCCTATTGTGAAGTGTGCATGGAAGGGATCTAGGATGCATGCTCCTTATGAGAATCTAATGCCTGATGATCTGCAGTGGAACAGTTTCATCCTGAAACCATCCCCACTGCTGCCCCACCTGTGGAAAAAATAGTCTTCCACAAAACAGGTCCCTGGTACCAAAAAGGTTGGGGACCGCTGGTCTAGGTAATAATGCATAATATTGTAGAGAGGTAAGATAACTGAGAAAATACCCAAAGGTGCAGAGAAAAGTACAAAGCAAAATTACTCAGCATCCATTATCCCCAAAGAAGTATTGATAACTTTTAAAATATATTGCCTTTCATTGTTTCTATGTGTTCATCTATGTATATGTGTATGTGCGTATGCAAGATGATAACCCGTAATACATGAGTTTATTTTGCTTTACAAGATCAGGATTCTGTTATTTCTATGAGCTTGCTAGCACTTCCATAACAAGGTACCACAACTGAGTGGCTTAAGTAACAGCAATTTGCTGTCTCACGGTTCTGGAGGTTAGAAGTCTGAGATCAAGGTGTTGGCAAATTGGTTCTTAGTGAGGACTGTGAGAAAGAATATGTCCCAGGCCTCTCTCCTGTCTTCTGCTGTTTTTCTGGAAGTCTTTGGTGTTTCTCAGCTTCTGCTGCATCACCCCAGTCTCTGCCTTCCTCTCCACATGGCAGTATCCTTGGTGCATGTCTGTCTCTCCACATGGCATTCTTTTAATAAGGATAATAGTCATTTTGAATTAAGTTCCCTCCTACTTCATTATGACCTCATCTTAACTTGATTGATTATACCTACAACAACCTTATTTCCAAATAAGGTCACCTTCCGAGGTAACGGGGGTTAGGACTCCAACATATCAATTTTGGGAGGACACAATTCAACCCATAACAACTATTTGTACGATATTGCATCTTATTTTTTTTCTACTTACCATTCTATGTTGACATTTTTGTGAGGGGAAAGGGCTGGCACATGCATATGTGGGCAGGGAGAGAAGGCCCAAGGGGAGCAGCACAGTGGGGAGCAACCCACAGCCTTGGGGAAGGCACGGCAGGAGAAGAGCATGGAGAAAGGGGCAGGGGAGCTGTCAGAGCATTGACCATCACCGTGGTTTTCCTGGTTCACAGGCTTCCTGAGGGCTCCTCAGAAACATGTGTTAGAAAAGAAAAGCTTTCCGGTCTGTCCAGTCTCCTCCATGACCACAGTTTCTCACCCACATACCATTGTCTGGCTTGGAATGGATCCTGGAAGGAGGACTCAAGAGAAACCATAGAAACAGACAACAGGAAGTAAGTGTGAGGGAAGTTTTGGACGGTGAAAGTATTAGATTTGTCAACTGGGAAGCAGTATAATATTATAATTAAGCCCTACATAGAGTCAAACAAATGTTTTCATATCCTACCTCTGACACTCATTTTTAAAATATTTTATTTTTTGGAGCAGTTTTAGATTCACAGCAAAATTGAGCAGAAAGAATAGAAATTTCTCATATACTCCCTGTCCCCACACATGCAAAGGCCCTCTCCATTATCAACATCCCCACACAGAGTGGTACATTTTTTACAGCTGATGAACCTACATCAACCCATCATCACCATCCAAGTCCGTAGTGTCAATTAGGATTCACTCTTGGCATCGTGCATTCTATGGGTTTGGACAAATGTATGACACGTATCCACTATTATATATCATACAGAGTATTTTCGTTCCTCAAAATCCTCTGTGCTCTGCCTCTTCATCCCTCCCGAGGACAACCCCCAGCAACTATTGACCTTTCTACTGTCTCTATAGTTCTGCTGTTTCCAGAATGTCACATAGTTGGAATCATACAGTATGAAGGCTTTTTAGATTAGCTTCTTTAACTTAATAATCTGCAGTTAAGGTTCCTCTACATCTTTTCACGTCGTGATAGCTACATTCATTTTTCTGTGAGATTTTGGGCATATTGGTCTGTCTCTGTAAGCTTCCATTTCCTCATCTGATAGTAGTACCTATGCATAGGGTTGTGGTAAGAATAAAAACGAGGTGATATATGTAAAGTACTTGCCATAGCGCCTGGCAGGAAGAAGTACTTACTGTAGTGCCTGGCACTTCGTTCACTCATTTATTCAACCAATATTTGTTGTCTGCTGCTTCAAGGTCTGTGTTGAATGCTAAGGATACAGTGTTAAACAAAACTGACATGGTTCCTGTCCTCATGGAAATTACACTCTGGAGAGAAAGGTAGAGATTTAAGCAAATAAACACACAAGTAGTCTTTCATTTTAAACCATATAATAATTTGATAAAAAAACTATTTCTAAAATAGAAAAAATGGGGAAACAGATTTAATTTGGAGGGGTGGGGAGGGGATGCACTTAGGGAGAGCCACTCTGAGGAAGTAATATGAAGCTGAGACCTGAAAGTTGATTTGGAAATAGCCAGATGAAGCGCTTTGGGTGTGGGGGAACATGGGGAAGAGTGTCCCAGGTAGAGAGAGCAGGTCCTAAGGTAATAAAGAGCTCATTGGCCCATTAGAGGAACTGAAACATCAGTGTGACTGGAGTGAAATGAACAAGGGGGAACAGGGTGCATATGAGTTTGGAGACATAGGCAGATCCCAGATATTGCAGGGAGTCATGGGATCTCATTGGATGCCTATTCTTAAGAGAATGAGCGGGACAGAAGACTCAAAGGAAGAATAATAAGGGAGGAGAGAAAACCAAAAGAGAGGAATAACACAGAATAAGGGGGCTAGAGGGTGGGTGGGTGAGAGAGACAGAGAGAAGAGAGAGAGACAGAGCAACAGAGAGAGACACAGTGAGACATTTTGAAAGTCAAAAACAGAGAGGTTGAGGAGGATGAGGGCTAAGCAGGACCGAAATTTAGCAAGTAAGAAGTCCTTTGAGACCTCTGAGACAGCAGGTTCAGTGCAACGGTCAAAGTGAAAGCTAGATTACAAGGAGTTAAGAAGTAGTATGTGGTGAGGAAGTAAAGGAAGAAAAGGAAGTTAGCGTATTTTTTTAGAAGTATTATGATGAAGGAAAAGAGAAAGTTTGGGTGATAGCTTAAGTGAGAATTCCTTCTTTATTTTTATTTTAGATTGGAACTTTTTGGGCATTTTTCTAGGCTGAGGAGAAGGATCTAGTAGGTAAAGATTGAAGGCAGGAAGAGAAAGGAGAACTGATTCTGCCTTCAGGAGGCCTCATTCCTGTAGTTATTTTGCCTGCAATCAGAAAGTAACAGACTCTGGTATCATGATCGGGCCAGAGACCTAAACGATGTGCAATTTCAGTCATAGATACGGTTAATTAAAAGACTGTACAAAGTACTCCCATGGTTTTTAAAATTAAAACTATAAATCAATATAGTAATATTTTTAATTTCTGTATTTTAAAACAACTGGCTTTTAAAGAATTTAAAGAAATTCATACTAGACATAATTAAGAATGTATTCTACTTGCACTCAAGTGCTGTTACTAGCTCCCTTAATATAATCCTGGTCTCATTTTTGCATTTGATAGAATCCTTTCTTTGTACTTACCCTGGACCATTTATTTAGGCCAAAGCCCTCTTAGGGTAGCCCCAGATTTCAGGTCAGTTTGGCATCAATGGCTCTTTCAAAGGAATTTCAGTTTTGATTTCCCAGTTGCTCATAGCTTTTCTTCTGACTGAAGAAGATGGAAAAGACATTGACCCTGCTGGGTTGATGGACTCATGGAACAAGCAAGTTTCATTTTGCCTGCCCAGTTTTCTTATCAGCTAGGAATGAGGTACATTTTCCATCTCACCTCCTCCCTTTTTCATAC
Organism: Homo sapiens; assembly: GCF_000001405.40. Lineage (NCBI taxonomy): Eukaryota > Metazoa > Chordata > Mammalia > Primates > Hominidae > Homo > Homo sapiens. The sequence continues at coordinate 148,735,055 of NC_000001.11, forward strand.
AGCAAAGGAAAAAAATTACTGAGTTTTATTTAGTTTTTTTAAACATCAAAGTTAAATATGCACATAGTTTAAAGAATCGAATATTTCTAAATTACTAATTACAAGAAACAGCATTCCCCTACTCCACCCCTTCATTTCCCACTCCTCAGAGGAAATCACTTTCAATGCTTTCACTAAATCTTTTTTTAGGGGGAGGAGGGAAATCATTGTATCTCTAAATAGCTACCTCTTAGTTTTCTCTATTGACTTTCCACTGTGGAAGATGGGGATTCAGTTTTCGCCTCTTCCTATACCACATGGGCCTATATTTCTACGTCACTATTAAACTGACACTCAGTGTTTATATTACTATGATCAAATAAATACTATTCACACCTGTGTTGCATAATAAATTATGATCACTTTCTTCAAAACTATTTTGCTTTCTCTGGAGTTAATAATTGTCTCATTTTTCATTTGCCTAGTTTTTCTATGCATATGCCACTAATTTAATCCATACTCCTCTGTAGTTGTTTAAGTCTCCTCTCAATATGTCCAAACAAACTTGGTATTCCATCAGTTTCATCTGGAAGAGAGCTCTTCCAGAGCCTACTGATCTGCTCCTCTCTGGGCTAACTGACCTCTAGGCCTGCTGTGCATCTGTCATCTTGGGACTTCCCTTTACCCACATCCTGGGGACTCTCTTCACCTCTGTGTTGAGTGCTCTGGTTCCTGAATTCCGCCTCTTCCTCTTTCTTGACTCACAACACTGTTTTGGTGGAGCACATTCTTCAGTAGTTTCCTAAGAGAGAGTGCAGGGAAGATATAACATTTGCCATCAGTGCCCTGCCCAAATTCTCTTGGCACTTAACATCCAGGCCTTCAAAACTGCCAGCACATATGTCTGTTTGCCTGAGGGCTTTTTCTAGCTACTGAAAGTTTGCTCAGGAAGTGCTGGGGAATTAACCCCCTTTTCCCTGGGAGAGACCCTTAACCAATGACTGATGAGAGTTAGTAGATAAATATCCCAGCTTGCTCAACCATGAGGCGGTTTAACCCTGAAGCATGCTTTCTACACAGGTCTCCCAGAGTTCCCCGATGGAGTCAAGTTCCACTGGTTCACAGTAACTTGCAAGATATATTAACTTCCGGCCGGGCGCGGTGGCTCACGCCTGTAATCCCAGCACTTTGGGAGGCCGAGGCGGGCGGATCACGAGGTCAGGAGATCGAGACCATCCTGGCTAAAACGGTGAAACCCCGTCTCTACTAAAAATACAAAAAATTAGCCGGGCGTAGTGGCGGGCGCCTGTAGTCCCAGCTACTTGGGAGGCTGAGGCAGGAGAATGGCGTGAACCCGGGAGGCGGAGCTTGCAGTGAGCCGAGATCCCGCCACTGCACTCCAGCCTGGGCGACAGAGCGAGACTCCGTCTCAAAAAAAAAAAAAAAAAAAAAAAAAAAAAAAAGATATATTAACTTCCGTAGGATCCTTTTCTCGTTACTTTACTCCCGTACAGATGTTTACTGGGGTCATCTCCCAAATAAACTAATTTTGCTCTTATATTTTTTCTTTTCTTTTCTTTTTTTTTTTTTTTGAGACGGAGTCTCGCTCTGTCGCCCAGGCTGGAGTGCAGTGGCGCGATCTCGGCTCACTGCAAGCTCCGCCTCCCGGGTTCACGCCATTCTCCTGCCTCAGCCTCCCGAGTAGCTGGGACTACAGGCGCCCGCTACCACGCCCGGCTAATTTTTTGTATTTTTAGTAGAGACGGGGTTTCACCGTGTTAGCCAGGATGGTCTCGATCTCCTGACCTCGTGATCCGCCCGCCTCGGCCTCCCAAAGTGCTGGGATTACAGGCGTGAGCCACCGCGCCCGGCCATATTTTTTATTTTCTATCTGTTATCTTTCTGCTTTCCCTTCTACTTTCCAAATCTACTAAGCTTTTTTATATTTTTGCTATCATATTTAAATTTCTAAGTTTTTTTTGTTCTCTGAATGTTCCTTTTAAAACATAGCATTCTGTTCTTATTTCATATATGCACTAGTTCTCTTATTTCTCTGGAGATATTATTAATACTTCTTGTTTTCTTTTTCTTTCAGAGATGCTGTCATTTCTGAGTTATCTTTGGAGCATTTCTCTCCAGTGTGTCAGGGTTTCAGAGAAGGCTTTCCTAATATTCAGGCTGGCTGTCAGGGTTTCCTAAGTAAGAGAAGATGGCAGAAGGCAATGGGCTTATAATCTCCTGTTTTTTCCCAGCATGTTGTCCTTTCACACAATAGTGCCTTGTCCCTTCTCTGTCTTACTCTCCCACCAGAAAAACCTCCATTCTTGGACATCGTGGGGAAGGGGCAATCCATCTAACAGCAAGAGGAAGAGGGGGCCTGGAGCTTTCATTGTTTCCTGAACTGATTTTCAATGCAACTTACTGTTTTTAGCCACAACTTCACCCTTATTTCCAAAAGTACCTGGTGCCACCAATTGCTGAGCATTTGGGGGATTCTGAAATGTAAAGTGAGTTGCTTTACCTTTCTCATCTGCAGGCTTAGGATTCAGCTTTCTCAGGTCTCTTGATTCAGTTACCACTCATTCATCTATGTTCTAGCTTTTATTTGTTTATTTATTTATTTTTTGAGACGCAGTCTCACTCTGTCACCCAGGCTGGAGTACAGTGGTGCAATCTCGGCTAACTGCAACCCCCACCCCCGACCTTCCCGGTTCAAGTGATTCTCCTGCCTCAGCCTCCCAAGTAGCTGAGACTACAGGCACCCGCCACCATGCCCGGCTAATTTTTGTTTTTTTAGTTGAGATGGGTTTTTACCATGTTGGCCAGGCTGGTCTTGAACTCCTGACCTCAAGTGATCCACCTGCCTCAGCCTCCCAAAGTGCTGGGATTATAGGCGTGAGCCATTGTGCCCGGCCTTATGTTCCAGCTTTTAAAATTATCTTTCTTACTCTTGTCCTTTTTATATTCTTTTGTCCTTGTAGGTTTCTCCTTAAAAAAAACTCACCAAAATTCTTACTTGCTTACATATGCATAAAGAAACTCTGGAAACACGCATAAGAAAGCATAACAGTCCTTATTTCTGGACAGGGAGAAAGTGGAAACTGAGCTGATGGGAGACATAGATGAGGGAAACGTTTCAGGCTGTGCATCTTTGTATTTTTCTGGTTTTAAAACCATGTGAATGTATCACTTAATCAAAACATTAAATTTTGGTTGAGTTCTAGGAGGGAGTGGAGCATGTGTTTAATCTGCTGTCTTTAACCAGAAGTCTCAAGTATTGTTTTTCTAAATTAGCAGCTTCAATGTTGAAACCATGAGAAGCTACCCAGCCAAAAGCCATTCCAAACAAATCCAGAGCCATAAGCAAAAATATAGACAAATTTGGCTTTGTGAAAATTAAAGATTTATGCAAAGCAAAAACCAAAAATCAGATCAAATTTAAAAAGATCAGAAAACCAAAAACAAATTGGGAAAAAATTTTGCAACAAGTATGACAAAAGGCAAATTTACTTTAAAATATGGAATTTTGACCAGGTGTAGTGGCTCACACTTGTCATCCTAGCACTTTAAAAGGCTGAGGCAGGGCTGGGTGCTGTGGGGGGCCGAGGCAGGCAGATCACTTGAGGTCAGGAGTTCAAGACCAGTCTGGCCAACATGGTGAAACCCCATCTCTACGAAAAATACAAAACAATTAGCCGGGAGTGGTAGCACATGCCTGTAATCCCAGCTACTTGGGAGACCGAGGCAGGAGAATCACTCGAACCTGGGAGGCGAAGGTTGAAGTGAGCTGAGATTGCGCCACTGCACTCCAGCCCAGGCAACAGAGTGAGACTTTGTCTCAAAAAAAAAAAAAAAAAAAGGCCAAGTCAGGAGGGTGCCAGACTGCAACTCCAGTCTGGGTGACAAAGCAAGAACCTATTTCAAAAAAAAAAAAAAAAAAGATGAAGTTTTTACAAAGCAATTAAACACAGATAAAAATCCAATAGAAAACAACAGGCAAAGGACATGAATATACTACACAGGTGAATACTTACAAATGGCTTTTAAATACATGAAAAATGTTCAACCTCACTCATAAATTAAAGAATGAAAATCAGAACAATGAGAAAATCAGTTTTCACCTATTAGAACAGCAAAATTATAAAATCTGATAATATACACTGGTGACGTAAAGATTTGGTGGGGGGGAGTCTAAAATATTTTTAGTAGGATTAAAAATTGTTACTAAATTTGCAGTGCATTTTGGTGCTATCTATCAAAATGTTAAAGTTACATTTACCTTTTGACGCTGCAACTTCCCTATCAGACATGTATCTGCTTGCACTGGGCATTAAGACATATTTACTTGCTCACTTCAGCTGCACATATGCTAAAATTGGAAGGATACAGAGAAGATTGTCATGGCCCCTGCACAAGGATGACATGCATGAAGCATTCCATATTTTTTTAAAAATACATATTTACAACGATATTCACTGCAGCATTATTTGTAGTCACAAAAACTGTAAGCAACCCAACTGCTTACAGGAGGAAATTGGCTACATAAATTACAGTATATTCATTCAGAGGGATATTAAGCAGCCAATAAAAAGAATGAGGCAGGCCAGGCACAGTCACTCACACTTGTAATCCCAGCACTTTGAGAGACCAAGATGGGAAGATCAGTTGAGGCCAGGAGTTCGAGACCAGCCCGGGCAACATGGCAAGGCCTGACTCTACAAAAAATAAAAAATTAGCGAGGAGTGGTGGCACGTACCTGTTGTCCCAACTACTTGGGAGGCTGAAGCAGGAGGATCCCCTGAGCTCAGGAGTTAGAGGTTGCAGTGAGCTATAATCACACCACAGCACTCTAGCGTGGGAGACAGAGCAAGACCTGTCTCTAAAAATAAAAATAAGAAAAAGAATGAGGCAGCTTTATATTTATGGAATTATCTCTAACATGTAGTCTTAAGGTTACAAGCAAATTATGGAACAGTGTATATGGAGTGATCCTATTTGAGTGATTTTTAAGTAACTTTTCTTAAATACATAGATGTGCTTGTGTACACACAAGATATCTCTGGAGGAATACATAAGAAACAAATCATTATTACTACCTCCAGAGAAGAAACTGGGAAAATAAGGGATCAACAAAGGGAAGGGGAGTTTTTTTCCCTTAAAAACATATGTGTGTGTATATATATATAATCTCCAAGTGCATGATTTTTAAAAAAAATAATAGGTACATTAGTAAATGTTTTCGGTCGCAAGCAACAGAAACAATTTGTAGTTAATCTAAGCGGTAAATGAATTTATTAAAAAATATTAGGTAGTTCACAAGCTCTCCAGGAGGACTAGAAACCCAGGTTTAGAGGCTACATAGCCAGAAGCAACACCTAAAATTGTACTGCAGAACAATATCATGAAGTCATCAATGCCCCCACTGCATGGAAACCACTGCTCAGTGAATGCCCCAAGCCTGGATGCTGGTCCCTGCTGCTAGAACCACCAGAACCACCACCACTGTAGCATCTAAAAAATGAATGTTGTTATTACAACTAATGCCACTCCCTGCTGCAGAACAGATTCAACAGTCTTTGCTATTTGAGGTCACTAGCTCCTGAGTCAAAAAGCAATGCAGATCCTTATGCCTATGCATACCTGTAAGGGAAGCTGGAAAACAAGTATCTGACATTTTCAGCTTCTAAAGTAAAAGGTTGTCCTCTGTATCCCATCAAGGCCTATAAAGTGATGAATGCTTCAAATATAGAGCATTTAGATAACAGAGGTGGAGAGAGAGAGAGAGAGGAAAATAAGGAAGGAAGAAGGAGTTTCACATCAGTTTTCACTTTGCTTTGGGGGAAAGTATCCTGGATGCCATATGACATACTCACTTTCCTGTGTCTTTTGCATGTACTGTTGTTAAGAATCACAGGACTTCAGAGTAGAAAGTTCCCGATAGAGGATTTAGTTCAAAAGCATTGTTTTCTAGTCGAGAAAAACAAACTCAAGTAAAGTTTGGGAAAACTCAAGTTGCCCAAAATTACTCAATAAGAGTTTCTGATTATGTGATTAGGTTCTCCCAGTCCAGGGCCCAATCCTCCATAGAATGTTCGGGTATTATTAGTACTTCAGCCAAGGCTCTAATGCAGTATCAAGATGCAGATTTGCTTCTGGTAGGGCTTCTTGAAGAAACTGGTGCTACTTATTACAAATATTATTAAACATTTGTATAGGACTTTAATGTTTATTTTTTAAAATTTTTATTTGTAAATAGTAAAATCATTTATTTTTAAAAAACAACAAAAATATAGGAGGATTTAAAGTAAATGGTAAAATTCATACCTTCATCTTGCTTTCCTACTCCCTAGGAATAATCAGTGTTGAAAGTATGCTGAGTATCTTTCAGTTCTTTTTCTATGTGTATGCACATATATTTGTAGGTATTTATAGACATACGCATACCACATATATAACCTTTCATATCTTGCTTTCCCACTCTACATGCATCATGGACATAACTGATACTTGAAGTGGATTCATGCCAGTAAGTTATTGCTAGGTTGGGAAGCGCCGCATGGAGACACGGTGCCTGAGGAGAGGATGTCACAAACCATGAAAGGCTTGGTGGTAAGGTGATATTTTTGGTCCAGTGAGCTTCATGGTGTCACTTGAAGTATAAATTGCCTCAGGAAGAAAACATGGGCTGCTTCAAAGCATGAAAGTAACCTCCAAAATCATCTAGCTCAACCTCATTTGTAGGTGAAGAACTATTTTTCCTGGGAGTGGGGGTGATTATGGACCTTGCCCAAGATCACCCAACCAGGACAGTGACAGAGTTGGGATTTCTTTCTTTCTCCAAGACCCTGGCTCATTGCATTGTGTTGCATTGCTTTCTGCAAGTTTCAGAGGAGAGAGAGGGCAGTGGTTAGTTTGAAAACACACATATGCTCAGATTACATTTGATTTCTCAGGCTGTAGTGCTGGGGCTCCCTGCCTGACTGTGTCCATGAGTTCTTCCATGAAGTTTTACATTTAGCTTTTCTTTTGCCCGCTATATGCCTTATTGACTACCATTAACCATCTCCTTGGGGACTATGAATCTTACTTTTCAGTCTTTTTATGGCAATTTGCACTCTTTACTAACACAGCTTTATTATTTGTTCAGGTCTTGGGAGAATATTGAATAAGACATTATATCAGATGGATGACAAAAGGAGGGGAAAAACAAGAAAGACCACCAAGTTTACATAGATGCCAAATTTATTTAATCAGGGAGGAGTCATTTAGTGCTAATGAGGGAGGGGTGGAATACACATTAGAAAAAGACACATCTTCTGCCTGTAGGACCTTACTTTCTAGAACAGTTACCTCTAGTCTCTTTTCTTCATACCACTCCATCAAAAAAAAAAAGAAAGAAAGAAAGAAAGAAAGAAAAGAAAACCAGCATACATGCCTAATAATTGCATGTTTGCTATAAATTCCGTACACTCTACTGTGACATTTTAATATTAGTAAAGCCTAATTTTCTTAATATTTTAGATTAAAAAATAAATAGAAGCAAGTATTCACATATGTTTTTCTCATACCTCTATGTACCATTTTGAGCACTTCACTTTGGAGTCCAGTTTCAACAGGAGAATCAGATGCACACCCAAAATACTAGAAAGCTTGGGAGTGTGAAGAGGGCTCTAATGTCAGGGTAAGCAAAATATTCTTAGGGCATCAAGGAAGCATTGCCAGAGGAAAGGAAAGCTGAGGATATTCAAGGACTTCTGACCTACTCCGTGGGCACAGCGTCTCTGGGCTTGGACAAGGGATTAGTGCCAGGCTTGGTTTCCTTGGCTGGAATCTGTACATGAAGGCTGCACATGAAGAGCCTACCTCACCCCAGAAGCATCCATTTCCTGGCACCTCAAGCATATATGGGCTTAATAAATAACATGTCATTCCATGATGATAGGGACAGACATACTTGGCCCATGGCTTAGAGCCACCCCCAATTGTCTACACTCAATGGTGGGGCAGCAAGTACTGTGGATATGGAGCTGGGAGGCTGAGCTAAATCCTAGCTATCTTACTAACCAATTGTATGACTCTAGCCCTTAAACTCTCTGAGCTTTAATTTTCTCATCTGTAAAATGGGAATGATAAATGCCTTCCAGAACTATTTACAATTTCTAACATTTGTTGAGTTTTTCAATGTGCATTACATGTATCATCTCATGAAATCCTCATGACAAAATAATGAGGTGGAGCTATTATTGTTCCCCTTTTGCAAATGTGGAAACTAAGTTTTAGAGTAGGTAATCTGCCTACAAGTTTACACAGCTAGAATGTGCAGAGATGGGATTCTGAGGCTTGCTCAACTCTGAAGCAAATGTCCTACCCGCTCTACTTGGCTGCTGACCATGAACACACTTCATGAACTCTGAAGTACGAACAAGGTACACAGAGTGTAAGATTTAGTCCTTGTCCTTAAGTCTAAATTCAAAATATGTTTATCTATAAAGCGTGTTTTTCTGTTTTTGTTTTTGTTTTTTTTTGAGATTGAGTCTCGCTGTGTCAGCCAGGCTGGAGTGCAGTGGCATGATCTCAGCTCACTGCAACATCCGCCTGCCGGGTTCAAGCAATTCTCTGCCTCAGCCTCCTGAGTAGCTGGGATTACAGGCGCCCGCCACCACACCCAGCTAATTTTTTTTTTGTTTTTATTTTTAGTAGAGATGGGGTTTCACCATATTGGCAAGGCTGTTCTTGAACTCCTGACATTATGATCCACCTACCTCGACCTCCCAAAGTGCTGGGATTACAGGTGTGAGCTACCATGCCCAGCCTATCTATAAAGTGTAAAAGTCCAACAAAGTAGGATTTGGTTAGAATGAAAAGGTGGAGAAAGAACTTCAATGTTAGTTTCCTTATCTTTAGTGCCTTACAACAGTATATGATTACTGGAAAGAGCACTCGGTTAGCAAGAAGAAAACCAGTTCTGTCCCATACTTGCTCTCAACTTTAGGCACTTCATTTAAGCTGTTTACTCATCTATTAGGGGTCCTAATGAATGAGCTCTAGAGGGTCTTTTTGCCTGACAATCCTCAAACTCCATTCTCAAAACTTCCTGCAATCGGGAGTCTCCCTCCCCTCCATGGAGAGGGTGGGACAGAGGCATGTAGACAGGGAGGCGATCCTCAGGTCAGCTAGGGCTTACTCAAACAAGGTCCTGTGGGGGCAACAGGGAGAGTGGATGGGGACTCAAGCCAGAGCCCTGGTGGGATGGGCCGGTAATTATAAGGAAACACTGCAGAGAAAGTTTCTGTTGTGGTTGTTCCCTTTGTTTACTTTAGGCAGTTCTGTCATTTTTTAACTGACCCTTCCCAGATGAGATAGTCAGTTTTCAGCTGGGTAAAGTCAGGGCCTTGCAACTGATGGGGTATTTGAATCCTCTGTGGCTCAGTTGCTGGAGGGAGGCCAGGGCAGCTGAAACTCCCCCGCCCTTTCAGGGAAGTGAAGCTGGGGCTACAAACTTGCTGACAGTGGCTGGTGGCCTGTAAACCCAAACATCCTCCCCTCCTCCGTCTCGGTGTAGCAATGTGAAAAAAACAAAGCCACGAGCTTTCCAGAGCAGGGGAAGGCTCTAGCCAGATTCCCTTCCAGCTACTCCCTCCTGCACTTTGGCCCACAGCCACATGGTACAAGGTTATAGTTACAGTTGAAAACTGCTGACGTCTACTTTTTGGTTGTTGTACAAATAATAATTAATAAAACACACACAAAAAAACACATTTTTCTTCATGGCTAAATATTCACATAGTTGATTCAAACCTAAATGTGCATACTTGCTTTTCTTTTCCTGTTTTCTTAAGTTTGAATAATTGTCATGTAGCTGTTTAAGAATCAGACAGAAGGAAAACTCATCTGCTTAGTACTTTTCTTAAATTGTCCAGTTTCTTTTGGCCTCTGAATACCAGAGTCTTTTATGTGTAAGATTAGAAACATCTGGCCAGCATATCTGAGTAAGGCTGAGCTAAAGCGGGATGAAACTAGGTAGAATGGCCTGCCTTTCTGAATTATAGAATTTTAAGCATTGATGGGACGCAAACTTACTAAATTCTACCTCTTCATTTTGCAGATGAAAAGACAGTCCCAAGAGGTTAGGATTTGCTTAATGTCACACAGCCTGCATCAGAGGTGAACCCAGAACCCAGGTCTCCATACTCCTAGTCTGGCACTGTTTTTATATATATATCCATGCTTAGAGAGGACTTGTGTATTAAAATTTTTTTATAAAAGTGCATCATCCCTGTCTTTGAAACACCCAATTATTTTGCAATTCTTACCCACTGTGTATATATTCTTTAGGAGAAGAGAGAGAGTTAATGTTCATAGAACACCTATTATGTGCCAGGTTTTTCCTACATCTTCTCATTTAATTTTCACCATGCTATGAAGGAGGTATTATTCTACCTGTTCCACAGATGATAAAACTGAGAGGTTAGGTACACTTGCCGAAGTTCACATAACTAGGAAGTAGTGGACTCAGGATTCAAATCCAGATCTCTCTCATCTGCAGCTCCCAGACTATGCTACACCACATTGCCACAGCCACTGTGCACATCACAGCTTACAGTAACATACTTTCCACTTTTCAAATTATGACCCAATTTTCATAATCACTACTTTTGTGGATGTATTCACTCATTCAGTAAATTATTTATTAAGCAGCTACTCTGTGCCAGGAATAGTCAAGACACTGAGGATATAGTAGTGAGCAAAATACATAAATCCTAGCTAACTCCCACTTATAAGTGAGAACATATGGCATTTGGTTTTCCATTCCTGAGTTATTTCACTTAAAATAATGGCCTCCAGCTCCATCCAAGTTGTGCAAGACATTATTTCATTCTTTTTTGTGGCTGAGTAGTATTCCATGGCATGTATATACCACATTTTCTTTATCCACTAATTGGTTGATGAGCTCTTAGGTTAGTTCTATACCTTTGCCATTGTCAATTGTGCTGCGATAAACATACATGTGCAGATATAATGATTTATTTTCCTTTTTGATATAATGACTTATTTTCCTTTGGGTAGATACCCAACAGTGGGATTGCTACTTTTAGTTCTTTGAGAAATCGTCATACTGTTTTCCATAGATGTTATATTAATTTACATTCCCACTAGCAGTGTATAAGTGTTCCCTTTTCACCACATCTGTGACAACATCTATCGCTTTTTGGATTTTTAACAATGGCCATTCTGGTTGGGGTAAAGTGGTATCTCATTGTGGCTTTGATTTGCATTTCCCTGATGTTCAGTGATGTTGAAATTTTTTCCATGTTTATTGGCCATTTGTGTATCTTCTTTTGAGAAGCATCTATTCATGTAAATTGCCCACTTTTTAATGGAATTATTTGGTTTTTTTTTCCCTGCTGATTTGTTTGAGCTCCTTGTAGATCCTGGATATTAGTCCTTTCTTAGATGGATACTTGCAAATATCTTCTCCCATTCTGTGGGTTTTCTCTTTACTCTGATGATTATATATTTTGCCGCACAAAAGCCTTTTAGTTTAATCAGGTTCCGTTTATTTGTTTAAATTTTTGTTGCATTTGCTTTTGGGGTCTTAGTCATAATTTTGTGCCTAGGCCAAAGTCCAGAAGAATTTTTCCTATGTTTTCTTCTAGAATTGTTATGGTTTCAGGTCTTATATTTAAGTCTTTATTCCATCTTAGGGTGATTTTTGTATGTGGTGAGAGAGATGGATCCAGTTTCATTCTTCTATCCAGTGGCTCTCCAGTTTTCACAGAACCATTTACTAAATAGGGTGTCCTTTTCCCAATTTATGTTTTTGTATGCTTTGTTGAAGATCAGTTGGTTCTAAGTATCTGGCTTTACTTCCAGGTTCTCTAGTCTGTTCCACTGGTCTATGCATCTACTTTTATATCAGTACCATGCTGTTTCGATTACTATAACCTTGTAGTATAATTTGAAGTTGGGTAATGTGATGCCTCCAGATTTGTTCTTTTTGCTTAGGATTGCTTTGGCTATTTAGGCCCTTTTATGATTCCATATGAATTTTACATTTAAGTTTTTAAAGGACTGCTAAGGGTGCTGTGTTGAGAGTAGACCGGGGGTGGGGAACAAGGGTGAAAGCAGAAATGCCAGTTGGGAGGCCATTGCAATAATTCAGATGAGGAATAATAGTGACTTGATCCAGAGTGATACAGAATGCAGTGAAAAGTGATACAATTCAGAGTATATTTTGACAGTGAAGCTAGTATTATAATCTGCCATCTTTACATGCCATGATGTCATAAAACATGCTTCTATTTTGGTGATTTAGGTTGTTCCTGTTTGCACTATTATAGGTAATATTTTCATTAACATTCCCACTCACACTTTTTGCCTGTCTTATTTCCTTACATAAATTCCCAGGAATTGGATCACTGAGTTGAAGATGTGATCATCCTTATGACTCTTGCTACAAGTTGTCATATTACTTAGTAGGTTCCACCCATAGTACCTTAGGGATCTTTAATTTGAAATGCTCCAGGATTCCTCCCCCATCCCCAGGATCTCTAACCCTCTCTCCCACTGTGGTTTTCTTCTTTTTCTCTTTCTCCTCTCTCTCTTTTTGGGGAGCTTATAAAAGGGAAGGGTAACAAAAATGGACAAAAGTTAGGGCTGGCCACAGGGAGAGGTAAGAAAAGATACAGAAGGATTTCTTCATTTTTTTTCTGTCTTACAGCCCTGAGAAAGTCCCAGCTGCTTCCCTTAGTTGGATGAAAATCTTCTTCTGTAAGAATCAACAAGCTAACAATACTGCTTACTTAGAGACCTTTTTGTCTTCTGGGGAGATATCAATGGACTTTACAATTTCAATTATCTTTCATAATATTCCCTGGTGTTAGAACAAACTGCCTCCTCTGAACAAACATTCCTCTCACCAGGGTGGGAAGTTTACCAAACTTTGTGGCTCCTTTATTCCCCTCCTCCATCAGGTTGGTCCCCCTTTCAAATGACCCATCCCCCATCACCACAACTCAAAAATGTACCTGCTCAGTCCTCCTTATCCAATTTCATCCTAAGTTGGAAAGAAAATATTTTAATTGTTTCTTAGAAGTGAGGGTTTTTAATGAATTTTAGAATCAACTTGTCAATTTCTGCTGCTCTTAAAATGTATATGGAAATGCATGGGACTCATAAAAGCCAAAACAATGAAGAACAAAGTTGGTGGATTCACACTTCCCAATTTCAAAACTTACAACAAAACTACAGTAACAAAGACAGTGTGTTACTGACAGAAGGATAAACATACAGATCAATGGAACAGAATTGAGAATCACAAATAAACCCTAACAGTTACAATCAATTGATTTTCAACGAAAGAGCCAAGACAATTCAATGGGGAAAAAAAAATGGTCTTTTCAACAAGTGGTGCTGGGCAACTGGATATCCACACGCAAAAGAATTAATTTGGACCCCTAAGATTGTACACAATAATTAACTCAAAGTGAATCATAGGCCTAAATGTAGAAGCTAAAATACAGTCGCCGTGGTGCTGCTGCTCAGTGGGAGCGGGTCTTCGCAACTGTCTCCGCGTGGCGCGCGCCTCTAGCCGCCCTTCCCCTGGCGGCTACGGCTGGAGGGAGCGGAGGCGAGCGGGAGTCGGGCTCCATGGAGAGCGGCGGACAACTGGGCAGAGGCGGAGCTTTCATCTCGGCACCCTGGTTCCAGTGACCCGCGCTAGCGTCCCGTCCCGCCCGCGTCGGAGCGGCCGCCGGCCCCGGGACTGACCGGCCTCGCCGCACCTCCCGCACCGACTAGCGCTCCCGGGCGCTCCTGCGCCCGACTCGCCCTCGCCCCCACTCCCCGGCGGGGTGGCGGCGGCCGGGCCCCCACGGCGGCGGCCGGAGCAGCAGCAGCAGCAGCAGGAGCCCGCCTCTATGATGAAGTTCAAGCCCAACCAGACGCGGACCTACGACCGCGAGGGCTTCAAGAAGCGGGCGGCGTGCCTGTGCTTCCGGAGCGAGCAGGAGGACGAGGTGCTGCTGGTGAGTAGCAGCCGGTACCCAGACCAGTGGATTGTCCCAGGAGGAGGAATGGAACCCGAGGAGGAACCTGGCGGTGCTGCCGTGAGGGAAGTTTATGAGGAGGCTGGAGTCAAAGGAAAACTAGGCAGACTTCTGGGCATATTTGAGCAGAACCAAGACCGAAAGCACAGAACATATGTTTATGTTCTAACAGTCACTGAAATATTAGAAGATTGGGAAGATTCTGTTAATATTGGAAGGAAGAGAGAGTGGTTCAAAGTAGAAGATGCTATCAAAGTTCTCCAGTGTCATAAACCTGTACATGCAGAGTATCTGGAAAAGCTAAAGCTGGGTTGTTCCCCAGCCAATGGAAATTCTACAGTCCCTTCCCTTCCGGATAATAATGCCTTGTTTGTAACCGCTGCACAGACCTCTGGGTTGCCATCTAGTGTAAGATAGAGAGAACTGGGTAGGCCTCTCCCACCATGTGCAGTCTCATGGGGAGAGGCTTCTTTCGTTTCCTCGTCAAACATCTGATTGACGCTTGCAAACTGTCTGAATTTGCCATGCAAGGTTTTCAAACAATTTGCATGTTTTTCAGATGCTTTCAAATCTTTTTTTAAAAAAATAGTGTAAAATATTTTAATAAGCCAAAGCCATGTGGAATTTTTGTTTAGATGCCTTAACTGTGCCACACCCCACAACCCCCTATATTATTTTGGTTGTCTATTTCTCACAGCATATTTTCAGTTTTTTGTCCATTTGACATCAGTCTGTGGTTTATTTTGTCATCAGATTACTTGTGGGTATACCTACCCCAAAATTGTTTTCTCATTCACAGCATTAGCATATTCAGCAAATCCATCTGTGGTGGGAATTAAAAATATTATTGGTTTTAAAGAAATCCATTCACCCCAAAACTTGTTTTACAGGATTACAATTTTAATTCAAAATTTCCAGATTTGGGCTATTTCTGTATGATCCAATAACTTATTTTGTCACAGGGCTTAATTTGCCATTTTTGGGGATTTGTCGACTCATTTTGTCTGAATTTTCACAACTGGTATTATGTCACTAGCTACCTGATATGGCTATTTCCCTTATAACTCAATAGTACCTTAACACAAAGTATAACTCTGTAGAGTTGGTGAATATTTTAGGGAAATATTAGCAAAATGCATGTAGTAAAGACATCTTATGAAAACTGTATTCATGGAATTTGATTTAGCATGCTCAGTTGCCAGTTCCCATTATCGATACTCTTTCTATGCAGAATACCTTAGAACCGTTATTTCCCTCAGTGTAGATTGCTCTTAAAATGTATTCAGTTATTTAGTGGCCCCCACAGGAGTGGAGTCTTGAAATCTAATTCTAAATGCCAGTCAGTGATGATCGCATCACAGTTGAGTGAAATGGCCTTCCTGTTCAGCTGTTAGAGACTGAAGATTGTTAGGGCACCTTAGAATGTCTCATCTTTTCTAGGTTGTCAACAGGTACTATTTGTCACATAACTAACTTTCGAGGCACTGGAACATACCTGAACTAAGAATTAAGTCTTTTACTTTATACTCACTTAAAATCAAGAATCCCATCTAAAACACATAGGTACCTTATCTGAAACTCTTGCACTTCCCCAACCAGGGCAGAAATGAGGTGGGAGAAGTTTGACTAAAATGAGGGATGGGGGAAAGTAAAAGATGTTTTTTTTTTTTTTGAGACTCGCTTTGTCACCCAGGCTGGAGTGCAATGGCACAATCTCAACTCACCGCAACCTCCGCCTCCCAGGTTCAAGCGATTCTCCTGCCTCAGCCTCCCGAGTAGTTGGGATTACAGGAGCCTGCCTCCATGCCTGGCTAATTTTGTATTTTTAGTAGAGACAGGGTTTCTTCATGTTGGTCAGGCTGGTCTCAAACTCCTAACCTCGTGATCCGCCTGCCTCGACCTCCCAAAGTGCTGGTATTACAGGCATGAGCCACCATGCCCAGCCAAAGATCATTTTTTTATATAGACTTCAGCCCTTTGTAAATATTGTAACTGGGGAGTATAGAGTAGAAAAAAAGTATAGTTAAAACATTTGTTCTACAAATTAACCTTTAAAAATATAATTACTGCTAAAAATAGAGTGCTGTTACACTTAAGGAAAATTAGTGCCATTTTGGAAATGAGATCTTGTGCCATAAATACAGCTGAACTGAATATAAATGTTCACAAATTAATGCTGTCAAAGGAATGAGTAAAGCAGAAAAACTTTTAACCAGCAACATTTCAAGTACGTAGTGTGATCAAACATGATCATCCAGAATTTGTATATTTTTTTCTTTGTACAGAGGTTACATATTCTGGGTGTTCTTTTATAAAGGAAACATTTTAAATCCCACAAATTGACACTTTCTATCTTCAATGGACTAAGATTTTTTTGGTCAGTAATCTCTGAAATTTCCTTAAATTATATACTTAACATAGCAGAGAAACTGGATTGTTTTTGTATATAAGACTGCTTCCACCTGAAATGCTGTCATAAGTACTGGGGGGGTGGGGGAGTGCCCATCTTGTACATGATATTCTTAGAGGTAATAAGGTAATGATGCATGAATTTATTTTATAAACTCTTGGACTATGTATTTGACATGTAAAATATGTACAGTATTAACGTCAACCATCTCTTTAAAGTTAGCCTATAAATATTGTTGTATAATTTTCTTTGGTCAGAAACACTTGTACTGAATAGTGACACTCGGTAAGGATTTTCAGTGCCATTTAGCAAAACGTCTTTAGTCTATGCAACTAGCAAAAATCTGCATAATGCAACAACACAGTTTTCACACTTCAAATTTTACATGAGGGGTTCTTCACGATTCTCCTGGAACCCAGTCTAGCAAAATGAGAGGAAAGGCCCTAGGGAGATTTATTTCTGTTAAATAGTTAACTCTGCTGAGTATGACAAATAGTGTCTACTATCTCAACCCTCCAAAATTTGCAGAGTGTTGGGACTGTCATTTGTGATTTTTTTTTTTTTTTTTTGGTGGGGTAGTTGAATAAAATTGGGCAGCTAAATTTTTCAGTTCCATGTGCCTCCCAAATAAAAAACAGAAAATAAGTAGTTTTTGTGAATTGACTTGCAGACAAAGTAGAAACTGTGCTGCATGATGTTATTTTGTAAACAGATGACATTTTCTGACCAGGCACATGCCATCCAATTTTCTGTCAATCACACTGTTGTATAAAGCAGCAGAACTGAAGGGGAAAAATGATTGTTGTATACACTGAATTGCTTTGCATGGTCTCATTTGAGATAATTGATGTAAGCATCCTGACTTTTTTATATTTGGAAACATCAAATAAAAATGGAAAAAATGAAAAAAAAAAAAAAAAAGAAGCTAAAATATAAAACTTTTAGAAGAAAACTAACTCTTTTGACCTGAGTTAAGCAGTAAATCTTTGTGACTTTGAGTTAGGCAGTAATTTCTTTGATGCAACATCAAGAGCACAAATAATAAAAGAGAAAAAAAGTTGATAAGTTGAACTTAATCAAAATGAAAAACTTCTGTGCTTCAAGGACACCAACAAGTGAAAGAACAGCCCCACAGAATCAGAGAGCATATTTGCAAATTATACTATCTGTTAAGGGACTAGAATATAAAAAACACAAATCAATAAGAAATGACAAATGATCTAAGTTGGGAATGGGCAAAGGATTACAAGATATTTTTCAAGAGAAAAATATGCAAATAAGCACATGAAAAGTCACTAGGAAAATATAAATCAAAAGCACAATGAGATATCAATTTTCACCCACTGGAATGGCTATAATAATATAGGCAGAAAATAATAATTGTTGGTAAGGATGTGGAGAAATTGGAAAGCTCATACACTGCTAGTGGGAAAGTAAAATGGTGTAGCCACATTGGAAAAGTTTGACAGTCCCTCTAAATGCTAAAAATAGAGTTACCATATGACCCAGCAATTCTTTTATCTTGGGAATCTACCCAAAAGCAATGAAAACATATTTCCATACAAAAACTTGTGCACAAATGTTCACAGAAACTTTATTCACAATAACCAAAAAGTAGAAACAATCCATTTGTCATCAACTGATGAACAGATAAACAAAATGTGAAATATCCATACAATGAAATATTATTTGGCAATAAAAAGGAATGAGGTACAGATAGATGCCACAATATAGATGAACCTCAAAAACATTCTGCTAAGTGAAGGAAGCCAGTCACAAAAGACCACATATTATATGATCTCATTTATATAAAATGTCCAGAATAGGCAAATCCATAGAAACCGAAAGCAGATTAGTGTTTGTCTAGGACTAGAGGGAATAAAGGGGTGGGGTATGGGAGAACAGAATTGATGAGTGACTGCTAATGAATATAAGGTTTCTTTTGGAGATGATGAAAATATTCTAAAATTAATTATGGTGACGGGTGCCCTGCTAAATAGATATACTGAAAACCATTGAATTGTACACTTTAAATGCGAATTTTATAGAATACAAATTATATCTCAGTAAAACTGTTTTTAAAAAGTGGCTTCTTGTTCACTCTTGAAAAAAGACACCTGATTGTTTGGTTCAGCACCCTCAAAAAATTTGTTCATGTAATGCATGAAGGAGCATGCTATGGGATTGGCCTAAGAAGTTGCTAGTAATAAAATCTAGAGGTTGTGAAGGCCTGGGGAAGAGAAGGAAGGAGTAAGGGATGGAGAAGGGAAATAAGGAATAAGTGAAGGGATGCACCCAGAAATGAAGGCACAATCATCTCACTGTTGAAAAACCAAGGGCAAAACAGAAAGGAAATGGGGGAGTGGAATTTGCAGATATCTTTACTGCCAACTGTGTAGAACTGGGGCTGAGGTGGTTCAAAGCAAAGCTACAAAGTAAATATTAAGAGGATAAAAACTTCACTGATTTGTTGAATATATAAGGCTTTGTACAACTCACAGCGATTATTCGTTAAAAGTATACAAGCACTGTAGTCAGTTGGAAAAAGAATTATGATTCCTGTTGCCAAATTTGTATCAAAGCAAAATTATAATGTGATCCTGCAATGAGCCAGAAAGAAACACAAAAAGTTTACTCCCCCCACCTACAAACAGAAACTGCTCCTTTATGTAACCTGAAGTTCATGTATATAGTCTTATTTGTACAGATCCTTGCATCTCAAGATGGATTAGTGTTTTTCAACATGGCAACTTTTAATTTTGTTTATTTATTTATTTTTTAATTTTAATTTTTTTTTTTTTGAGATGGAGTTTCACTCTTGTTGCCCAGGCTGGAGTGTAATGGCTCGATCTCAGCTCACTGCAACCTCTGCCTCCTGGGTTCAAGCAATTCTCCTGCCTCAGCTTCCCAAGTAGCTGGGATTACAGGAGCATGCCACCACGCCCAGTTAATTTTGTATTTTTCAGAGATGGGGTTTCACCATGTTGGTCAGGCTGGTCTTGAACTCCTAACCTCAAGTGATCCACCCGCCTCAGCCTCCCAAAGTGCTGGGATTATAGGCGTGAGCCACCACGCCCGATCTATTTATTTATTTTAAAAAATAATTTTAACTTTTATTTTAGACTCAGGAGTACATGTGCAGGTTTGTTACATGGGTATATGGCATAACACTGAGGTTTGGGGTGTGAATGATCCCCTCACCTAGATAATGAGCATAGTGACCAATAGGTAAGTATTTCAAGCTTTGTCCCCCTTCCTCCTTCCTGCCTCTAGTAGTCCCCAGTACCTATTGTTGTCATCTTTATGTCCATGAGTACCCAATGCTTAACTCCCACTTGTGAGATCTTACTAACACATTTGGTTTTCTGTTTCTGCCTTAATTCACTCAGGATAATGACCTCTAGCTCCATCCATGTTGCTACAAAGGATATGATTTCACTCATTTTTTTGACTGTGTATTATACCATGCTATGTATATACCCTATTTTAAAAAATCCAATCCACTGTTGATGAACACCTAGATTGATTCCATGTCTTTGCTATTGTGAATAGTGCTGTGATGAACATGTGAGTGCATGTGTCTTTTTGGTAGAATGGTTTATTTTCCTTTAGATATATACTCAGTAATGAAGATTGCTGGGTTGAACGGTAATTTTGTTTTAAGTTCTTTGAGAAATCACCAAACTACTTTTCCACAGTAGCTGAACTAATTTACATTCACACCGACAATAGATAAGCATTCCCTTTTCTTGGTAGCCTCGCCAGCAACTGTGGCTTTTGACTATTTTTTTTTTTTTTTTTTTTTTTTTTTTTTTTTTGAGACAGAGTCTTGCTCTATCACCCAGACTCGAGTGCAATGGTGCGATCTTGGCTCAATGTAACCTCTGCCACCCGGGTTCAAGAAATTCTCCTACCTCAGCCTCCTGAGTAGCTGGGATTACAGGCATGTGCCACCATACCCGGCTAATTTTTGTATTTTTAGCAGAAACAGGGTTCCACCATGTTGGCCAAGTTGGTCTCAGACTCCTGACCTTAGGTGATCCATCCTCCTCGGCCTCCCAAAGTGCTGGGATTACAGGTGTGAGGCACTGAGCCCGGCCTGACTTTTTAATAATAGCCATTCTGATTGGTGTGAGATGGTATCTCACCGTGGTTTTGATTTGCATTTCTCTAATGATTAGTGATGTTGAGTATTTTTCCACGTTTGTTGTCTGTTTGTATGACTTCTTTTGAAAAGTATCTGTTCATGTCCTTTTCCAACTTTTTAAATGTATTCTATTTATTTATTTATTTATTTTTGAGACGGAGTCTTACTTTGTCGCCCAGGCTGGAACGCAGTGGCACCATCTCAGCTCACTGTAGTCTCCACCTTCCGAGTTCAAGCGATTCTCCTGCCTCAACCTCCCGAGTATCTGGGATTACAAGTGTGCACCACCACACCTGGCTAATTTTTGTATTTTTAGTAGGGGAGGTTTCACCATCTTGGCCAGGCTGGTCTTGAACTCCGGACCTCAAGTAGTCTACCTGCCTTAGCCTTCCACAGTGCTGGGATTACAGGTGTGAGCCACTGCACCTGGCCTGCCCGCTTGTTAATGGGGTTATTTTTTGCTTGTTGAATTGTTTAAGTTCCTTATAGATTCTGAATAGACCTTTATCAGATGCATAGTTTGTGAATATTTCTAAAATTTTCTCCAAACATTAGCTCTTTTTAGAGACATGTTGGATTTGACATGTGTCCATGTTTTAAGTAAGATTTTTAAAATAAGAATACAGGGCAAGTTGAAATAAATGGTAACTCATTGCGTCTAGTAAGTCAGACACATACACACACCATCCTCCAAAAGCTCAAAGCATGTCAAGATACAAATCACACCAGTGTTAGCCTCTTATTTATGTGTCTTAGCCCTGCCTACTCAAGAGCCTGTCTCCTCTTGACAGCTCTGTCATATAGGGTAGAAAATATAGAACAGCTGTGACCAGGGCTTACTCATCTGTACAGTCACTAGATGATAATAGTTATAAAAATTAACATGTGTAAAGGGCTTTGTGGCATATAAGCCACTACTGTGCATATGATTTTAATTCAATTTTAATCTTTATAGAAACTCTTCTCCTCTCCTCCTCACCTCGGATGAGGGTATCAAAGCTTAGGAATGAAGTGACTTGTTAAGATCTCTCACTATGCTTTTTCCTCAAGTATATAAACATTCCTGAACCTCTCTCAATTAAAAAAATGGAATTCATTCCTTATTATACATGCTTTCTAGCCAATCTTTCTTCTTTCATAACTAAGTGTTTTAGAGTAGCTTACACTCTCTGCCTCCCCCTCTTTGCATTCATATCGCTATTTTTTCCTTGTCTAAGGAATGTAATGTACTACATCAGGTCACATGCTGAAAGATTGCACCTGGGGAATGCAGTCACCCACCTACCACAGTTTGGCTCATGCATAGATATTAAACACAACTTGAGGAATATCCTTGACTACTGAAGAAAGTAGGCAAACTCTGGGCAGGCACTCAGACTTGGGAAGCTTGCGGCATTCCTCTGAGGTCTAAGGAGCTTCCCATTCTATGGCTATCCTCCCTGTCCTTTCCTTTCCGAAGGAAAGGAAGGAAGGAAAGAAGGAAGGGAGGGAGGGAGGAAGGGAAGAAAGGAAGAATAGTTTCAAAACAAAGTTGTCTGACTACAAATTCTGTTCTGTTATTAGATCCTTTCCAATTCACTGTTGTTGTGGTTGTTAAAATAAAGCACAAATTTTTACCACTTGTAGTAGAGAGGCCTTGTGAGAGACAGTTCCTCTACTCCAGAATTGTCACCCCTGTCTCCTATCAAAATGCCTGAGATTCTTCCATTTAAACTTTGGTAATGATGTCAATCTTGGAAGACTTTCTGGGTTGAGCAGATTAAAGAAGCTGAACGTGATAGAAGGGAGAAGAAAGCTGCAAGGAACAGGGACTGGCCTGATGGCCTGCTTCATCTATTGCCCAAGCTCCCCACAGCCAGCTCTGGTCCCTTGTAGGATAGAAAGTACAACACAAAGAGGTGACTGAATAACTTAATGGTCTTGGATACACAGTCAGTCCTCTGCTCTCCCATCTGAACTAACAATATTTCCTGTTCTGTTATCTGAAGTGTGAGGTTGGCACTCTATGATGACACAAGTGCCCACTTCCAGCCAAGCCAAGCAACCTTTCCTCCAGACTGAGTCAGTCACCTCCATTCTTTGTGTTCTGACCTTCCAGCTGCAAAAGTAGGGCCCAGATCTCACCTTCTTAGATTCTGAGGTAGTGAACCTGAGCAGGTGAATTATAGAGCCACTGTGAAGCTCTAGATTTCCAAGGAGTTCTCCACCTTACCGGTGTTTAAAATCTGTACTTAGTTCCTATATATTTTTCCACACTTTTCATTCCCTTTCCTATAATTCCTTAATATCTCCTTTGATAGCAAAAGGGACAGATGTAAACAGGGTAGGCCATGAGCAAAATCAAGTAGGTAACACATGTCTTTGCTGCTCCATCTCCTTCCTTTCTCCTCCCTCCATTGAAGTCAGGAATCTAAAAATAGTCATCGTACCTTAGTGTATGTTTAAAGTTCTCTTAACTGTATCTCGCAAGGGCTTTATTTTTAGTTACAAAATTTTTATAAGTTGTTTTGGCCACTACTAGAAGCAGCCTTTCAGGGAGGTAGCAAAGGCATTTTTAGGGAACATTTTTAGGAGTCTTCATCTGGGAATCACCCCAAGCAGGGAGCTCCTCAGAAACATTCTCATGCCCCGGACCTTCGTGCTCACCACGCTTGACTGTGTAGGGAGTTTGAGATAAAATGGTCTACAGTCATTCATTTCGGGTACCTTCCTCTGGACTCTACATTTCTGGTCACTTTTCTGTCATCACCCAGCTTCTTAGGTCAGTACCCGGTGATACTCATGGTGATCCGGGAAGGCTGGACCAGGGAAGTGGAGGACAGGCTGTGCTGATGGTTTATTAAAGTCTGTGGCTTCTTACTCCTCCACAAGACTCCTCATCAGAGGGTGCGGCTTGGGTCATGCTGGGCACTCAGCAGCTTTGTGGTGGGTATCGGTTTGTGCTTCCTCCCCTTTGCTTTCGATTCAATGCTTTCCTGTTGCAGTCTGAGCAGCTCTATTTAACCGCAGCCTCACAGCAACTACCACTGCATGCAAACTGGATCCATCTAGGGGCAAGTATAGGGCAACCAGAGTGTAAGGGGTTGAGAGGTAAGAAAGGAGACTGCTAGAAGTCAGCTGGAAATGAAAAATTCCAAAGCTAGAATGTCATGATGAATAACAACCAAGAAAACATTCCAGTACCATGAAAAAAAATACGTTCCAGTTTACATTCAGCTATGATTTTTAAAAACTGAACCCTAAGTTAATTAGTTCAAATACAGTTTCATTAGAAAATATCTTTGCATTTTTCAAAGAAATATATAGGATAATATAAATCCTGGCTTTAATTCAAGAATTAATAAAAAAAATATTAAGAATCCCAGTTCAGTTCTGATTCAGGAATAAGATAACTGATAATTTGAGGCTAGAATTTAGTCTACAGATGTTAGAGGCCCTACAGTAGAACGCTCCGAGCAGAGGAAACAGCATCTGTGAAGGCCTAGAGGCAAAAGGAAGCAGGGTATGTTTGAAACACTGGAGGTCAGTGTGAGTGGAGTTCAGACTGATGGCAAGTTACTGATCATGAGAGGCTTATGAACCGTGATAAGAAGTTCGGACTCCATCCTAAGGACAGTGAGAAGCAACTAAAGGATTTTAAACACAAGTGGTGAATTTACAGAACTGCATTTACATAAAGAACCATCTAGTGGTTAGTGGAAAATGATCCAAGGGGAGAAAACCTGGGGGCAGGAAACTAGCAAAGGGATGTGCAAAACGCCACATAGATGGTGATCACTTAGGCCAGTGGGGACAGGGAGAAACTGATGGATTCAAATATGTAGATTATACTGAATTTGGTTATTGACTGAATGTGGAAGGTGAGCAAAAGAGGCATTAAGGATGAATCCTACATTTCTGCCTAGAAAAACTGGGTAGATGGTGTGGCATATGTTTGGATGAGGAGCATTATTGGAGGAATAGGTTTGAGGGAGGGAGTTGGTTAACAGGCTTTCAGGAATTTCTAATTGAAGAAGTTCTAGAAAGCAGTCAAAAGAGGTCAGGGAAGATAGAGATTTGGAAATAATTGGCAGATGGATCTCAATAATGCCATGGAAAGGGATGATATTTCTCACAGAAAATGTTTAGAGAGAAAAGAGGCTGATATAGAACAGGGTTCTGAGGAACACCAGTACTTTAGGAGTAAAGAGGAGCTTGCACAGGATGCTGAAGACCCATGACTAAGATAGAGAAAAAATAATAGTGCAAAGGAAGAGTGAATCTATCAAAGAGGATGTGACCAAAAGCATCACATGCTACCCTGATGCCAAGTAAGATCAAGGCTGATGTATCCACTGGATTTAGTAATATGGGAGGTGGCGGGGGGGCGTTAGTGTCCTGAGTGAAAGCCCTTTCAATACAATGGGAGCTGATGCCAGTTTAGATTGGGTTAAAAATTGTTTGAGAAGTGAAGAAATGGAAACAGCAAGAGCAGACATCTCATTCAGCAAGCTACACATACTATTCCTTTTCCCTCTACCTCTACCCTCTAAATTCCCTTTCACGCTGTCCCTATTTGGTAAATCTTGCTCATTCCAGGACAGGGCTGGAGTGAAGGAGATTTGCAAACCAACAGACAAAAATCTGAGGAATATATATATGTTTTTCCAGAAGCAAATTTAGCCAGGGCTGAAATTCAGGAAGTGAGTGACTTATTCCATGCTCACCAGACAAGAACTTTCAGCCAATAAAGAAGGGCTACACACTCCCTGGTGCCAATGTGGGGGTGTTGGTTACGTTAAGCCAAGAATGTGATGCAATTCTCAAGAACAGGAAGAGGTTTGGCTGGAATAGAAAGAGGACTCTGACTTGGTAGTGGTGGTAGCAGAAGTGGAGTGGGAAACAGGTAGTTTTTTCAAAAGAGTAAAGCTAGAGATTAACTGGCAAAAGCAGAAGGAATTGATAAACTGTAACTGAAAGCCTTCCTATTCCATCTCTGGTTGTAATAAAGCAGACAGAAAAAGCCTCATATTCAGAATTGGCTCTTCTAGCAATTATGAAAGAAATTACCCACCCCCTGGAGCTCTCTTGACATATAGGGTGTCCCTCTGGACTTTTTCTTCAAGCAAAGAGCAGCTATTTTGATTACAGATTAGAAAATTTATCTGTAAAATGGGGGATAGTAGCTATCAACTTCACAGGGCTATGGTGAGTATCAAAGGGAAAACATGTCTGTGAGAGCACCTTATACGCTATTAATATGCCTAGCCTACTTATAGTAGGCTAGCCTACTAGTTACTTATAGCCTACTGCTCAAGTTATCACCAAGGTCTGATTTTTTGACAAAAAAAAATTGCAACCTCCGGCCTAAGTGAGTTAAGAACAGTTCAAATGTTAGCTGCTCTTGTCATTACAAGATAATTCACTGACTAAAGATAGAAAGGCACGGGGATATTTGAATAATGAAAGAATGAGAAAGATTAGATGTAGACAACATTTTATCTGAATGACAAACATATACTCTATGATAGGAACACATTTAGACACTGCTGAGGATCACTCTTTGGACTTAGGTAGGCATCCTAAACTATAAATCAGGCCTGAACACCTTTTCTCTTACACATACAAAACAATTTATTTAAAAACTGGTGCTAAGTAGGATCTACAAATCTAGAGTTAAATGGAAAAACATGGGTAGGAGTTTCTGGAAATATAAGTCAAATAATTAACATGAGATTGAAGAAACAGTCAATTATTTTCTTCACAGGACAGAGAAAAGGAAAAATCTTATTTGGAATGAATGTTATATTTATTGTAATAGGATTAGCTTTGTCACCTAAATACCATCATTTTTAAAGGGCTATTCTTTACAGTATAGTTCTTTTCCTCTCAAGGAAAAACTGCTTTAGACATTTTAATTGAGGAAAAGGCAGAGCCTTTGGAGTGTTGCTGCCCTCTTCTGGGAACATGAAGTCATAGCCTGAGAAATTGCTAGAGGATCCTAAATATTGCAATATATAACAGGAATAATTCCCTTTTCCCTATCAAAAGTAAAATAACTATGAAACTGGATGTTAGTCTCCAGAGAAAAGCCAGGATTGTACTGGTCACAAATGCTTTTTTAAACAGTTATAATAGTAATAAAAGTGAAACAGTATGGTATACTTGTACATCACTTCAAGGTTTATAAAATCTTCATGACCATTATTGCATTTTACCTTCTTTTATCCTCAAATAGTTCAAGTGAAGTAGGCAGAACAGACGTTATTCTCATTTTCACATGGGGAAACTGAAGTACATAGTGTCTAAAAAACTTACCTAAAGTTCTGCTAGAGTGCTGAGCTGGGCCTTGAAGTCGTCTCCCGACTCAGAGTTCAATGCTCTTTTCACCCACTTCCCTACTGCATGCAATGTAAGTAATTTGTTTCTGTTGCAGTTACATCCCTCCTCAGCAATGTCTACATTACACCACAGTGTCCAGTAATTTATAGAAAGAAATCTGCTGCTTTGTATATGATTCTAGCAAGGCTACGCTGTTATTGTGGCAAAAACGGATATATTTAAATTCCACAAACGAGTGGATGGGCTATAGCAGAACTTCTTAAACTTCTGCTTGGAAGTTCTTTAGTGTCTTTTCTTCTTCTTCTTCTTCTTCTTAGATTCTTTAAAGCAAGCAGAGTTTTGTAATATTAAGTCTCAACTCTGCTACTAGGGAAAAATGAGTTTGAGAAAGACGGAAGAAAAAGTGGAGTATAAAAATTTTAAAAAATCAAGAAAAACCAATTTGAAAGTCAAAGTTCTTTTATTCTAAAGCTCTAAGTGTGCAAATAAACCCACTCTGTATATTTATGCAAATAGCTAAACAAAAGGCAGAAAAATAGATATAATCTTCAGTCCATGTATTGGCCTAACTGCTTGTCCCTGCATGCCCAGTCCAACAAACCTCACTGCCTACCTACACAACCAGCAAGTAAAAAATTGGGAGTTTAGCAAGTACAAATTGCCATCAGTTGGTCAAAACTAAGCCAGTAAAACCAGTTTCTTGGGTACGGTAAAATATTTCTTACTTTATATGGCATATTGGTCAAGGTATTTATCAGTGAACTGGAGTCACTTTTTCAAAAAATTAGTTAACAGATCTGAAATGCTCCTTAAATATTGTCTCCACAACATAAAAGTAATCGTAAGCATAATGGTCAATTGGAAACATTCCCAGTCCAAGATCTGTTGCTATATTTGACTTCTGTGCTTTCTCCCCAAGTCTAATTTATCTCTATGCCTTAATTTCTCCTCCTTCTTTGCCTCCATACCTTTCAATTGTTTCTGCCACCAAAGAATCAATTTCACTTGCTGTATTGTTTTCCCTTCTCCAATGTGTTTACTATATGTTGATATAATTGTACTGGTTCTCTCTTTTGTTGCGACTTTTCAATGTGCCTTTCTTTTCCCATTTCATTACTAGACCTACACCCTTTTGCCCCACTTTGTTTCCTTCTTTTATTCAAATTGTGTGTACCTATGATTCATGAAACCCAGTTCCAAAAAACTTATGCATACATCTCTGTAATTCAATGAACTTATACCACGAATATTTGTTGCCCACCTCCAATGTGTCAGCCACCGCACCCAATGCCAAGGATTCAAATTGAATAATAATTGATCTCTATCCCAGGCATCTCATGAGGCACATAGCCAAGGAGACAAACAAGTATGCACTGACAGCTAGTTTAAATTTGTAGGTTTTATAATAGAAATATGAACAAGTTATTGTGGGAGAATGAAAACACAGCTTCTCCCAGGTCAGAGAGAAGGGGGGTATGAGAATGTCAGAGAGGCTTTATGAAAGAGACATTTGAGCTGGGTCTTTGAAGGAAGAGCAGAACTTTACCAGGTGTCTTGTTTGTTTTGCTATATGCTTTATTTTACATTTTTAAAACACTTTTCTTTAAGGTTTTGGTGTACAGATTATTTTGTTACCTGGTAATAAGCACAGTACCCAATAGGTAGTTTTTCTGTCCTCTCCCTCCTCCCACCCTCTACCGTTAAGTAGGTCTTGGTGTCTGTTGTTCCCTTGTGTACATGTGTACTCAATGTTTAGCTCCCGCTTATAAGTGAGAATATGCGGTATTTGGTTTTCTGTTCCTACATAATTTAGCTTGGGATAATTGCCTCCAGCTCCATCCATGTTGCTGCAAAGAACATAATCTTATTTTTTTATGGCTGTGTATATTCCACGGTGTACGTGTACCACATTTTCTTTATCCAGACTACCACTGATGGGCATTTAGGTTGATTCCATGTCTTTGCTATCGTGAATAGTGCTGCGATGAACATATGCGTGCATGTGTCTTTATGGCAGAACAATCTATATTCCTTTAGGTATATATCCAATAATGGGATCGCTGGGTCGAGTGGTAATTGTTGCCGGTTCTTTGAGAAATCACCAAAGTGCTTTGCACAACGGCTGAACGAATTTACATTCCCATTAGCACTATATAAGTGTTCCATTTTCTCTGCAACCACGCCGGCATCTATTGCTTTTTGACTTTTTAATAGCCGTTCTGATTGGTATGAGATGGTATCTCATTGTGGTTTAGATTTGCATTTCTCTAATTATTAGTGATGTGGAACATTTTTTCATATGCTTCTTGGCCACATGTATGTCTTTTTGAAAAATGTCTGTTCGTGTCATTTGCCCACTTTTTAATGAGGTTGTTTTTTGCTTATAAAGTTCCTTATAAATTCTGGATATTAGACTTCTCTAGGATGCATAGTTTGCAAATATTTTCTCTCATTCTGTAGGTTATCTGTTTACCGTGTTCACTGTTTTGTTTGTTTGTTTTTGGCTATGCTAAAGCTCTTTAATTAGATTCCATTTGTCAATTTTTGTTGTAGTTGCAATTGTTTTTGGCATCTTTGTTATGAAATCTTTGCCAGGTCCTATTCCAGAATAGTATTTCCCAGGCTATCTTCCACGGCTTTTATAGTTTTAGGTTTTATATCTAAGTCTCTACTTCATATGAGTTGATTTTTGTATATGGCATAAGGAAGGGGTCCAGTTTCAATCTTATGCATATGGCTAGCCACTTATTTCAGCACCATTTATTGAATAGGGAGTCCTTTTCTCATTGCTTGTTTTTGTCAACTTTTTTCAAATATCAGATCATAGGTGTGCAGCATTATTTCTGGGCTCTTTTCCGTTCCATTGGTCTATGTGTCTGTTTTTGTACCAGTACCCTGCTGTTTTGGTTACCGAAGCCTTGTAGTATAGTTGAAATTGGGTAGTGTAATGCCTTCAGCTTTGTTCATTTTGCTTAAGATTGTTATGGCTATTCAGGCTCTTTTTTAAGTTCCATATGAATTTTAAAAGTTTTTTTTTCTAATGCTGTGAAGTATGTCACTGGTAGTTTCATAGGAATAGCATTGAATCCATAAACTGCATTGCGAAGTACAGCCATTTTAACAACACTAATTCTTCCTATCCATGAGCATGGAATCTTTTTCCATTTGTTTGTGTCATCTCTGATTTGAGTAGTGTTTTGTAATTCTTCTTGTAGAGATCTTTCACCTCGTTATCTATATTTCTAGGTATTTTTGTGTGTGTGTGGCTATTGTGAATGAGATTGCATTCTTGATTTTGACCCTCAGATTGAATGCTATTGGTGTATAGAAATGCCACTAATTTTTGTACATTAATTTTGTATCCTGAAACTTTGCTAATTGTTTATCAGATCAAAGAGCTTTTAGGCAAAGACTATGGGGTTTTCTACAGAATCATATTGTCTGCAGAGATAGTTTGACTTCCTCTTTTCCTTGGATGTCTTATATTTCTTTCTCTAACCTGTTATCTCTGACTAGGACTCTCAGTACTATGTTGAATAGGATTGGTGAGAGTGGGCATCTTTGTCTTATTCTGGTTCTCACAGGGAGTATTTCTAGCATTTGGCCCATTCGGTATGATGTTGGCTGTGGGCTTATCATAGATGGCTCTTATTTTGAAGTATGTTCCTCTAATGCCTAGTTTGCTGAGGGTTTTTAACATGAAGGGATGTTGAATTTTATTGAAAGCCCTTTCTGCATCTATTGAGATGACCATGTGGTTTTTGTTTTTAGTTGTTTATGTGATGAATCACATTTATTGATTTGCATATGTTGAACCAAACTTGCATCCCAGGGATAAAGCTTGCTTGATTGTGGTGGATTCGTTTTTGACATGCTGCTGGGCTTGGTTTGCTAGTCCAGCAAATTGAGTCGTTGAGGATTTTTGCATCTATGTTCCTCAAGGTTATCCATATTCAGAACTCTATTTTTGTCATGTCAGCCTGGTTAAGAACCACTGTTGGGGAAATAGCGCAGTTGCTTGAAGGTAAGAAGGCACTCTGGCTTTCTGAGTTGCCGGAGTTCTTGTGCTGGTTCTCACCTGTGTGGTCTGATGTTGCTTCAACCTTTGAAGTTGCTGTTTCTTGGATAGGTTTTTCTGCTTTTGTCTTCTTTGATGCCCTTGGGGGTCTGAATGTTGCATATAATGGGCTCAGCCAAGTGGCCTCATTTCTGGAAGATTGTAGGGGCCAAGGCTGAGCTCAGCACTCATGAGCTGTGTATTCTAACTCTGAGGAGGCTGGTACTGGACCTCTGGCTTTGTTTTCTAGCCCCTCAAGGTTAGGAGCCTAGCAGGTGTCTTAAACTGTTTTCTGTTGCGATAATAGAATACCTGAGAGTGGGTAACTTATTAAAAAGAGTTTTATTTAGCACTTGGTTCTGTTGGCTGGGAAATTCAGGATCAGGCAGCTGTATCTGGTGGGTTCTCATGACTGCCTCATGCTGCATCAAAACATCGTAGAGAAACAGAAGGGGACCGAGTTTGTGCAAACAAAAAGCGCAAAATAGAAGAGGCAGCACTGTTTTATAACAACTCACTCTCTTGGGAACTAACCATTCCCAGGAGAACCCAGTCTCAGTGTCAAGAGAAAGATGTTAATCCATCTTAGCAACCTAATTACCTCTTAAAAGCAGCATCTCCCAACACTATTACATTGGCAATTGAACTACAACGTGAGTTTTGGAGGGGCCAAACAACATCCAAACCATAGCAGCAGGTTTAAAGGTAAAAGGATGGGAGAAAAGTACACAGAAAGATATTCTGGAGAAAAGGCACAGAGTGAGCCAAGGCACAAGGTAAAATGTTTGACTGGTTAGAGACGCTAGATTATTTTGTGTGGCTAAGACAAAACAAAGCTGGTGGGGAGTGGCAGGAGGTAAGTCTAGAATGGCACAATGGGGCCAGACTGCGAATGGCAAACTGAAGTATGTGATCTTTTATTCTAAAGAAAATGTAGTATGATTAGCACAAAAAAAAGAAAAATTATTGGCCGGGCGCAGTGGCCCATGCCTGTAATCCCAGCACTTTGGGAGGCCGAGGAGGGTGGATCATGAGGTCAGGAGTTCAAGACGGTGAAACTCCATCTCTACTAAAAACACAAAAATTAGCCAGGAGCTGTGGCAGGTGCCTGTAATCCCAGCTACTCAGTAGGCTGAGGCAGGAGAATCACTTGAACCCGGGAGGTGGAGGTTGCAGTGAGCTGAGATCGCGCCACTGCACTCTAGCCTGGGCGACAGAGCAAGACTAAAAATAAAAATGAAAAAATTATTATCCATGGTATTATCATGGTAGTACTGACTAAAAGAGGGACACGTGTAACAAAATCAGTAAGGAGGGTACTCCAAGAATCCATGTTAAAGTTAATGAGGGCTCGAACCCAAACATAAAGGATGGAAATGATGTAATAAAATACCTTTTGAAAGTTATATTTAAAAATTTTTGGTGAATAGTCTAGTTAGAGGTGAAAGAAGAAAGCAGAGGAGTCTAATGCAATGCGTGACTTGTAGCTCAGGTAAAGGGGTGGCAGGTGACGCTTAAATACTAGAAATATAAGAAGCAGCACAGGTTTGGTTTTATCTGTGAGAACAATGGAGTGGAGGTATGCTTTAGATGCAATTATTTATGGGATATTCAAAACAGATATCTATGAAGCAAAAAACTTGGGCCCAAAAAACAAGTTTGAAGGTATATTTGGGAGTTACCAGTAATATAGGTAACTGTTGAAGCTCTAAATATAGAAGACAAACTAGAGGAGCTTGTTTCTTGAAGAATTCTTGTCACACTTGACATTTTTTACAGAGATTTCTTAAAACAGGGGCATATCTTCTTTGGCTAACATATGCAGACTAAAATGAAAGAGTATAGTATATTATAAAATCAATAAAAGGTAAGATAAATTGAGGCCTAAAAATAAAGAATAAATACACTCAGTTGATTCTGAAGCTCTAATTTACAGATGCAAAATTGTACCAGTACATTAACTCATATGTCAAAACAACATCTAGAGAAACAAAAAATGAAAGTAAAATGGAAAAAGATAAAAGAAGAGAGGCAAGGAGAAGAGAATGGGCAAAAGGAGATAGGAAAAACAGGAATTTTTTTTTAAAGGGCTAAAATTTTAGTGAATCAGATGTGGAAAACAGTTGGATTAACATTGAGATCAAATGAGAAAGGAGCAAATAAGGAAAGATGTATTACAAACCAAGAGTAAAAAAGGGAAAACAAAATAACAAAAGCAAAAACTATTTAAAAAGAATAAAGGAAGACGTGATAATGAAGTAAATTTAAAAAGTACGGAATAATAAAAAGAAATTGCAAAAAATACCTTTTGAAAATAAACATACTAATAACTTGACAATAAAGTGAAATGTGTAAGACAAACATATCTGTGTCATTATTTAGGAGTAGTGAAAAGTACTCTTAAATAATAATTTGGTATCTAGCAGGCCTGGATTTGAATCTACTTTAACTTGCTAGCTATGTGACCTTGGGCAAGCAAAGAAACTCCTCATAACCATTGTAATAATACCACCAAAATGCCTTACACTTACGGCTCAAAAAATGAAGGAAATGAGAGAAAAAAGTATAGATTACTATATGGAAGTCAAATTTCTAGTGACTTTTCTAATCCAAACATGAATTGTTACAGTACTTGAAATAAACTTTATGAGAACTGAGTGACTACATTGCTTCAGATAGTTTTATACTGCTAGGTCAACGCTGCCTGACAGTAATAAGAACAGGATGTGGGATTCAATATGCTCATTCTATCTCAAACTCTGTCACACATACAATGACTGCTATTTACCTTCCTCCTGAGCCATCTGGGAAAAAACCAACCAACCAAACAAACAAACAAAAGAAAAACCCACCAGGTAGGAGTCAGTTAGTTCTGCTAACTAACTAACCAAAAACCTTAATTGTATGGCCACCAGCACCCTAGCCCTTTGTCATGAAAGCTACCAATAAGGTGGAAATTTAAAATATGAAATATTTCATTATACATGTTTTATTAAACCCTACATGTGCAGAAATGATTGTCCATTTTCCTTCTTAACTTGCTTTTGTAAGACTTATTAAGTAGAAAATATAAATCTCAAGCTCCTTAAATGTGATTTTGAGGAACTGAGACCAAAACAATTTTTTGCTGTGGAACCAGATCCTTGAATGCACTACAGGAAAATATTATTTGATATGAAATTTTTTTGGTACACACAATTTTTCAAAAATATATCTCTCTCCACAAAGTTAATTCAAATTGTAGAATTCTTCCAAGTCACAAATGGAGTTTTCAAGGCTCTGGGTACTTACCTTTGAGTTCCACATCCTTTATCTCTGGAGCTCTTAACTGAGGGAACATGGACCATTAGGTCATGAACAGACTTTGTAGTCTTTGAACAGCCTGAAACAGTATGTGATACTTGATGTGCATGTACACAGGAACATTTTTCTAGAGTAATGGCACATACCTTTCATCAGATTTTCAAAGGTTTCTCAAAATGCTCAAGAACCACTGTTAGATATTTAAATAACCAGAGTGTACAGTGTCCAAATATTTCCAAATTTTGACACTTGTAAGATGTCTTAATTAAAACAAGCCATGAAGTTCAGCGTCACAATAACCAGAAAAGCACTTGTGAGAGTAGTTCTATGTCTTTACTTCCTAGTGGTTTACACACTCTTTAACCCATATGGCAATCTGGCTTCTGTCTCCGGTGCTCTGGAATTACTTCTGCCTGTATGATTAAGTTCCTCATTGTTAAATTCGAAAATACATTCTTTGGTATTTATTTGACCTCTTGGTGGTAATATAGTGTAAGAGCACAGACTCTGGAGCCAAACTGCCTAGGTTCAAATCTTAGCTCTATTACTTTCTAACTCTGTGACTTTGGGCAAATGACTTAACTCTCTCATGCCTCAAAGCAGAATCCTTTGTAAGGTTTATTTATATAGTGGTGTAAAGAGTACTTACTTCAAAAGCTTTGGTCAGTGTGAGAAATAAGCTCCTAACAAAGAAAGTGTTATGTAATAGTTATTATCTGGTACCTCTGATCACATCATTTTTGAAAATCACTTGAAATCTGCCTAAGTTTCATTCTGCCTTTGATGGCTCCTTATTTTCATCTCCCTACTTCAGGCTTCCTCCCTAATATATCTTTTATGCCAATATTATGATCACTTGAAACTATAAATCTGATGCCATCCTTGGCCACTACCATTAAGATGGTCTAAACTCCTCAGCATGATAGACAAGTCCCTTTATGATAGTGTACCCATCTAGTTCTCATTCCTCAAGTCTCCTCTGTTGTCTATGCTTACCCTATGGGCTAAGCTGAATCAAGCTGTTACATTTCCAAAACATGCCTCACTGTCTTTATTCATGCCTTTGCACATGCCATTGACTCTTCCTAGAATGCCCCATTCTCCTTCTCTAGAAAGTCTTCTCTTAACATACTTCTTCCCAAAATAAATTAGGTGTCCTTTCTTAATATGCCTCCAATAACCCCATACAGTATTTATCCCATTCTATTTTAGATGCCAGTTTGGTTGATGATACATTTCATCTAGTCAGATCTTCCCACTGCCTCTTATAAAGAAAACCAGGAGCCATATTATGATATTCTTGTTCTCTAATTTTTCTGCTGCCCTGATCTTAAACCACTTTCTTCTCCCTTTGTTGACAATTACCCCACCCCTTATTTCTTAATTAGCTCAACAAGATTAGATAGAAATGTATCTACAAAGGATATATGTATATAAATTAACTAGATAACAAAACTTCACACTGAAGTGAACATTCTACAAGTATTTCTTTCATTGCTGACCATTAGGTTGCAGCATGCAACTCTCAACAATGAGCTGCCCCTCTCCACTCCTATAGAAGCTCCAAATACTATGGTACCACTATGTAGGTTTTCAGCCTTTCAAAGGCTTTTATTATGAACTTCATCATTACTTCAGCAGGAGCCTTTTAGGGACTTAAAAGCACTGATTATCTATAAAAAGTAACTTCATATTTCATGCACAAAATTCCCAATTGGCAGATTTAGGTCCATAAAAGAAAGGAAAAAAATTATTCTAGCTATATAAATTATCAGGAATAAAATAGCATTTCTCCTTGCCTTGTTATAAGGAAATAATATATTTTTCCTTACCAGGAATCAGGATAGTATCTTTGATGATCCCTCAGGGTTATAAAATTGCTTACTGGTTAAAGTTTTTTGCCAAAGATATTAAGAAATAAAAAGTTCGCTCATTTTCCTGTGCAATTTAAAGAAATATTTGCAGTATGTACAGGAATTTTAAGTTATATTGCAGACCCTGGCAATAATATTTAAAAGGCCTATTTTCCCCATTAAAAAATTTACCCCATTAAAAAAGGTAAAAGGAAATCTCCATCATCCCTGAGCAGAAAAGGAAAAAATCATGGGTACTTTAATTAGTTAATAGAAACCACTGTAAATGAGTTATCTATCTCCAGAACATTCTCAGAGAATTTACACGAACTAAAACAGGAATGAAGTGCTCTCAGAGACTTTTTCTCAGGTAAATGTATTTAGTAGTTTGAGTAGTTGATCTGCAGAAACTTTAACTTTAATTAACTACATAGATGAATATTTTTTATTTTGAAATTTGAGAATGTCCTAAGAGGATGTCTACAGGATATGAAACTACTGGGTGCAGGAAAATTTTTTAAGTGTTAGCAAATTGTGGCAAGAGGAAAACAAACAGCGGAGAAAACTGTGGTAGAGAAAGTAAAGAAGGGGCAGGAGAAAGCTGTAATTATAACCTGGGCCTGCCTTTGTTCTCATGAAGCCAGGGGCCTCTCCATATCCTATACTTGCTCTTACACTAATAACAAACCAAATGCTGCAAAATAAAAGTAATAATGACCCAAACTAATTTAAGTCTTTTGTTTAAGGAGTAAATGAGAGAAACATTTTAGCTTCTTAATCAAGGAGTGCTATAATTTCAAGGCATCTTAATATAATTCACTTACCCTAAAGCAATTGTGCAATAAGCAAATTATAAAAGGAAAACAACAAAGGTTAACTTTCTACAGGGGCCAATAGACAAGATCTGTGGAGCACAGCAATTAACCTTCACATACTGGAGTCTTGTTTAAAAGGCCATCAAAAACTCAGATTACTGAAAATCACAAATGTCACCAACAAAAGGAATGTTGATTAGAGTCAAAAAAAAACAAAAAAACAAAAAAACAAAAAAAAAAAAACACCTTCCCAAAGGACTGCCTTCTTTGAAGGAATTTCAGAATGTTGCTAGCACAGGTTGACTAAGTTAAATCTCATTGATGGCTCCATCAGAGAATGAGAATGCCCAGCCAGTGCTGTTTTTAAAATGCACTGGGAGGGAAAAAACGAAATAACAATCTACTATTCCCTAATATATATGGCTTGGCACCCAGAGAAAGCCTCTGCCCCCGAAAGAGACTTTCTACATAGGGTTAAGCTTCATTAAATGAGGTGCAACCTTTCATTTTCAGGACATCTCTTTTCTTGCAAGGTCTTTAGAGGCAGAAGTTCCACTTGGATTCTAATACACATCTCTGTGAGCTCAGTTTCCTGAAAATATACACCTACTGGGTTCTAGGTTCTCCCTTACCAGTGACTGTATTCATTATTTCACAGCCACCAGAATCGGACATACACTATTAACATGATGAAAAATACAGCTACTGCTGCAAGTTTGGCATAAGTGGAATGCATGTTCAAGTACTTCGCATCCTGGCGGTATTTCTTGGACAGACTGGACAAATTGTTAGCCTTTGAATCCAATGCTGTCAAAGAGGAAAAAAGGAAAACATTAATTAGTCCCTGGAAGTATTTTACCGAAAGTATTAAGGCATTAAAAATAACCAAAATGAGCAGCACTGCAACAACCATGAATCTTAAATCATCATTTTTATTTTGAGGCTAACATTGCATATACTAATTAACTGATGATGCTGATCAGATTATGTCTGAATTTTTGAGGCTATATAGTAAGGTGGTTAGAAGTGCAGGTTCTGGCCTCAGACTCTTTGGTTCAGATATCACCTGTACAAGTTATGTGACATTGGTCAAGTCATGTAACCTATTTAAAACCTAGTTTCTTCATCTATAATTGGGGATAATAACAGTAACTATGTCATAAAGTTGTATGTACATGAGATTGCCTGTAAAGTGAGCAACAATGCCTGCACATGATAAATTATAATAATTATTACATGTTAATAATTATTATCTTCATAATCTTCTAATGGTCTGAATCATATTCTCTTATATTTTGAAAAACGATAATGATAATCCATGTAAAACAAACTCAGATAACCAGAAAATTCAATTAACCAAACACAGTCTTAAGCTATACTTCAATGATGACTGCTAACATTTCTAAGATTCTCCACATAGTAGAGACTACTACGAAGTTAAAGCTATCAGGATTTATATTTCAATAGACATAGGAAAGTTGTAACTAAAATACAATAAGTACTACAAAAAAAAACGCAAGTAAATTAAGCTTTTTAGTATTTTCTGGCAAGTTTTTTCACCCCCAAGGACATTTGTAATGTTGTTATCTTCTTATAACAGTTAACTAAACACTTAGAG
The DNA here is from genome assembly GCF_000001405.40 of Homo sapiens. Taxonomy (NCBI): domain Eukaryota; kingdom Metazoa; phylum Chordata; class Mammalia; order Primates; family Hominidae; genus Homo; species Homo sapiens. Next base: position 148,773,606 of record NC_000001.11, read on the forward strand.
AAATAGCCAGATAGACACAAGCTAGACCATATTAAAATATAGGGCATATTTTAATAATAAACACAAACTCTCCATTTGACATAATAAATTCTGATCAAACTTTTCACTTCTTGAAATTTCAGAAAAAACTATTTTGCAATCCGGCTGTTTCTTCCTTAAAGAATGCTTTTGGAATATTTGGAGTTGCTTAATAGAGACTGGTTTTGATTGGGAAACATGGCGTTACTTAATAACACAGGCATGACAGCCACGTCTGAATTAGCAACTGATCACATGAGTAAGAAAAACATCTAGTGACGGAAGAAGAGTCAGGGACTGAGAAATAACCATGACAATGCACAGGGCATCTTTTTACAGAGCCTACAAGAATATACACTTCACTGGACAGGGATTTTAAATTATTGTGTTTGCTGCTATATCCTGAATGCCCAGAACAGGGCCTGGTATATAGTTAGTGCTCAATAAACATTTGCTAAATGAATCTAAATCTGCTGAGAATAACTCAGCAGAGGAACAATTATTAGACCCTATGAAACAAGTCATAGTTGAGAGAATTTATATATGAACGTTTTGAAATACAGGATAACATAAAGACAAAGCTATTGCTTGGAGAAGTCATTTAACAAATATTTATGTGACAGGCACCATGTGAAGTGCTGAGGATACAACAGTGATCAAAATATACATGATCCCTGCCTTTAAGGAATTTAGAGTCTTGCATGAGTGATACAAGAAAAATTCCTGTGCTAGTCTACTTTATCCCATATAGGAATTGCAAGTCTGTATGACAAAACCTTACACACTCACTCACTCAAAATTTGGTATTTAAAGAGTGTGAAGGTAAATGAATAACTGCTCACTACTCAAAAAAAGGTTAAAGTTTGTAGTTCATAATAAAAGAAAACTCACTTACTAATGAATATATAGCATGGCTGAATTCAAAAATACTTATTAAGGAACCTATTTGTGACCATTTCTGTGGGGGATATATAAGGAGTATGTGAAACAGATATAAAATACATAAGCACTATCTTTAAAGAGCTTACATGTCCACATTAAACACTTAGGTAATATTGAAATATCAGGTAAATATACATATACTTTTAACCTAATTTTACCTAATTACCTACACTTTTAAAATTATATAAAGGGCTGGGTGTTGTGGCTCATGCCTGTAATCCCAGCACTTTGGGAAGCTGAAGTGAGTGGATTGCTTGAGCCCTGGAGTTTGTGACCAGCCGGAACAACATGGCAAAACCCCATCTCTACTAAGAAAATACAAAAATTAGCCAGGCGTGGTGGCACATGCCTGTAGCCCCAGCTACTCAGGAGGATAAGGTGGGAAGATCGCTTGAACCCAGGAGATGGAGGTTGCAGTGAGCCAAGATCGTGCCATTGCGCTCCAGCCTGGGCAACAGAACAAGACTCTGTCTCAAAAAAATATATGAAATTATATAAAAATATTTAATTATCCAAATATGTTTGCCTACTTTAATATAAATATATGAAACATATACTTATGTTATATGGAAATATATTTAATATATATTAAATATATATTTAATATGGTAAGAGGTATTTAATAAATATATTTAAGGTAAATTAGGTAAACACACATACATGTAATATGTGCTAAAACCATTATGTTACTAAGTGCTTTAGGAGTTTAAAGGACAGAAGAGATTAATGTGATACAGGCTATAAGGATCAGAGAAAGGTTCTTTAAAGAGACAGTTCTTATGGAGGTCTTACATACAGAACAGGTCCAGCATAAGGCAGTATTCTGTTCTAAGGACCACTAAGGATAGTAAAGAAGCTGGTGTGGCTACAGAAGAATGTTTGTGAACTAGAGAATGACAGACATTTGCATCTTCCTTATTTTCCATATGTAGAGCACAACGCCTTACAAATAACAAGCTCTCAATAACAATGGCTGACTGACGGAAAAATAAGTCAGACTGGATCTTATCTTGTAGTCCCAGATTTAAAAGTTTTTCAGAGAGGAATGCTTTGATGAAAATGGCATTTTATAAAGATTGATCTGGCAGCAGTAAAGTCTCCCAAAGAGGCTACTCAAAAAACCACTGCAATACATTGTTGAGTTTTCTCTCATTCATTTCCCTTAATTTATACAAGTTATATAATTTAATTAATTTTGTGAATATCTTAGAAATAATCATTGCTTCTAATATGGATGAGTCCTTTACACTGTTCCAACTCAACAAAAACTAATCATGCTAGGAAAAAAAATATATTGGAAGCATTGTAATGTAATGTACTTCTGGGAGATAAATTCTTAACAGTTCTAGGTAGAATCTAATAGCATAAAAGGCACTGCAAAATAAGCTATCCTTGTCTATGGAATGAGAACCATTTCTTCATAAGACTCATTGCTTTTAGATACCTGAGAGTGCTTCTCCTCGTTGTAACACTTCTTCGATATTGGCCACCATGATCCTCTGCACATCTTGCAATTCAGTGTTGATGGAGCCTAGGTTTCTTCGAGCACAACTGTCAATGTAGAGCTTCTTGGTTTTCTGAATGAAAGTATCTAGAATGATGAAGAAAACTGACCATTTCTTTCATGGCCATCAAAGTACTGAGGTAGGAAATTAAAAGTTCTGAGTTGGCCAGGCACGGTGGCTCACACCTGTAATCCCAGCACTTTGGGAGGCCAAGGCAGGTGAATCATGAGGTCAGGAAATCGAGACCATCCTGGCTAACACAGTGAAACCCCGTCTCTACTAAAAATATAAAAAGTTAGCCAGGCGTGGCGGCACACGCCTATAATCCCAGCTACTCAGGAGGCTGAGCCAGGAGAATCACTTGAACTTGGGAGGCAGAGGTTGCACTGAGCTGAGATCACACCACCACACTTTAGCCTGGGTGACAGAGCAAGACTCTGTCTCAAAAACAAAAACAAAAAAACCAAAACAGTTCTGTCTTTATTCCTGGATTTGCCACTGTCCATGGTTAACCAAACTCTTGGTTGAATATCAAAATCTAGGCTTTGATTATTTCATTTGTAAGATGTAAAGGTATAATTAGACGACCATTCAGGAGAAATGTCCTTTGAATACCTTTAAATTAGAAGTATTTGCTATCTAAGGCTGCTATCAGAATCCTTAGAGAAATTAAGACCCACTATAGTAAGCCTTTCCTGAAAACAGAAATTTTCAAACAGTATTCTGAGGACCCTTAGGCTAAGTGTTACTTACCTCTACACATTCCTTAAAAGGATGCTGGTAACACTCTAGCATTATTACAGCCTAACATGGCAAAAGGGCTCATGATCATTAAAAAGCTGAGAAACTTTACCTTATTTTCTCTAATATACATTCCCAGTTTCATTCCATTCTTAAACCTCAGGTAAAGCAAGTATGTAATAGGGAGTTTTCCAAAATACCAATATAAAACTGAACTGAAGTCTCGGCCAGGTACTGTGTCTCACACGTATAAATCCCAGCATTTTGGGAGGCCAAGATGGGTGGATCACTTGAGGCCAGGAATTCGAGACCAGCCTGGCCAACAAGGCAAAACTCCCATCTCTACCAAAATTACCGAAATTAGCTAGCTGGTCATGGCAGCGTGCACCTCTAGTCCCAGCTATTCAGGAGGCTGAGGCACAAGAATCACTTGAACCTAGGAGGCAGAGGTTGCAGTTAGCCAAAATCATGCCACTGCACCCCAGCCTGGGCAATAGAGCGAGACTCTGTCTCTAAGTAAATAAATAAATAAATAAATAAAAACTGAAGTCTCATCCATCTTTTGCTCATATCAGTATTTCTCAAAACTATAGGAAGAACGACTTATTATTAAAGATATTTTCAACATTTGGCAAAAATCTTAATTTAAGTGTGCTGTACCCCTTTCATTTGCCTCTTTAGATCTCCTCTCTGCCCTCCTGCACCTTGCTTTCTGCACTGGGAAGCTGACTTGGATGAAGCGCCTCAATAGACTCCTTGCTCTGTGCCAGTTAGGTTCAGGCAATGAAGAAGCCCCAACAGTAGGGAAGAAGGAGAACAGACAGTGAGTGATGTCCGGGTATTTATTCCCCTGGCTTCTTTCAGAGAAGGAAATAACCTTCTTCTGGAAGTATCCCTCTACCAAAAGTTACGCTCCTCTCAAGTTGGCCTTCTCTAGAAATTTTCTCCTTTTCAGTTTCAGAAACTGCTCCTCCCCCTTATACATTCAGGCCTAGGGATGGTAACAACCAGTATGCTACTGGTCAGAGGTTACTGTACCTTGTAATTCTCCTACAGCCTAGTCATATCTTTGTATATAATCCCTTAAGCTAATTTGGGTGTGCCATCTGTTTCCTGTATGACCCTGATACATTTGTCTTCTTTTTGAGGGAGGTTTATGGGAGTATTACTGTCTATAAAAATAAAATTTGAAAAACTGGACATTATATAAAGCAGCACTTGGAGAGTATATAGTTATGAAACACTAGAGTGTTTTTCCAAAGCAAGATGACCCATTTATCTAGCAAACTTGAAACACTTCAAAAATTCTAAGCCAGTAAAACCAATTTCTCTTTTAACTAAAAATTGCAGCGATATAGCCTGATCCTACTTGTTCTCACTCCCTGTACTTACTGTACTTAGGACATTTCCTTTGATCCCTTACCATCAGATACTTTACCAGGTCTGATTAGTAATTGGTCTTTCTATAATTCTTGTACAAATACAGACACCTATGCTCACCATTCCTGAATGTAGTAAATATTATACCCCAATACCATGAGTACCAGGTATCTTCTATTTCTTTGTTCTGTTTTGTTTTTTTAATTAGAGGATCTTATTCTACTAAAAGAAACAAAACATCATTCTTTCTGATTTCCCAATTCTGATCTCCATAAAATGAGCCTTATTGTGAGTGTGAGTCTGTGGACTGGGGTAAAGAAGAACTCAGCCATTATATGCCAATCAAGTAGATCTTTAGCAAAGTTCCTGTCACATGTGACTCTAAAGAAGAATCAAACCAAATAACAGAAAGGGCAAAAGGCAACAATTTCTATGGAGGAAAGATCAAAAGACTAGAGAAAATTACTTTTCAGAACAAAGCCTTAGTCACTCAAAAAGACAAAAAGAAGTGGAATGGAAAAGGAAGCAGAAGCTAAAACTTCAGCAAGTAAACATCAGAAAAAATGTATAAATATTATATCAGTGTAACAAATAGCTTCTCCATATTGTTTGCTCCCTTGATAGAGAGAAGTGAGGGGCAAAAACTTACCAAATTCAATAAAGGAATAGGGTCGGGACACAGTGGGCACCTTCTTTCCATGCTGTTCATCAAATTCTGAGTGCAAATCTTCTAGGTAGGCAAAAGCCAACGTCTTAGGGAAGGCAGCTTCACATAAAACCAAATCACACACCCCCTGCTCAATAATGTAGCTGGTGAGACATAAAAAGCAAGACAAAGTTGTCTGTAAAGTAATAGCACTGACAACAGTTTAAAGCAGAATCTCTGTACCATGCAAACTTTTTTAAAAATCTAGCCTAAATACTTTGAGGCTGGCTAAACGAGAGTCAATTTAAAACCGCAAATCCTTGGAATCAGAAAGCAAACATCTTCCCATTATTAGATGTATATTCTTTTTTTTTTGTTTTTGGTTTTTTTTTTTCTTTTTTTTTGAGACGGAGTCTCGCTCTGCCCCCGGGCTGGAGTGCAGTGGCATTATCTCGGCTCACTGCAACCTCCGCCTCCCGGGTTCAAGCCATTCTCCTGCCTCAACCTCCCGAGCAGCTGGGACTACAGGCGTGCGCCACTATGCCCAGCTAATTTTTGTATTTTTAGTAGAGACGGGGTTTCACCACGTTAGTTGGCCAGGATGGTCTTGATATCTTGACCTCGTGATCCGCCCGCCTCAGCCTCCCAAAGTGCTGGGATTACAGGCGTGAGCCACTGCACCCAGCCTATTAGCCGTATATTCTAAAAGGAGTATTTAGACATATTTATTATAATTTTTCATCCATTAGATTCTCTTTTTTTTTTTTTTTTTTTGAGACAGGGCTCTTTCGATCACCCAGATTACCCAGGCTGGAATGCAGTGGCATGATCTCAGTTACAGCAATCTCCGCCTCCCAGGTTCAGGTGATTCTCACGCCTCAGCTTCACAAATAGCTGGGATTACAGACACCCACCACCACACCCAGCTAATTTTTGTATTTTTAGTAGAGATGGGGTTTCACCATTTTGGCCAGGCTGGTCTGAAACTCGTGACCTCAATCGATCCACCCAATTCAGTCTCCCAAAGTGCTGAGATTACAGGTGTAAGCCACTGGACCCAGCCCATTACACAATTCTTCAACTAACATTTTAAACTTTTATTTTAGCTTGAGGATGTATATGTGCGGGTTTGTTACCTGGGTATATTGCATAATGCCGAGGTTTGGGGTACAAACAATCCCGTCACCCAAGTACTAAGCATACTACCTAATAGTTTTTCAACCCCTGCCCCCTCCTTCCCTCCTCTTCTAGTAAGTCCTCAGTATATTTATGTCCATGAGTGCCCAATGTTTAGCTTATAAACTTATAAATGAGAATATACAGTATTTAGTTTTCTGTTCCTGCATTAATTCACTTAGGTAATGACTTCCAGCTCCATCCATGTTGCTGCAAAAGACATGATTTCATTTCTTTTTATGACTGCATAGTATTCCATACTGAATATATACTACGTTTTCTTTATCCAATCCACCACTAACATGTACCTAGTTGATATCTTTGCTATTGTGAATAGTGCTGCAATGAATATGCAAGTGCATGATTTTTGGTAGAAAGATTTGTTTCCTTTTGGATATAAACCCATTAATGGGTTTGCTGGGTCTAATGGTAGTTCTGTTTTAAGTTCTTTGAAAAATCTCTAAACTGCTTTCCACAGTGGCTGAATTTACATTCCCACGAACAGTGTATAAGCAATTCCTTTTTCTCCACAGCCTCATCAGCATCTGTTGTTTTCTGACTTTTTAATAATAGCCCTGTGACTGTTGTGAGATGGTATCTTATTGTGGTTTTGATTTGCATTTCTCCAATAATTAGTGATGTGCATTTTTTCATTAGTTTGCTAGCCTCTAGTATGTTTTGAGAAATATCTGCTCATGTCTTTTGTCCATTTTTTAAATGGGGTTATTTGTTTTTTGCTTAATACTTAAGACTTTTTCCTGAAAAATTCAGAGTTGTGACTCCATCCACCCTTTGATTCTATATGGTAAACTAGCATACACATATTTAAACTCTTTCCAGCCACAAAGGAAAACACTGTAACTGGAAATTTCTGTGGATAGAAATGTAAGGTTAATGACATAATGTTTACTGGGTACAAGACTAATAAGACTCCTTAATTTACAGTCCAGGAGGACTCTGTAATCAACTGGAAACTTTTCAACAATGGAACTGACTTTCTTTTGTGATGATGAGCGCCCATGCACTCTGGAAGGGGCTATATGATTACACATCTGAGAAATTCTTAGAAAAATGTTAGGCTACTAAGTGGTTTTCCAACTTCTTTTTAGCCATAGTATACACACACACACATGCAAATATATATATTTATATATGGAATATGTATATATAACAAGCAAAACTTATATTCAGAAGGCCAATGTATATATCAGATAAAATCAGAGGTTCTTTAGTTTAAGTAGGAGTTTGCAAATATTTTCTCCCATTGTGCAAGTTGTCTCTTCACTGTGTTGTTTCCTTTGCTGTGCAGAAGCTTTTAGTTTAATACAGTCCCATTTGTCTACTTTCTTTTCTGTTGCCTATGCTTTGAAGTCTTTTCCATAAAGTCTTCGCCCAGGTTCATGTCCTGAAGCATTTCCCCTATGTTTTCTTCTAGTAGTTTTATAGTTTAGGGTCTTATGCTTAAGTCTTTAATCTACTTTAAGTTGATTTTTGTATATGATGAGATAGGGATCTAGTTTCATTCATCTGATGAGGAACTAATATCCAGAACATACGAGGAACTCAAACAACTCAACAGCAAAACCAAAAATAATTCAATTAAAAAGTAGGCAAGGAACAGAATTGACATTTCTCAAAAGACATGCGAATGGCCAAGTATATGAAAAAATGCTCAACATCACTAATCTTCAGGTAAATGCAAATAAAAACCACAACGACATATTATTTCACCCCAGTTAAAATGTCTATTAAAAAGACAAAAGTCAATAAATGCTGTTGAGGATGAAGAGAAAAGAGAACTTTTATACACTATGGAAAACAGTATGGAGGTTTCTCAAAAAACTAAAAACAGAACTACCATACAATCTAGCAATCCCACTGCTGGGTATTTCTCCAAAGGAAAAAAACTCATTATGTTAAAAACTTATCTGTACCCCCATGTTTACGGCAGCACCATTCATAATATCTATGGATAGATAATCAAGAGAAATGTCCATCAAGAGAATAATGGATTTTAAAAGTGTTTTTTACACACACACACACACACACACACACACCATGGAATACTATTCAGCCATAAAAAAGAATGAATTTCTATCATTAGCAGCAACATGGATAAATCTGGAGGACATTACGTTAAATAAAATCAGTCATGCACAGAAAGATAAATATGGCATGTTCTCATTCATATGTAGGAGCCAAAAAAAATTTTTGAGCTCATGGAAGTAGAGAGTAGAATTGTGGGTATTAGAAGTAGGGAAAGGTAGAGAGAAGGGGAGGATGGGCAGAGGCAAGTTAATGGATAAAAAATTACAACTGGATAGGAAGAATGAGTTCTGGTGTTCTGCAGAACTGTAGGGTAAATATGGCTAGCTATAACTTACCACGTATTTTCAAAAAGCTACAAGATTTTGAATGTTCACAACACAAAGAAATGATAAATGTTTGAGGTGATGAATATGCTAATTACTCTGATTTGATTACACATTGTATACATGTATTGAAATATCACTCTGTATCCCATAAATATGTATAATTATTACATGTCAACTGAAAATAAAAGGAAAAAATTTAAAACATAAGGAGGAGTTTAGGGGCCCAAAGCATTATATATACTCCCATCCTTGCCCTTTCTATGTGGCTCCTGAGGCATCCTAGGGCTCCATAAAGGATAAAGACTATTATATGATCTCTCAGGTCCCTTAAAATAATATTAATAATACAGCTGTCTTATTCCTTGCTTGGGCACCTGAGTTAACTGGTCTCTTTGCTTTTAGTCTACACCATCTTCTATACCATCAGTTTTATTCCCAGAGACTACAGATGACCATATTACCCTGCTTACAAACTCTAAGGGTTCCCTAATACCTACAAAATAAAATCATACTCCATGGTATTATATTTACAGCCTTTCAAAACAAGTGTAAGCAACATTCTATCATATATTTTAATAAACCAAATGGCGGACTGTTTTCCAACATGCTAGGTTCTTTACATATTTGTGGACTTCTGCTTATATTGTTTTTTCTAACCATTAATGCTCTTTTAAATACCTGGAGAAATCCTGTTCATTTCCATATGTTCAATTCTACCATAATTTTTTCTGTGAAACTTCTTTAAATATACTCCCCTCCTCTGTCCCGTTTCTTCAAACTTACCCCCTACAAATGGGAATTTGTTCCTTCCTTCTCTCTGTTCCCAAAACATTTCATTTAAATCTAATTTACAACATCTTTTCAATGAAGATATTATAGTATACTTGTTTGAGTATATGTCTCTCTCTGTACTAAGAGAACAGTGTTAAAAGGTATGGACATTAAATGCAGGACTCAATATAAGGTCCGGCAAAGAATAAACCCTTAATAGCTCTTGGATGGAAATAAAGGATGATATGAGATTATGAATGTCCTAAAGGAATCAGGCAGAAGAAAATCTCTTCTCAGTTCCATGAGAACTTTCCTAGGTCTTGGTTCTCTAAACCATGGTGAAAATGAGGATACTAGATATTAAGTGAGTGACTATTTTTGGTGTTGAAAATTAGAGTTCTAGAAAATATTTCAGATATTATAAAAATTAATACATCATAAAACATAATGTCCAACATTTTCTTAGCCAATTGCCTAGGGTTTTATTTTTGTTTTGATGTACTTTTTACTTGTCTTTTATAGGTAGAGAATTTTTGTTTTGTTTTTTAAAAGTAAACATAGCAGCTTCCTCCCTGGCCTAAGTTATCTTACTATCTAAGTCCCTAAAATAGCAAAGATTATTTAACTAATCCGTTTTTATTTTCCTCTGATGCTCTTGTACTCTTTTCCTTTTTAATCCTTCCCATTTTGTCAGCTTCAAACTTGGCATGTATTAAACATTAAATACCAATTATTTGTAGATAATTTAAAATCCAATAATGTTCCTTTGAGTCCTCTATCAGCTGTATCGTTTATAACCACTGATTAAGATGCTCTTATCTTTTATAATTTTCTTTTTTCAAAATAATAATAACTAATAATTATTGACCCTTCCCATGTGTGTCAGACAAGATGCTAAGTAATACACACGGATTCCCTCACAATCCTCTCAAACCTCCTATGTTTATTTTCACTACTTTATAGAGGAAACTGAGGCTTAGAGAAGTTATGTGAGCTGCTCAAAGTTACACTGTTAGGAAATGTTTGAGCAAGGGTACTAACCTACACATATCTGGCTCCAAGACAGTCCTAAAGCAAGAAGTTATCTATTATTGCATGATGGGCACAGCATAGACACATGTTAACAGGTTAAATTACTGTAAGCATGCTGAAAAAACCAACAAGATGTCCATTTTGTAGAATTAGAGCCAGAGAAGTTGCTCCTCCCAAAAGACAACATTTTTAAGTAATCTTTACTTTTTAAAAATTATTATTTTTTATCAGGCATTCTGTTACTGTATTTCACACTTAAATGATCATAAAGAAATCAAGATTACACTCACTGAAAAGTCATGGCTCCTGCTTCCAAGGTACATCTGGTAGGGGACTGTTCATTCAACTTTCGAAAGAGTTACTTAGCCTGACTCTGATACTGTTGAAGGTCCCGGCCAGACTGAAAGAAGACATCTTCATTTAAGAATTTTCCACAAAATGCTGTATCAATTAGTGAGAAGCACCATATTATGAGGACACTCTGAATGAGGTCCTTCATTTACAGGTAAGTAAGATTCATTTTAACGGAGGAAAGACAACCTACTTTCAGAGTACAGAGGAAGACCTAACCCCTACTTCTTCAAGATGATCGCATTAGTTATTTGCTAAGAAGCAAAAGCATATACCTCAAATACACTTAAGCACTCCTAACTTTCAATCCAGTCTTCTTTCCACTATTAGGACAGTACTCTCCTCCTAACCCATTTCATTTGCAGTTATTGGCACAGAACTACACAGCATGTGCTATACTCAGGGGAATATCCTAGGAACAAGATTGGTGAATTTCATTTTTATGTTGGAATATCCAGCAGAACCTTCCACAAGTGTTACAGTTTTTAGCATTTAAACAAAACTAAATGTGTGTACTAGTGACTGCAAATTATTATGAACACTTTGACTGCAATTACATAAAAATGACCAAGGGTAGAGACAAAGATTAGCATGTCAGATACCCTTTACTGAAGAAATCTATTTGGTTCCCAAGTTTGGACAGCAAAAGTTTGAATATCGAGGGATATATGCAGACAAAAATGAAAATAATAGCATTCACATGTTATAATTACAGGTAATATTTTCCTGAACAATTTCTAACTGCTTTTACAATTATTTTTGTTAAAAAGAGGGGGCAAATCTACTGGAAAAACCAGCAGTGTCATTTCAAAAGAAGAAAACCATGCATCTCCAATCTACTAGATCCAACAGGGAAAGGAAGTGCCTGAAGAATGGGAAGCAAATAGACATTGTTTTTCCATCCACATGTGGGGTAGGGGAGCTTTCTGCCAGCTACCCAGCTATAGTCTGAATGTTTGCTGGTATCCCCCACAAAATTCATGTTGAAATCCTAACCCCCCAAAGTGATGGTATTAAGAAGTGGGACCTTTGGGAGGTGATTAAGTCATGAGGGTAGAGCCCTCATGAATGCGACTAGTACCTTTATAAAAGAGACCCCAGAGGGCTAGCTTGCTCCATCCACCATGTGAGGAAACAGCCAGAAGGTGACATCTATGAACCAGGAATAGGCCCTCAATAGTCACCAAATCTGCTGGTGCTTGATCTTCACCTTGCAGAACTAGAAAAATCAATTTCTGTCATTTATAAGCCACCCAATTTATGGTATTTTGTATAGTAACCCAGACTAGGACACTGCCATGTGATGCAAAGAAATAATCCTATTTTGGAATTATTTATTTTACATAGAAAGAATAGCCTCCCTTTGGCAGATGTTTAATAACTAAATATTTAAGTAGAAAAGTATTTATGCTAGGGTCTCCCAGGATCTGAGGTCTAACTTTGATAAAGTACAAAGTGATATCTTAAAATTGTAGATAGTGTACTGCTAAGCTGATAATAAAAACAAGGAAGCAACAATAAAATGATAAAGTGGCAGATCAGCAAATGTACAATTACAGGATAATAAGATTCTAAGCTATATGTAAAAATGGTGAACTGGAAATTTCAGTATGAATAAGAAGGTGAATAAGCATGAGGTGAACCAGGGGAGATAGGCAGAGTCCAGTCGAGGTATTAGTTTGTAGATTTATCTTGTTTAATACCACTGTTATGGCAATTATTTGTTTTATTGACATATATTTGTTATATATTTGAGAAATAGTTCTATATTAACATATGTATGTCTGTATGTATGTACAGTTTTATATATTAAACAGTACTTTATAATAATTATATCAAAATTATCATATTAAACAGTACTACTAATATATGGCCAGCCAGTAAGAGTGAATACTGTCATATGCTTTTAGCCAATAAGAACTAGTGCCCAATATTCTATTTTCCTAAATTTGAATGGTACTTACCAATCTTTTTGTTTCCCCAGTGCCATTCTGAAGAGATCTGAACCCACAAGAGTAGATAAAAAGCATGCAAATAATGTTGGGAATGCTACTCAAGTGCCAAGAAAGAATATCAACATAGATCGGTGATTTTCAACCTTGGCTTCACAATAGAATCATTTGGGGAAATCTCAAAAACAAAACTACTTATGCCCAGTCTCCACCACCAAACCAATTAAGTCAGCATCTTGGAGGTGGGGCTGTGACATCGGTATTTTTTACATAACTGCAACCACAGGTGTTAAATATATGTTCTTTGCTAAAGGCAGGTGAGAATCTTAAAAGGACTAGTTGAAGAAACATGGAAAAAATTGCCACTCAGATTGGTACAAATCCTTTGACTTTACAAGAGGCACTGTAAACATTACTGTAACCTGAGAAAAAGACTAACAACTGTATCAACTATAAGAAACTGGCCAAAAGCATTCTGCAATTTCAGGAATTTGCAAACAGCAATGTAAAGACTGCCAATATACAACACTGGGGATGTATTTATAGGGATTATGGTATGCCAACCAACACCTTACCATGCTGGTTCAGTTAGCATTACCATCCTTGAGAACACAATGCTAGCACAATCTTCATGGTTAAATAATAATCTTTCTGGCATATTCATACAATGGAATACTATGCAGCCATTAAAACAATGCTGTATAGAGTTTAATGATATGAGAAAATATTCATTAAACACTGTTAAGTGGAAAAAATTAGGTGAAACAGTCTTACGGTATTACCTATTATTTAATGTTATACACACATACATATGTTTAAGGTCATCCACCAAAATGGATATAATTTGAGTACAGATTATAGTTAATAAACACTGTTAACATTTTGGTCATTTTGCTTTTATGTATTTACTGAACTTTCTATAATACGCACAAATTAATTTTGTAATGTGAAAAATCATTCATTCATTACATATTTGCATCCAGTGTATCGATTATGTGCAGTTCTGATCTGTGAACCTTTAAGAAAGGCAAGATGAGGCTGGGTATGGGGGTTCACGCCTGTAATCCCAGTACTTTGCGAGGCCAAGGCAGGTGGATCATGAGGTCAGGAGTTCAAGATCAGACTGGCCAAGATGCTGAAACCCCATCTCAACTAAAAATACAAAAATTAGCCGGGTAGGGTTGCAGGTGCCTGTAATCCCAGCTACTCGGGAGGCTGAAGCAGGAGAATCGTTTGAACCTGGGGACCGGAGGTTGCAGTAAGCTGAGATCACACCACTGCACTCTAGCCTGGGCAACAGAGTGAGACTCCATCTCAAAAAAAAAAAAAAAAGAAAGGCAAGATGGAATTAGAAAAGATTCTTCAGAAATGATCAAATGAAATTATTAAGTGTTCACTTTCTGCCAGCCACTGTTCTGAACACTTTACATTATTTAACTCGTTTATTCTTCATGAGGTGATTAGAATTATTATGTCAATTTTTTACTTGAGAAGTCAAACTTTTTAGCCTCTAAGCTAAAAAGGGAGGAACTAGGATCTGAATGCAGGCAATCTGGCCCTGGAGCCCCTACTCCTAAGCATTATGCTACCCTAACTCTATAATTGAAATTGTTTCAATAGTAGATCCACCTTTTAGGTGAAGTCTTACTATGTAATTCTAACTCATTGGAAATGCTCAAGAAACCATGGGGCAGCTCTGATCTAGATCTCACAAAACAACCTAACCACTGTTTTACATACTGACCTTTAGTTTGCTTTCAAGATCAAAGTCACAAAGGGCCCACAGTTAGCCAGTCCACCTAAAAATATTTAGATATCCTCATTGTGTTTTCTACTTCATCTAGAAAAGATTAATGAAATTTGTATATGATATAATTATGAGATATCTATTAGTAATCCAATAATGCAGTGGATCAGAATAACTGGAAAAACTGTGAAACAAATTTGAGGTTATCCAACAGCAAATGTAGGATTTGGATCTATATATTACAAAAGATAGAAGGTAGTAACTTGACACACAACCGCAATACTTTTCGTTGCTGTCACCTAAGACTGCTGAACAACTAGTTGTATCAATAACAACTTTTGCCTTCATAGCTCTTATCATTTTCATAGCTGAGTTCAGTGGGTATCAATACCCACTGAACTCAGCTGGTCAAAGACCAGCAGCACCAAGAACCAACCACTTTCCTCTAAAAGCAGTTACAGTAAGTGGATTAATCAACCCTCAGTGATTGGGAGCGTGAGACAATTTAACTGTATAACATGTTATCTATCTGCTTTCTTGGAGCTTCCTGCTGCCTATTTGGTGAGATCTAACACTTTCTTCAAGTCTGGACTGCCCTTCACGATGCCAGAGGAAAATGAAAGAAAATACAATAATTTTGAGGCAGAACAGAAAGGTAGATAAAGAAATTGCAAAAATCCTAAAAGGAGAAACATGCCATAAAAGGAATGAGGAAAAAAGATAAACAGGGTATCAGTTAGGGAGTCCACATTTGAGAAGAAAAGCTCATCTCTCTTCCTGCCCTAAGTCTAAATTTTCAGTTAAACACAGAGGAAACACCCTGTATAAAATACTCTGTCTACATTATTTTGTAAATTTTACTCTCTATTGTATTATCTGAATAACTGTCCATCTTCGGTAATATGGCAGCTTGTACAGGCACCTAGTAAATACCTAAAATATGATATCTATTATCAGTGTAAATACTGAAAGTACACTGATAAGAAAACAAAAACATACAAAAATGAAAATACATTGAATTATCTGGCCTGGACAATTAAGGTGATTAAATATAAAACTGTTTGGTTGAGATATCTGTTTATTAAAAAGTTATTCCTGGACTCCTAAGAGGTAAGACATCATTAAAAGGCCTTAGAACAAGGCAGTAAAGTACAGTGGTTAGGCACTAAAGTACAGTGGTTATTAAGTTTTTGTCTGAGTCGACAAAAACTTAATAAAAACCACTGGGTCTCAATTGGGGTGATTTTGCCCCCATGAGACATTTAGCAATGTCTAGAAATATTTTTGTCGTCATACAAACAAACAAAGTGGGGAAGGGTAGTGGTACTACTGGCATCTAGAGGGTAGAGGCCAGGAATATTGCTGGACCTCCTACACAATATACAGAACAGTCCCCAAGAACAAATAATTATCCATCCCCAAATGTCAACAGTGCCAAGGGGAAAAACCCTGATGAAAAATTTCATTATGCCACTTATTAGCTGTGAATTTAGGCAAGTGATCTATCCTCTCTAAGCCTCAGAGCTTCCTTATCTATTATTGGAGATTTTAATAGTACCTGTTCTAATATGGTAGTATGAGGATTAAATAAAAAAATGAATTTAATAGGCTTAGCACAGTGTTTGGTATGTAGTAGGTGCTTTTATAAATGTTCTGTATACTATTAAAATAGTAAAAGTAAGCCTAAGATTCAGATCTTTACAGACATTAAAAGTTTAGGCAAACTTTATTATTCAAAGTCAAAATTCCTAAAGGAAAATACTATGGCACTACAATCACAAAAATATTTGTGTGTAAAATTTCTTTCCTTGTCAATTAAACAAAGCATCCCATCTTGATAAACCAATATGAAATCAATACCAAATTTATAATTAAAAAACAATAAATCAATTAATTTTTCAATAAAGTATCATGGCAGAGAGTAGGGGCCACTAATATTAAGTAGACTTTCAAGTTCACTTTGTATTCTTTGCTAACACTGGAATTCAATGCAATAATTTAAAAATTGACCAGATTCCATCCCCCCTACCCCCAACACACAGCCACCCACTGTAGGAAAACTATTTTTTAGTCAAACTACACATCCTTCAAGGATATTCCCCTGCACTATCTACTTTGTTCAAATCATATTCCTAGGTTCATTTGAACAATTACACTCCTTCTGCAGGATGGTCCTAGAGTATTCCTGAAAAACATTTCACATTAGCAAATCGGGGTATGTTAAATTGTTCACGGTTTATTTCAAAGATTAGACTTTGTTTTTATGTAATGAATAGAATATATTTCACTTAGCATGACCTGCAACTTTATTATCTGTATCACCACTCTCCTAAAAGTGAAAGTAACTATATTTCCAAATCAAACCTAAAAAGGCATATAACCAAATAGAATAATAGTTCCTTACTACTGGATCCTACTGTTACCTTAGTGTCATACCTTCCGGGAAGACTTTCCTGATTTCCTAAAACCAACTTAGATATATTTTCCATGTTCAAGCACAAAACCCTCTTCCTTCTCCTTAGCAGTTAAACTACATTTTAATAGTTTGTTGGTTATCTGATTTTTCCACTAGACTGTAAGCTCCACAAAGGTAGAGACTGTGTACTCTAACTCCCTGCATTAACACTATGCCTGGCACATTTGATGTGCTCAGTAAAAATTTTTTGCATTAATATATGAATGAAAAGTCCAACAGAAGAAATGTGCAAACTATTTTTTCAATATCTCATCTTTTTTTAAGGCTCAAGGTTTTACTTAGACTGTATGGAAAAGTAAAATAAAATTGATCACTTTAAACAAATTATATAAATTCCATTCTCAGCTTTGTCTTCAGAACCTCCCAAGCTTGCTCCAGAAACTTGTCTTACTTCAGAAATTTCCACTGCGTTTCTAAAACACAAAACAGCTTTCTTTTAAGACATCTGGAATTAGTGCTGTTTTTAATCAATTCAGTATACTTTTGAGCACCTACCAGCATAAAGCAGCTATCGTAAAAGGTATGGATAACAAAGAGATGATTAAGACCCGTCGTTTGCCCGCTAGGAAACTCAAGTTATTGAAAGACAAAGAAAAAAATAAGTTACAATGTATTGCAGGAATGTGGTACGGCGTATTGGAGAAGGTGGGAACTGGGGATAATCCTGAAAGAATGTGATGTACTGAACTTTTAACAGGTGCCACTGTATCTGGACCAATATCTATCGATCTGGACTGCATGCATCAGTATGGCTGTACCAGCTATTAAAATACTGGAACATTTCTTACAGATTAGTAAAAAAGCTATTGCCCTGAGCATCCCCTTCTTGAGCCCCTTCTACCCCAACAACATGCAAACGCTTAAGATTCCTGCTCCCCACAGTTCTGCCAGATTCCATTGTCTTTGGCGGTTTTCCATGTTAGTCATTTTGAAAAGCTTCGCCTCCAGGCATGGCCATTAGCTACCCCCAGGGAATTAGAACGACCCCCGCCTTCCGCCCTGGCGCCTGCCCTCCGGCCACGCCTCCGGTGGGCTGCAGGGCGTAGGCCCTGGTGGGGGTTGGGAAGCAGCGCCCCAGGCAGGTTTACTGACACCATCTGCACTGGTGATTAAACACGAGTTATTTTGAATTACCATCCCTGATTAAACCTCCTCACAGTGCGAGCTGCGTGAAGGCAGGACTTTTCTTTATTCTTGAATTTTCACAGCCCTTAGCTGTGTCCTCCGCACAGTGCATCCAGTCAGAGAAGTGAAAGTGAAGGGTTAGAGGGGAAGGGGGAATGAGCCGGAAAGAACAAGGTGCGCTTTGGAAGTCCCGTGAAAGCCTCTGTTTAAAATAATTACGACTTTGGCCGGGCGCAGTGGCTCACGCCTGTAATCCCTGCACTCCGGAAGGCCGAGGCGGGTGGATCACTTGAGGTCAGGAGTTCGAGACCAGCCTGGCCAAAATGACGAAACCCCGTCTCTACTAAAAATACAAAAATTAACCAGGTGTGGTGGCGGGCGCCTGTAATCCTAGACACTAGGGAGGCTGAGGCAGTAGAATTGCTAGAACCCAGGGGGCGGAGGTTGCTGTGAGACGAGATTGCGCGCCACTGCACCCTAACCTGGGTGACAGAGCAAGACTCCGTCTCAAAAAAAAAAAAAATTATGACTTTAAATAGCCTATTTCAAATATCAAGCCACAGCAAAGCTATCTCTTGCCTTCTAGAGGAAGCTATTTCATGAAACTGTAATACTTCTTCCAACATGTCTGTCTGGTTTCCCTACTTTGTCAGGAAAGCCTAGCAGAGAGCAGGCCCAGCTGGTTCACGCCTTGGGGCTTGGGATGTGTGGGGTGAGTAGGATAATTGGGTGTAGAAAGTAAAAAGTTTCCTCTTCAGAGTTTCCCTTCTTGTTAAAGAATAAATCATAAGTGTTAGAAATAATAGTTTCTTTTAAAGACTAACTTCCTTCAATCCTCCTTGCTTTGTGCTATTAACTCTCTGTTAAGCCCTATCCTATGTAGCTATTAGACATAAAGGAATAAGTACATTCTATGTCCTTGTACTTTAACCAAAATATTTGTGCTGGAGGTGCTCACGGGCATGTCTCAGCTCACAGCCTATGCCCCTTCCTTATTCAGGAATATTATTACTTTTCTAAGTCCTTTCATAAGCAACTTCCTCTTTTCCTTTGTCTTTCCATTGCTTTTACCTATTTAGAAAAGTTTTAAATTATTAGCCAGTCAGGTTTTAGTTTAGATTGTGCAGTCTGGCTCCAGCCAACGGAGACAGGACACAGCAGCAAGGACAAGCTGCGTAAGGGATAAAAATTTCTTCCCTCCATTGTTCAGGTGTGCTCTCGCCATTGTTCCATCTGCGAGGAGCACTCTTTCTGCAGAAAGTAAAATTATCTTGCTGAGAAAACTTTTTGTCTGAATGCTAATTTTTCCTTGCAGTACCGATTAACAAGCATTCTGTTTCTAAATAAACATTTTACATATAAAATTGGGGTAGTTTTGATAGCACCTAAAATATTGTATGGAACTTAATTTTTTTAAAAAACATATTTCTTCTACTACTAATCTCCAAACTCTTTCAGGACAGAAAAACTAGTTAGTTATTCCCAAGGGTCTAGTATCCTGTACCTGGAACCTAGCAAATGCTCAATTACTGTTTATGGACTAAATGACTGAATGAATGGCATGTCTCATGGGTTGAGATGATACTCATTGGTTGTATACAGCACGATTCACAGTTGGTATTGTACTTAGTGAAAACATGTCCAACCCCCATTTCTTTCATTCTTCCAATTAGTTATTCAACAAATATTTATTGTTCAACTACTATGGGCTAGGAATATCAGGCACTGAATTATACAGAGGTTAACAAAAGGAACATGATATATGTTACTGGAAATGGGTCCCTATCCAGACCCCAAGAGAGGGTTCTTGAATCTCCTGCAAGAAAGAACTGGGGGCAAGTCCATACAGTAAAGTGAAAGCAAGTTTACTAGAGAAGTAAAGAAACAAAAGAATGGCTACTCCATAGACAAAGCAGCACCAAGAGTTGATGGTTGGCTATTTTTATGATTATTTCTTGATTATATGCCAAATAAGTGGTGGATTATTCATGAGTTTTCTGGGAAAGAGGCAGGGATTTCCCTCTTTTAGACCGTATAGGGTAACTTCCTGACATTGCCATGGCATTTGTAAACTGTCATGGTGCTGGTGGGAGTGTCTTTTAGCATGCTGATGCATTGTAATTAGCATACAGTGAGCAGTGAGGACAGCCAGAGGTCATATTCATCGCCATATTGGTTTTGGTGGGTTTTGGCCAGCTTCTTTACCACATCCTGTTTTATCATCAGGGTCTTTATGACCTTTATCTTGTGATACCAGTCCTGCCAACCTCTCATCTCATCCTGTGACTGAGAATGCCTAACCTCCTAGGAATGCAGCCCCATAGATCTCAGCCTCATTTTACCCAGCCCGTATTCAAGATGGAGTCATTCTGATTTGAATGCCTCTGACAGTTACATTCTAGCTGGCTCTGTCTCTCTTCCATTATCCCCAACCCACCTCCACCCGCATTGCATTCCCACCTCTCAATCTGCAACAATAAAAGCTTTGGATGGTGACTTTTTTAACTCTGAATATACAACGAGATTGTCCTTCAGACCGGCAGCTTTATTATCTTTCTGTGGAGTCTAAATGGATTTGTTTTTTCCTAGCGGCCATTATAGTTTCCTCATCTTACCTGCTGTCTCAACAGCTTTGCTGTAGCTTGGCTTCCTCCTCTAATAGTCCTCCAGCTCCTGCTCCTTTTATTGGACCATCTCTCCTCTACTCATAGTGGTGGTTCAGTGTTTCAGCAATTAGTGAAAATTTCCGTCTCAGACTGACTTTTCTTTACAATCTTAAGGATCTTTCAGTTTTCATTATTAATATTAGTAGTATTTTATTTTATTTTCAATTTTTTATGATGGGGTCTCCCTGTCACCCAGGCTGGAGTACAGTGGCATAATCTTGGCCCACTGCAGCCTTGACTTCCTGGGCTCAAGTGATCCTCCCACCTCAGCCTCCCCAGTAGCTGGGACCACAGGCACACATCACCACATCCGGCTAATTTTTGTTTTTTTTTTTTTTTTTTTTTTTTGTAGAGATGAGGTCTCACCATGTTGCCCAGGCTGATCTTGAACTCCTGGGCTCAAGTGATCCACCTGCCTCAGCCTCCCAAAGTGCTGGGATTACAGGTGTGACCCACCATACCTGGCCAGATCTTTCAGTTATTACTAGTCTTTGCTATCGTTCCTGGGAAAAAAGTTTAGGCAAATTCATTCAGCTCTACCTGCCAAAGAATTAAATCTAATACGACATTAAAGGTGACAAAGTGGGTCATAATCTAACTTGCTGTTGTTGTTTGCTTGTGGTGAATTCTCTAGCTTCCAAAGATGTAATTTTTGTTAATCAGTCCCTCTTGGTTCTTCCCCTAATCCCTGGCCCATCCTCTTACTCCATCACTACCTGATATGAGACCTTTTTCTTTGTTTTTTATTAGGGAGCATGATCCTCTGGTTCTGGAAATCTGAAGTCAGGCCCCAAACTCTGTGTGCCATTTCTCTACGGAGGTCTACCTCCAAGCTCTCGGGCAGATAATAACCAAAATTTCAAAGTTCTAGGAGGAATTTCCTTTTTAAAAAATCTGCTATTTATGCAGACTGTCACTTCTTGAGAATATTACAATGAAAGCTTTGAGTTGAAGTTTTAGGAGCTCAAGACATAATCCTTTCTTCCTCTTTTAAGTTCAGATCAAATTGGGAAATAGAGAAGTCAAACAGAGAATTAATAATGCTACAGTACTTTTATTACTGATCAAACTAAGTGGAGAACTTGCATTTAGATCTGTGATGATGCAAAGGTCCTGCTAATATTTCACTCCAGAATTAGGCAGACTTCACTCCAGAAACAGCAGGCCTTTCTCAAATGGGCAGGCTGACTGGCTTCTTACCACATGGCATAGGGCAAACCAGAATGACCTACTCTGAGGCTGGCATCTTAAGTGTTCAGCTATCACCACAAGACTTCTCAGATTCTCAGTGAAGAAGGGAACAGGGTGCAGTCCAACACAAAGGAGGACCCACCTCCTACCAGAGAGCAGAAATGATCTTAGTACCTTTGTGTCCCTTGGCCAGCTCCAGTGGCGGTGGTGATCTCAGAGACTTCCAGCTGTTCTCTCTCTCCCAGCCTTTAGCTGGGAAAAGGGTTTGTCCCTGTAATACACTTTTTGTGGAGGACCTCACTTATGTGAATTTCATGTGACACAGTGCCTTTCTTATGAATTTCCTTATTCTGACTGTGTTTGTGTACTCCAGTTTATTGCAGTTGCCACACCAAAAGAAATACTAGATTTTTATATTACTTGTGGGATAGGATGTGCATTTTTATTGGTATTTATCATTTTATTTGCCACAAATGACAAAACCTTATCTAAAATTGCTACACTTGTGTTTGGATTTTGGACAGGTTTTGTGTGGCTGCTTAATTTCGTTCAATATGCTCTATGAATTGCTGCTGAGAAAACTTGAAAATACTGATACGAGATAAGCCTTAATTGAACTTCTAAAATACTTCAAGACTTTGGAAAATAGAAGTAATGGATGATGGGTGATGTATCAAAATTTGCATAATTTTTAAAGGACATTTTTTGAGCAGTGATGATCAAGTCTAGTCTGAACACAAGCTATCATTTACCACAAATTACACCAGAGGCATTTTGTTTTAAATTTGTCTTTGTTGTAACGTTGTAACTGTTGAAATTAGTCTCAGACAGAATTTTCTGGAGGTTTTGTTTTTTATGGAGGGATACTCGTGGGGACACAAACTTTTCCTTAAAACACATGGATCAAATCAGAAATGAAAGAGGGGACATTATTACCAACCTGTGGAATACAAAATATTATAGAGGAATATTATGAGAAGTTATATGCCAGGAAATTAGATAAACTAGATGAAATGAACAAATTTCAAGAAAGAAACAAGCTACCCAAACTGATTCAGGAAGCAATAGAAAATCTGAATACCCTATAACAAGTAAAGCAATTCAATTAGTAGTAATAATTTTTTTTAATGTTCCACAAAGAGGAGCCCAGGTTCAGATAGCTTAATCTGTGACTTCTGCCGAATATGTTTATAGGACACAGACTCTTCACCCCCTGAAAAAAAGGAGAAGAAGAACACTTCCCATCTCATTCTATGAGGCCAGTATTACCCTGGCACCAAAACTAAGACTTCAAGAAAGGAAAATGACAGGCCAGTATACCTTTATAAATATAGATGTAAAAGTTCTCAACAAACTTTATTTGGCAACATATGAAAAAGATTATACATCATGACAAAGTGGCATTTATCCTAGGAATGCAAGGTTGATTCAACATATGAAACAATAAATGTAATGCACCATATTACAAAGGACAAAGGACAAACTCCATATGATCATCTCAATAAATGCAGAAAAAGCATTTGAGAAAATCTAGCATCTTATCTTGTTAAAAAACAATGAACAAACTAGGAAAGAAGAGAACTTCTTCAACCTGATAAAGGGTATCTATGAAAAACCCACAGCTAACCCCATACTTAAAGGGGAAAGACTTGAAAACATTTCCTGTAAGATGAGGAATAAAACAAGTATGTCCGCTCTCACCACTTCTAGTCAACATAGTACCTGATGTTCTAATGAGGGCAATTAGGCAAGAAAAAGAAATAAAAGCACCCCAGCTGGAAAGGAATAAGTAACACTATTTCTATTTGTAGATGACTTTATCTTGTATATAGAAAATTCTAAGGAATCCACACAAAAATTTAAGAATTAATAAATGAATTCACCAAATTGTAGGGTACAAGATCAATATACAAAAAAATTTGCAGTTCTATGCACCAGAAATGAACAATCCAAAAATGAAACTGAGAGCACAATTCCATTTACAAGGCATCAAAATAAAGCTGCACATCTACACCATCTGATCTTCAACAAAGCTGACAAAAACAAGCAATGGGGAAAGGACTCCCTATTCAATAAATTGTGCTGGGATAACTGGCTAGCCATATACAGAAGAATGAAACTAGACCCTTACCTTTCACTGTATACAAAAATTAACTCAAGATAATTAAAAATTTAAATGTAAGACCTCAAAATATAAAAATCTTAGAAGAAAACCTAGAAGATACTTTTACCAACATCAGCCTTGGCAAAAAGTTTTTGGATAAGTGCCCAAAAGCAATTGCAACAAAACCAAAAATTGACAAATGGGACCTAATTAAACTAAAGACCTTCTGCATAGCAAAATAAACAATCAACAGGGTAAATAGATAACCTACCGGATGGGAGAAAATATTCACTAACTATGCATCCAACAAAGATCTAATACCTAGAATTTATAAGGAACTTCAGTCAATAAGCAAAAACAAATAATCCCCTTAAAAATGGTCAAGGGATATGAACAGACACTTTTTTTAAAGAAGACATATAAGTGACCAACCAACATATGAAAAAATGCTCCACAACACTAATTATCAGAGAAATACAAATCAAAACTACAATGAGATATTACCCCACACCAGTTAGAATGGCTATTATTAAAAAGTCAAAAATGGCTATCATTAAAAAGTCAAAAAACAACAGATGCTGATGTGGCTGCAGGGAATAGGGAACACTTACACACTGTTTTTCGGAATGTAAATTTGTTCAGCCGCTGTGAAAAGTAGTTTGGAGATTTCTCAAATAACTTAAAGCGACCATTTGATGCAGCAATCCCATGATTGGGTACATATCCAGAGGACAATAAATCATTATACCAAAAGACACATGCATTTATATGTTCATCACTGCACAATTTACAATAGCAAATACATGGAATCAACCTAGGTGCACATCAAGGGTGAATTGGATAAAGAAAATGTGGTACATATACACTGTAGAATACTATACAGCCATAAAAAGTGAAATAATGTCCTTTACAGCAACATGGATAGAGTTGGAGGCCAAAATCCTTAGCAAATTAATGCAGAAAAAGACAACCAAATACCACATGTTCTCATTTATAAGTGGGAGCTAACCACTGAGCACACATGAACATAAACATAGGAACAATAGACACTGTGGACTACTAGAGAGGGGACCGAGGGAGGGAACATGGGTAGAAAAACCTCCATGGATATGTAACAAAGCTGTACATGTACCCTCTGTATCTAAAAGTTGAAATTTAAAATGAGTAAATAAATGAAATGTTTAGGAATAAATCTAACAAAAAAAGTGTACACTAAAAACCACAAAATGTTGTTGAAGGAAATATTAAAAGACCTAAATAAATGGAAAGGAATTCCATGTTCATGTTCCACATTCATGGATTGGAAGACTTAACAGAGTTAAGATGGCAGTAATCCCAAATTGATCTATAGATTTGTTGCAATCTCTATCAAAATCCCAGCAGGATCTCTCTCTCTCTCTCTTTTTTTTTTTTTTTTTTTTGTGTGTGGCAGAAATTGACAAGCTGCTCTTAAAATTCAGGTAGAAAAGCAAAGGACCCAGAATAATTAAAACCATCTTTAAAAGAAGGAAAAAGGTGTGAGAAGGACTCATACTTCTGATTTCAAAACTTAATAACAAGCAACATAATTAAGACAGTGTGGTATTGAAATCAGAATAGACATACAGGTCAATGGAATATAATTGAGAGTCCCAAAAATAAACACATGCATATATGGTCTAATTAAAAAAAAATAAGGAAAGGAGAGTATTTTCAACAAATGATGTGTGACAACTGGATATTCACATGCAAAATGATGATGGGCTCTTACATCACACTATATATAAAAATTATCTCAAAATGGATTGTCAACCTATGAGCTAAAACTATATATCTCTTTGAATGAAACACAGGAATAAATCTTTGTGACCTTTGATCCAGCATGGTTTCCTAGCTATGACACCAAAAGTACAAGCTGCAAAAGAAAAAAATAGATAAAAAGACTTCACCAAAATTTAAAACTTATTTTCTTCAAAAAGCACAAGAAAGTGAGAGGACAACCCTCAAAGTGGGACAAAATACTTGCAAATCATATCAGGTAAAGGAATTGCATCCAGAACACACACACACACACACACACACACACACACACACACACACACACCCCTTACAACTCAGTAATAAAATAAGAACAAACAACCCAATTGAAAAATAGGCAACAAATTTGAAAAAATGTTTCTCCAATGAAGATATACAAATAAATACTAAATACAAGACAAGATGCTCAACATTATTAGCTAGGGAAATACAAACCAAAACCACAGTGAAATGTCACTTCACACCCACTAGGATGGCTATAATAAAGAAGACACATACTAACAAATGGTTAGAATGTGGAAAAACATTGAGTTACTGGTGGGAATGTAAACATTATGAGGCCATTTGTAAAAACACTTTGGCAGTTTAAAAAAAGTTAAACAGAGTTGCCATATAACCCAGCAACTCCACTCGTAGGTATGTACCCAAAGTAATTGAAAACATATGTCCAAAGAAAAACATGTACATGAGCGTTCACAGCAGCATTATTCACTATAGCAAAAAACAAACAAACAAAAACCACCTAAGTGTCTATCAACTGACAAATAGGTACATTAAATGTGATATTTCCTTACAATATAATATATTTTCAGCAATAAAAAAGTGAGTGAAATATTGGCATTCGCTGTAAAGTGGATGGACCTCAAAACACCATACTAACTGAAAGAAGCCAGACATAATGTGCTACATGTTAGATGATTCCATCTATATGAAGTGTCCAGAATAGGTAAATTTATAAATATAAAAAGATTAGTGGTTGCCAGGGGCTGGGGAGAGGAACAGCCGGTGGTAGAAATGGAAAGGGTAAGTGAGTATGGAGTTTGTTTTGAGGGTGATAAAAATGTTCTGAAATGACACAGTGATAATGATTGCACAATTCTGTGACTATACTAAAAAAACAGATGAAAGAATAAAAAACAAGCTAAATACATGGAGAACTGGCTGGGGACGGTGACTCACACCTGTAATCCCAGCACTTTGGGTGGCCAAGGCAGGCGGATCACTTGAGGTCAGGAGTTTGAGACCAGCCCGGCCAACATGGTGAAACCCTGTCTCTACTAAAAATACAAAAATTAGCTGGGGGTGGTGGCGGGTGCCTGTAATCCAAGCTACTCAGGAAGCTGAGGCACGAGAATCGCTTGAACCCAGGAGGTGGAGGTTTGCAGTGGGCCAAGATGGTGCCACTTCACTCCAACCTGGGTAACAGAGTCAGACCCTGTCTCAAAATAAACAAATAAATAAACAAAATAAATGGAGAGCTCTTCCATATTCATGGATAAGAAGACAGTATTGTCAAGATGTCGATTCTTCCCAACTTGACCCATATATTCAATGCAATTCTAATAAAAATCCCAGCAAATTATTTTGTGGATTTTTATAAACTGATTCTAAAGTTTATATGCAGAAGCAAATACTCAGAATAGCCAACACAATATTGAAGTAGAAGAACAAAGTTGGAGGACACTATGTGAGTAAACAAGACAGTGTGACATTGGCAAAATAATAGAAATATAGATCAATGGAACAGAGTAGAGAGTGCAGAAAGAGACCCACATAAATATAGCCAAAAGACATTTTGCAAAAGAAAATATACAAATGACAAATAAGCATATGAAAAAATACTCAACATCATACATCATTGGGGAATTGCAAATAAAAACGATAATAATGTACTACCACATACCTATTAGAAAGGCCAACACCAACACCAAATGCTGGCAAGAATGCAGAGCAGTCGAAATTCTTATTCATTATTGGTGGGGAATGCAAAAATGGTAGCCACACTGGAAGACGAGTATTTCTTACAAACTAAACATACTCTTACTTTACCATCCAGCAACTGGGGCTTCCTGGTATTTCCCCAGAGTTGAAATTTTACATTCACACAAAACCCTGCACATGAATGTTTATGGCAGCTTTTTTCATGATGACCAAAATTTGGAAGCAACCAAAATGTCTTTTAGCAGGTAAATGGAAAAACAAACTGTGACACATCTACACAATGGAATATTATAAAGTGCTAATAAGAAATGAGCTATCAAGCCATGCAAAGACATGGAGGTACCTTAAATGCATATTACTAAGTGAAAGAAGCCCATCTGAAAAGGTTGCATATGGTATCATTCTGACTATATGACACTATGGAATTGGCAAAACAGTGGAAACAGTAAAAGGATCAGTGGTTGTCAGGGGTTGGAAAGAGGGAGGGATGAACATGTGGCACATGGAGGATTTACATGGCCATGAAACTACTCTATTTGTTACTATAACTGTGGATACATACCATTTTATATTTGTCAAAATCCATAGAATGTACAACACCAAGAGTGAACCTGAATGTAAACTATGGACCTTGGATGATAATGTGTGTCAATGTAGGTTCATTGATTGTATAAATGTACACTCTGGATTTTGATGCGGGGGAGGCTGTTTGTGTCTCGGGGGCAAGATGTATGTATGAAACCTCTATCATCTGTTCAATTTTGTCCTGAACCTAAAACTGCTTTAAAAAAATAAAGTCTACTTTTTAAAATGTCAATTTCAAAGTCTTAGAGCTAACCAAACAAAATGATATTATCAGAACCCAGTGCAATATTTGGAACAATTCAGATTCATAGTTGCTTCCAAACTCATAGCAGAAACTCAAGTAGACAAAGAAGAGGGAACCTTTTAGTGTTAGCCTATCTGGTTTGACAAACATTATATGCCAATTATCTGAGCCTGTGACCTATAACCGTAAAGTCAATTGAGATAAATGTTTACTGTGAAGAGGTTAATCATACTGTGTTTAATATGTGGCAAATGGGGGTTGGAAATCACTTAATAACAGGTCTCCTCTCTCAGAGAGCGACACTTGAAATCTTGGTACTTCATTACTAAATTTAGAAAGTTACAGGTTGGCAGGTTCAGTTTCCAGTTACTATGGTTTAGTGAAATTATTGGTTTTGATTTCCCACCAGGATAATCAAAATCCATTAATTTCCATTTATCTTTTGAATCCCTCTTTTTTTTCTGGCACTAAAGGGCTGATTTGAGTGTGGGTTCTGTTTATTATATAATTTTCACACTGTCTTCTTTTTATTTATTTATTTATTTTATTTTATTTTTTTAGACGGAATCTCGCTCTGTCACCCAGGCTGGAGTGCAGTGGCGAGATCTCAGCTCACTGCAACCTACACCTCCCAGGTTCACTCCATTCTCCTGCCTCAGCCTCCCGAGTAGCTAGGACTACAGGCGCCCGCCACCACGCCCAGCTAATTTTTTGTATTTTTAGTAGAGACGGGGTTTCACTGTGTTAGCCAGGATGGTCTCGATCTCCTGACCTCGTGATCCGCCCGCCTCGGCCTCCCAATGTGCTGGGATTACAGGCGTGAGCCACCGCGCCCAGCAATTTTCACACTCTTTTCTATGTGGACATTTCAAGCCCATACCACCGTGACTCATGCCACTGTCTAGTGCTGTAGAACTGCTTAGACCTATCAAACCTGCCTCTCAATCAAGAGTTCTTCCTTAGTTTCAACTTAAGAATTGTCTTCAGCAAATATCTAAATTGAAACTGCTTCTAATATTTCTGAGCGATAATGGTCTTTTGTTCTTCTTGGGGTTGGCTGAACTTCTGGCATCTGAGAGGTCGATGCCTTTTATCAGTTTTAGAAAATTCTTGAGCTTTGTCTCCTGAAATACTGCTCCTCTCTTTCCTCTCTCTTTCAGGGACTGCAATTAATCACTTATTAGACATTTTTACTGTGTTTTTGAGGTCTGTTATGTTCTTTTCCTTTTTCTCTGTCCTTCAGTTTGGATATTTTCTACAGACCTGTCTTCCAGTTCATGAATCCTGACTTCTGCTGTACTCAGACTGTTGTTAAGCACACCCAAAGGGTTCTTATTTCCAGTTATTGTAATTTTTTTTTTTTTTGAGACAGAGTCTCTGTCTGTTGCCCATGCTGGAATGCAGTGGTGTGATCTTGGCTCACTGCAACATCTGCCTCCCAGATTTAAGCAATTATCCTGCTTCAGCTTCCTGAGTAGCTGGGATTACAGGTGCATGCCACCACGCCCAGCTAATTTTTGTATTTTTAGTAGAGACGGGGATTTCACCATGTTGGTCAGGCTGGTCTCGAACTCCTGAGCTCATGATCCACCTGCCTCAGTCTCCCAAAGTGCTGGGAATACAGGCGTGAGCCACCGTGTCCGGCCTGTAATTTTTAGTTTTAGAATATTTGTCCAATAATTGTTTTTACAGATTCCAATTCTATACTGAAGTAAATTACCCATCTTTCATCTTTGTCCACCTTTTCTTCTATTTTCTTAAAACTATTAATTATAGTTATTTAAAGTCCTGGCCAATTCTAATATCTAGTTCTGTTTCTATTAACGTTTTTCTCTTAGTGTTTAGTCATTTGGATTTGATCTTTTGCATGGCTCATAATTATTTTGTATTGGATCCCAGATATTGTATAAGACAAAATTGTAGACTCTGGATAATGTTACCTACCTCCATAGAGTTTCTACTTTCTACTCCTGGAAAGTAGAAAGAATAGTGGCAGATAACTTTGATCCTGAAAAGGCTTGGTTTCAAGCTTTGTTAGATCTATTTTATTTCAGTATTATATTGCTCTTACTCCAAGGATGTGCTGAGATCTCAACTGAAAACCCTGGGTATCTAGGTACCTTATCAAGGCTTGAAGTCCAACTTCTGTTGGATGCTGAAATCTTCACTTACCTCATTAGACCCTAAACTGCTGTTTTCTGATTTTTTTTTTTTTTTTGGCATCTTTCTTTGTGCATGCTGAGTGTAGGAACTTAGATCACTATCATGATGGCAATTTGCATAGATTGTTGAGCTCCTCTGCAATTCTCCCCTCTTGGAGTTTGCCCTCAATCAGAGGCACTTTGGTAGCCCTCAACTTTGGCCTTTGATATGATTTGGCTCTGTGTTCCCACCCAAATCTCATGCTGTATTGTAATTCCCACTGCTGGGGGAGAGACCTGGTATTAGGTGATTGGATCATGGGGGCAGATTTCCCCCAGGCTGTTCTCATGATAGTGAGAGTGAGTTCTCATGAGACCTGATGGTTTCAAAGTGTGTGGCACTTCCCGCCTCACTCTCTTTTTCCTGCTCCACCATGGTAAAACGTGCTTGCTTCCCCTTCACCTTCCACCATGCTTGTAAGTTTCCTGAGGCCTCCCAGTCATTCTTCCTGTTAAACCTGAAGAACTGTGAGTCAATTAAATCTCTTTTCTTCATAAATTATCCAATCTCAGGTAGTTCTTTCTGGCAGTGTGAGAATAGACTAATACAGCCTCTTATTCTTCAGCCCAGAAAAACTGCTGTATTTTTTTTTTTTTGGCTTTTATTGTCTTGCACTTAGTTTTGAGCATTCCCTCAAGAGAAATATTCCAGGGTAAACACTGAGTTCACCTCATGTGCCTTCTCTCCAGGATCATAGCTTTAAGTTCCGCCTGGTTTAGTTACTCTTCAATGCCTCCAAAGAATTATAGATATAGATATATAGATACTCCTAGGCTTATGATGGGGTTATATCCCAATAAACCTAAGTTGAAAATATTGTAAGTCAAAAATGCACTTAATACACCTAACCTACCAAACATCATAGCTTAACTTACCTTACCTTAAATGTGCTCAGAACACTTATGTTAGCCTACAGTTGGGCAAAATTATCTAATGCAAAGCCTATTTTACAATAAAGTGTTGATTATGTAATTTGTTGAATACTGTAGTGAAAATGAAAAATAGAGTGGTTGTATGGGTATTCAAAGTACAGTTTCTACTGAATGTTTATCACTTTCACACCATCATAAAGGCAAAAAAATTTAAGTCAAACTATTGTAAGTTGGGGACCATCCGTATATGTATAAAGTCATGTATTACTTAATGACAGGGATACATTCTGAGTAATGCATCATCAGACAATTTTACTGTTGTATGAACATTCAGAATATATTTACACAAACCTAGATGGTATAGCCTACTACACACCCAGCCTATTGCTCCTTGGCTGGAAACCTGTACAGCATGGTACTGTACTAAATATTGTGGGCAATTTTAACCTAATGGTAGGTATTTGTACATCTAAACTTGGAAAATGTATAGCAAGTCATATGCAACTGCATATGACCACCAGTTGCATATGCAGTCTGTCTTTGATCAAAACTTGGTTATGCATTGCATGACTATATATATATATACACACACACATATAAATATATACAAATATGTAAATATTTATGCATATTTTATCCCACTTTCCCCCTGAAGTGGGAGGTTTAGTTTGATATATACTACTACATCTTGGCTGGAGTTGGAGGTCTCAGTACTTCATAGCAGTAATGAATGCTGTGGGTTTGCAGTAACTTCACTGAACTGTTTATCTGCCACAACTACAAAAGATGGCTTATTCTCTTTAAGTTATGGAGCCCTATTCCTTTTAATTTGTGTGTTAGATAAAATCTACCACGTGTCTATGGGCAAAACCAAAGTCTGAATCTCTAAAATCTAAGGCCATAATCAAAACTAGGTAATTTATCAATCTAGAGTCATATAATGGGGATTCCTCTTCAGCCTGCATTTGGATAAACCGCATGAACCCAAGAGTTTAGCCCTACCACTCAAGGCCATTGTTTTTAGTTGTGCAGGCTTCAGTGGGTAAGGTGCTATTTATGTAGGTTAAATGGCGGTTGAGTGCTCTGCAATGTGGTGGCCTTGATACCACAGGTTTTTTTTTTTTTTTTTTCTTAGATCTGAATTCGTTTGTTGCGGGGAGAAAAACTAGGGGCAACTGATCTGGCATTGCCTACCTATGCCTGACATGAAATTCGCCAGGACCTCTGGGAGAATACCTCTAGTTAAGCAATAGGATTAGAAGCCTGATTGCAGAAAATTAGGAGGTAAAGAATGATTGGGAAGTCAGAAAGTGTGGACATCAAATGAACACAATATATTAAACAAATTGGATGTGAAGGGAAGTGAGAGATATGGTGATAGGTAGAGAGGGAAGGACTTTGTTTTAAGAGTGAGGAGAGTTAAGCATGTTTGTGGGCTGGGGATGAAGCTAATGGAAAAGGAGAGGAAGAAGATACAAAACAATAAGAGATAATTAAGAATTTTCTGGTAGAGGTTGTTAGACAAAGAGCCCAGATAAGACAGATTGGACAAAGATAAGGAGAGGTAAAGATGAAGCTTAAGTTAGGAGGCTTAAAAGAAAGAATGGGCCAGGTGAGTGGCTCACGCCTGTAATCCTAGCAATTTGGGAGGCTGAGACGGGAGGATCACTTGAGGTCAGCAGTTCGAGACCAGCCTGGCCAACATGGCGAAAC
Source organism: Homo sapiens (assembly GCF_000001405.40). NCBI lineage: Eukaryota > Metazoa > Chordata > Mammalia > Primates > Hominidae > Homo > Homo sapiens. The sequence goes on from NC_000001.11 coordinate 148,807,158, forward strand.
CCCATCTCTACTAAAAATACAAAAATTAGCCAGGCGTGGTGGCAGGTGCCTGTAATCCGAGCTGCTCAGGAGATTGAGGCAGGAGAATCGCTTGAACCCAGGAGGCAGAGCTTGCAGTAGGCCAAGATCGTGCCACTGCACTCCAGCCTGCTGGGTGATAGAGTGAGAATCCGTCTCAAAAAAAAAAATCTATCTATCTATCTATCTATCTATCTATCTATCTATCTATCTATAGAGAGAGAGAGAGAGGGAGAGAGTAAAAAAGTAGAATTAATGACTGGATGAGATGGGTAAAAGAGAAATAGGTCCCTGACAAATTCTAGGTTTGGGGATTGAGCAGCTGGGTAGATAGGGCTGGGGTTAAAACACAGAACTGAGCAACAGATTTGGAAGGATGAGCTGAGATGAATTCAGCTTTGTCTGCATTCAGTCAGTCAACAATAATAGCTGTTGCCTATGAACCTTGAGATCCACAGTGCCCAACTACAAAGACAAACCTTGCTCCCCCTCCCCTGCTGAACTTATGCTATATGCAATAGTGTTGCAGAAACATTTTGCTTTGCTGGATACAAAAGCAAACTAGTCTCTGTTTTCAAGGACATATGTAGGATATAAGAACTGGATTTTCAGAATGAATATTTATGGGATAATTTATTTAACTGACCAACTTTAAAAAAAGGTTAAAACACTTTCTTGGTTTATGGTGGATACCAAGCTATATATGCTTTATTATGAGTTCATGGAAAACTGCAATCAGTCTCAACTGAAAGGAAAATGTAGGTTGTTTGGGAGAAAGTTTTTACAATTGAAAAACTCAAGGGAAAATTGAAAGGAAAAGATTTTAGGAAAGAGAAAGAAACAGGGAGAGGAAGAAAAGAGGCTAGCCAACAACCTGCAGTAGTGATTCTGAGGAACTAATAGGAGACGAAAAACTGGATAAATTATAAAAGGATGACTGATACGGGGGCACGGGGAGGAGGATGAAACCGGGGAAAATATTGAGAGAGACAGAAAGAAAAGGAGAAACTTATCTGAGGTTGGAAATAAAGAGAAGGTGACATTGGAGCGGATAGAAAGGAAGAAACGGCGTGGGATCTGGGAATGAGGCAGTGGGTGGAGAGAGAATGGGGAGACGACAGAGGATGAAGGGCAGCTGAGTGTGTCTGCGGGAGAAGGACCAAAGCAATCTGGGCGGAGCAGGTGGCAGAGGCAGCCGCGGAGGAGGCCCAGGGAACTGACGGGGATGCTCAGCCAGGCCCAGAGGATGCGCCCTGGCAGTCCCGGAAAACACCAGGAAAACAAGCAGGAACCGTAGCTAGGACTGGGGTGGCCAGGCCCAGGAAATCCATGAAGGGCACAGACAGCGGGTCCTGCTGCCGCCGCCGATGCGACTTTGGCTGCTGCTGTCGCGCGTCCCGCCGGGCTCACTACACGCCTTACCGGTCCGGGGACGCGACGCGAACCCCTCAGTCCCCACGGCAGACCCCGAGCCGGGAAAGACGGCGCCCGGAGCCAGCCGGGAGCTGGGCAGCAGCGGCCGAGGAGGAAGAAGCAGCTGCGGCGGCCACACCCTGGATGAGGTGAGAGCATGGCCAGCTCCTGCCTCTGGAGCCCGGGAGGCTGAGGAACGCGATGGGGGTGGCAACGCACGGTGCGCTGGGCAGGAGAACCGCGCGGAGGGCTGGGGCCCCGGACTGAAGATCCCGACGCCTGAGAGGGGTTGGCGCTGAGTGACTACTGCTTGGAGAAGGGTAGGGAGGTAATGGGGCCCGTGGTGGAGGCAGGAGGAGGGACAGTGTTGAGTTGCCCAGAAATAAAGGTGTGCCCCTGGAAGGGTTAAAGCATAGGAAGCTCTATCTCGAGGTCTTTGAGACACAGACATTTGCTGTGTTGACGGAGGTGAGATTGCAGGCTGTGTCTGTTGGGTTGAGCCAAAGGAGAGATGAACACATGACTCAGAAGGCTATACCAGGATGGAAACATCAGAGATGGGCATGAAAGTTGAAGGATCGGGAAGTGCACCCGGACGAAAGCACACACTGCCATCTCTTATAGCTCTTCTTTTCAGGGTTATTTCTCTTAGATACAGATCGCAGGGTGGGGTGGGTGGTGATTCCCTCTTCCTGGGCTATCTCTTTTTCCCCTGCAGAGCTGGAGCCCTGCCTGATGGCTGGATGGAGGCCATGCAGGACAAGTTCCTTCTAAAATCAATCCTTTGCTTTGGCCTGGAAGACCGAACATATTAGGCTCAATTTTCTTCGTGTAGCAGCAGTAACATAAAAATCTGTCATACATACGATTTTTGGGAGAAGAGATAGATTGTGCTGCAGGCTTTTTAGAAATAAACATGTCCGCATCACAGCATTTTTAGCTTTTTATCTCATGGAAGGTAGTACTCATAAATCAAACTACCAGGCCTAGTGATTCCAG